>NC_000004.12:175796381-176421381 GCF_000001405.40 Homo sapiens
CCAATCAGTGCATTCAATGATTTCTAAATATCTCAACAATTCCAACATATAGATACTTTTCTTCCTACTTGATGGATGAGAAAATTAAGTCTCTTGATCAGAAGTTAAGTCACCTGCCTAAAAACACAACCAGTATATAGCAGAGTTAGAATATACATTTATGTTTGAATGCTTCTGTTTATTTACACTACCTTCCCTCTGGTACTTTAGTGTTTTTCATTATAAGTATGTAAAAGCTAAAATACAAACCACTCACCCTATTTGATTGCATTCACAATACTTTTATGTTGTTTTACCAAATTTGGATTATAATTTAGGAGTGATATTTACATCTGGGAATTCTGGAAGAAGTTGTGAAGTTTAATTCCTATGGGAACTCATTATATATTCATTAGTTCAAAAACAAAGAAGCAAACAGCATGCACCAATGAAGGAGCTTGAAGACTGCCTTTCTCTCAGTGCTACCCCCAGGAATTAAACCTCACAATTTCTTTCCTGTCTAAACATGCTTTTAAAATTGTTCTGACCCAAAACAGTATTTTCAGACGTTTCTGATAAGTCCTGAATTGTTTTTTTTTCTGTGTGTTAATCCTATGCCATTCTTTGTTGTTTTTAGTAAGTACTCAATTCTCTCAGATTACTAAGGATTCTCTTCTCTAAAAAAATACTGGCAAATTTAATATCATATTCCATACCAATGTATGAGAAGCTGCTAGTCATTTTAGTTCTCCTAGATAACTAACACATGTAAAATTGAACCAAATAATGCCAGAAACCAAATACATAATTCAACAGCACATGGTAATAGCTGGGATACTGATAGTTATACTTTTTACTTTCATTTTATTCATTTTATTTGTGGATGAAAGATGCTCTATGATCTTATTCCATCACAATATTGATAACCAACATTTTAACCATTAATATTAAGAGTTAGTGTTCATTGGGGCTTTCATAATCTTGTTCATAAAATTTATTTATTAATGATGTTTGGGTAGGTAGCTGTTGAGATTGACAATAGTATTAATACCAGCAATGATGTGTGATGTGATATCAATGTTTGTATCCCCGCCCTCAAATAATTGAGCTCCCATGTATATGGAATACATGGTAACTGTTTTATTGTTACATGCATTAGCATTTTCAATAACCGTAGGCCATCTCAATCAATTTCCCCCATCATCCCATGATTGCAATTTTCTTCTATGCCTATTGAATAATCCAGATTAAAGACTATATATCATTTAACTCCCAGCCTCAAGTGATCTGCCCACCACATCCTCCCAATCATTTTACAATACTTTTTGAAGTAGTCAAGGGCTTATGTACATGATTGTAGGCTTCGAAGTTCTTTTTATTTTCAAAGGCAAAATTATAGCGGTGTTGTCCAGAACACCCTTAAAGTTCTCATTTTAAATGATTGCAATCTCTGAATATTATTTCCTCTCAAATTTTGGGATTTCAAATCCATAATATCTTTATCTTGATATATAAATTATGAATCACAATTGGGAAAGCTACCAGGGTTTTTAACCAATAATCTACAAGACTCTAAGTGTGGTTCCAGGATCCACAAAAATAGAATTACCTGAGAAAGTGCTAGAAATGCAGATTCCTGGGCCCCACTCCATACTCACCGAATCAGAAACTTGAGTTGGGGAAATGAAGTGCCGTAATCATCAAAAATAGGTGATGCTTGCTAAAGCAAACTAATGTTGAAGAGCTACTCAGAATATGGTACCGCTATACTTGTGTAACTTACAAAGACAAATAAACCTCAAATCACAAACATAACACATTCATTGCAAAGTAAAGTTAATAGTCACTCTTCTAAGTTATTCATTTATAACGATCTAACCCATAATCACCCCACCTTTCACAAAGGTTGCTGTTACATCATTTAATAACTTTTAATGAAGCTGAGTTATTTAAACTTGACGTTAAGATTACCATGTACCCAGATTATCCTAAAAGCACTCAATTCACCTATTTAAGGCTAAGAAAACTCTGTTTATGACACTTACAATTCAGTTATTCAAGACAAATAAATATTTCCTTTACATAATTGCCTCATTTAAAGAGCAAAACTGAAAAGCTAGGTTACGGAATGAGGAAAATTTGAGACACTTAACTTAGATTTAACAATGAGCAATGTGGTAAATTTATGTTGCATGTCTTGCATATTTACCAGAATCACATTATCAAAAATACACATACAAACTTTGTACTAACTTTCTAATTATTATATTTCTTGGTGGCGGAAGGAGAGGCAACATAACTCTTTTACTGACTATCACAGATAGGTAAGTTTTGAATGTTACCACTGTTCTCAAATATGTCTTTTCTGTTAGTCTCTTAATCCTGAGTCGATTCTTTTTCAGAACAAATGTAACCCACAATTGAAATGTAAAGATATTTATTTCTTAGTGTCCCATTTTCTCCTTAGAATACGGTGGATTACTTCAGGAAAGCAATTTTACCAAGGGAAATGTAAAATGCATTTTTTATATTGCACCAAAAGAGGTATTCAGTTTTTGTCTGCCATGTCCTCTGCTGTATTGCACATGAAAGCAAAAGGAAGGCAATTGGAAATCCTTGCCAGAGGCTAGTTATGAGCAATGAGTTCAAAGATTTCAGTGGCTTGATACGTAGTGCTTAAAATATACGAGTCTACCCTCTCCTTTCCTTTTTTCCTTTTTTCATTTTGCAAAATGGGAAACAACATTGTTCTTTCCCAACGTGGCTTTAAATAGCTCTTCCAATCTTGTTTTCCTGCCCCAGGATGTCTTAGGCAGCACTCACAATCTCCCTTTGCTCATCTGTCTTAGGGAGCTCCAGTCAGCTGCCTTTCCTAGAGTATCACAGGCATCAACCCTTTCTATAATATACATCATTTCCTTTTTGGCCAAAAAATACATGCAGTTCTTTAATTTTTGACTCTGGACCACTCATTTTGACTCACTGTGGGGCAGTAGCATTCAATGACCTCTTCCAAAACGAGAGGCACTGAGCTCATAGTTTTTAATGTTCCCCTCTCACACTAAGAACTGCTTGAATCTAAGTATCTAGGAATCTAAGAGTCAATTGAAGAACAGTTTTGCTAACTTAACTTATAAGAATAGAGATTGATATTAGTGCAAGAAAGTGAAAGCATATGAGGCACGGAAGTAGTATTGCTATTTTTATGTACAAAAGTAAAAATGGAAATATTGGAGTCAAGGAGAAGACTGAGGTATAACAGACAACTCCAAATGACTACATTTGTCACCCTAAAAGTAGCAAGTGTTTTCTTTTTTTTTTTTTTGAGACGGAGTCTCGCTCTGTCGCCCAGGCCGGACTGCGGACTGCAGTGGCGCAATCTCGGCTCACTGCAAGCTCCGCCTCCCGGGTTCACGCCATTCTCCTGCCTCAGCCTCCCCAGTAGCTGGGACTACAGGCGCCCGCCACCGCGCCCGGCTAATTTTTTGTATTTTTAGTAGAGACGGGGTTTCACCTTGTTAGCCGCAAGTGTTTTCAAAAACAAACAGAATATCCTTGAGCAAGAGGCTTAATATAAAACACTATTGATAAGGATACAATTCAGATATTTTTTGAAGTTTATCTCTTTTTTCATTCAACTTGTGGACCCTTAAATGGGATTTTTAATACTGAATTATAAAGATGTTTCAAAATTGTAATTTCAAATAGAATGATCCTGAGAGTACAATATTTTTAAAAAGTATATGGATTCCAAAGTGGTTAGGAAGTCAATAAATAATTCCAATAACTGTATAATTTGTGGTTGAGGGCTTAATGTTGTGGTTGAGGGCTAAACTGAAGAGCAATCTTATTTAAGAATGTGCAAAGTAAAAATAAATAGCTTAAAAGAATATACAAAATATAAAAAACCCAAAATTATATAGCATATACCCAAATCTAGGTAGAGGTATAGATTGTTTTACTTAATCAATGTATGCTAACCCTGTGTATATAAGTCCATTTTAGATAATATCAATATCATTTTAATTTCACTGAATGCAAATTATCCAAGCCAAAGAAAAGACCCTCCAACCTCTAGGCCAAATCTTGTCTAAAACAACTTAATCTGTCCTATAGTAAGATCGGGCGCATCAAATTCTTTCCCAGCCATCCCCACTTGTTTCCCATACCAACACTTAATAAATAATAGCTAAAATTATATACCTACATAATACTGCATTATTGTCCACTCTGAGGCCTAAATCATGGCTTCATCATATTTCTAAAACACAGATCATAAAACCCATTCAATGAAGGCTTCTGTTTCTTGCAAAATAAAACTTCAAAATTACCAGAGAGGTAATAATGGTCAGGTTAATGCCTGGGTTACATTCAATACTGAAATGGTATATAACTCTTTTTCCCTTAAGGACCACAAAACAGCCTTGTAAACTCATCCTAGAGGATCTAAAAGAGAACCCCCTCATAACAGAATGGCATTCCCAGCTTGCAGGCTCTGAGACTCCATTGAGTCATGCCACATGTATGGAAAATGATTTTTGGAGTGTTATTCTATCTAAGGAAAAACAAAGCAAATTTTCCACTTTCAAGATTAAAGGACATTCTGTCTACATTAAGACAAGCAGGGTAAGTCTTAAACACTTGTTAATCTTAGCACTATGTTTAACAAGCCTCCCAAGTATTGAACTCAAGAAACCTAAGAAATGAGATCAATGTTAGCTTTTTCATGAAATTTAAATGTGTCAAACAATAAAGTCTTCAAATAGTTTGCCATTTTTTGCTAACAGGGAAAATTAAGCAGTGAATTAATGACCTCACAAGGATTTTGGAGAATGCTGGGTAAGTTTACTACACTCCACATAAGTATAATATGCAGATCCTAATTATTTCACATCATATATTTCTATTTTGTACATTGAAATCAGGATCACGTTAAAAACTTTTATAAATGTAGCACATTAATATTATAGGTATGTTAATATTATAGGTATTAATTAATAGGTAATAATATAGGTATATTGAATAGCCATTTTGTAGATAAAAAGTGTTTAATATTGGTAATTTGACGTGGTTCAAACTAATATATCTATAATATAGACAAATAAGTAATAGACCACTCAGTAGACTTTAAGAAATAAATCTATTAATACCTAAAGGCTGAAGCAAAATACATTTGTCAGTTAATAGGAGAGAATTTTCCAGGAATTTGTTAGAGATGGAATGAAATGACCAGTGGATATGATACATTTTTTAAAAATTGAGCGTGTCAGATAAATAAATACACTATGTTTTTTAATACTTTAAAGACTATGGAATGCCTGGGGGGACACAGGCATGGGTAATACAGTTGCCTGAAAAGACCTCATCATCATTAGGTTACAGTGGTGTTGCTTTTGCATTACTGCAGAATTTAAAAGAAGATAGAGTAGCAGAGTTAAGGCCAAATATTGCAATGATTATATAACTGTAAGTATGACACAAAGTTTCCTTCCAATTTAGCAGAAACAATGGGCAAAAATATTTTTGATATTTATGTAAAATAGTGGTCGCTCTTGATACACAGATGATATGAAAGAACCACATGTATCATAAATCAGTAGCTCCTTTTAGACCTTTGGTAAGCATACTACACTCCGTATAAGTATAATGAGCAGATCCCAATCATTTGGAGGGGGTTCAAAGTTGCTAAACAGTGTTGTAGAGATCAATCATGGAAATACATGCTTGCTGTCTCTTTGTGAATTAAATTTTCGTGCAGTGTTGCAAAAAAAAGTTACTATGTAAAAGTAACACATAAATAAATAAGCTTATCTTTCTTCAAGATTATACTTTTCAGCCTGGCTATACAACTGGCCTATAAAACATGAAGTTATTTCAGTTGTTTAACAAGAATTCATTCTCAATTCCACCAAATAATGGTATCACAAGTTCATCTCAAAACACAAATTAGTGATTAATACATCAAAAAACTTAGTACACCAAAATTGTAGAGAGAATATGATGAGCATTGAAAGGTTAGATGGAAATACTCTTCCGATACCATTGACCAGAGCTCAAATGCCCTGTTTTCAGATACTGTCTTGATCCCATCTAAAATATAAGCCAATTGTGTGAGACTATATACCAATTAAAATACAAAAACTAAAATAAAGCGTAAAAGAAGGCAAAAGAAAATTGATTACTCATTGCATGCTATTTTTTAAATTCATTACCTTGAACATTACTAAACATATCCTAGAAAAGGTCTTATCTTATTAAACTGTCCTCAATGATTTCAAACTGTTATTTCTTATGTAATTTTGTTTTCTTTGATCAATACTTATGAATGAACACAGTAAGCCTAGTGTCAGCAAATTTGTAAACTACTTTGTTAAATTTTAACAGCGTATTATAAAATATTATGACATAATTTTCCAAGTTTCAGTAACCATTTGCTGAATCTGACAGTTTAATGTATTTGACTTCATTGCCAGAATCACAATGCTAAAAATATGTGTGGGCTCTTTAATAATAAAAAAAGAAAATCTATTCATTTTCAAGAAAGCTGCTACCAAACTACTGAATATATTTCAGGTCAAAGAATAAAAGAATTATTTTTAATTCAAATCTAATGACATAAAATGGAGTCCTTGCTGCATTCTCCCAAGCCAGGTTTAGCTGCTCTGTTAGATCTGTCTCTATTTAGGGGAAAAATTGTGTTTTATTCTTTCTTTAGTCTGCACAATTGACCTCTTCTTCTTCCTCTTTATCCTCTTCTTTTTCTTCCCCTCCCCTCTTCCTTCTCTTTCTCCTCCTGTTCTCGTTTCATCATCATCATCATCATCATCATCATCATCATCATCATCAGCTATGAATGGGTTTGTATTCAGAGCACTTTGCAGGTTGGGTTCATGAACAAACGATAAAAACTTTACCCTTCAGGAATTTGTACTTTGAGAATGGAGCTACAGCATAACACATACATAAGAAAAAACAGTAAGATATGCCATATAGTAAGTGACAAACATTTAAGAAATAACTGTTACAACAATTCGAAAAAGTTATTAGTCCTTTAATTCTGACTCTCTGACTCAAGGAAAATTGCTTGGTCACCTTTTTAAATGGGCACAGTGTGTTAAGATGAGAGGAAAGGAAACATGGAGAAGGAATCTGCATTTACTCAACTCCTAGTATGTTCCAGGAATTGTAATAGGCGCTTTTACCTAGTCTTTATTACATCTAACTCACATTAAACAGACCTAAACCCAAAGATAATGGTAGAGAAAATTAATTCTCAAAATGGAGATTTTGAAAAAAATATGGTTGAATAACACAGATTAAGTTACAGAGAAAATGAAGGTGGAGAAAAGGAGCCAGGGCTTTAACACAGGTCATCTGATTGGGAAACCAAAAGTCAATTGGCCACTCATTATGATGGTCAATTGAAAAACTCCTGGCCCTTATACATATTTAAAATTCATGGAGACAATCTGAGTGGGTGGTTTCTGAATTCTAGATCTTATGACTCAATTACAACTTTCTACTGTGAAAGGTTGAGCAGAGATTTAAAATGCTTTAAGTTCAATTATTCTGACTAATATTCAAAGCATTCTTTTCACTGTAAAATGGTTTTTTTTTTTAACTTGATGAAAAACTAAAATAACGTCTCTGAGACAATAAACCACTAAATGAATCTGGCTTTGGTAATACATTGGTACTATTTAAAACAGAGATTCTCAAAGCCTATGGTTGGTTTTAAATTGACAAACCACATTCAGTGTCATATCTAAGAGTTCCATTGTTCAAACATTGCTCAATCCTTATTTTAATAATGAATTCTATTATTGAATATTGAAATATTGAAAGGTGTTTGAAGAAAAATAAATATAATTCCTTACTGCCACTCAAATGTACAGTCTGTGGTTCCAAAAATTTGAATTTAAATGCCCTTATTGTGGGAAAAATAAATTTTTAACTAGAAAAATGGAGAAATCATTTGGCTCATTCTCCCTTCTGCCCACCTCATAATCTTTCTTGGAACTGAAATGGAAGACTACCTCATTTTGTTACATGACAATTCTTTTTTTCTCTGGATGTTTGTGTGAGGTTTTCTCTTAGTTTCCTGTAGAGTTTGAACCCAATGGCCCTTGACTAAATAGTGTGACCGTAAAGTCAAAGAACATTTGATATTTATTAAAAAGCTGTAATCAATATTTATTAACTAGTGTTAAGATATATTGACATTAGACACTGCATATGAAATGCTTAGAACAGTGCCTGGATTATTAAATATTAGCTATTATTATTAATATTTTCCTTGACAAATAAATCATGCTAGTAAAAGTACTTAATTATGTTTCTGATGTTCAATAACGAAACTGAACAGAAAAACTGATATGGTATAGGCTGTTAAAAATGAAAGTGGGCCGGGCTCGGTGGCTCACGCCTGTAATCCCAGCACTTTGGGAGGCAGAGGCGGGCGGATCACGAGGTCAGGAGATCGAGACCATCCTGGCTAACACAGTGAAATGCTGTCTCTACTAAAAACACAAAAAATTAGCTGGGTGTGGTGGCGGGCGCCTGTAGTCCCAGCTATTCGGGAGGCTGAGGCAGGAGAATGGCGTGAACCTGGGAGGTCGAGCTTGCAGTGAGCCAAGATAGCCCACTGCACTCCAGCCTGGGCGATGAGCGAGACTCCATCTCAAAAAAACAAAAACAAAACAAAACAAAAACAAAATGAAAGTGGATATCCACCAACACAGGAAATGTGTAGAAGAATCTCAAAAAATTTTTTTTTCAAAAAAAAAAGCTGTCAAGTTTTGGGGGGAAGGTAATTTGGCCGTGTACTAGTTCTTTATTTGAATTATTAACTAAACTTTGTTGCATAAAACAACAATCGGAATAAATACAGGTGTAAAGTTTTTCTCCCATATTTTATTTTTGTTAAGAAAGAATAGGTAATTCACCATTCAAATAACCTTTCTAATGGGGAATATTAATTGCAACCATAAAAATGTAGAAAATAGTTTCCCAGACATTGAAAGTTCTATTATAAATCAATGAAGAATGCTAATTAGCAAAATACTTTAATTGCCTCACTTTTACTTGATAACCAAGAAAAAGCATGACCATCCCCTTTTAGGAGACAATATGAACAATCTCTTTTATGTTTCTAGCATCATTCTCAGGGATAGATTTCATCCAATTCCTCTCTTTGATGGAGGTAAGTAAAGTAAAACTCATCATTTCTCATATGATAAAAATTTAAGTCCAAAAACATTAAACAATTGAAACAATGTAAGAAAGTGTCTTTCTTTCTTTGGGAAATCAATCTGGATATATACAGCAGTTAATGTTCTAACATGTTGACATCTCTTAATACACATCATTTAAAAGCCGACAGTCATTCTTCCTTTTTTCTCTGACCTCAGATTTCCTCATATTATAACTTAATTCCCTAGTAAACTCTATAAACAGACTCCAATAAGGAACTGAGTCTCATCTTTGACCAAAGTTATATTTCCCACTCACAATTTGAAAAAAAAATCAGTTATCTTCTGTTTTTCTTTCTTTATGTTGTTCACAGTACAAAGAAGTAAGTTACTGTTGGATTAAGAATATCCAAGACAATGGTCACAACTTGAAAGCACATGGAAAAACATGAATTATTTTTATAATGTCAGCTAATCCACAGCTGTGCCACCTGTTAGTATGGATGCTATCCAAAAGGATTTTTGAAAGTAAGCCAGGCAGTCTGCCTTCGATGTATGAAAAAGAAAACTGTCAAACATTTTGAATGGTGGGGAGGGGTTTTTGCTTGGGGGAAAATGGAGTTCGCAATGGACAAACTAGAAGTTATCTCCTGTATCCTATGAATCTCTCATGAGCCATTGTCTTCTGATGAATTAAGGAATAATTAATTTCTAAAAATCATGTCTTAGAAGCCATCACTCCAAGGACACTATCAATATCTATCTATCTATCACGCTGTACTTCTCATTTAGTCTCTTTAAATATTTAAACTTTAATTCAAGGAATTAATGAAGTAACTATATCAAGCACTTTCATTTGAAAAGGTGAATTCACTCATTTTAATGACATTGTGAAAAATCTATTCATATCCTTCATCTGAACAAGATGTTAGAAATGTGTTATTGATATTTTGGATCTCTGAGATAAACAGTACCACAGACACTAAAAGAAACCATAATTAGCAACTGATCCAAGGAAAATATAAAATGACAAAATTCTAAAATGTTATATCTAAACCACAGCAGACATAATAACCACAACAATGCAGAAGTTCTACGAATATCTATTGAACTTTATTAAAAATATAACTAATTTTCCCTACTGACAGATGTTGTAGAACTACATTTGAAAATACCAAGCGGTAAAAGTAATTTCTTACGCCCAGGAGGACACTTCAGGTTAAGCACAATGCTAGTAAAAGCACAGCTGTGAAATCTTAGGAGAGATTTTTCCTATATGCTTTATAAAATCTGATTCTCTATGTTTCTTTTAGCCTTGTTATCCAAATGCAGAAATGGCAGCTGAAGAGATGATTTGTGACAGCATTTGCTGAGACGAAGTCTGTCCACTAGATGGATAAAATCAGTTCCCTTTTCATAGGTCTGTGAGTAGCCAACAGCTAAGAAGCAAATTATTAATTCTTACACTTAAATGACTGCTTAAAGATTTTTGATGTTGTTTTTGTTATTTTCTTAGCCACTAGTCTACAGACTTCAATGACATATTAAGGATTATAAATCTATTAATAAACCAGACACATTCTGTCTCTTTAATTTCTTTGCAATAGTTCTCCAAATATTATACTACCAATACTTACTGGTAGGCAATGATTTAGGGACGAATTTATTTAAATTGTAAAAAATCAAAGATCAGTGAGGGAAAAAAATCAAAATCATCAAGAATACACTAAAGAAAGACTGGTGTCAAAGTTGAAATTTAATACATTAAATATACAGTTGATTCAGCTTCGACTCACCAGGTTAAACTCAGGGAAAATTTCTTAGCAGTAAGCCTCTTTATGTAAGACTCCTAAAAGGATCTGAAGATTTGTTTTACTTAGAGGTCTTTCGATTGCAAAGAATAGAGATTCACCCAGAGTAGCTGAAAGATGGGGCAGCATAGTTATTATTAAAATTTGCCGTGGGATAAAGAGATCCTCAGAGCATACTGAGAGTCATCTTTTCCCCGTTCTCAAGAAAGAAGGCCAATTGAACCAATTCATCTTTTTGGATTCAATTCACGACTTACAAGTCGTAGATTGCTAGTGCACTTACAGATTGGCTGCCCTTGAAAAAGTTTTCATATCTGGCAAAGAAAAGAAGCCAGAGTTGGTGGTAAGGAACACAACCATAAATTGCAGATCATAGCTGATGACTGCAATGGAAGCATGTGGGGGAGGCAGTCCTTCGAAGGAGTGTGGCTGCCAGGCAGGCAGCTATGGCCATCTAGTGTAGAGAGTGGGGTTGAAAGTTCAGAACCTGGACTCATTCTGATTGCATTGAGCCCAGCTCTACTATTTACTACGATGTGACTTTGGTCTAGTCAATTAATCTATTTGGTATTTATTTTCCTCAACATTAGTACCACTTAAGGTTATTGTGAAGAGCCAATGAGTTCATTTAGGTAAAGTCCTTAGGCCAGTGTCTGGAACTGAAATCACCAGGCAGTATAGGTTGGCCAATATTTCCTAGTCTCCTACAGCCAAAGCTGCCTCTTTTTTTCGTTGATTATAGTGGTGTCTCTTCTTCAGGGATGATGTCTGCTTAAGGAAAGGTGAGGTTCTAGAGTCATCTTTCAAGATAAAAATAATCTTACACACACAAAAAATGTCTGAAGAGACTTTTAGTCAGCCTATAAGCTGTACTGTATATTAAATATACTTTATATTAAGTACAATATACAGTATATCCTTGTGTGCATAGATTCCTTTATAGTAATATGTGTGTATAAATGTATAAAGTATATGATGAAGGGGTCTCTTGTCAACAATAATTGTACAGTATTTTAAATAATGAGATAGATCAACATTAACATTGATATGAAAAACAAAGAAAATAAACCTGTACCCTCTCCTTTCATTTATGTATTCTTGTTGGTTTTAATAAATTAAAGATACGCTGAAATGACAAATAGGTTAGTGCTATTGAGCTAAGGATGAACAATGACCATTGAACTTTGGCTGTATATTGCTGTTTGAAATGATGGAACTGGTCATTTGATCACATTCAGCTTGATCATCTACATCTGCTAGTGACCCAGTCCCTGAGAGTCACCAAGAATTGATTCCACTGAGGCGATGGCAGGCGGGGCTTTGGTGTTGGAAAAGTCAGTGGTTGATATGGACAGCACAGACTCACATAAGCTGCTGGTTTATTACACTAGAAAAATAAGGTGAGTGACACTGTGGCTGTTATCTTTTGTGCTGATCAAAACTTTCTGGTATACTCCATGTAATTTTGAGACCTGTTTCATAAAATGTTCATGTTCAGAAATTAAAGCCATCAGGGTTTTGGCTGTTTGGAACAGTTCAGCCAATTTATGAAGACTCCAACCTGCTGGCTCTTTCTGTCCCTTGCTGTTTTCTTTTTATCTCTATACAGTTTTGTTGCTCCCTTTACTTATTGATTCATCAGCCTTCCTCTGTAAAGCCCTCCTAATTCAGCAAGGCCTTCATTAGGGCTGTCCATGAAGAGATGGTCACCCACTTGTCTGGCCACCCGAATGTGTATTCACCAATTCACTCCTAATTAGAAACCCAAAAATCATTTACGTATTTTCTCGTAAGATTTGGCAAAATGTTCTAGAAACAGTTGCATGGCTACAAGTCATAAACGCCTACCTGTTAAATCTTCATCAAAATATCTTTATTCACTTTGCTCAACCCCTCTGTAGTAACTGGGGTCCTTGTTGCCATGATTTTGTGACAATGGCTCTTGATTTTGGTGACAGATGATGCTAGGTTTATTATGGCCATAGTAAAGACCAAATTCAAAACACTCTTTTCTTTTTTTCCTTTTTTTTTTTCTATACTAGAATATCATTGTTTTGGCTGCACACAAGATGAAGTAAGTGGCTTTCATTTAGAGGCCATGTTTTACCAAAAAATATGTTTCTTAAAATACTAGATTCCCCTCAGCATAATGAGATACTCACTTTTGGGGAGGGTGTCAGAAATTGCTGGAGCAACAGATTAATGATCCCCATTTCAGTTTCACATCAGGCATGGGCTCATTGAACACAATGGCTGGTGGGTGAAGTCACCCATACTGTTAAATTATCCTCTCTCTCTGACTGAACACATATGCTTAAATTAGGATAAAAGTTAGGACTATTCTCAATTGTCTTTTAAAGCTTGAGAGGGGAGTGGGCTCTCACTATGAAGAAAAATATATTTCTTAAGACGGATGATCTTTTTAAATGCTTAAACACCAAGTATATATATTTTCGAACATAGCAAATTGCAATTAATTAATGAATCCACTGAATTTTACCTTCTAGTTGAATTTGCAAGGTCATATGAGTAAACACTGATGTGAATTTTAAGTCTTGGTGACATGTAACAGGAAAGACAAGGTCTAAATTTTAAGAAAAGACTGAAAAGCCACTTACTTCTTGCAAATGGAAGAAAACTCTGTGCTATTTGAATTATTGTTTAAGAAAATCCTATGCAGTTTAAGAAAAACAGGATAAGAACTAACACAAAATGCTGCTTTTCTTTAGACAGATCATTAAGTCTCTCCACCTAAACTCTTGAAAAATCTGTAACGATTTTGTCTGCTTGTCAAATTGCTCCTCCAGTAATTTCACAGTTACAACCCACGCACATATCGACAGAGCATTTCGATTCAAATGTAACTTTCTAACAACAAACTTATATAGAAAAGGTGTCATAGGCGTAATTGAGAGGAACAGAAGATCAAGAGTGAAGAAAATTACATCTTCTTTTCTCAATTAAGAAAAAAACCTAAATCATAAATATTGTATTCATATACATTTACAAACTGATAGACCACTAAACGTTTTTTCTGATTTAAAACTGCTTTCCACCACTGCTGCTGGTGCATATATTAATGAGGAAAAACCCACTGTGACAGAAATCTTCCCCTCACGGCATAGCCACCTCCACCCCCATAAAAGAAAGCTTTTCAGTGTTACCTGAGAAAAAAACATCACAACTAATTACATCATTTTTCTTGGTTCCCGCATCTACCAAGGCTTGCTCAGACACATTCAACCTGTTACCACAATCCATGATTTAACTCAAGGTTTTATTTAGTGTAATGAATATCATTCCTCTATTTAAAATGCTGTTTATCTTTCCTTAAGCAAATTGATCGGCCAATAAGTATCATTATTAGGTATTACAAAAAAGATGTTGTCATAAGGTAATTTATTCTAAGTTAAAATAGTCCACTGAGATGTCTTGTAAGAACAGAAATTACCATTAAAATGTCCCATTTACAATCACTGATGAAAACTTGGGCTATTTGTGCATATAATAAAGGGAGCTGAGGTTTTTTAATTTAAAAATAGATCACATGCTATTAATGTAGATTTTTGTGTTTCTATTACAGATTATCATGAATAAGGGTACTAAGGACTAAAATTGGGAAATCAACTTATCTATTATCTCTTGCTTATATAAAACCTTCATGTATTTAATATCGATGGTCCTTTATTACGTGTGTGTGTGTGTGTGTATGCACCATATATGCCTCAAAGTATGTGTGTGTACATTAAGAGAAGAAACCCAGCATAGCTAAATGGCTAAAAATATGGTAACTATACTGTGCTTCCACCCTATATATTTTATCACATAAAATACAGTTTTTTACGATAAGTGCCTTTATATACATTTGAAATTAACTTTGACAGCTGAATCTTTTTCAACACTACTCTTGAATATTACCTTTATGTAGTATTACCTGTGTTACTGCTTCAGTACTAAGAAAATGAGACCATTTTCTCTGACATTACATAAGCCCGACAGCAGACGAGAGAAACGCTGCCTATCTGGGGTGAAAGCTAGCTCCCTCTGAAGCTACCATTTGACACGTTAAAACAATTCTCGAGTTGATTGAATCATTCCAAATTACCAATATTTGACCATTTCAACCTTCAAAAATGGAAATTTCACTTTAACTCATACAGCCAGATATACCTAGACAAGCTTTAAAAACACATAAAAAAATTTCCTTTAACATTATTACTCAGAAGTTGATTACAGTCAACTATATAGAAAGGAAAATCTTAACGCTTCCATACACCCTGAAAATTTATGAACTTTTGCTCCATCTGCTTAAACCTATATTGCATCCTCGTTTTTAGTTTTTATTTTTTAAAGATTGTTTTAAAAAGGTGCACCAATCAAAAGATAATTAATGGTCTTGGTCTTTGTTCTATCAGATGTCCATGCAAAGATATGGATAATGGTTCCATCACCAAATTTTTAACTAACTCCAAATATTGTATTTGTGGCTCACACTAGGGATCCCTTGACCCAGCTCGGCAAGTGTGAAATCACGAAATAAATGAAGGTTAACAAAGACTGGTCTAAGGAATAGTTCACTACAATACCGCAATGCTCTTCTCACTAATACTCGACTCTGCATTTCGGTACTTATATCTGAAAGATTTGCAAATAATGACAACATTCGTGCCAGACATTACTGCAAGTGAGGAACAGACTAAAGGAGAGGAAGGAACAAAATGCCTTCCAAGAGAGAAACATTCATTAGCCTTACTGGCAAGTGTCTAAAGCAAACAAGGAAACTGCAAAATAATTACTTAGTTACAAATAAACGCTTTTAGCACAGTACCTTTTTGTGTCTGTCCCTCTTCCATATTCTCTTCCATGGCTACCTTTCTTCAGTAGAATCTGGTACACGGAATTAATCAAAAGCTCAATTAGATGTTGGAAAAACTGGGGGTTTTTTTTTTTTTTTTTTTTTTTTTTTTTTTTTTTTTTTCCTGGGAAGCTCCAACAGCAGTGGCTTGGGCAAGTCCTCAGAGCTTAGCTCAGGCTCCCTCGTTCCTCTTGTTTGCTTGGAGACAGGCTGTCAAGTGTAATTTCATTCAAATTACTCTTCCGTGAAGATTATCAATTTTTCTTCTCAAAGCTGCCCATTGTGTACCACTGTAAGCAGGTATTCAAACAAATAGCCTGAGAATTTTGGGGGGAAATTTGGTCTGAATCCCAGGAGCAGAGACACTATGATTCACAAGTCTTGCTTTGCATTTAAAATGGGGAAAAGAAATTGAGGTTTGTATTGAAATCTGGGCTTTAAATTGGAAACAGGCTGAGCTGTGAACAGATGGAGGGGTGTCCTCCTAACATGAAGCCGACCACCAACCCGTAATTCCCCCCTTCATTCCAGAGTGGGAAAGCCCAGATTCCCGTCGGTTCTTTATGCTGCAGCAGTGGCTTCTCACCCAGTCAGATACGTTGCAAAAAAACTGTGTTTTCCTTTTCTCTCCTCACTAAGTATTTAGTTAATTTGATTTAAGGTGCCAAGAAAGGATGCAGTTATACCATCTCAGGGTTTATCTGCAAAAGTTTATTACTAAGACAGGACTTGTAATCCCACACCTTTGAGATTTAAAAAGAAATAGAAGCGTGGCTGTCAAAGGAGTGAGTATAAAGCTCTAAGCCTGAGAGATACATGTTTTAAGTAATTATTTTACTTAGTGCCATATGACTCTTAAGTAAAAGGGAGAAAACCACTGGAAGGAAAAACCCTATTGATGTCTTTGTTATTTATTGTTATGATTATAGCCCACGAAAGCTGCTGGTTTCCAATGAGAATCTCTTGAAAGGGAATTTCTTTAAAGGTCAGTGTTAGGGAATGAGAAGAGTGATGTAAGGGAGGAACAAATTTTAGATAAGAAACAAGAGGATAGCAATTTATAATGGGAATCTGCAAGCTGATTTGGAATGCAAATCACAATGCTGCAGTCTGGCGATAATTAGCATTTGTACTTCAGCCTACTGAGTGACAGGGCACAGTCCAAGAGTCTCAATACTTCACAAAAGGTATAGCAAGAAAATAAACAGTATCTCTTTCAAGGAGCATAAACCTTTCCTAGAGTAGAAAGAAAGGATCCTTGCCTCTGTCTTCATCTCCAAATCAGCCAGCACACACACACACAGGGACAGAAACACACACAGAGGGACAGAAAGACACACACAAGCACACACACGGAGAGGCACACACACACACAAGGACACACACACAGACATAACTGTAACTCTCTGCCTTTAATGAAAAATAGCTCACATCCTCATTATCCATAGCATACGTTTCTTGCATTATAGCTTGTATTTCACATGCATTCTTTAAAGCAGGCCAGTAGCATGCTGCACATCACCCTCTAAATATTACAAAAGCAGCTATTTAGAGGAAACACAATTACTGCATTCCACTTTATTTCTCATAAATGAATGTTTAGTCCTCTTACTTGTATAATCATTTGTTATTATTTTCTCTTTTCAAATGAATTTTGTCCAAAAATAACTGGAGTTCAAATAACTCAAAACCTATCTCTTTGGAATATATATCAATGTGTATTCAAGGGTTTTTGAGAGAGCTGCTTGCTCAGTGCACAGATTGAGAGAGAGAAACCATAAGGGAAATCAAAAAGCCAAATTGTAGCAGCCTCTCTGCTTCAACTCATCCCTAGGCTGACATAACCTGGCATATAATCAACACAGAACGGAGCAACGCTCCTCATTTAGATCCTTCATTCGTTTTATACCATGGAAATCATTAGTGAAAGCAATTGTTTATTGTAGTGCCAGTAGATACAATAATGTCACCTTAAATTTTTAGAACACTTTACAATCTATAAAACATGATTACATACATTAACCCGTTGTAAGTCAAATGGGAAAAGCATAATTTTCCCCACTTTATGATGAAAACAAAAAACAAAAAACACGGATGCTCAGGGACACCTAGAGACTGGGCTAATAAATCACCAAGTAAGTCTTAGAACCCATGTCTGTTGATTTCTTGCCTAATGTTCTGATCTTAGAAGCTAATTTTCCTTCCTACTCTGTTCCTTTATGAGTATCTTCAGCATCTTCAGAAATCAGCCTCAGTTCATAGCTTTCTTTTTCACCACACATATAAAGCAAAAGAGGGAAATGAGAGGGAAAGGAAATTTTAAAAATATTCATGATTTCTTTTTCTTCTGGAAATTTTGCAGCAGAATACACTCATATAACCATTCACTTTTTGTCTAAAACAGGCTTTTTCATGTGACAATTGTTACCAACATAAGTCAACATCAACTTGTACCAATTTTTAAAATATACAAAAAAGTCCTCAGAGCCAGTCCAAATGGACTCGTCAAATGAATTAAGAGAGATGCATACACATACATAGCCTCCTCACAGCAATCACCTGTCAGTAGGCTTTCAGTATTTATTGGGGTAAAATATAAAAGAAAAATTTGCCATTTTGATCATTTTTAAATCTGTAGTTCAGTGGCATTAGGTACATTCACATCATTCTGTAACCATGGCCACCAGCTATCTCCAGGACTTTTTCATCTCCACAAACTGAAACTCTGTGCCCATTAAAAACGCACTCCTCCTTTCCCCTTCCTCCTGTTTGATGGCAGTTGAGTTGTTGATGATTTTCTCTTTTTTTTTTGAGATGGAGTCTCGTTCTTTTGCCCAGGCCAGAGTGCAGTGGCATGATCTCAGCTCACTGCAACTTCTGCCTCCAGGGTTTGAGCAATTCTCCTGCCTCAGCCTCCCGAGTAGCTGGGATTTCAGGCATGCACCACCACACCCAGTTAGTTTTTGTATTTTTAGTGGAGACCGGGTTGGTTTCACCATGTTGGCCAGGCTGGTGTCAAATTCCTGACCTCAGGTGATCCACCCACCTCGGCCTCCCAGAGTGCTGGGATTACAGGCGTGAGCCACCAAGCCCAGCCAAGTTGTTGTTGCTAATGGTGGTTTTAAGATTATTTTTTAAAATTTGGATCTCATTGGAAGTAAAAATATTTTGAACCTCCAGTATCTTAAACTAGTTAGAAAAGAAAATCGTTTCACATTATAGTAGATTTGCTTTATTAATTATAAAATATACTATATAAAGCTTAATAACTAGCAATGATGTGTCCTTATGGGGACTGAAATGCCTCATCTAATACTCTTTCCATTGTATCGTATTGTATTTGCCCCATTCTACTCTTAGTCATTTATTTAAAATATATGGGCTGTAGGCAGTGGCTCATGCCTGTAATCAAAACACATTTTGAGGCCAGGAGTTTGAGACCAGCCTAGGCAACATAGACAGTCCTCATCACTACAAATATTTTCTACTCTTTTTCTTTTCTTTTTTTTTTTTTTTTGAGATGGAGTTTTGCTCTTGTTGACCAGGCTGGAGTGCAATGGCATGATCTCAGCTCACTAGAACCTCTGCCTCCCGGATTCAAGCGATTCTCCTGCCTCAGCCTCCCAAGTATCGAGGATTACAGGCATGTGTCACCATGCCCAGTTAATTTTGTATTTTTAGCAGAGACGGGGTTTCTCCATGTTGGTCAGGCTGGTCTCGAACTCCCAACCTCAGGTGATCCGCCTACCTCGGCCTCCCAAAGTGCTGGGATTACAGGCGTGAGCCACCACACCTGGCCATTACAGACACTTTAAAAAAACAAATTATCCAACCATGGTGGTGCACACCTATAGTCCCAGCTACTGGGGAGGCTGAGGCAGGGGAATCACGGGAGCCCGGGAGGTTGAGGCTGCAGTGAGCTATGCTCACATCACCGCACTGCAGCCTGGGCCACAGGGTAGGACCCTGCCTCTAAAAAATAAAATAAAACAAATATAAGTTAACTAGGTGGTTAAAAATATGATTATATTTTTATCAAGTCAGATTTCCCTTTCAAATACTGTCTAAGAAATGTTTATAATGTATATTACTTTTTTCTTATGTGAGCTCACTCAATCCAAAACCATTATAATTCTCTTTCATTTTTCTTAATCTTAATTTGGAGCTTCCTTTAACACTTCATCTTGTCTTTATGGATAAACACATTATTATATACAATAAGTAAATATCGACATATTCCTCTATTATGTAATGCAGTCATCTTTGTGATACAATGTTCATAATATAGACAAGTAAGGAGAGTTAACAGATTAAAGAAGTTGTGGTTCCAAATATCGCATTAACTATAAAAAGTGAGGGGGAAAAATGTTCGTAGTCCCTGGGTCAGAGAACAGAGAGGAGATGTGGAAAAGAAGATCATGAAAACCTAGCCCAGTGCATAGGACTAACAGGCAGGAACACGGTTTAGAAACTGCCTTTTATTCTACGTCAAATGTTTCAGACACAGAATTAACATTATCTCTAGAATGAAATGTCTTAGTTGGGATCTTCTTATATTTTGACAGAGAAAAAGGACCCCTTTGTCTGCTGCTTTAAGCTCCAAGTCAGAAACTGACTTTCATAACATTTTCTTTTCTTTTTTTTATTTTTATTTTTTTTTTGAGACGGAGTCTCGCTCAAAGCCCAGGCTGGAGTGCAGCGGCGCGGTCTCGGCTCACTGCAAGCTCCGCCTCCCGGGTTCACGCCATTCTCCTGCCTCAGCCTCCCGAGGAGCTGGGACTACACCCCGCCACCACGCCCGGCTAATTTTTTTTGTATTTGTAGTAGAGATGGGGTTTCACCGTGGTAGCCAGGATGGTCTCGATCTCCTGACTTCGTGATCCGCCCGCCTCGGCCTCCCAAAGTGCTGGGATTACGGGCGTGAGCCACCGCCCCGCGGCCAACATTTTCTTAAAGAAAGTCAAAACCACCACAAACACTGCAATGTTTTCAGTCCATTATAAAATGACCATAACATTCTTCAGAGTTACATAATCATAGAAAGCAGTCAATTCACAGAATGATCGTGGTGTTCACAGTAGTATCATTACCCCATTTCCTTTCATTCTGAATTGTAAAAGTGTTTACTAAGCATTCTTACAGGAAATTGATGTAGGCAAAAGGGATACTAAGAAGACAAATTCCTGCCCTAATTAGGCCTATAGCCTAGCAGCGTAGGACAGACCAAATATCACAACGCTGAATGACAAGTGCTACCAAATAAAAATAAAGATGCATTGGATGGCACATGAGCCTACCTCAAGGATATCTAACCTATATTTAGTTTTGATAGTTGGAAAAGTTTTCCTGGTTTCCTAGAAGGTACAGTTTGATCTGACCTGATCAAAGCAGGTGACCTTTCACCCAAAGGAGATGAAATTAGATGGGAAAAAAGGGGGAGGCAGATTGTTGGGGAGAAAGAAAAGATATTCTGAACAGTTGAAAGAGAATACATGAAGGCCTATGGAGGGGGAGACATACTCTGCTGAGAACATGTAATAGACTAACATCTGGCTGCATGGGCAGAAACTCTCTTTTACTATTTATTAGACATTGTACCCCCCAAGGTATTCAGTAGTCTCGTGCTGGAATATCCAATTCTGAGTCTTGCTCCTTAGCTTTTTTAGAGTACTGAAGAAGAAGACGCTCCTAAGACCTAGCTTGTACTCCATAAGTTTGGAGCCTAAAGGTAGACAATGGCAAACCCGTTAATATTTACCCCCAAGAAATTACCTTTCGGGTATCTTAGGCTCTTTCTTACCAAGACCTTTCCTCTCCAATCTATTAATATTGTATTTTCACATAATTACCAGGGCTGTAGTCATGAGTATGTCATAGGCCTGTTTACAACTGGTGAATGCTTTTCCAGTGTTCTTAGGATAGAACTGGCTGGAAAGATTGGACATGACCTGGCAGGAGCTCACCTCTTCGGCATAACGTCCCCCTGCTGTTCATTCATTCATCTCCTTCTAATTTCTTAAAATTGTCCATTTGTGAATGTTGTTTCTTCTTCCTAAAACACTTTTCCTTCCACCCTCAGATAGCTAGATCTACTCAGATCTCAGCTGGAAAGTGTTATCCTCAGGCAAAACTTTTTCAAGAGCATAGGCCTCTTTTAGTATTCATATCACATGCCATTACAGAGCTATTCCTCAAAGTCTGCAATATACATATAGATATAGTCTGCAATATATATATAGAGAGAGAGTCAGTTCTATATATATGTATCTTCCCCCCTGGCCTGCGGCCTATAAGCTCCATGAGATAATGGCCTCTATCTTTCCCCCTCACACAAGACAAGCACATGGTAAGCTTTCAATAGATACTTGTTGAATGCATGCATGCATGCATGAATGACTGAATAAACGAATAATGATGTACAAATAAATGAATGAACAAACTCAGTGGCTTACACATACCTTATCTTATGTTTATCTGCTTCCACAAAATATTTTAGAGGGTGAACATAATTTACAATAACTTGGGGAGATACATATCATGTTCATATGTAACAAATGTCATTCCCCAGCAGTTGAAGGCAAAACGATAATGAGATATTTCAAAGAGCAACCAGCAAAACAAAAAGGGAGCTGGGAAATATTAATTGTGTTTCATCTTTCCTCTAGGAAGGGAAAGCTGTATTGTCATAAATGCTGATTACAGTAAGGGGAGACAGAAAAATTCAAGGGTGACACTCTTTGGGCCAAACTTACCCTTTTATAGAAAGATCAGTTCTAAGTACTTATGCATTCCTATAACCATAAAGGTGATCCAAATTTTAAAACTTCTAAATAGTTTTGTTTTCTCCAAAATGCCAGAAAGCAAGAGTAATCCAAATCTCTTTCTGGTAATTATGTTTCCCATAAAACATGGCAGAAAGCATGAGGGGTTAAAAACTATGCAATGGGTAAGCAGCAGTGGCCTCTGTTTACTCAAAATCCAAACACTACTACTAATTGAGAAAGAGATCACAAAAATTGGCCCAAGCTGATTCTCTGTGGTCACAAAAATTCTACTTTAAATTGAGCTCACCAAAGAATAAACTTTATAGCTCACTCTGTCACTCAAGTTGCATTTACTCAATGACTACTAGGTATCTGAAGCTGAGCCAGGTGAACAGGACAGATGTAGTTTCCTGCTCTAACAGAGCTAATAGCAAAGATGGAAGAGAGAGACAAACAATTGGAACAAAGTATGATAGGTGCAATTATATTAATATTAATGACAATTATACTCAGCACTTCACATGTGTGAGGCATTGTTCTAAGTTTCTAAAAAGTGTATATCCCATTTAACCTTCACCACAACAGCCCTGTCAGGTAATTACTATTGTCCCCATTTTGATAGAGGAGGAAATCGAAACAAAAAGATTAAATTCTTTGTAGCAAGTAACAGGGTGGGGAAGATGGGATTTAAACATAGGCATTCTGACCCCAAAGCCCATTCTTTGAACCACCTGGATATCCGCCTACACTTATGTAAGTAGTAGACCCAAAGGCATTTAATGTAGGAAAAGGCCCTGATTGTAAAGTCTTCTCACAACATGAATATTTGTATTCATCCAAAAACAAAAACATTTAACTGCTTCCCATATGCCCAACATGTTGCCAGATGCTGTGAGAGACACACAAAAAAGTTGAAGAAATGATTCTCATACTCAAAGAACTTACGATTGAAGTTAAAAATATTAATACTCAGTTTAAACAGCAATAAATCAACAAAAGTGTGATTTCAGAGTAAAACTACTATAGGGAGTTGAAGTAGAGAACGTTCTTTAAGATTTCTAATATGCTTGATAGCTTTCGTCAACAAATGCAATTATCATCTAAGCGGTTTAGCAGAAATATGGAGACTTTTACTCAGTGGACGTATCTCTGATCTTCAAACTCTATTCAGTGCCACAATTTAGCCATTAGGACTTTATGCACAGTTATTATTCCTTCTTATTTTCTTTTTTTAAATTAGCTCTTGAGACCAAAATAATAAACACTTGTACTACCACCCAACATAGAAAATAAAGTATAAAGTCGATTATACGTGTTCTCTAACTGCATTCCTTTCCTTATATCTTCTTCAGCCCTACCTCCTGTTAATAATCACTCAGGACTGGAGAGTTTTTATTCCTGTATGTTGTCCTTATTATTTAATATGTGTGTGCATGCATATGTGTGTCTGTGTGTATACAGATATATATACACACCATAGTTAGTATTGTTTTGTAGGTTTTCTTTTTTCTTTTCTTTCTTTTTTTTTTTTTTTTTTGAGATGGAGTCTTGCTCTGTTGCCCAGGCTGGAGTGCAGTGGTGCAATCTCTGCTCACTGCAACCTCCCCTTCCCGGGTTCAAGTGATTCTCCTGCCTCAGCCTCCCAAGTACTGGGATTACAGGCATGCGCCACCACGCCCAGCTAATTTTTATATTTTCAGTAGTGACAGGGTTTCACCATGTTGGCCGGCTGGTCTCAAACTTCTGACCTCAAGTGATCCACCTACCTCAGCCTCCCAAAGTGCTGGGATTACAGGCATGAGCCACCACACCCGGCCTGTTTTGTAGGTTTTGATTAGATATCAAGAATATCTTCTTATATGTCTCTTTTCGCAACTTCTTCCTCAATCTTTTAATGTATATGCGGATCTGTTGATAAACATTTAATATTGTTTCTAATTTCTAAACAACTGTAAAAAATTACAATGAATATTTTTATATATGTTTAGTGCATACATTTAAAATTTTCCCTACAAGTCTGAGGTGTATGTATGTGTGGAATCATTGGGTAGGAGATTATGTATGTCTTCAATAATATGTGTGTTAAAAAGCCCTTCAAAGTGCTTGTGCCAATTTAAATTTCCCTAAGAACTATCTGAGAATCCTACTGTTCTACGTCTTCTATACTTAGTAATTTTTAAATGTTACCAAAGATAAATCTTTTAATTTACATGAGTATTAATTATATATCTTAATATGATTTCCTTAAGTATCTCATAAAGTTGAGAACATTTTCTTGCAATTAGCCAATGATTTTCCTCTTTTGAGAAATGTATATTCATGCCCTTCACTCATTTGCCCACAGTATTGTTTGCTTTTTGGTATTATTCTATAGATGTTATTTGTAAGTTCTGAATACTAATTCCATAGCAATTAAATGTCTAACATATATATTTTTACAGTGCCTTAGTTAATCTTGGTTTTTGGTCATCTATATATATTTTAGAATCAGCTTTCAAATATAATGAGGGGGAGGTGAACTTATATTTATTGAACTTAAATTAACTTCATAGATTAATGAGACATAATTAACATTTTTACAAAATTGAATCTCTTTCCATGAACATGAGATCTCTTTCCATATGTTGAGAACTTTTTTTCATATATTTTAAGAATGTTTTAAAATGTTCTCCCTAGGAGCTTTGCATATTTTTTTTTGTTTTTATTCCTAAGTATTTTGATTTCTTTTAGAGGTATTTTATACTAAATCTCTCAAGACTTTTTTTGACTGAAGCAAAGGAACACATTATTGGATTTTAAAAATCAGTCCTATAAGAAGCAAATTTGCTAAACTCTCCTATAGTTCTAATAATGCATAGGTCTTGAAATTTCTATGTAGAAATTCACATATTTGAATTAAAACAAATATGAGTCTAACTGTCCAATCTATATATTTTAATTTATTTCCTCTGTTTTACTGTGCATTCTAGGGTCCCCAACACAGTGTTGAATTGAGCAGTGATTTTAAAAGAAATGATTCTATGGTTTCATTATTATGTGTTATTTGTAGTAGGTTTGCATAGACATTTTTTATCTGTTTAAATAAGTTCCCTTCTAGTACACATTTCTGAGGTTCATTTATTATAAAGTATTGAATCAGAAAAAATGTTTTATTCTCCATCAAGTAAGATGATTATACAAATTGCATCCATTTATATATTAAAGTAAGAATTGCATTTGTAGATTTTCTGATGTTAAACTCTGTTTGCATTCCCAAACAGAGAATTGGTCATGATATGTAATTGCTTTAATTTCAATTTAATATTTTGAAAACTTCTTTTAATTGGAAATCTTATCCTTTTCTATCTATTTTTCTCTAAACATACATAATGCCTTTTTAAAAAGCTGTCCACTTTAGGAGAATCGTTTATTAAAATTTTTGGTATATCCAAAAATGGGAATACTGTATAGCAGTTAATGATTACATAAGTTGTCTGTATTAACAATGAAAAGCTGTTCACAATAAAGTGATAGAAGTATATAACAACAGTATAAATAGTATCCTTTTGTATTTTAAAATGTTCATAAACATATGCATTGAAACAAACCTATACAGATCTATTGGAAAATGTTAAGAGTGCTTATTTCTAGAAAGTGGTATTTGAGATAATTTATTTAATTCTTTTCATGCTTTTTTTTTTGTTTTTTGAAAACATTGTACTTTAAGTTCTGGGATACATGTGCAGAACTGCAGGTTTGTTACATAGGTATACATGTGCCATGGTGATATGCTGCACCTATCAACTCGTCATCTAGGCTTTAAGACCTGCATGCATTAGGTATTTGTCCTAGTGTTCTCCCTCCCCTTGCCCCCAGCCTCTGGCAGGCCCCGGTGTGTGATGTTCCCCTCCCTGTGTCCATGTGTTCTCATCTCTTTACATGCTTTTTGATACTTTTTATATAGGTACAATATTATTTTAATTATCAGAAAACTTAATAATTTTACAAAACTGACAATAATAAGTTGGTTACCACTAACTGCAGCTAAAATGTTATAGACATTGGGCTGGCGATTTTTATAATTTTTTTTCTAACATTCGTAACACCTCTGCAAGATAGCTTTCTTTCATGTGAGAAAATTGAGGCTTTCAAAGGTTAAGCAACTTTCTCAAGGCTACGCAGCTGGTGAATGAGGAACTGAGATTTGAATTTTGGTTTCCCTAATACTAAACTTATATCACTCAAAAGATAAGTCATTCAATACTTGATTAACACAGTTGTTAGCCAACACATGTTAGCTTTTCTTCAGTTTTGAGTAAAGGCTTAGTGCTATATTAACAACAATGAACATAGGTTATAACTTATCTGAAAAGTGGATGATTTTTTTTGGCTCCATTCACTTGAACCAATATTTAACAATAAGATACGTCAGTTAAGCCTAACCTTACATATTGGATATTGCAAATGACAGTCTTGCAAAAATAAATAGATAAGTGCAAGAGAGAAAGAAAAAGACAGACAAGGGGGAGGGGTGTAAATACAACTTTATGCAAAACTAGTGGCTTGCCATAAGTCCTGAATTTTGAAACAGTGATTTTAAATTGTTGCTTTGAATCTCACTGCAGATGCAGATGGTAGGAGATATCCTCTGAAAAAGCTGATTACACTATATGGTGCATAGAGGACTGATGAGGAAAAACAAGACTCAAGTTTTCTCAGCTTTATCATAAGCGTTTTGGTATTTTTGCTTATACGTTAAATTGCAAGTCCTCTGTGGATGAAAAAAATACATTAAAGTGTACTCTTACATTTCCAGAGATCACTTTAGGTAACCTAAAAATTCTTATCTCAAAAAAGAAAACTCAGACTGACAACTTTTCTCATTCTTTAAAGTGCCTTGCCCAACACATCTGAACTAATGACTAAAAAGGCTGGGAGCCTGGACTTCTCCCAATGGGCAATCAAGGTGAAAGGCCCTTCCTTTCTTACTTCTGAGAGAAAGGTATGATTTTACACATTGTTCCTTTTTTTGTGAGTTAGGCATCTGAAATCTTTAGAGAGTTTGTCAGTTCTGAGCAAGAGGCCTTAGATTGTGATCTACTCTCCATTAAGGAGAAAACAAATAGGCCCACATCCTGGGTGTTCCAGAAACACCCGGAAAACATTTTCTCAAGGATGTTTTATTGGCCCTGACATATGGTCTCTTTGGATAGATATTTGGCCAGACCATGGCTCCAGGAAGATTGATACACTCAAGTAATTTACATTCTAGACGTTCCTCTGCTGCAATGTGCACACTGTTATTTTCGAATGAACCTGCAGACACCACTTGACTCCACTCTGCTTGTGCGGCAGACACACACCCCATCCACTTACAAGTGTTCTTCACGGTTTTCAGCGATGTGCTCAAGTAAGCAGTAAGCAACCCGCTGCCATTGTCCTGGACAAAATGCAAAGCTGTTTTCGGCATTTACTATTGCAAATATTAAGGTAGATGTGATTTATTTCCTCTCTCTGACTTCCTGAATTTCAATATCATTTGTCTGTAGCTCATATTTGCCAGATATCATACATTTTTTATTTTTAATATTTCAGTATGTCTGATATCCATTTCCCCTGCCTGTCATTGTGGTCAGAAACCACGAGCTACACTTGTTTCTCCCTTACCATTCATAAAGTGAGACTGACGTTGAACCTATTGCGAGGTGCCCAGCTTTCCAGGGACTAGGTTCAGCTCTTCTTATTCAGTAATATTTAACAAATATTTGTGTGGTATCCACTGTATGCTAGGCACATATTTTTTTCTTATTATTTACAACCCTGAGAGTAAGTGGTATTTCTATTTTACAGGGTATAAGTCTGAAATTTAGACAAGCAAATGATTTTCACAAGTTCTACAACTACGAGGAAGCAAAATTTGAATATAAAAGTCTCTCAAAAGTTCACTGTTTCCAATACATTAAATGACTCAGTAAACAAAAAGTAAACAGATGTTGACTAATCAATTCCTGCAAAAGTGATGTAAATATATCTTCAAAAGATGTCTTTATTTAAGTCTTAACGCTTGTAGCTAAATGGGTAGGATGCCAGTATAAATTTCTAGATACTTTTTGAGGCATCTCTTCTTGTATATCTCTTGTAGCCCATAAAGAATCTTGAATATAAATTGAATTGTAAATTTAAAATCAATTTAAAATTTAAAAACCATTATCCTTAAAAAACAGAGTGAATGTTAAAGTCACACAAGCCAAGGTTTTACAGATAATTGTACTAGGTTACCTTGGGGTGCAGTAATCTTAACAGCAAAAGTATATTTCATGGGAGTAGTATCAGACTATATAATAATTGATTTAAGAGGAAATGCAATATGCCCAAAGAAATCCAGCCCAAGGCTAGTCTTTCAGTCATTAATTCATTGATTATATATTGAGTGCTTACCATTGCCCAGAGGTAAATCTAATTTATAGGGCAAGTCCATGAACACATATACTGGGTCCTCGCTCCCATGGTCTTTAGATTTCAGAAGAGGAATGTAAGAGGCCAAATAAACAAATACATTAAGGAGCTAATGTCAGGTTCTTACATGGGCAATGATGAAAATATATCAGAATGAGGCAGTGAAGAGTGTTTTAGAGGCTCTGTTAGCTTGTGTTGTCAACCTAAAGATGATGGCAATCTTTAACATCACCCATAGCCAAAATAATAAAAATATGTCAAAATCTCTACTATGAAATGGTCATTAATAGAATTTTATTGTTCGTTAGAAAGGAAAGAAGACAATGAGCTTGAGCAATCAGCAGTGGTCTTGAATGTGCTTTTTGTCCAGATGGGATCTTTTGTAATTATTTTTATGTGGTACAACACAACATTTTCAAGTTGAACATTTTCAAGTCAAGTTGAAGAGATTCGCAAACTTTTAGTTAAAAAAAAAAGTCTTGGCTGGGTGCGGTGGCTCACAACTGTAATCTCAGAATTTTGGGAGTCCGAGGAGGGCAGATTGCTTGAGCCCAGGAGTTCAAGACCAGCCTGGACAACATAGCAAAACCCCATCTCAAAAAATTAGAGGGCATGGTGGAGTGAGCCTCTGGTCCCAGTTACTTGGGGGACTGAGGCAGGAGGATGAGCTGAGTTCCAGGCTGTAGTGAGCCATGTTCATGTCAATGCATTCCAGCCTGGGTACCAAAGGGAGACACTGTCTCAAAACAAACAAACAAACAAAAAAACTGTCTCTTATCATTCAGTCTCAAAAACCATTGGCCACTGATCCGTACCATAAGGCTTGAAAGACCTTAACATATTACCTAATGCAGAAATTAATCTCTCTTTCTCTCTCTCTCTCTCTCTCCCCCTCCTCCCCTGCTCAGTGGCGTACACGTGTGTGTGTGTGTGTGTATCGTGAATTAGGGACAAGATTGAGACACAAGTCTGTGTGACTCCAAAGCTATCACACTTTCCATTATAAAACACTGCTTTTTAAATGTAATACTATTATGTGGTCATTGCATATTTCTGAGTTGTTAATATAGTAGTTTCGACATTAGGTTGACTTTTGATTCCGTTCACTAAAGGAGGTAAATATTGCTATGCATAAAATGAAAGATGGAACGGAAAACTGGGGTGGTAGAAGAGGGTGCTAATAATCAGCCTTCTCTGAGTGGTTCACAAAGAAGTGAATACAGAGACATGCAATTTGTGCAGTGAAATTTAAAACACCTTTTGTAAGTCAACAAAAACAAGTTTCTCATGGCTCAGAAAAGAGAGCTTCCTGAGTTTTTTATTAATAAACTCATGTTACAACCAGCATGCCCATGTATACCAAGTCAGGCAGCAAAAGAAAATGGAGAGATCACTAGCCTTTTAGGAAAAAAAAAAGAGTCCTAATGTTGATTTATTTCTTTATTAACAAGTAATCTGTCGGTTTACTCCACTCTGTGTGAAGATGTACCACTAACTCATTACACGACTTCAGGCGAAGATGTTTTTTATCTACTTCCTCAAATACAGAATGAATTTAACACTTGTCTCACTGACTTCACAAGGTGAAGTCACTGCACTAAATGTTTTAGGTACAAGATCTCATTTTATCCCTCCAAGATGCCCATGAAGTAAGTATCATTAATTAAAGCTATTTTACAGACGAGGAAAATGGGGCTTCAGAAAAATAGATTCTCTAATGACAGAAGATGAAAAATTTCTTTGAATAATATAAAATGCTATACAAAAATGATGTAATTATATCCATTTTAAACAGGAAACAGTGAAGCATGTATGCTGTAGAAAAAAATGTCAACTATATTTAGTAGCTCAGTAAGACCACCCGATATAACTCATGTAATAATACAAAACGTTTAGTTAGAGCTTATATATGCCAACCGCAGGTCTTAGCATTTATGTCCTCACTTTAATTCATTAATCTTCAAAATAACCCTGTGAGGTACATAGTATTATTATCCCCACTTCGCAGCTAAAGAAACACAGAAACAGAACAAGTGACTTGTTCCAGGTAACAGCTAGTAAACGGCAGAGCTGGGACTAGAACCCAGAAGGTCTGGTTCTTAAACCTGCGCTCTTCATCATAACACTGCTTCTATGAAGCAGGCTGGAAAGGGTGCAAACCAATTAGCTATTTATTCAACAGGCTTAGAGAACAAATAGCTGGATTATTTCTCATTGCGCACAAGCCTTCGGGCCATTCTCTAGGCTCTGTTGGTTTGGTCCGCATGATGTTCTGTAAGGAGCAATCAGAGTTTCAAATGGCAGCTCAGCCAGCCCTGTTCATCCTCCATGACCTCTTTAAGGTTCTGTTTCCCATTCGTAAATGAGGAAAAGAATACCTATTCATCAGGGATTTAGTGAGGATCAAATGCATTCCGCACAAATTTTGGCACAGACATGGTTGGCACTCAGTAAACATTAGTCTGCTTCTTCCTCTGGCCTCAAATGTGGTGTCAGTTCAAATAATTTATTCTCCCATAAACTAGGAAAAGCTAAGAGAAAGGCCTCAGATCATGAAATATCAGGTTTTAAATCAACTGTATATTGTTCTGAGTGATGAAGCAATGTGCTTTTGTGAAAATAATGTTATCCTGAGTATTTATAAATAGGTCTTTTTCCCTAAAACATTGTATATTCATATACTGATTTCTCAGAGGTCAGTATATGCAATTTGAAAAACTAGTGGACTGATCTGGCTTGGCAATTCCTAGGTCAGTTCTATACTTGCTCATGCCACAGGTCTGCCAAAACAAATTTTATCACCAAGTAGAATTGTCTTGTAACAGTTATTAGTCAGGGTAGAAGGCAAGATACAGCCTGCTAAGAAACCACATGGAAATATTTGAAAGCACGTGAGTTTTTCAAATTGTTAATTGTGTCAAAAATTTAGCAGGGGGCATATTTTGAATTTGTTATGTGCTTGAACTTTGGATGGTTCCATGGCCTCATTTTTAAATTGTATTTTAATTGTTCCTGAAATAGAAAAAAACTAAGAAGATGACAATCTTGCTGTGTTGTTTGAAGACAATTGTTATTCTTTACAGAGTGATTCTGCTGTTTACAAACAAAATATTTATGTTTGTAAGAGTATTCATATTACAAATGCTCTTTAATCCCCTAATGCAAAGAGTTTTTAATTAGGTTAATAAAATTAGCTTAATTGCTTAAAATCTTTTTACTTCTGTGGCCCTAACAGATTTCTAAATTCGAATCTGTGGATGAACATTTGAAATACAATAAGCAAAATAATAATAACAAAGGCAGTAATTATAAGTAGACTTATAGAACCCATAGATCTTATGAATTATCAAAATGATTTAGAAATTCACATTTGCAAAGTAAATTTTAATTACAATAAACTTTATCTTTTAATGATATAAAATATATTTACATAAATAGAAAGACTGTAAATTTATATTGGCATTACAAACATTTCAAATTTTAAAATTATAAATAGTGTTAATCTTTTTGTTTTGTTTTGTTTTGAGACAGGGTTTGATTTCAGTTGTCCAGGCTGGAGTGCAGTGGCACCGTCTTGGCTCACTGCAACCTCCACCTCCCCAGCTAAATCAATCTTCCCACCTCAGCCTCCCAAGTAGCTGGAACTACAAGCATGTGCCAGCGTGCAGCATGTCTGGCTAATTTTTTGTATTTTTTGTAGACTGGGTTTTGCCATGTTGCCCAGGCTGGTCTCGAAATCCTGAGCTCAAGCAACCCACCTGCCTTGGCCTTCCAAAGTGCTGGGAGCCACCAGGCATGAGCCACTGGGCCTGGCCAAGAATGTTAAACTTTTTGTACATCTAAAATAAATAGAAAATGGACTCGATATAGTTTAGTTATAACCATAATCATATCAAGACAGGGGGAAAGTTTCAAGTTGAAAGATTATTTAGTAATATCCTTTTAGATTAAATTATATGATTAAAAAATACAACTCTCTATTTTAATACCAACAATAATTTGTTAAAGACACTGTGTTGGGGAAATTGTAACCTACTTAAGTTAAATAAAATATTAAAGTCAGTTAAACAGTGAAGTCAGTGGTATAGTTGGATGCCAAGTGAAAACGTGTTTTTCTCACTATTTTACTTGGAGAGCTGTCCGCTGGGGGTTTTTAGCAGTTTCCAGGTTTTGCATGTGGACACTTCAATAACCTTATTTCAGAAAAACTACCAAAATAAGTCATTTATGTAATATATATATATATATACATATAAAACATATATATATTACATATATGTATATATATTACATATATATGTATATATAGGAAATATATAAGATATATATATAGATATATATATCTTACTCATTTTTCTTGGAGAATCTGGGAAGTTACTATAAAACTAAATGGAGGACATGACATTTTGTGACCATAAAACTAAATGCAGGTTACTAGAAAACCTAATGCAAAATCTGCCACAAATAGTTTTATGTAATACATATTAATCTCAGATTTGGATACTATAAGATCAATTTCTTATAATTGCCGTAATCTGGGCAAAAGAGGTCAAACTAAGCCCAGTGTCTAGGCATAGTAGTTGGCTCTGCATGAAGTGGACATCCATCCTCTGAGTTTAATAGATCCACTGCCACTGATTTGAGGCAGGGAACAGAGGACCAGAGAAAGGAGAGAGAGAGAATGAGACAGAAGGGAGGAAAATGCACATGAATATGGAGAGGTGGGGGCATGAGAATCAACAAAGATCTATCGTTGGGTGGTGATGGTTGAGCTGGTCATGTGAGTTTGGGGCCCATGAGCTAGCAGTGATGAAAATCACTTTGTTTTTTATTTTTATTGAGCATCACTCAGTGAGGTTGTGTTAAATGCCACAGTCTGATTGCATTAAACTTGGGCACGTTTGCTACATCACATTTTTTAGACACATAAATACACGAATGCTATTCACAACTTTATATGTTATAACTATGTAGGCCAAAGTGTATATAAAATAATGATGATGTAATAATAGTAGCTAATGCTTATATAAGCCCTTTTTATGCACCGGACACTGTTCTTCACACATATATCATCCCATTTAATCTTCACCATACCTCTATTAGGTGGTCACTAATATTACGCCCATTGTTTTCATATAAAAACTAAGGCATAAAGGATTTAAGTGATTTACCAAGATCATATCACTCATAAGTGGCAATAAATGGCAGAGTTGAGATTCAAAGCAAGTAGGTTTCTTCAGCGTCCATATCTTTCATCCATTTTGAATAAAGAGTGTATAAATAAAATAGAAGGTTCTTACTATATATGTCACGTATGCATGCCGCCATTCTGTACTTACTGATTTCACTCAATGTGTTTGTTCAGGGTCATTGGTAGAATCTCCATTATTTCTGTTTTTTTTTTCATATTGATTTGTTCGTTTATATATCCTGACTCACTTTTGCCTGTATCTCCATATATACCCCTATACTAACTGGGTTGGGGAAAAAAAAAGGAAGTGGAACAACTTTGATTTAATTGGACAATTTTTATTTATCCCCTAAACTGGAAAAGAAATCTAAATTGCTGAGTTTATTTGACTCCTTTATCTCATTTATTTGTCTATTTTAAAAAAATACAATTCCTTTTCATTGGGACTAATGTCTATTATTAGCATCTATTTCTACTTGTCCTTTTATTGTCAACTAGAAATTAAAGCCAGAGTTTTATCAAAACACATGGAGTGGTAGAAATGCCCTTTATTTAATTACTGCAAATCCCTGCAGAGCCACACTCTGGATAAATTAAACTCACTGGATAGAAAAAAAAGAATTTGAATCTAATAGATTATATACTTTAGCCTGAAGACACCAAGAAAGGGAAAGGTAGAATTATTAGTCAAAATTGAAAGTACCTTTGAATGGCTGTGCTCTGCTTATTGTAACATTGACTTCTTCGGTACATTTTCTTAAATAAAAGCTCAAAACACTAAGCTTACATTTTCAAAGTCTAAATTACTTTATGCCTGACTATAGACAGTAATTTATTTTGAACAGACCAATCTCCCAATTCTTCAAACACAAATTTCCTAGCATGAAATTTAAAATACTCCATTGATGGGCCCCATGTCAAGAAAGTAACATCTTTTTCTGTTTTGCAAAACAAATCCGTGCTTAATTAGATTCATTGACAGGCTACTCCCACCCTTCTCCACCTCCTAGGGAGTCCCCTGCAATTTGATTTCCCTTCAGTTCATTTCCCCAATATTGTTTTCTCAAAGGTCACAAATAGAACTTGTTAAGGCCCATTTAGCCATCTCTTTTTTTTTTTTTTTTTTTTTTTGACGGAGGTTCACTTTTGTCGCCCAGGCTGGAGTGCGCTATCTTAGCTCTTGGCTCTGCAAGCTCCTCCTCCTGGGTTCAAGTGATTCTCCTGCCTCAGCCTCCCGAGTAGCTGGGACTGCAGACACGTGCCACCACACCCGGCTAATTTTTGTATTTTTAGTAGAGACGGGATTTCACCACGTTGACCAGGTTGGTCTTGAACTCTTGACCTCAGGTGATCCACCCTCCTCGGCTTGCCAAAGTGCTGGGCTGACAGGCGTGAGCCACCGTGCCTGGCCTAACCATCTTAATTCTACTTGACTTCTTAATGCTGGAAGTACCTTCCCTGATACTCCCTTATCTAGATCAGAGCCCCCTTGATCTTTCCTCGGATTGCCAACTCCCTGGCTCTTTGGTTCTTAAAATTCTGGCTCTCTAACTTTCCTATTTCCTTTCTCAAAGAATTCAGGAACTCATTTAGTAACAAACAAACAAACAAATAACAAACTATTATTCTTCAGCCAGGTGACTCCAAAATTATTTTCTAATCTTGATTTTTCAAAAGTGTTTGAGATTTAAACCTCAACCTCAGCTAAACAAGAAAGTAGTATTTTTTTCTTTATAAAGACAAGGAGGATAAAGCAAAATAATGTAGAATATAATGTTATGTGAAATACTTGCTATTTTAAGGATTTTTCTTTTAAGACAATATGTTATATTTATTTATATTCAAAGTTCCTGATATAGTTTTTATTATGCATCATAAATTGTGGTAGGTACTAAAAACATAGAAATGAAGTAAACGTTATCTACCCACAGGAGCTTAAAGTCTGTTTAGAATCTGGCAGAAGGAATTAGTGATAGCTGGACCAACAGGAAGGAAGCATTAACTTGGGTATTATTTTATTGTCCTAGAAAATTTTCACATACTTGACAAATAGTAGAATGTTTTATGTCTTGATCTCTATTTTCTAATTCCCCCAAACCATGCAAGATTTCTATTCTACTCACATACAAGTATTATATTGATCTGTTATATTATTGAAGGCTCTTTTAATGCAAGAGAAAGAAAACCAGCTACAACCACCTAAAATCAAATGGGGAGTTTCATGGTGCACATCCACAAAGTGGACATGTCAGGACAGGGGAACATCTGGATCACAAGAATGCCGGTTCCCAAAGACAATAAGGATGGTTTCCAGCCTCTACTATTTCTGCACTGCGAAGCCATCATCTCCATTTCAGACTTTCCCACTAAGCAGGAAATACAATTGCCAACAGCAGCTAGCTTCGTACCTCAAAGCAACACCAGAAAGAAGAAGCATTTCCATCGAGGGAAGGAGTGAGTGTAAGGAGTATTTCCCCCAAAAGGTAAGATTGCTTTCTCAGAATATGGGAGGAGCTGAGTAGGGCATGATAAATGTCTTCTCTGGAGAGGCTCTTAACAAAAAGCAAAAATATCATCAGTAAGAAATTCTGGTGAAAATTATTAGTATGGATAAAGACTCCTGGGGGTGGGCGGGCTAAAGAAAGAAGACAGAATGATGAAAAACAGAAATCAGTGACAAAGGCAGATTTCCATAGCAAAAATTATAGAATGTGAAACAAGGTGGACCCTTTGTCCCAGCTCCTCCTCCTTACCACCTGTAGGACTCTGTAGAAGCATGCAGAGACGCAGCTGAATGCTAGTCCGTTTGTTTTGTTATGTTTTGTTTTTAAATCCCTTTACCACATCCGTAATCCAGTTCATAGAGCAATCTTCAATCCTTCATGCTTTTATATCTTCCTAGATAACAGGTAACTTCTTTGGAATAAGGCAAGGTATAAACATGAAAACAAATAAATATTTTTGGTGAAGTCTAATTCAGCTTCGTGTTGTTCCCAGTAGAGTAATTAAGATATATTATTTTCCTATTTAACTAATATGGAAATTAAAGGACAAAATGTTTAAACAGTATGCCCTGACAGTAGATGAGTCATAGCAGAAACTGTGATTCCTTGCAGTCATCTGAACTTTTCTGCCTAACCACCAGTCACAAATTATTTTGGGTCCCTGGTGGGAACCTCAAATCAGCTATACCCAGGGCATCAAACCAAGCAGCAGTTACTAGGTCTGAGAGAGAAGAGAGCAGAGAGAAAATCAGTCTGATAAGCCCTTACATGAGTCAGTAAGATTGAGACCACGATTTCTTGAATTGTAAGTGAAGAAACTGGGCTAAAAAATTCCCAAGTCCTTCCAGAGAAGTGCTGTAACGCCGTCTCTGAGCTAGTGCGTTTCAGAAAAAGTTGGTCCTATTAGGTTTTGTGTAGCTACCCTACTAGATATCAGAGAGACTGACACCTGCAGTGACTTCAGAGGAAAGCAGAGGCAGCACTGCCAAAGAGGCCGTGACTACCCAACCGAGAGAGATGTGTTACGATTTACTCAACTGTTTATTTGCCAGGCCTTTAATCTGAAAATGATGGCCTGGCTTTCATAAAACCATGCAAAAATCTGCTATAGAATGTCCCTACGCCTCAATTCTGGCTTCGAGCCTGGCAGTGGGGGAGGGCAAGTATATGCTTCCACAAAAGGACAAAAGACTCCACCATCCCTTAGAATTGTTCGGCTGCTTTTTTTAGTTTGTTTTATTCTTGGCTTGCTTGTTTGCATGGGTGGTTACAAAATCTTTAAAAAGTGAAAAAGAGTGCAGAATTTTCAGTACCCTGACTCAAGGATGCAGTCCACTAGCCTATTCACAGTTTGCATCTCTGACCTTCACAGACTGATTTTCTCTTCTTTACTCCTTTTGTATTGAATGTGTGCTGTAAACTCACATTGCTTGAGTATGTACACAATGTCTCCACTATATTTCTAATCCTGCATGGAACGGATTAAACTATCAGCATTCTCTCACCTGTGCACTTTTCCCTTACCAAGAATTTAAAAAAAAAACAACTGTTTATAAGTTTAGACTAACAAGAGCTGAGAGAGCCTGAGTCATAAAAATGATAATTATAACCAATCTTCCAAGTATTATTACCATCACTACTATTAGAAAACAAAAATACATCTCTTCTTAATTTTATTAAAGCCTTCCTTAATCTTTTGCATCTGATATCTCTCCCAAAGAAAGAGAAGAACAAAGAAGCATAAAGATTGATTACTGGTAAGTGTATTTCTTTTCATCCCTGGTATTTACACTGAGTCAAGAGCTCCCTTACCAGCCACATGGCACCTACTCTTTCTGTCCTAGAACTAACTACGCTGCCTTTATTCTTCCCTTTCTTTATCTTTTCTCCAGCTTCTCCTGCTGAGCTCACCATGAGATCTCATTGTGCATTCATGCCTTGAGAAGACAGTGCTGCCGAACTTTACCAGATTATCTTGGGCGCTTGTTAAAAATTGCCAATTATTGGGAGTTCAGAAATCCCCAATAAGACAGCATAGCCCAGGTCTTTGTACTGTACCGTGCTTCTCCTTTGGACCCTATCGATATATAAACAGCACATGAGAATATCATACACTAAGACTAATCTAAATGATTAGGAAACGTAAATTTTATCTCATAGTGGAAATTGACTTGCTTACTTTTATTAACTTTAGTATACCATCTTTCTCAAAAAGCTTACCTCTTCAAGAATATGGCTGTCTTGGGGAACCAGACAGAGATCATCTTCTAAACCTGACTGTACGTTTTGATCATCTGAGAAGATTTTAAGAAAACATGGATCCCAAAACTTACTGTATACCTAGTGAACCAGAAAATCTGGAGGATGAAATACAAAAATATATTTAAAATTAAAAACCTTCTCTGTCCTCCATTTCTAACCACCACTATACTGCCAAGAAGCGCCAATATTGACTCCTGGTGTGTGTACTTCAACCCCTTTTAGCATACCCAAGTATATGTGTGTGTGAGTGTGTGTATATATATATATATATATATATGCTTGTATGTTTGTGTATAATATATAATATATACTTTATAAATATATATAATATATACTTTACAGTACATATTAACTATATATAATATATTATTTTTTCAAATAATTATATTTACTAACATTATATAATAAAGCATATATAATATATACTTTATAAACCTGTTATATATAATACATAATTTATATATTATAAATATTTTTATATGCATGTGCTTGAAAAATAGGGGCTTTCAGAACATTTACCCAAAAGCCAGAAAGAGAAGAGCATAAAGGTGTAGAACGTGGAAAGTTTTTTGTAGGTCTGGCCTGGAAGAGATGCCCATGGTTCCACTGACATTCCATTGGCTAGATCTCCATCATGTGACTATGCCTAATTATAGGGGGCTGAGAAATGTGGTCCTCAGCCTGGCAGCCACTTCCCAGGAACAGCTCCACATTATAAAGACAGAGTAGGAATCTTTGGCGAGTATCTGGCTTTCTCTACCTCTCTACCCAATTATGCTCTGTTACTGATATTCCCTGAACACTTGATTCCCTCTGTGTTTCTAATCACCATCCTCTCTCAACCTGGAGTGCACTTCTATACATACAGCAAGCCTAATTTTTCTTCTGTCTCGGTTCCATTTTCTTCTGCTCCTCAGATCCTATTCCTTTCGTAGATTCTTTCACTCAACTAATGTCTTTTGAGGTGTACCACATGTCAGAAATTTTTTTTAGGTGATGGAGAGCAAAGAGTAAACTAAAGGGACAAAATATCTGCCCTCTTGGAGATTACATTCTTGGACAAATAAACAAAATGTTTAATAAGTAAACCACATTGTATGATACATAGTGGTATGTTCTGAAGAGATAAATAAAAAACCATAGAGGAAAAGTATAAAATTTACAGAAGTAGGGTAAAAGTTTTAGACAGGTTGGCCAAGGAAGACAACAATGAGAACATGAATTTAAGTAAAAACTTTGAAAAAGTGCAGAATAAAAAGAACCAATGCAAATTTCCTAAGGCAGGAATATGTTAGAAAATGCCCCCAAAACAGCATGAACATCAGCACAGCTTGAGCAAAAAAAAAATAGAAGGGAAAGTAGAATATGATGTTACAATGACAATGGGGTATATTATGTCCAGCTTTGTAGATCACAGAATTTTGGCTTTTATGGAACATGAGATTAGAACTATTAGATGACTTGAAACTAAGGAGTGACATGATGTTATCTGTTTTAAAATGGCTTCACCAGGCATAGCAGGGAGAATAACAACTCCCCCAGGATGTCCGTGTTCTAATCCACAGAACATGTAAATATATTACTTCACATAGCAAGAGGGATTTTGTAGATGTGATTAAGTTGAGGATCCTGATATGGGAGGATTATCTTGGGTTATCTACATGAACCCAATGTAATCATAAAGGACATCAAAAGAGAGAGGTGGATCAGAGTCAGAGAAGAACCATGTGACAAATAGAGTAAGAACAAGAGCAAGAGAGAGAGAGAGAGAGTGAAAGATGCTATGCTTCTGGCTTTGAAGATGAAGGAAAGGGCCAGGAGCCAAGGAATACAGGGAACCTCTAGAAAGTGGAGAAGGCAAGAGAACAGATTCTCTCCTAGAGCCTCCAGAAAGAACCAACCTGCCTACACCCTAATTTTAGCCCAGCGAGACTCCTTTCAGACCTCTGACCACTGGAACTGTAAGGCAATGCATGTGATGTTTTAAGCTAAATTGATGGTAATTTGTTACAGCAGCAATAGGAAACTAATACAGCAGGCTGCGCTGTTGAGAATAACCGGGAGCAAGAACGGAAGCAGAGAGACCTGCTAGAGAGCTACTACAGTAACCCAGAAGGGAGAGAATGATGGATCCAACCAAAAGAGGGGCTGTGGGGTTAGTGAGAAATGGACAAATTTTGGCAATATTTTGAAGACCATACTGATAGAATTTCCTAAAAGCCCGCCTGTGAGGTAGGTGAGAAAGAGTTAAGGCTGGCACCAGGGTTCTAAGCCTGAGCACTGACAGAGAGTTGCTATCAAATGAGACAGGGACAACGGCAAGAGGACCTCATTTATGGAAAAAGAACCAATGATCCCTCTTCTCTGTGACATTTATAGGATTTAATTATTTTATTTGACATTTATTAGATAGTCATCCATGTCCTCATCTGCCTTTGTGGCTAGATTATAAGCTTGGAGATCGCTATTTTTTTCTGTGTTTTTCTACATTTTTAGCTTAAGAACTTTGTTAAGTACAAAATTATGCAAGAATAAAAGGGTGGCTATCCAACCTATGACCAAAACACAATAATGGTACAACTTTTGAATAAAATCTGCTTTTAACAAAAGGAATATCTGCAGTCAGAGAAAACACCAAATTTCTATGTTCTTTAGTTCTCCAAAGCACCTACCACAGCTCCTAATAAAGAATAGCCGTTCAGTAGGCCTTGGTTAAAACACACACACACACACACACAGACACACACACACACACACACACACACACGCACCCCTGTAATAATGACTTACATCATCAGTTCTGCTTGAGTTTTCCAAGAAAAGGGATTGAGAGAAAGAAAGTAAAGCACTTCTTGATCTATTCATGAGAATTTTACCATTTAATTTGAGATTTTCTCTTACCCTCATGGAAAAATAGAAATAAACATCACCCTATCATCCAAGCGTCAGACAGTAAAACTGTTTGAACTTGAAACTCATGATGCATTTCAAGTTCAAACAGTTTTACTGTCTGAAGCTTGGATGATAGGGTGATGTATATATCTATTTCTACCCTAAATAAGGAAAGCTGCAACTTTTTTTCTGTCTACTGCACTAAATGCTAGTTCCCTGCAACAAAGTCAGTAGTCTACTCCAATAAAGCAGTACTGAATATAAACAAATATAAGTAAGTGTTGTTACTACATCCCCGTTCACATTTAATCTGTTACCCCTTCCTGGCCATTAGGAAAACTTTATGTGAACAAAGGATATGGTGGTTTCTAGCAGTGAATTTTTTTTTTTTTTTTTTTTTTTTTTTTGAGACAGGGTCTTGTTCTATCACCCAGGCTGGAGTGCTGTGGTGCAATTTCGGCTCACCAGAACCTTTACCTCCTGATTCAGGCGATTCTCGTGCCTCAGCCTCCCAAGTACCTGGGACTGCAGGCCCACAACACCACACCCGGCTAATTTTTTATATTTTCAGTAAAGATGGGGTTTCACCATGTTGGCCAGGCTGGTTTCGAATTCCTGACCTCAGGTGATCCTGACCTCAGGCCCACCTCAGCCTCCCAAAGTGCTGGGATTACTGGTGTGAGCCACCATGCCCAACTGAAAATTTTAATCTATATATGATAATGGATCTGACTTCAGGAATAATCAAAATAAACACCTATTTGAGGAGATATTCTCTGCTATTACTTTGGTCTTAATATTGCTAGTGTCTTTTCATTTAAGATTATCCAATATAAAGTAAGCATTAATAGCCTATTTAAAAAGCCAGACTTAAATAAATGGTATTGGTTCAAGACAGCCATTTTGAAAAAGAAGAATTTGACTCAACACTTCAAATTATACACTAGAATAAACTCCTGATGAACCAGAAGAAAACAAATAAATAGAATCAAACAAGTGCTAAAGAAAACATGAACGAATTCCTTTGTCAACTGGATAAAGGGAAAAACATTTCTAACTAAGACTAACATTCCACAGGCAATAACGAAGAGGATTAAAATATTCTACTACATTAAAATTTTAAAAAACACTTTGCATAAAAATTAAGCAAAACAAAATACAAATGAAAACCTGGAAGAAATAGTTTGGACTTCACCAAAAGTAAAACATTCTCTTTTTGAAAGACACTTCAAGAAAATCTAAAGTCAAGCCATGACAGACTGAGAGCAGTATTTATATTATTTGATAATGAACTTGTATGTTGAATATATAATAAACCCAATTCAAAAATAAAAAACACTTTTTTTTTAAAATGAGAAAATATAATTTGAACAGAAACAGACATTTTACCAACATAGTAGGTACCACCTAAACATTTTCACTGTGGGAATAGACTAGTCTTGAACACTAGATTTCAAGAAAAATACTTTATAATTGAAGTTATTAATCATTGTTAATTCCCATTTAGCTTGTTCATATATTATAATTCCAAAGAGTTTCTTGATGTCTTTATTGCCATCAAAAGATACACAAACTTATCAAAAGAATTTATAGGAGATCCTAGCTAATAATATTACTCTACCATGACATCTTTAGAGATTAATGTATAATTAAAATTAGGAATTTAAAATTGAAAATTATAATTCCTGAAGCGAGAGAGACCAATGTAACTTACGTCTAAAGTAGAGCCATCCCAATTAAATTCTTCAGTAATGAGATTGTTAAAACCAATTCATCAAGAACAAACAGCTATTTCCAATATGACTGGGAGAAAAATAATTTCGTTAGCTTTATTGATAGACATTAGAAGACAGCTATGGCTACAACTGACCATAGAATAGAAAAGAGTTTCTCATAATTAGCGTTAAATCTAACCCATCATAATTTTTTCAGGACATAGGAAAGTGCCTCATTTGAAAATCTGGGGGTGATTTCAATCTTTAAAGTATTTACTTAGTGAGTTAGAAAAAAGGGGAAATGTCTATGCCAATTTAAAGAAATTTTCTCCATTATTCATTACATTAATAAGTGCATATTGAATCTCTTTGCATGTGGAAGAATAGAGAGTAAACGAGTAATAAAATAAATGCAGTCCGGGTGCGGTGGCTCACGCCTGTAATCCCAGCACTTTGGGAGACCGAGGCGGACGGATCACCTGAGGTCAGGAGTTTGAGACCAGCCTGGCTAACATGGCGAAACATCTTTTCTACTAAAAATACAAAAAAGTAGCCTTGTGGCGCAGGCCTGTAATCCCAGCTACTCGGGAGGCTGAGGCAGGAGAATCGCTTGAACCCAGGAGGCGGAGGTTTCAGTGAGCCAAGATCGTGCCATTGCACTCCAGCTGGAGACAACAAGAGCGAAACTCCATCTCAAAAATAAATAAATAAATACAGAATTTCCAAGTGTTATAGAGGCAAGGAAGTGAAGAATCCAGCATGAAAGAGAAAAGTGTTAATGATAATTCAATGATATATCCAAAGGGCTAAGTCATAAGGCAGCAAAAGTTTTAATGCACTTGAAGAATGAACAGGAGAACGGTAGAAAATAGTGAAAGACAATAATAGCAAAACATTGGCAAATATAACATTAATTGAGTTCCCGTTGGGCTCAAATTACTTTTTTAAGTCCTTAACATATAGTAACACATGTAATTGTCACAATAACTCTGCTTATTACTTACTTATTATCCCTATTTTACAGAGAAGGATATTGAAAAAGATATAGTTGAACTAATTTGTCAAAGTCACACAACTAATTAGTAGCAAACAGATCCTAACCTAATCTGTCTCTCTATAAAAATGAATTCTAAAGATAAGTGGCTGCTAAATTATGAAGGAATATGTAGGCCAAGGTTGCATTTAGATAAGCAACATGAGTAAGTTACATGATTCTGTTCATGTTACAAAATATTTGCATATATAAATTGTATTTATATAATTAACAGTAATTTGAGAGTAACATACATTTTATAAGCTTAAAATTGGAAATGGATTCTGGAATTCTTTGTCATCATAACAATTTTTTTTAAATCTTTGTTTTTAGAACCAGGAGCTAAACATTCATATTTAATGTACGCGCCTGGAAATTGGAACGTCCCCCACCCTCCAGGATCTTGAGAAATCCTATTGGGAAAAATATTAAGAAATATGGTAAAATAAAGATTAGTGTTTTTATTTGAAGGATAAGGATGCTTGTCTAAAACCAACTTAAAATGATAGGAAGTCTATAAAAAGCAAAGCCCAGCAGATAAACCTACTTGAAAATCTTATTTCCATGACAACAGAAACAGAGCATTAAAGGGCCAGCACACTTCTGCAATGTGTTGTTGTTGAAACATTCAGTCAAATAAAACATTTTCAATAAAAGGAATAACCTTTCATATCCATGCTAAATTATAACTACATATTAACATAGGAAAAAATGTTAGCCTGTTTTATAACATAACATTTTTATAAATGGAGGGATTATAAGGCTGATTTTTAAAATTATCATGAAGAGATTTAACATCTTTTCTACTGATTCTGAAAAACGGAGAAGTAAAATATAAGATATGATCTGACATTGCTTACAGAAAATGAGTTTTCTAGTTTCCATAGCTGTCATTCCATTTATTGTTTTAGAAACATCCAGTTCATCATATTATTTTAAGATAATATAGGGTGCTCCTTCATGAATATACATGTAGCCAAAATAATTTTTTCATTTAAAAGAATCACTATTATTTAATGATGTGAGATAGATTTACATTCATAATTCTGGGTATTAAAATTTAGTTCTTTTTGGTGTTGCATAGATAAAACATTTAAAAATATTTTGAAAAAGATAGCTTTTTTAATTTCCCTATGGTAACAGCAATTTTTTTGTACAGAATTCCTTTTTCCTATTATGTTTTTAAGGCTTCCTAAATTTAAATGATTCTCCAAAAGCAAATTTAGCATTAACGTATGTAAAATAATTTTGACTCTGCTATTTTAAACAATATATATATTACAGATTTTAAAGGTGTTACTATGTAAATGACTTTGGCCCTCATAACAATCCTGTGTAGTGAGGAAAGGGCAGATACTGTTATCAGTTTTTTTTAACAAGTGAGGTATTTGATGCTCACACACATTACATGGTAAGTGGCCATAGGAAAAATAAACAGGCTGGCCATGTTGGTTCACACTTGTGATCCCAACACTGAGGCGGGAGACGTGCTTGAGTCCAGGAGTTTGAGACCAGCCTGGGCAACATAGGGATATCTTGTCTCTACAAAAAATAAAAATTAGCTGAACATGGTGACACACACCTCCAGCCACCCTGAAGGCTGAGCCTAGGAGTTCAATGCTTCAGTGAGCCTTGACCTTCATGCTACTGTGCTCCAGCGTGAGTGATTGAGTGAGATCCTGTGTCTAAAAAAATTTAAAAAACAGAGAGAATAAACATAGTTCTTTACATTTCCATGGCCATCTTTTTTCTGCTCTATGATGCTATATACCACAGTTAATTTAGAAGATTAAATATTGACCTTATAGGTCAATTTAGTTATACTTTAATATGAATTGAATTAATGGCTCTATGGAGAAAAGAAAAAAGAAAGCATTATTAATCCCAATCCTTGCTTACCTAATTATAAAAATGATAATTCCTTATTAATAATTGATGCATAATTTTTCTTTAATTTTATATATGTAAAATATATAAATTACATATATATTTTCTGTATAAACACATTACATATTTTATATGTATATATATGTATGTAGGTAGTTAGGTAGATATAGCAAACTTCAAGCAGGAAATCTTTCAGGGATATACCCAATCTCTGAATTTCTAAACTAAAGAGGTCTATTGATCTATACCCATGAGCACAAGGAAAATATTTGCTTGCCAAAAAGAAGAAGCAGGATTTCCTAGATGAAGAGCATGTAAGAAAATACAGAATATAAACACTAATTTCACCTAAAATAGGGAGGAATTTACAAAAAATATCATTAACTTTGGTTTCTCCAATATAAATGTCTTTCCTTTTACATTCATTTTTTTCTTGACAGGAACATGCTTAAGCTAAATGTAAATCTACTGAACAGAGGCCCCTGCCTTCAGAGCACAAAACAATGAGGAGGCAAGTTCACTGCATCTGACCATCTCATTTGTAATCCTAGTTCCATGACTGAAATGCCGAGTGACCCTCATGAACTTATTTAAACCTACTGGGTTTCTGTTTCAACACATTTATTCAGGTCTTTGGCAGATATGTGAGCCATAAATCCTACTCTGAAGGAGTTTGGGACCCAGGCGAGCTTCATAGGCAGGCAACCTGTGGAGCTGAACTAGGTGCTATGCTTAGAAGAAACCACCACTTGGTTTGATGTTCTGCTGTCATCGTCTTGAAAATCTTAATTTTTGTACAAGGGTCCCACATTTTCATTTTATACTGAGGCCAAAATTATGTAGCCACTTCTTGAGATAATCGCTTAGAAGCAATTTCCCTTGTAAAATAAGGTGACTGGATACAGTCATGACTAATGACGACTCCCTTCTTGATAAAAATTTAGACAGGCTTCTCTGGGCCCTCCCTTTGAGGATGCCTCATCCTTGTGCTCCGTTCTCAATCTGGTTAGCCTAGTTTTAGCAGGCATCCTGATAAATCAGTCCGGAGAGAATCCACCCCACCTTTGCTATCTGCAAGTTCCTCATCCCCCACCTTTGATACATAAGTCCTTAGCTACAATTAGCAGCTACCCTTAATGTCTCTTCTTGGTAATTTCTCATCCACTGACCACATCACTCTGCTCCTTGGCTGTAAATCCCAAGTTCTCTTTGTTGTATCCAGAGTTGAGCCTAATCTCTCTTCACTATGGCAATAGTCTTGATCCTCATTGCAAAAGCTTTTAATAAAACCTTCAATGCCATTTTAACAAATGTCAAAATAATTTGTCTTTAACATGAGAAATATAAAATTGTGAGTTTATGTTCCTTTTTCTGAACAAAACCCTCACCTCAAACACAGATGTCATGAGATCTCCAATGTTAGTTGAGAAGACAAGGCAGTCTTTCCAATTCCTTCTGCCACAAGACTGAATTATCTCAAACCTGCTTTACTCTCTGTCAACAATACATTTATTCCAACGGTGACATGGTTCCTTGTCACTGTATGAAACCAAGGATATGAAATATCCTCCTAGGTCTTCTTTTGATTTTGGTCTTCTGTTGATTTGTTCATTTTAGGTTTCAATAATAGAACAGTGTTGTTCTCTCTATGCAGATTATAGATGCCTATTCTCACACATAAAACTATTGCATGTTTGCTTTTCTTTCATTCTTTAAAATCCAATATTATTAGAGCTCAGGAAGACCTTAGTGATCATTGTCCAACTTTCTGACTCTACAAATGATGAAAAGAAGGTTAAAGAAGTCTTGTAGCTTAAACAAAAACCAAGTTTTCTAAAATTAATTAAGAATTCCTCCAATGCCTCTTAGCTTTCTTTTAAATAATTATGTCAGATTTCCTTATCACTGTCAAGATTTTAAAAGTATCTCTTGGGTTCCAGGTATTGAATTTATTTTCTTTAAAACTCTGTTTAGACAATTGCTACTTCCTAAGAAGAGGGATGAAGAGGGGCGTAGGTGATAAATATGTTAAGCACTTTTTTCAGCTATAATGGCTAGAGAAAGGAGCTGTATTATATTTTGCATAATATTTGCATTTGTTTTTGACCTATACCAGCTTAATTCAGCTCTCTTCTTTTTCTAAAGTCAGCTAACACCTTTAATAATTCCATTTTCTTGACTTACTGCTTTAAAATTGACTACAAAAAAAGAGAAACATATTTTTATTTTGTGATAGTAGTCAATTAAAAATATTTTATTAGTTAATTACAAAAACTGTGTGTTTTCCTAAAATTTTCTTTCCTAGTGGTGGATCTATGTAAATGAGATATAGGATTTTGTTTCCAACAGCTTCTCAGCATAGAGTTTATAATTACGATAAATACACACAAGTTGCCATAGTAGACAATGGTGTGACCCACGTTATTAACTTGGAATGTAAATTTTTTACTTACAGGGATAACATGAGGTTCCTAGCATTGATTTCGACGTTTCCCTAACAGACATGGAACCCACCATTATATTATTTCACATTCTTGAGTAAAGGATACATTGGATTACTAACTTCTCATTCTTCCTAAATGTTCACCTAACAATGTAGGCATCTATGCATATATAGAGTTACCGTTGTGCTTATGAGCTCATTTATCCCCTTACTGATTATAACTACATTTAAATCTTCTTGAAACAAGGAACAGAACTAAATATGCAGGTTCCAGTTCAGATTTATCTTTCCCCTTTCCTCACCAAGAAAATTTCTCTTCTTGAAATTTCTGCAATAATTTGTAGCTTTCTATTTTCACAATTTCTACTTTTAGTAATCCTTATCTGGACCATTACAATCAGATACCAATTAATTTTCATAATTCAAGAGCTCTCCTTTTTAGTATTGTCAAGACAATCACCATAAGCAGGTATTTTTCAATCACATTATTCCCATGCTAAAAAACCTTGACTGTCTCTCCATTATTTGAATGATAGAATATATGAATCTGCCTCCAAGCTGCCTTCAAATGTAAGTTGTACTATACCTTTTGTCATACTTAAAAGTAGAGAAAAAAATGCTGTCCCCAAAGTACTGACCATGTGTTTTCACTCACTGCCATTTCCTCTATTTCACTTTTCCAAATATTAGTCACCCTCAAGTTCATAACACCCTCCACCCCCATAAGAATTGTTCTTTTCAAGCCCTAATGTGTCGTAACATCGTGTCTCTACTCTCAATTTTGCCCTTAGTTCATTATTCCAGTTTGCCTTATATTGAAAACAAGAGAAAGAAACTATTATTTCAATAATGCTCATTTTTTGTACATATAGGCTTATTTGATAATCTGATAAAAGCTTTACACCTTCTATTCTATCACCCGACAAATGAATATTTGAAAACTTACCAAATTTTGTACACGTTTTTGCTGTTTTATGAGGCTCAACATGAAATCCTATTTTAAGATCCTAAAACTTCAGTTTATAAACCTCTTGAATATTGAAAAGAAACTTCAAATATTGATTCTTCCCTGAAGGAGTTTATAGAGAGAAGTCCCCAGAGTCACTGGCTAATTTATCTTTGTAACCCGAAGCCAATATTCCCTTTGCCCAGGTTGTAAAGCCTTTAACGTGAGAGGCACTCTGGATTAATTAGATACCAAGTGAGTGATTATAATTTCACTTTCAAAAGAATATTATATGGTGCAAATTTGGTTACATCTGTATAACTTTTAATATGTGGAAAAATATTATTTTTTCTTAGCAATTAAAGAAATGTCTATACCGAAGAATAAGGTCTCCTACTCTATTTCACTGATTCTGCCAATTTTCATAAATGTGCAAAAGCTCTTATAATAGGATTTTACTCAAAATATCAAGAAATTGAGATATAGAATGTAGCAATTATATTAAGTACTTTAATAAAAATATACAGATCTTGCTCCTGCTTATTCAGTCTTCGTTAACTGTGAGATGTGTATCTCATTGTGACTTAGTCACAATGAAATAATGAAGATGAGCTGTTTAATGCATTTGTCTTACATGGCCTCATTTTGAGGTCAAAAACAAATAAGAATTTTGGAATATTTTTGTTGTCAACATGTGCTGTATAAGTAAGAGCCAAGAATCAACGAATCTCCCTTTTTAGCTCAAACAATACTAAAACATATAGAAAAAGAAGTAATGCAGAAAGTTACCAAGCCAAAAAAGTAACTCAGGCTGGAAGTAGAAAGCAGTTTGGTGTAATAAAGGAAAACACATAGAATATGCCATTCAACACATCTTTGAAACTACCCACTGGATGGTCCTCCTTTCTTTCAGTCTAGAAACAAAGTTTCTACTTGTTCACATGCCCATTAAAGCAAATTCCTTTCCTTAAGATGCTCAGAGTACAGTAATTTCACTTATATGCATTATTGCTTTCTGCTCTTTCTGTGACCCAGGGTCAACCGCAGTCCAAAAATATTAAATGGAAAATTCCAGAAACACACAATTCATAAGTTTTAAATCGTGCTGTGTTCTGAGTAGTGTAATGAAATCTTGCACCTTCTTATTCCATTCTGCCTAGGACGTGCCTCCCCCTTTGATCAGCCTCTCCATGCTGTGGATGCTGCCCACCACTCAGTCACTTAGTAGCCTTCCTGGTTATCAGATCTATTGTCACAGTATCAGTGCTTGTGTTCAAGTCACCCTTATTTTACTTAATAATGACCCAAAGCACAATAGTAGTGATGCTGGCAATTTGGATACGCCAAAGAGAAGCCATAAAATGCTTCCTTTAAGTGAAAAGATGGAAGTTCTTTATTTAATTAAAAAAAGACAAAAATTATAGTTGAGGTTAAGATCTATGATAAGGAGACATCTTCTATCCATGAAATTGTGAAGAAGGAAAAAAATTTATGCTAGTTTTGCTTATCTCACTTCAAACTGCAAAAGTTACAGCTGTAGCACGTGATAAGTGCTTTAGGATGTAAAAGCCATTAAATTTGTGGATGGAAGATGTGAACAGAAACGTGCTCTGATCAACGTCAACCAGGTATGGCACTATCATCCACTGGAGGGTCTTGGAATGTATCCCCACGAATAAGGGGAAACTGCTATAGTTTCCTAACAAAGTACAATGTTCTGCAAAAGATATCAAATTCTTTCATTCTCTCCCAAGTTCATATCTTCATTTCTCTTTGCCTACCCTTAGCCCCTAGCTCTTTTCCATTGTTAATTGGCAAAAAGCTCAGAGTTCCCTTTCTTGACTAGTTGTCAAAACACCAAGGCTATAATCTAGTGACTCTCCGCATTCTAGCGCTCAAGCTTTTTTCTTGAACATTTGCAATAATGTATAATTTTAAATGACAGCATATTTTGTAGCTGTCTTGTCTTCCTAGTTTTGAGAATAGCAGCCCCTAATGAAAAGCCTTTTCCAACATAACTATCTTTCCATTTACCTCTGAAAGTCAACGAAATAAAACTATTTCATTCCTTCTGGGACTCATCAGATGACAGAGTTCTTAAATGGGAGGCCCTAGAGTTTCCTTTTTATTTTATACCTACATTTGAAAAATATCCAACTGTCTTACAGTGTTTAAAATCAATACATTACCGAAAATTCTGGAGGTAAAGAGCCAAACTTAGTTGTAATAGATGCCTTTAGTAATTTACCCGAAAACAGATTATAATTTAGAGACTAGAGTTACACATAATGAAGATCAAATTCTGGCTTTACCTTGCACTAACTGGTAATTTTGGAAAATTATAATTCCATTTTGGTTTCAATCCTGTACACGTAAAATGAGAATATTAACAATTTGCCTACAACCGAGCAATGATGTTCTGAAATTTCAAGAGATAATGTATACATCATTCTTGACACATGTTTTTAGTACACAATAATAAATACTGTTATTTTTAACTAACAAACATAAATGTCTAATAAATACTATTATTGATGCCATAAAGCAAATGAGCTATTACAATTTTTGGAATTTTTAAAAATCTCCGTGTGCAAATAAAAGGAAGAGTAAGAAAACAGATATATACAATTTAGATTCATATGAGGAAAAGTGATAAATTTTAATTTTAGATTTTGTTGTTGACTGATTCTTTAACAAGGAAATGGTATTGAACTGCCTGAAATTTCATTGCTTGATATTTATTTCTGCATGTGAAATGTATTAATTTCAAAATATGTAATTCATTTTATAAATTTGTATAGATTTAAGAGTGTAAAAATGTTTCTTATCCAGACATATAAGGTATGTTTCCTATCCAAAGGTAAGTACAGTACTAATTAATCTGGTAGAGAAGTGTAATAAAGACATTGTACCAAATATTCAATTATTCAATATCCATGTACTTCCCAATTCTCCCAGCCCCCTTTTAGTTGCATGGGGCCTTGTGACTAATTCTGGCCAATGGATTAACAACAGAGTACATGTGTGTCACTTCTAAGCAAAAGCCTGGATGATAGGTATGAGAACATGGATGCTCATCTACCTTTGGCGAATGCAGTATCGTAGAGGTTTAGCCAACGTAGCCAACGTAGAGGTTGACCCAGTGCCTTGAATAGCAATGGAGGATCATTTGATGATCCACACTGGACATGTAGCACCACCAAAAATAATCCATGGACATGTTAAGTCACAAAGATATGGGAGTTAATTTGTTACTGCAGCATAATCTAGACTGCCCAGATTAACATGGAAACGGTTTCATTGACAAAAAGATGAAAACAGTTGTACTATACTAATAATCATTTCTTCATAATTGCCTTTATTTTTAATATTTGCCAATCTTATAACTTTTATTTGATAAATATATATTGGAACTTATTGTGTTGAAGCTGCTTCTTCCCCAAAGTAAGTCATTGTCTGATATGAAAGAGAAGACAGAAATATTTATAGTAAAACATAGAGTGTTAAATTAATTCTGAGGAAAGGAATATTGGTCCTACTAGATTTCTGGGAAGAGATATTATCTCATTTGAGTCTGGAAGAATTGGATGTATTAGACATGTGAGGATGAGCAAGATATGGTAATGAAATAATGGGGAGTATTCTGGGAGAGAGACTAGCATGAGCAAACTCATAAATAGAGAATAGTGACTTGTTGAGTATGGACGGAGTAAAGGCTGTAACTAAACAACACAGAGTTGACATCCACCCTCATGTGCTTCTATAAAAAATAACAGTACCTTCAAGAAAGTTATTAAAGGAAAGATGTGAAGAGACATGGAAGCTTTACTCAGCACGAAAGAAGACAACCTTCTTTCATTCTTTCCAAATTCCTGAGAGATATCAGGAGAAAAACATGATTCTAAACTCTACTTTAGAACCCTAAGCTATAAAGAGAGGGAACAGAGACATGCCTATTAGAAGTTTATTACAATCACCACCGTGGGATTTAATAAGAAAAGAAATTAGTGTGACAAGGGAGTAACAATGGAAATGCAAGACAGAGGAAAAAATGGAACATTTTGTGAGTGCAGACACAAGAAGTTTAGGAAAACAAAATCGTGGATGTGAGGGCAACGGGAAGAGAGGAGATAGAAACCAGGATGATTAAAGGATGACGTCAGGAAAAACAAAAATAAGACCACAAACAGGGGTGGGGTGAGGCAATTTGATTTTGGACTTGTTGGCTTTGATATACTAATACACCATGTGGGAAGAAGATAAAAGTAGGTTTGGAATTCAGGAAAGAGTCTGGGTGACACATGCCTGACAGCAAAAATAGTCTGAACTATTTCACCATAAATAATCTCAGGTGGAATTTTCTTAGACCCCAATATCTGTTTATCTGATGCATTGCAAGAAATATATATATTTGTAAAATAAATAAGTATGTAAATATATATGAAACATATATGTAGGAAGGGCACCTACAGAATGGGGATACTCATTTTACATATATATTGCATATATAAAATTGTATGTATTTACATTTTTCGTATGTATTATATAAATACAATATTATATATGTTTATATATAATTTCACATATGATACTATATATTTATTTGTAACATAAAATATGTATATCTATATTATATATGTTAAAAACTGATTTCCCTATCATGCATGTGTTCTTCCTACTTTCAACAATTTTTCTTACTAGAAATATTCTTCCTAGGATACAGCATATCACTGCAGCCCATTCTCTCCTTTTGCCTGACACTTTGTTTTCTGAAGACTGTAGCCTCCAGCTGGGCATGGTGGCTCATGCCTGTAATCCCAGCACTTTGGGGGACCGAGGTGGGCAGATCACAAGGTCAGGAGTTTGAGACCAGCCTGGCCAACATGGTGAAACCCCGTCTCTACTAAAAATACAAAAATTAGCTGGGTGTGGTGGCGGGCACCTGTAATCCCTTTGAGAGGCCAAGGTGGGCGGATCACAAGGTCAGGAATTCGAGACCAGCCTGGCCAACATGGTGAAATCCTGTCTCTACTAAAAATACAAAAATTAGCTGAGCATGGTGGTGGACGCCAGTAATCCCAGCTACTCTGGAGGCTGAGGGAGGAGAATCATTTGAACTCAGGAGGCAGAGGTTGCAGTGGGCCGAGATTGTGCCATTGCACTCCAGCCCGGGTGACAGGGTGAGACTCCGTCTCAAAAAAAAAAAAAAAAAAGACTGTAGTCTCCAAATGAGTGTCCAAACACTCTTAATGTTCAATGAGAGGGAATAATATTCAGGTTACATTGAAGAGGGAAGAGTACCTAGTTCTCTAGTGTAAAATGGGGATCTTGGAAACAGCAACTTTGGAGTAAGGAGGAGAAAGCCTGTCAATCTATTTCCCTTCAGACCCACACAGTTTGCTGCACCAACAGGTGGCACAATATGCAAATCAGTTGTGATTGGCAAGTCCAGTTCACGCATTATGAAAATATAATTTGCATTCCGTGTTTTGTTTGGTTTGCAGTTCAATAATGAATTTAAATAATTTTCTATTCTGTATTGCACTATTATCATCCTCCATTATCACTTAGTTTCCAGTAAAACCTGTTTTATGCAACAGACACATGTCGGTGGTGCCTTAAGAAACAAAAAAAAGAGGACAGTGGCCACACACTGGGTGAAGCAATATGGAAAGAAGATGTTAGCCCCAGGAAGTGACTGGATATTAAAAGATCAGTCAGAGCAGGAATTCAGAGTCAGAGACAAACACAAGAAAATAAGCTCCCAGGGGAGGGTATTGAACTCCCCATAATACTTGGAATTGGGGCTTTGGCCATCTTACTAGCTGTGAAATAAAAGGATGAGACCAGAAAGTGAAATCTTTTCATTTTTAGAGTTTGGCATTATTCCTAGGATGTAACAGATACTCCATCAGTTTGGAATGAATAAATAAATAAGTGGAAATGTGTGAGAACCTGGGGGAGAAAATATTGAGAGTAAAGAGAATAAGAAAAAAAAAGGAAATTTTGGAAGGCTTACATTTTTAAAAAGGAGTAATGAGAAAATGAACTGATAAGAACCAATGGATACTTACGGAGATAAATGAATCGCCAGAGACCAAATAAAGATTGGCTTTAAAAATTTAAGTCTTCTTTCAGAGCAAAGACCTATCTTCATTCTTGTTTCATTCTTCATTCTACTGAAAATTCTAATACATTTCCACTTTATTGGAGAGGGCAAAGAAAAAGTGAACTAGCCCTTTATTGTGTCATGTTTGATCTGCATTCCAAGCCTTTTCAGTCTGGAGGCTCTTAGAGCTTATATTAGTAATAAGTATTTACACTCCCAAATTTGAAAATGTATTTGGCCTTATTTTTAAAAACAAAAGGAATGGGGTTTGGAAAATAATTTCAGAGTACCAATAGATAGCACTTAATTTCCCTCCTTTGTTTAATACTCTGCTGCCTTTAAAATATAAAGAGGAAAGTCCTTTTCCATCTGCTGTCAGGGAAACAGGAAGGAAAAAAATCTTGAAACTTCAATGAAAATGTCAAAATGCTAATAAAATAAAACATTTCACACATCCTTACAGCAATATGTAAATCAGAAAAGATATATCACCTTGTTCAAAGCAACGAATAGATTATGTAATGTCCAGCAAAATGTCTCAATCGATGCGCAATAAATATATTTTTTTCATTAACATTGTACCCCAAATGGGTCATCCAGTTATTGCCAATATCATGCTTCTTCTTAGATCTAACGTCCTCTCCTTTAGGGAACTTGAATCCCACAAAAACCTGATTATACAGGACTACAGAACACTATTGAATGTTACAACTGATTGCCTCATTTTTTCTCCTATTATTTATAATTTAAAGAAAAAATTTCAAACCATTTTGGTTCAAAGAGATTAAAATACTTTATGAATAATTTGCTGCTTCTATCCTTAATAACTAATACATATTTAGAGTGATTATTTCAATTCAACTCAAAAATACTATTGAAATAAGGCTTTTTTGGCATGATATCAAAAAAGATTATTTAATAAAATACTCTAGAGCTAAGTTTACAGGAAAGTACTAACAAAAGAAGCTTTAGGTTTTCTTTTATTCCTTTTTACCTTAACTAAAATCTTGGCTAAAATCTTGAGTTGAAGCTTATCACAATATTAAGGAAGTATTAAATAATAGTGCAACACAAATCAGACAATAATTGGGAATTCAAACAAGTTCTTTTTTTTTTTTTTTTTAGCTTTGCAAAGCCACAGAAACAATGAGATCAAGAAGTAAGAAAATCAGGAAATCTTCATTACTCTTTACAAAGAATTAATAAGATTACCAGTGGAGTCGTTCTATGCTTTTATGTAAGGGGTTATGTTCCAAGGAATTCAAAACAAAAAAGGAAAGGAAAATACCCAACAAATAAGAGTTGTGGCAACTTGAGAACTCACATGACTCTGAGGTTTTATTTCTAAGTAGTACTTTTGTGTGAAGATATTATGATATTAATATCACTCAGTTACCAAAAATAAAAACTTTAAGCCTTCTTAGCAAGTTCAAACAATTGTTGTAAGCCTAAACACTCTTAACTATTTCACTATCAAAGAGTATTTATACAATATGTTTTATAATTGTTCCACATTAATTTGAACTATAGATACCCACTTTACCTTGAAACTAAATGCAGGCTGCCAGTTGACTTAAATATCTCACAAGGTTAAAACAAAGGGACTCCTATAAAAGGAGAAATAGGAAAAAGCACAAGGAAAGCACATTTCTGACTTGGGCAGGTAAACTGAAATTTTTGAAAGTTCTGAGGATATAGTTTTGATTTTAGCAGAGGCACTTTGGAAATAAATATGTGTCAGCACAAGATAGCAGAAGATAAGTGTATCTAGAATAAAGATACTGACACCATCAATTTCTTAGGAAAAGAATAAAAGGCAAACAAATAAGAAGAAACAGTAAGAAAGTAAGGATATGAGGACAGAGTAGAGGTGTTTCATCCAGAAATTACATGAAGGCTCGAACTAAAAGAGGAATAAAGTCAGAGTCTGTTTCATCAAGAACTCTTTTTATCTGATAGCAATGAAAGCTTAGAAAGGTGAAAATCCTAGGACTCAAGAGAAAAAAATAATCTAATGAATGACTGGTGGATGGACTATTACTTCAGGCCAAGATTGAATAACTAGGACTGGATTTACCTTTATACCTGAAACAACAAAAGATTGAACAAAATGTATGAAACAATTGTTTCCAAGACAAAGGGCAGTATGTAATAAAATACAAAGATCTCTGAAAGAGGGAATACAAATGAAATGAGCCCTATAATTGCCTTGTTACTGCCCTGAAGGAATTTCCAGGCAGTGGTGCAAAAAAGAAAAACCCAGGCAGAGTGCTGAACTCCGTGAGTTGAAAGATTGAACGGAGAATACGGAGAGACCTAGACAGCAGCAGTTAAAAGAACAGAGTAGCCGAGGGAATAGAGCTGCACAAAGAGAGAAGTGTGGAGATCCACAGAGGGTTTGCCTTCAGTATTTAGCAGAGCACTGATTCACAAATGCACATAAAGAAACCTCAAGAAAGAACCACCTGAAAGGATTAAAAGGAATAGCACCAGTTGCTCACACAGAGCTAGAAATAGTAGTGTTTGTTTCTACCAGTAAGGGTAGAACATCTCATAATTCTCAAGTCACAGGGTAGACATTGAGAAGAGTTTTGCCTCAGTAGTTAAAATAATTTGACAAAACACTGCTCTGGTCCCAACCAACAAACTTAAAAGGAATCTTTGAAAAGATTACATTATATCCAAGTAATTAACTGCATCCTGGAACATAGTTCCACAGTATTTTTTCTAAAAAAGAAAAATTTCAAAATTTCTAGCAGGCAATCAAAAATTACTATGCATACAATGAAGTAGGAAAATATACTCTCAAAAAGAAAGAAAATAATCTCTCCAAACAGAACCAGATCTCAACTAAATATGATAGTTAGCAGGCAATAATATTAAAACAGTTATTACAACTATAGTCCAAATGTTCAAAAGTTCAGTTTGCATTTGCAAAACTTATAAAACTTTATGACACAAACAGTACAACAAATGTATGCAAATAATATATTAGGACAGAGGATCCCAGGAAAGAATGCAGACTGTTACAAGAGAATCTAACTGTATTACAAATGTATGAAAAAAACTTAAGAGGTTGAGAGTAAGGTGCTGAACGAAATAACTGTGGAAATGAATGGTGTCTATGAGACATAAGGCAAAAGGAACTGAACATAAGCACTCTATTCTAGTCAACAAAATTGTTTTCTACTGGGGTAGAGGATAACAATTCTAATAGTACTAGATTAATGTACTGGAATTGAACAATTAAGTAAATAGATGACAGATGATGCAATTGAGGCTTCTCACTATTGGAGTGGAAATTTATAAATCAGCAAGGGAAGGAGGCTAGAATGATCCATTTGGTAATGGATTAGAGTTGAAGATTTAAGAACTTATGTTAATATAATACTGATGATTACACATGGAAATATTTGTAAATATGTACATATTATAGGTTAATATACACATATATATTTCTTTTCTCTCTCAACTGAGAGGAAGCAATGACACTCCGGCAACAATGAAAACACCTAACTAGCAAACAGGAGCACGTAAGAGCCTAGCGCTCGCTCTTGCTTTTTAATACCACTCACCAACAGAAGGAAACAGAGATCATTGGACAAATGACTGATTCTAGGACTGGGATGAGATATAAACAAGATAAATCTGGAACATCTTTTAGTTCAAGAAAAAAGGAATTATTCAAAAAAGGAAAGATATATTGATAAATTAATGTTTATGTGGTTTTCCTGGGTAAAAGGGATTTTTTAAGGTAAAAAACTAAGAAAAATCACTGGGTAAAAAACTAAGACAGTCAGAGTAAAATATGCAGTTTGATTAAAAACAAAGTATTACTTCATTAATTATAACAAATATACCGTACTGAGATGGGAGAGTTCCCTTGATTCCTTTGTGGGACTTGCAACAGGGTGTGACTCCTTTACTCAGCCCCTGGCTCATTTGCTCAAACTGCTTGTGGGAGGGGGAGCACATAGGTGAGTGGGTGCAGGAGCCATGGCAAGTGCTTTTGGGCACCAGCAGGAAAGAACCCCATACCAGCGCGCAGCAGCATCTAGGGGTTGCCCACGACCTCTGGAGCCCCAGAGGGCATGTGTTACAAACAGTTTTTGCTTTGCTGTCTGCTGATGGCTTAAGTGTCAAACAGCTCAGTGAAGAGTCAGTATGATAGCCTTTTTGGGTTCCTGCACACAGTGCATCCCAAATTCTTATCCAGCATCCAGGAAGAATCAGGTTACATGAACGGATTGAAGGTTGGTGTATGCAGAGGATTTTTACTGAGCGATGGAAGCAGGATGGGGACCTGGAAAGGGGATGGAGTGGGAAGATAATCTTCGCCTGGAGTTCGGCCATTCCCAGTTGAACTCCTCTCAACATTCAGATGCTTCTTCTCTTCTCTCCTCTGCTGTACCGCTCTGCTCCTCTGCCAGTGGAACTTGGGGTTTTTATGGGTACAGAGTTGGGGGCATGGGAGGTCAGAGTGGTTTTGGAGGGGGCATGGCAGGCCAGGGTTGTTTTGTAAAAGGTAGCATTCGGGCAGGAAAACAGGAATGCATATTCTTATTTAGGGCCTGAGGTCCAGGCTTGTGGGTGGAGCCCTCACCCAGGACCCTGCCCTCTTCTACCCAGTATTTCCCTGCTTCCTGTCTGTATCAATACTTATGTAAGATGCTAATAATAGGGGAAACTATGTGTAAATAGTATGGCAATTCTCTGTACTATCTTCTCAATTTTTCTATAAACTTAAAGCTGTTGTAAAAATTAACATAAATATTTTAAAATGTAATTGATTCAATAAACAAAAATAAGCACAAGCAATTATATCACAAGCAATATATAGCATGTGATATACAAATATGTGAAAAGTAAAATGTATGAGTACAGAATATTTCAGTACAATACATTTCAGTACTGACTGAGAGGAGAGAAATGAAGCAAAGAATTACAAGATTCTTACAATATATGTGAAGAAGTACAAAACCACTTGAAGGTAGATTCTGATAAGTTAAAATATATAAACATTAAAATATCCAGGACAATAACAAAGTAGTTATAGCTAACAAGCATAGAAAAGATATAAAATGCAAGCATAAAAATCAATTAAAAACAGGAAGTGAAAATGGAACAAAGAAGAAATAAACACAAAATTAAAATAGCAAAATGACAGATGTAAACCTAACCATATCAGTAATAACATTAGATGCACGTGGTCTGAATTCCGTAATACTTTCAGGAAAAGCCATTTGAGGGAATGCAATATCCATTGTTGTTTTTAGAAACTCTCTGCAAATTTGGAATAAAAAGAAACTCTCTCAAGCTGATAAAGATTTTCTGAAAAAAAGAAAAAAAAAGCTAAATCTAACACCATACTTAATGATAAAAGACTGATTGTTTTCCACCTAAGATCAGAAACAAAACAAGGATGTTTGCCTTTACCACGTATATTCATGAATATACTAGAGGTTCTAAATAGTGGAAGAAAGATTAAAAAAATAGCAACCTATGTTTTTGCAGATGCCAATTAGAAATAATTAGAAATTGAAATTTTAAAAATACCATTTATAATAGCATCAAAAAACTTAAAATATGTAGGGATAAATCTGAAAAAAATGGTCTAGAACCACACACTTGAAAACTACAAACTATTGCCAAGAGAAATTAAAGACTTAGATCACTGGAGAGGTAGGCTATGTAAATAGGTCGGCCAAAGATTTAAGCAAACATTTCACCAAATAAATATATGAATGGTAAATGAGCATATAAATAGAGCTCAACATTATAAGTTATTAAGGAAATGAATATTAAAATCACAATGTGACATCGCTACACACTTATTAGAAAAGCTAAAAAGGGTTGGACGCTGCGGCTCTTGCCTGTAATCCCAGCACTTTGAGAGGCCGAGGTGAGCAGATCGCCTGAGGTCAGGAGTTTGACACCAGCTTGGCCAACACAAAGAAACCCCGTCTCTACTAAAAATACAAAAATTAGCTGGGTGTGGTGGTGGGTGCCTATAATCTCAGCTACTCGGGAGGCTGAGGCAGGATAATCGCTTGAACCCAGGAGGAGGAGGTTGCAGTGATCTGAGACCATGCTGTTGCACTCCAGCCTGGGCGACAGAGAGAAACTCTGTTTCAAAAAAAAAAAAAAGAAAAGCTAAAGAAAGGTGAACATAACCAAGTGCTGGTGAGGACATGAAGGAAGTGGAACTTTCAAACACTGCTGGTGGAAATGCAAAATGGTAAAAGAAACTTTGGAAAACATTTAGGAAATTTATTGAAACTTAAAAATATATCAACCATATGATCGATCCACTCCACATCTAGGTGTATACCCAAGAGAAACGAAGGTGTGTGTCCATATTATGACTCTTATAAGAATGTTTATAACAGCTTTATTTGTAAGAGTTAAGGACTAAAAGAAACTCAAATGTCTATGAACGAGTGAACAAATAAACAAATCTAATATATGCATGAAAGGGAATTCTATTTGATAGTAAAATGGAAGAAATTCTTGAAACACACTACAATATGATGACTCTTAAAATAATTATGCTGCAAGAAAGAAGCAAAAAAGGGTACATACTGTATGATTTCATTTATCTGAAATTCTAGAAAATGCAAACTAATCTATGGTGATAGAAGGAAGATTAGTGATTGCCTGGGGATGGAAGGAGGAGATGGGGTTGTTCAGGTAGAAAGAATTCCCAAGAGGCATGAAGAAAGCTGAGGAAGGATGTATACATGTTAAATGTCTTAACTGTGGTTATGGTTTCATGGATGTATAAATATGTTGAAATGTCAAATTATACATGTTTAATATGTGTAGTTGTTGTATGTCAATCATCTTTCAATAAAGCTGTTAAAAATATGACTAGTCACAAAGAAATATACTAAAAAAGAAATCCAAAGAAATTTAAGTTAAACCTGCAAAAACTTCAGAGGCTGGAGCCTTAAAGTCTGGGAATCAATGGCGTGTCTGTGCATTTAAGCGACAAAGAACAAAAGGTAGAGGCAATGTAATCTTCTAAATTAGTGCCAAACTAGTTAAGCAACACGAAACTCAGTTTGTGTCATTCACTTTTAATTCAGTATAATTTGTTCCATGAAATTCCTGTCCTAGAGAAAATATATCCATACGCTTCTATGAAGTCTATGTTTACTGTGTAGCAGAAGTACAGAAAGGTGAATGTCCTTCCATGCTACAGAAGCAAGAGCCAAATGAACCCAGAGAAATAATATCTAGACAAGATTCTCTCCCCACTCCCCACTCACTTGATTCCTACTTCTTGTTAGATTCCTGACACCAAGACAGATGTGACAAGAATACAGATGAAGTGCCCTGGGGTTTTCCTAAATAATATCCTATATCATGAAACTTCAAACAGCTAGGAACTAGATGCCCCCAAAACAAAACCATCCATGCTGTGCCTCCAGGAATTTAAAATAACCATGAGTAGTATGTCAAGGGCTCTAATGTAAAAAGTAGGCAACACAAAATAGCTGCTAAATACCAAATATTTAAAAAATAAACTATACATTTCTAAAGGACACATGGGTCAAAAATGACATTTTGAGACCATTTTAAACTATTTTGACATAAATAAAAGTGAATATACAACTTATTGAAATTTATGGAATGCAGGGATAGGAGTGCTTAGAGGGAAATTTCTAACTTTAAATTCATATATTAAAAAAGAAGAAAGATCTAAAATAAATAAACTAAGCTGTTGTCTTGAGACACTAGAAAAAGAAGAGCCAATTAAGCCCAACACAAGCAGAAGTGAGAAGATAACAATACAAGTAAAAGTAAATGAAATTGAAAAGAGTGAAACAATAGAGAAAAATCAATGAAACTGAAAGCTGAGTCTTTGAAAAAAAAATCGATAAAATTAACAAACTTTAGCCATCTGATTAAGAACAAAAGAAGGAAAATACACAAATTACCAATATTAGAAATTAAGGAGGGATCATCACTACTGAGGCTATGAACATTAAAAGAATATACTAGATTCTATGAACAATTCTATGCCCTCAAAGTTGATAACTTAGATAAAATGGACCAATTCCATGAAAGACACAAATTACCAAAATTCACTCAAGGAGACATAGGCAATCTGAATAGCACTATATTTGTTAGAGAAATTGAATCCATAATTTAAAATATTCCAAAAGCAAAGATGAGAGGGAAGCGTAGCACAGAATGAAAATATCTCTAGAAGCCAAATATTATGGTCTATGCTGTCAATTTATACTGACCATTTTCCTATTAGTTACTTCGGTGACAAGCAAGCAGAACCCCCAGCTTAAACACCAACAGTAAAGATCACTCATCACTTCATGGCCTCTTCCTCCCATGCAGTGCCTCTAGGAGTAGAACCAGGAAAATCTTTCCTTAATGGTCAGCTACTATGTTTAAGCAGATGGCTATTTTTTGGCCATGAGTATTTCAATCCTTTTGAGAGGAAAGTTAAGTGAATGTTAAGGCTACTCTTTATGTGTAAAGCATATGGTGAATTCTAGGAAAAATATCTCATTTCCTAGAAATTTCCTCACATAAATATCTCATCCATGTGAAAAGGCCTGTAACAAAAAAAAACACTAGGCCAGAGAACAGCACCAACTTTCTTCATTAATCTGTATCATCCTAAATGAATTTAGATCCATGAAAATAAGCATTTCCAAAAGTTGCTAATAACATGCATATATAAAACAGGAATATAATGGAATCCTCTAGCATGGTCAAAGGATATTTCAAGTTTACTCTTTATAAAGAAATTAAAGGCACAAATACAATATTGGAGCTTGTATAAGGTGAGTGAAAGAGAGAAAAGACAAATACATATGAATTATAAATATATATTTAGATAAAGGATAAAAATACAAAAATAAGGATAAAAAGGGCAAATAAAGGATAAATAAAAAGGATAAAAATATAAAAATAACTTTATATATAAATTATATAGCTACGCATCTATAACTCTAGTCCTCTCTCATTTAAATGACTCAGAGAAACAAGTTCAATAATTTTAATTCAAACTAAAAAAAAAAACAACTTTGAATCAGATATATACTGGCCAGGCACAGTGGTTCATGCTTGTAATCCAAGCAATTTCAGAAGCCGAGGCAGGCAAATCACTTGAGGTCAAGAGTTTGAGACCAGCCTGGGCAACATGGCAAAACTCCATCTCCACTAAAAATACAAAAATTAACTGTACGTGGTGGCCCACACTGTAATCCCAGTTACTGGGGAGGCTGAGGCATGAGAATCACTTGAATCTGGAAGGCAGAGATTACAGTGAGCCAAGATGGTACCATGCACTCCAGGCTGGGTGAGAGAGAGAAAGAGACTCTGAAAAAAAAAAAAAAAAAAAAGAACATGTATACATAAATCTGATTGCTAGAGGTGAGTTTAAAGACATTTTATTTTTCACTATCCCTAATATAAATTTAAGGTTGTTTTCCAAATTTATAATGTATTATATCTTCTATAAAATAGAAATAAAATAAATAACTAGATGGAGGAATAAATAAGATGAAAGTAGCATATTTTCTATAAAAAAGTATTAAATATTCACATGTTTACTCTGTTAATCTAAAATTACCATTTGTAACTGACATAGCGTGTACATTAATTCAAGGCAGAATTCACAGTTTTACATTTTTAAGTCTTCCTATCCAAAGCATAGTTTTGTATTTATGTCTAATTTATAACTTCCATAGATTAACTTTTTGGCTGAGGCTATAAGTTCCCTTAAAAACTTTTTCATAAGTCTCTCATACATAGAGAAAAGTGTGCACTTTGCAAGAGTAAAGCCCAGTGAATTTTCACAAGCTGCATATATCCATGTAAACAGCACCCAGATTATTTCAGTGCCAGATGACTCTGCCAGACCCCTTGAGGTCACCCCTTTCCATCAAGGGTAACCGTCCCTGTCTTCTAACAGTATAGTAGTAGACTCCCTGTTTCTGGATTTTATAGAAACTGAATCATACACTATTAATACATTCTTTTTAATTTATTTTTGCTCAACATTATGTTTGTGAGATCTGTCCCTGTAGTTATAGGTCATTTATTCTTGCTGCTGAGCAGTGTTCTCATTGTGTTAATTTAGAACAATTTATTAATCCAATCTATTGCTGTGAACATCTATATACTTTCTGGTATTGACTATTAAAGACAGTGCTGTTTGAACTTTCTTGTACAAGTACTTTCGTAAACAATACACACATTGCTTTGGAGCACGTGGCAATGTTCAGCTTTAGTAACCAATCTAAATCCCCATCAGTATTACATTAGCATTCCATTTACTCAAAGCACAAGGTTTTATGTTTTTGTCTTTTTTTTTTTCTTTTCTATGAGTCTCCATTTTCATTCGAGCAATTCTGGCAGGTATATCCAGTGAATATTTCATGCAAATTTTGCATTTAAAAAATAAATTTTATGTCTCGTGTTGAAAGCTTTGGTTGCTGTTGCGAATAGGGTCATCTCAGCTTTGTGTTTTTCCAAAGTCACTGGACCAATTATACCCGCACCATGAATATCAGCATGTGAGTTTTTGCAAATACGATTTTCTGTTTGTCATCTTTCTCTCTACACCTCATCTCCTCTCTCTCTCTTCCTTCCTTTTCTCCATTTCACTGATTCTGGTGATTGTATTGAGTAGACATTTTTGAGAGCTGTATTAAAGGTTAATTGAAATACAATAATCTGCATAAATTCAAAGTATAAAATTTCATGAGACTTCAAATGTGTATGCATATATTAAAAAATCACCACACTATAGATAACATTTCCATCACACCCTTCCAAGTTTCCTCATGCCTCTTTGTGATCCATAGTTTCCTCCATATCATACCCCGGCAGCACGAGATCTCTTCTTTGACATTACTGTTTAGTTTGCATTGTCTAGAATTTTATATAAATAAAATCCTATACTATGCATAGTTTTTGTGGATTTTTTTCACTCAGTATAATTATTTTAAAATTTATCAATGACACTGTACATATCAACAATCCATTACTTTTTATTGGTGAATAGTATTCCATTGAACTAATACGCCACAATATGTTTATCAATTCATTTATTAATGGACTTTGTTTTTTTTTAGTTTTGGGATGATACAAATAAAGAGGCTGTAAACACTTGTTTATGAGTCTTGGCGTGAGCATATGCCTTCACATTTTTCTTGAATCAATATCCAGGAGTGACATTACTGGTTTATGAAAGCACATGTTTAATTTCATAAGAAACTTCAAAATTATTTTCCAAAATTGAACAAATTTATGTTGCCACCAGCAATGTATAAAAGTTCCATTTTCTTGGCCAGGCACAGTGGCTCACATCTGTAATCCCAATACTTTGGGATGCCGAGGTGGGAGGACTCTTCGAGCCCAAGAGTTCAAGACCAGCCTGGCCAACAAAGTGAAACCCTGTCTCTAGAGAAAATAAAAAATTAGTCAGCTGTGGTGGCAGATGCCTGTAATCCCACCTATTGGGGAGGCTGAGGCGGGAGGATCCCTTGAGTCCAGGAATTCTAGGCTGCAGTGAGCTGTGGTTGCACCACTGCACTCCAGCCTGGACAACAGAGAGAGACCCTGTCTCCGAAAAAAAAAGAAAAAAAAATTCCATTTTATCAATACCATTGCCAACATGCTGTGCTGAGACTTTTTAAATGTTGACCTTCTAGTGGGTTTACAGAGATACTCATTGTGGTTTACATTTGCATTTCCCTAATAAAATAAAGTTGAGCAAGTTTTCATGTGCCATTTGTTTTTGTTTTTGTTGTTTGAGAAAGGGCCTGACTGTGGCCCAGGTTGTAATGAAGTGGCACGGTAATGGCTCACTGCAGCCTTGACCTTCTGGGCTTAGATGATCCTCCTATGTCAGCCTCCCAAGTAGCTGAGACTACAGGAGCATGTCACCATGCTCAGTTAATTTTTTGTATTTTTTGTAGAGACAGGGTTTCACCAGTTTGCCCAAGCTAGCCTCAAACTCCTGGACTCAAGCAGTCTGCCCACATTTGCCTCCAACTTCCAAAGTGCTGGGATTACAGGCATGGGCTACCATGCCCAGCTTTTTGCTAATTTTTGAGTAGGGTTGTTTTTCTTCTCATTGATGGGTTGTAAGGGTTCTTCTACTATCCTGGATACAACTTTTTTAATAAAAATTTACAAATATGTTTTCTATGGCCAAACTTTTCACTACTTCAAGTGTCCTTTGAACAGCAAACATTTTTAAATTCGATTAATTCCATTTCATTATATTTTGTTTTATAGTTTGTGTCTTTGTGGGGGCATACTATTCATGTAATCTTTGCCTAATTCAAGATCACTGAGATTTTCTTCTGCGTTTTCTTCTAGAAATTTCTATTTGGTGTTCTTTATACCTATAATTTTCATTTTTTTATTTCATTTTTTTCTTTTTTCTTCTTTTCTTTTTTTTCTTTCACCCAGACTGGAGTGCAGTGGTGTGATCTCGGCTCACTGCAACCTCTGCACCTAGGCTCAAGCAATTCTCCTGCCTCAGCCTCCCCAGCAGCTGCAGCTGGGATTACAGGCACACCACTACCACCGGGCTAATTTTTGTATTTTTAGTAGAGGCAGGGTTTCACCATGTTGGCCAGGATGGCCTTGAACTCATGACCTCAAATGAGCCACCTGCCTCGGCCTCCCAAAGTGCTGGGATTACAGGCGTGAGTCACTGTGCCTGGTCTCATTTTTTTTATATAGTATGAGGTAATAATGAAAGAGTACTTTTTTGCATGTGGATATCGTTTTAGCACAATTGTTAAAAAGATGATCATTTCACTATTGAATTACCTTGAAAACACTGTTGAAAATCAACTGGCTATATAGATGTGGTTCCATCCCTGGGCTCTCTAGTGTTCTCCACTGTTCTGTATTCTAACATTATGGCAATACCAAGTGCCTTGATTAATGATAAGTATTGTTGTCAGATAGTGTAAATTACCTAATTATGCTCTTCTTTTTCACAATTGTTTTAGCTATTCTAGGTCATTTGGATTTTTGTGTAAATTTAAGAATGAGTTAGAATATTTCTACAAAAAATCTGAGTGGGTTCTTGATTGGTATTTCATTGAATCTATAGATCAATTTGAAGAGAATGAACATCTTAACAATATTGAGTTTTCCAATCCATGAACATGATATATTTCTTCATTTACTTAGTTCTTCTTTACTTTCTTTCATAAATCTTTTATCTTTCTACATGCACATCTTAAATATTTTTGTCAAATTTATCCATTAACATTTCATATTTTGTGATGCTATTACAATTGGTAGTTTTTGAGACTTTTTTTCTTACTTTTAATTTCTGATTGTATTTGCTGGCATATAGAATATTTTTGTCTATTCTGCTGAGGAATATTTGTCTGTAGTTTTATTTCTTTGGATTTTCTTTGATTTTGTTATCAGTAGAAGAGTGATTTGATAGGAAACCACTATTAAAAAAAACAGTTTGTGTGGAACTGGCGTTACATCCTCCTTAAATATTTGGCAGAATTCACCACTGAAACCATTTGAACCTAGAATTTTCATTGTGGAAAAATTTTTAATTGAAAACTCAATTTCTTTAATAGCTATAGTGCTATTACAATTTATATGTTTTCTTCAGTGAACTTTAGTAGTTTAAGTCTTTCACAGAATTTAAAATGTTATCCAAGTTATTTAATCTATTGCCATAATGTTTGCAATATTCATTTTTAACAACTATATTTTAGAGTGGTTTTAAATTCCCAGGCAAATTAAAAGGAAGGTACAGAGATTTCCCCTTATGCCGACACATGCATAGCCTCCCCCACTATCAACATTTCCCACCAGAATGGCATGCTCATTACAACTGATGAGCCCACATTAACACATCATAATCATCCAAAGTCCATAGTTTGCCTTAGGGTTTGCTCTTGGTGTGGCACATGTTAAGATTTGGACAAATGTATAAAGACACATACCTATCGTTAGAGTATCATACAGAGCATTTTCACTGCCTCGAAAATCCTCTGTGCTCCACCTCTCCATCCCTCAACCCCTGACAACAAAGATATTTTTACTATCACCATTCTGCCTTTTCCAGAATGTCATATAGTTAGAATCATGGAGTATGTAGCCTTTACAAATTGGCTTCTTATACATAATTATATACATTTAAGGATTCCCCGTGTTTTTGCATGGCTTGATGGTTTATTTCTTTTTAGTAATGAATAATATTTAATTGTCTGGATGTACCAGGTTTGTTAATCCATTCACCTACTAAGGAACATCTTGGTTGCTTTCAAATTTTGGAAATTAAGGATAAAGCTGCTATAAAGATCCATGTGCATGATTTTGTGTAGACATGTTCCCAACTTCTTTGGGAAAATATCAAGGAGTGTGACTGCTGAATCATAAGACAGAAGCATGTTTACTTTTGTAAGAAACCACCAAACTGTCTTCCAAAGCGGTTATACCATTTTGCATTCCCACCAGCAATGAATGAGTGTTTTGGATGCTCCATATCTTCATCTGCATTTGGTGTTGTCAGTATTCCAGATTTTGGACATTCTACCAGGTATGCATTGTTGTTTTAATACTCATTTCCCTGATGACATGAAGTGTAGAGCATATTTTCATAAGCTTATTTTCCATCTGCATACCTTATTTGATAAGGGGTCTGTTAAGGTCTTTGGCCTACTTTTTAACGGGGATTTTTAAATTTCTTCCTGTCGAGTTTTAAGAGTCCTTGGTGTATTTCAGGTAACAGTCATTGGATATATCATTTGCAAATATTTTCTCTCAATGTGTGGCTTGTCTTCTCTTTCTCTTGACGTTGTCTTTCACAGGGCAGAAGTTTTTAATTTTAATAAACCCCAGTTTATCGTTTGTTTCTTTCATAAATTGCGCCTTCAATGTTGAACCTAAAAAGTCATCACCATACCCAAGGTAATCTAGTTTTTCTTCTCATGTTATTTTCCAGGATTATTATAGCTTTGCACTTAACATTTAGGTCTGTGATCCAGTTTGAGTTCGTTTTTGTGAATAATGTAAGATCTGTGCCTAGATTGTTTTACCTAGGGATGTACAGTTGTTCCAGCACATTTGTTGAAAAAAAAAATCTTTGCTCCATTATATTGCCTTTGCTCCTTTGTTCAAATATAGTTGACAGTATTTATGTGGGGCTATTTCTGGGCTCTCTATTCTGTTCCATTAAACTATTTGTTGCCATTGATCTATTTCTATTTCCATAGATCTACTGATCTATTCTTTAGCCAATATTGCATTGTCTTGATTAGTGTTGCATTGTAGTAAGTGTTGAAGTCAGGGGTCAGTCCTGCAGTTTTATTCTTTTCCTTCAAAGTGATGTATTGGCTATTGTGGTTTGTATTTTCCTTATCCCACATGAAAGGCTACAGCCGATTGAAGTGGGGTATTTCCCTTCCCCCAGATCAGTTAGGTTCTGATCATATCCCAGCACATTTGGTTCTGGTTAAATAGTTTCTCCTTAGGAAATATCTTGTTAAGAACAAAGTGCTCTCATGTATTTCAAAATGGTTCATTTTCCCCTCTCCCTGCCAGAAGAGCAATGGAATTTTTCTCTGATATTTACTGTGGGAACCAGGTCCATCTGGTTGAACTTGTGAAGGTGAATATTGTGCCTTGTCCCCGTGACTCGGTTTCTCTCGAGCTTTTGGTCCCCAGAGTTGTCCACATCAAGCCTCCAGCAATTTGTTCAGGTTTTCTTATCCTCATGAGTCTTTGATCTGGCAAGACTAACTCCCTGCTTTCACCTGTCTGTCTCTCCAGTGTTGGAGGCAACAGTTTGCCCTGTGTCATCTAGATCCAGAGTGTTGATTTTTCAATCTGTTCAGCTTGTTATTTGTTGTTAGGAAGTAATGGTGATTTCCAAACTCCTTACATGTGGAACTGGAACCCAGTCCTTTATTGTTATTTTAATGTCTGTAGTATCTGTAGTGAAACACCCTTTGTCAGTCCTGTTTTCTATGTCATTAACTTGTTTTGGAAAATTCTTCCTTCACTAATTCGTTATTCTCAATTTATGCACTTAATGCTATAAAGTTCCCTCTAAGTAGAGCTTTACCTGCATCCGACACATTTTGACAAATGTTTTTCTTTTCATTCAATTTCAAATTGTTTCAATTTTTTTCTTGTATTTTCCTTAATTTGTTATTCAAAAATATGTTGAGATCAGTTTCCAAATGTTTGAGGATTTTCCAGTTATCTTTCTGTTACGGATTGCTAATTTAATTTTGTTTCATGCAGGAACATGTTATGTATCATTTCAATCATTTCAAATATACTGTGACTTATTTTATGGTCCAGAATATGACCTGCCTGTTATATCTCATTATTACTCAGTAACAATTTTTGTAAATGTTGAATCCTTACTTGATGAAAGAATGAATGAATGATCCACTTCTCTGGAAGTTTCATTCATCCTTTTCTGTTCTCATTTGTTGCATGACTTCAGGAAAGTGTCAGTTCAGCTTGATCTTGTGCTATTGATGACTTACTATTGTACAATTGCTTGTATTATTGATGACTTGAGTTGGTCTACACTAATTCCTAGGTACCTTTCAGTTTCACATGCTGTGATTACATTTCAATAAATGCATAGTATTCTAAATGCTGATTCCAGGCATTTGACTTGACTTAGTCACTAATGACTTACTTCGAAACACCATCATGCCTAACAAAATCACAAACAATTACATTTCACAGATTTCCAAAGCTACTCTCAATTTGTCAAAAATCTCGCTATTCAAACCCATAAATGCCAATGGCTTATTGTATTTTCATCTTACCTTTTATCTATGCATTTTTTCACAGTTGTAATCATACTTTATACAGATTATATGAAATAAAGTATATCTTGTTTATTTTCCTAATATTATGTTGATCTGCTAGCTAAATGTAAATGACTTCAAAAGTCTTTTCTTTATAATAATATGTGATTCTGTGTATAGGACACACAAAATAAAAAGGGAGCACATATACCCAGGAAGTAAGTTAATCACTTACAGATATATCACATTTATTTATTTAAAAAAAAACAACAAAACTACATCTGGGCATGGTGGCTCACGTCTGTAATCCCAGCACTTTGGGAGGCCGAGGAGGGCAGATCATGAGGTCAGGAGTTCCAGACCAGCCTGACCAACATGGTTAAACCTTGTCTCTACTAACAATACAAAAATTATCTGGGCATGGTGGTGCGCACCTGTAGTCTCAACTATTCAGGAGGCTGAGGTAGGAGAATCGCTTGAACCCAGGAGGCATAGGTTGCAGTGAGCCGAGATCATGCCACTGCACTCCAGCCTGGGTGACAGAACAAGACTCCGTCTCAAAAAAAACAAAAACAAAAACAAACAAAAAAAAATACTAACAGAGCACTTACTTTGTGCCAAGTATTTTTCTAAACAATTCACAAGTTCTAGACCTTTTACTTTTAATCTTCCTACCAAGTCTATGATGCAAGTACAATCATTACCTCCATTTACAAGTGAGGAAATAGTATAGGCTTTAAAAAAATTACACAAGGTCACATAGCTAATAATTTGCAGCACTGGGATTTGAACCCAAGCTATCTGGTTCCAGATTCTGTGCTCTGACTTATTCATCTCCATGATTAGGCATGTTATTTACTTTCTTTTATTCACCAATTAATTAACAAACTGAATTGCCATAGTAGTATAGTGTGATTAGTGCTATAATTCCAAATAATATACAACACTTTGATGTGTTTTGTCATTGACCTTAATTATTAGTTTCCTTGAGCCAGAATACAGCATCTAAACTTCACTTTAAAATACAAGATCTGCTTTTTTCTTGAACCAAGTCAAATTTTTTTTTCAATTTTTTTCAGGGCAGTAATTCAATTCCTCAAATATCAAACAACAATGCATTATTAAAAAGTCCCTGTGTAAGTAAGCTATCCTAAGCCCTTTAATTCAGCATCTTAGGCTACCTTGTTGACACTGAACATTCAACCATCAGGTTTCCTTTATTCACTCAAAATGTTATTACGTACCTACTATGTGACAGGCACTATGCCAAATACAGAGGATACAACAATAAAAATAATGTATATAAAATATTTATTTTTGCAATTAAAAGCTTCTTAAGTTTTTACTTTACATTCTAAATCTCATGGCTCTCCTTATGGACTGCTATCTAGAACCCTGAGAATTTCCTCTTTTAAATATATTCTCTTACACTACATCGCTTCTCTCCTTTAACTTCTCCTTGTTCCCACACCCTATGTCATGGTGAAAATTTGCTCTTTGGGAAAACTATCTCTCTTTTCTTCTGTGTATAACTCTGTTTCCTAGGGTTCTCCTATGGTTAGACAGCTAAGTTGGGAGCCTGTTTCCCTTATTAACTAGCTTTAATCCTGAACAACTACTTTGGTCTTTCAAAGCCTCGAAGTCCTCTCTATAAAACAGGGATTAGAAGAAGTATCTTTTTAAAGAGATGTTGTAAGAATGAAATAAAAGCACCCATCACACAAAACATTTATGACAAACAAATAGGAAAGATTCAATAAATGTGAGTACCTATTATTATTATCTTAATCATGTTAATATCATATTTCTAGGGCATCTTTAGAACCATTCATCTTCTTAATCCCATGCCTCCTGCTTGGTTTATTTGTATGCTAGAGTATTCTGGTGCTTCTCCAGTCTTTCCTTATTTATCTTTCTCACTTTATCTTTACCTTGAGCAAACAGTTCGAACCAAAATTTTGGAATTTTTGTCTTCAAAAGAATTCAGTCTGCCAGGCGCAGTGGCTCAGGCCTGTAATCCCAGCACTTTGGGTTGCTGAGGCAGACGCATCACCTGAGGTCAGGAGCTCGAGACCAGCCTGGCCCAACATGGCGAAACCCCATCGCTACTAAAAATACAAAAATTAGCCGGATGTGGTAGTGGATGCCTGTAATTCAAGCTACTTGGAAAGCTGAGGCAGGAGAATCACTTGAACCCAGGAAGCGGAGGTTGCAGTGATCCGAGATTGCACCACTGCACTCCAGCCTGGGCGACAGAGTAAGACTCCATCTCAAAAAAAATAAAAATAAAGAAAGAATTCAATCTTACTAACAAGTAGCTGCCTTTCCTCCTGATTTCTGAATATTTTTCAGCCTTCCCTTTAACCCTGGTCACAATAGCTTTCTCTCTTTTCTACTCATTACCTTGATTCTCAAGTAATGACACTATCCCCTATATTCATTCACCAACACAACATTTTTGGCTTATTCTGACTTCTTCTATCCCAGGGTTATCTATGCTGTTACTTCTCCCGTATAGGAATATTGCCTATTTCAGAGTCTTTGTGCAAAATTAATAGCATTATGACTCTTTAACCTTGGACTAATACAATCTCTAGTGACCATTTTGTATGAGAATAGCTGTGATCTGCTCGCAATTTTTGCTGCAGAAATAAAAAATTTTATTTCTTTTTTTTCCTTCCAGATATTCCCAAGGAGATCATAGATCATTTTATTACTAAAGCTCAACTAACACATTATTTTTATCTCTGACATATGCATTCCAGAGAAAATGTCTGACTCATTCCACTGGGAATTTACAATTATGGCTTATAAAACACAATCTCTCTATGGTTTTTTTCTTTTCTTCACCTCAGAGATTCCACATATTTATTATTTTACTTCTATTGGCCTTTCCTTCTCCTCCTGGCTAATTAGCCAAGCCAGCATTTGAAATCAATACTAGAAGTAACATGTTTTTATCTTCTCTCATTTTTGCACAGTTTACAGAGGTCTACATTTGTCAGGGTGTGGCTCATGCCTTTCAGTTCTACACACCTCTGCAAGCTCTCTGGAACCAACTCTGCACCGTGGTGTCACCCTGAACACTTGTCTCCACCTCCTCCTTCACTACTCTACTCCAGACTTACACCCTTCTCCTCTATTTCCAGGAACTTCCTAAAATTGCTTCCAGGGCTTCTTTGATGTGTGTCTTTCTGTCTGAGGCATCAGCCATCTTGGCTTCAACCCAGGACACACTAAAATATTCCTATAATGTGGGTATGATGAGTTGCCATGCAAATTGAAGTATGCATAACTAAGGCAAAGAAAGAAATTAAGATATTTCAAAAGGTTGTATAATAAACTCTCTTTACTTGGCTTTCTTTGAGAATTAGAAGAAACATTATAAATTCCTTTGATCATAGTGAATATAATATTAATAAATACTCCCATCTTTAAAGTTGAGTTATTATTTTGAGTACTTACAGTAAAGTTTCTCCAATGCCAGCCTAGGAACCCAAGGATTAATATGTAAGCAATGCCGAAATTTATGTGACAAATAAAAGGTGCAAAGAAGTTAATGCATTTGAAGCAATAAATTAACATGTAGACAGATGGTATAACGCTCCTGTGAAAATAAAATTCTAAAATTTACACTTCTGTGAAACCAAAATGTGATCATCAGAGTTCTTTCTAACAAGTCTTATTAGGATGAATTAAACTATACTCTCTGGGTTTACAGATAAATACTAATTAACCTTCATAAAGGGATCAAAAGAAATGGAATTGTTCACTGGGCAAGTAGATACCTGCTGATTTTATTTAAGGTATTTGGGGGAAGAAGAATAAGATATTAAATAAAATAATACAATTTTATTTTTATTTATCTGGGTCTGTGTGTGTTTTAGCTATGTTCAATTGATTAGATAGATAGATATGTTAATTTTCAGATGTAATGAAGGACAATGTGTGTTTTTTTCTCAGTTTAATGAAGTAACATAAGTAGGTCCTAAAAAAAATCATTTACCTGGTACTCAGATTTAAATGTCACACACAGGCATTCCTTTATTACATTAAGTACTTTGTCATTTCTAATTTTAGGTCTAGAAAATTTATCAGCAAGACTGAAAGACAAGTGCCTTGTGAAAAAAAAACACTGTAAACATTTTGTATTAAATATTATTTAAATTATAATTACAGAAAACAATCACATTTTCTTCTATGTGTGAATGTTCCAAGTGCAGATGTTCACACTTTAAAAATATGTAATCATTTATTTGCTATTCAGCTATGTTATTATATTTTCCACAAATCAATGGGAAATATATTTTGATAAAAAACATAGCCAAACTATAAATAGAGTAATTATGATAAATCAAAGATTTAAAAGACTGGCCCTGTTGTTTTCTCATAGACAACTAACAATTATTAATGAATTAATTTTACTTTTTCCAAAAAAGGCACTTAATTTCTGTTACAAAAAACTTTGTTCTCCCATTATTTTCAGGATGCGTAATTTTAAAATGAATCCCCAATATTTAAAAGAGATAACAATATGTAAAATTATCTCTTGGTCTCCTCACTATTACAGACTCTCAATATGGAAACAAATCCAAATATTTGTATTCAGGAAGCTCAGTAAATAATTGTGGTTACAGTCATAAAACTTTAGTGTGTCATAAAGTTATGCTTAATTATCTTTGTTTATATTATAGTCCATCTTTCTACAGACTTTTATTAGGGTGTCTATTTTCCCCTGTAGTAACTTATTAATTTAACAATTATTGACTGAGCACCTGTCATATATTAAACAAAGTAATAAAAGAGTCCCATAAACTCCAGAAAATTGCAATCCATAGAAAACTAGAGAAAAATACATGACTAGCTAGTGTAAAAAGAAAATGGTAACTTTCATGAAAGAGACGTGAGGCAGCACCAGGGAAACACGGAGCACCATATTCCTTACGGCAGGTGGAATCTCAGCCGCACATCTTCATGTTCCGCAGGTCAATAAAGATTGTGGAATAAAGAAATAGAAGTAATGACAAATCTAAGGATGCTATCATTGATGAGCACCCACATGTAATTTGTTAGAGAAAGAAAAAGTTCCAGGAGAAATACAGAAAACAAGAAGTCAGAGACATTTTAAAAATTGAATGTAATGCTGCAAAAGCTGAAAAGGGAACTATTTTTCAAGAAAAGACCTACAGCCAACGGGGTTCTGGACGCTCAGTGAGGCTGCAGATGGGCAGAGGACTGTTGATATTGGGAGAGTTCCCTGGGGACTTGAGAGAGCAGGTTCAGTACTGTGGTGTGGAGGGGAGGGAGGAGTAAACACTGAGGGAGCAGAGCCAAAGGGTGTGGCATATGCTTTTGAAACTTTCACAGAGAAATTGGAGACATTTAATGGTACCTTAAGGCGAGAAAAAGGTCAATGGAAGGTTTTTAATATTTGGAAATGAGAAGGCGAATAGCTTAAAGTCATGAGAAAAGAGAGGCTGTAATAATGAGACTGAAGACGAGAAAGGAAGTGTATGAGATATAGAATTTCCAGAAAGGTAGATGGCACCGAGAATGAGGGATCCTTGATGTGAAATAGATGGAAAATGGGAGAAGAGGAAAATTTATACAGTTCATTTCAATTGGCATACATCCTTTTAATTAAGCCAAGGCCGTGGCCATCTGCAGAGAAGGAAAATATAAAAGATAACTGAACAATTGTTTTCTACACTGTACCCTTTCTTACTGCTTAACACGCCTCAGTTTCGTTTTGTGAAGTTACCTTAGCCCCAAGGTGTGTGTGTGTATACTGCAACAAGAAATCTATGTGCCTGCCTCCAATTACAAAAGCTGTAGAGGATAATTCGTGCTTCTCACCTCCCAGTACATCCAAGAGGCAGAAATGTGTCCTAAGCTTAGACAGAAAATTTACTCCTGGGACTTTGAACCTTGATGCAAGAATACTATAAGGATGGGAGTCTACACTGCCTAGCAGCTGTGCCCTGACAGGTTTCTGCCGAAGAATGATTCCCACAGCTCCCAGTTTCTGGCTTCTGGAGCTGGCTTTGTCTTGTCCTCTTCATGTCTGTTCCTCTATTCTTTTTGCAATGCCATGAGCTTTTAATATCAAGCCACTAAATTTTCTTTTGCTTAAATTAGTCACGAGTGATTTTGTTTCTTTCACCACTCTCCCCAATTTACACACAAGCGTAACAGACAGAGTTGGAAGACTGATGGGAGAGGAAGCATTTGTAATAGTGATCATGGGATAATTAGAGTCAATTTGAGGTGATAAAGAATCACTAGTGGCACTGAGAACCCATTTAAACTTAAATGACACAAACAGTTTTATAATGGCCAAGTGTAATGAACTACATGATGACTATTTTCCACATTTTACTTTTTTATAACAAACTATGATACTTTCCAAAAGTTGGACAGTCGAGATGCTGGTTACTGGTAAAACCACTGAGCATCTCATCCCTACAAATACCATCTCATATGCCAACTAAACATGCAGACTAAATTTTCATGTTGCTTATAACATGACGTTTTTCCCAACTCAGCAACCTATAAAATACAGAAGATCATTCTAAATCCTTCCTTGGTCCCTTAAATTCTTTTAAGAACAGAAGCCTTGGAAACAAAAATATTACTTTTGTTATTAAGTGCAAACGGTATGGTGGATCACCTATCTTTGAGAGCTATGATTTCCCTTTGGTAGACTAACCCTTGATGTAAATCTTGTCTTGGTAATTAAAAAGCAAGCAAGAAGAAATCCAGAAACTGTAAAAAATAAAATAAAATAAGAAAAGTAAAAGCAAGCACTGGTTTTATTTCTAACCACTTGCTTGACTGGATAAGTCAGATAACCTTTTTTGTCACTTACTTTCTTCATCCGTAAATTGAGAACGTTAGACAAAATTTTAATGCAGCTCAAACCTTCTAGAATCTGCACTGTGATTCCTCTATGTAGTTTGATTCCCATATGGTACTCAGATCTAAAAATAGTATTACTGTGGGTAGAAACCTAAGAGGAGTGTGGTGACAATCCCATGAGTTTCAGATGAGCAGTTTCATGAAGTAGCTCATATTAGATTTCCAGAATACTGACCCCCTACCAGACTGTGCTAGAGGAGTAATAATATGACTCATGCAATGGCCAAAGTCATAATTAAAATTCATTAAATGCATTAGATTTAAAGTAATAAGGAAGTTTTAAAAACCAAAATTAGACTTTGCATTTTACTAACATATACTGTACTTTTTGTCCTCAATTTCTGGAGAGAAAATATGCCACTCTATCTATTTTCAGTTTTTACTTCTGTTTTTGGAGGAGATACATTTCTTTCTGGAAGCTGTCTTTTGAGTTCCATGGTAACCGCATCCTTCCAGTCAAATCTGTCCTGTGGGATGCGCAATTTAAGACATTTGAAAATGCCACCTAAGAAGATCACACTAAAGAGACCTGAAAGGGTATGCTTTAACATGAAAGTGGGAAAATTTCTCAGTGTTAGTCCAAATGAAATGCCAAGAATGAGGAGGAGAAACAGGATTCAACCAATCCAGCAATTTTTGCCATTGCTCCGAACAACCCGAGTCTTTTTTAAATTTTTTTCCTGGCTACTTTCTCACCATTAAGTCACAGTCTAGTATTTGTCCCTCATCTGGTTCTCTGTATTGAGGCTAGAAAACACAAAGGCCAGAAACAACAAGATTATAGCTAAGAGATAAGAAGGGTCAAGAGACTGGTGACACTGTCGTAACAGACAGGATTCTGCATAAACAGAGTGTGCCTCAAAGTCCATGCGGTCACTTATCCCTCCTCTGGCAGAAACCAGCTCCCCAGCTTTGGAGGCTCTGGAAACATAATTGGAAGAAATACACCTGATGATTCCCTGCCATCAGGGAAATGAAAGTCAGAGGATGTCCAGTGGTGAGGTTCAATAGGGAAGTGACATTTGTCCTGAGGTGAATGCAGACAGCAGATTCATGTGTGGGCACAGTGTGGCACAATCCTCTGCACCTGATTCCAGGGATGAAGTTTTGTCCCTGCCTCAGTGGTAGGCAAGAAGCAAGGGACAGCAAATCTGAGTCATTTTTATATGACTATCTAAATAAAAGTAATTCTAGATGTACAAGGACAGCAAGTCTGTTACAGTGTTCTAGACTCAAAGCAAGCAAAGGCAGTTAAGCATAGTATTAGTCCATTCTCACCCTGCTATGAAGAAATACCCAAGACTAGGTAATTTATAAATGAAAGAGGTTTAATTGACTCACAGTTCTTCATGGCTGGCGAGGCCTCAAGAAACTTATAATCATGGTGGAAGGCACCTCTTCACAGGGCAGCAGGAGAGAGAATTAGTCTTGAGTGAAAGGGGAAGACCCTTATGAAACCATCAAATGTTGTGAGAACTCATTCACACATCAGAACAGCATGGGGGAAACCATCTCCATGATTCAGTTATCTCCACCTGGTCCCACCCTTGACACATGGAGATTATTACAATTCAAGGTGAGATTTGGGTGGGGACACAGAGCCAAACCATATCATTCTGCCCCGGCCCCTCCCAAATCTTATGTCCTCACATTTCAAAACACAACCATGCCCTTCCAATAATCCCCTAAATTGTTAACTCATTCCAGAATTAACTCAAAAGTCAAAATCCAAAGTCTCCTCTACGACAAGGCAAGTCCCTTCCACCTATGAGCCTGTAAAATCAAAGCAAGTTAGTTACTTCCTAGATACAATGGGGTAAAGGCACTGGTAAAAACACTCACTCGAAATGGGAGAAATTGGCCAAAAAAGGGGGCTACAGGCCCCAGCAAGTCCAAAATCCAACAGGGCAGTCAAATATTAAAGCTCTGAAATGATCTCCTTTGACTCCATGTCTCCCATCCACATCACACTGGTGCAAGAGGTGGGCTCCCACAACCTTGGCAGCTCTGCCCCTGTAGCTTTGCAGGGTACAGCCTCCCTCCTGGCTGTTTTCATGGCCTGGTATTGAATGTCTACAGCTTTTCCAGGTACATGGTACAAGCCGTCAGTGGATCTACCATTCTGGGGTCTGGAGGATAGTGGCCCTCTTCTCACAGATCCACTAGTCAGTGCCCCAGTGGAGACTCCATGTCGGGGCTCTGATCCCACATTTCCTTTCCAAGTTGCCCTAGCAGAGGTTCTCTGTGAGTGCCCCACCCCTGTAGCAGACATCTGCTTAGATACCCAGACATTTCCATACATTCTCTGAAATCGAGGTGGAGGTTCCCAAACCTCAATTCTTGACTTCTATGCAACCACAGGCCCAACACCACATGTAAGCTGCCAAGGCTTGGGGCTTTCAACTTCTGAAGCAATGACCTGAGTGGTATCTTGGCCTCTTTTAGCCACAGCTGGGACAGGGCACCAGGTCCCAAGACTGCACAAAGCAACAAGGTCCTGGGCCTGGCTCAAAAGATCATTTTTTCCTCATAGGCCTCTGGGCCTATGATGGGATGGGCTGCCTTGAAGGTTTCTGACATGCCCTGGGAGCATTTTCCCCATGGTCTGGGTGGTTAACATTTGTCTCCTCATTACTTGTGCAAATTTCTGCAGCCACCTTGAATTTCTCCTCAGAAAATGGGTTTTTCTTTCCTATCACATCACCAGGCAGCAAATTTTCCAAACTTTTATGCTTTGCTTCCCTTTTAAATGTAAGTTTCAATTCCAAACCATATCTTTGTGATTACAAAAAGCTGAATGCTTTTAACAGCACCCAAGTCACCCCTTGAATGCTTTGCTGCTTAGAAATTTCTTCTGCCAGATACTCTAAATCATCTCTCTGAAGTTCAAATTGCCATAGATCTATAGGACAGGGGCAAAATGCTGACAGTCTTTTGCTAAAGCATAGCAAGAGACACCTTTATTCCAGTTCCCAACAAATTTCTCATCTCCATCTGAGGCCCCCTCAGTCTGAATTTCATTGCCCATATCATTATTAGCATTTTGGTCAAAGCCATTCACCAAGTCTCTAGGAGGTAGCAAACTTTCCCATGTCTTCCTGTTTTCTTCTGACCACTTCAAACTGTTCCAACCTCTGCCTGTTGTCCAGTTCCAAAGTTGCTTCCACATTTTCAGGTAACTTCACAGCAGCACCCCACTCCTGGTGCCAATTTACTGTATTAGTCCCTTCTCATACTGCTATGAACAAATGCCCAAGACTGTGTAATTTATAAATAACAGACATGTAATTGACTCACAGTTCCTCATGGAGGGGGAGGCCTCAGGAAACTTACAATCATGGTGGTAGCTAACTCTTCACAGGGCGGCAGGAGAGAGAATGAGTGTCAAGTGAAAGGGGAAGCACCTCATAAAAGTATCAGATCTCATGAGAACTCATTCACTATCATGAGAACAGTATGGCGGAAACTGTCCCCATAATTCAATTATCTCCACCTGTTCCCACCCTTGACACATGAGGATTATTACAATTCAAGGTGAGATTTAATTGAGGACACAGAACCAAACCATATCAAGCACCTTTATATAGCAACATCAAAATAGTAGGCAAAATGGCCTTCTTCCCTCCACTAATTATTATGTAGTAGACATGGATATTTTTTCTAAATATTTTAGTATATTATTTGGTTAGAAAAGAATGTTATGCTATTATTGAATGTTTGAGAAAACAATAATAATAAAATAATATTGAAAAAGCCCATTTAAACACCCACCAAGTTAAGCAAGAATCAACACATAATTTGCAATCAAAAGCATTTTAAAAAACAGGGGACATGAAGTCCTTGCCCATGCCTATGTCCTGAGTGGTATTGCTTAGGTTTTCTTCTAGGGATTTTATGGTTTTAGGTCTAATATTTAAGTCTTTAATCCATCTTGAATTAATTTTTGTATAAGGTACAAGGAAGGGATCCAGTTTCAGCTTTCTGCATATGGCTAGCCAGTTTTCCCAGCACCATTTGTTAAATAGGGAATCCTTTCCTCATTTCTTATTTTTGTCAGGTTTGTCAAAGATCAGGTAGTTGTAGATGTGTGGTATTATTTCTGAGGGCTCTGTTCTGTTCCATTGGTGTATATCTCTGTTTTGGTACCAGTACTATGCTGTTTTGGTTACTGCAGCCTTGTAGTATAGTTTGAAGTCAGGTAGCGTGATGCCTCCAGCTTTGTTCTTTTGGCTTAGGATTGACTTGGCAATGTGGGCTATTTTTTGGTTCCATATGAACTTTAAAGTAGTTTTTTCCAATTCTGTGAAGAAAGTCATTGTTAGCTTGATGGGGATGGCATTGAATCTATAAATTATCTTGGGCAGTATGGTCATTTTCATGATATTGATTCTTCCTATCCATGAGCATAGAATGTTCTTCCATTTGTTTGTGTCCTCTTTTATTTTGTTGAGTAGTGGTTTGCAGTTCTCCTGGAAGAGGGCCTTCACATCCCTTGCAAATTGGATTCCTAAGTATTTTATTGTCTTTGAAGCAATTGTGAATGGGAGTTCACTCATGATTTGGCTCTCTGTTTGTCTGTTATTGGTGTATAAGACTGCTTGTGATTTTTGCACATTGATTTTGTATCCTGAGACTGCTGAAGTTGCTTATCAGCTTAAGGAGATTTTGGGCTGAGACGATGGGGTTTTCTAGATATACAATCATGTCTTCTGCAAACAGGGACAATTTGACTTCCTCTTTTCCTAATTGAATACCCTTTATTTCTTTCTCTTGTCTGATTGCCCTGGCCAGAACGTCCAACACTATGTTGAATAGGAGTGGTGACAGAGGGCATCCCCGTCTTGTGCCAGTGGCAACGAAAGCCAAAACTGACAAATGGGATCTAATTAAACTAAAGAGCTCCTGCACAGCAAAAGAAACTACCATCAGAGTGAACAGGCAACCTACAGAATGGGAGAAAAGTTTTGCAATCTACTCATCTGACAAAGAGCTAATATCCAGAATCTACAAAGAACTCAAACAAATTTACAAGAAAAAAACAAACAACCCCACCAAAAAGTGGATGAAGGATATGAAAAGACACTTCTCAAAAGAAGACATTAATGCAGCCAACAGACACATGAAAAAATGCTCATCATCACTGGCCATCAGAGAAATGCAAATCAAAACCACAGTGAGATATCATCTCACACCAGTTAGAATGGCGATCATTAAAAAGTCAGGAAACAACAGGTGCTAGAGAGGATGTGGAGAAATAGGAACACTTTTACCCTGTTGGTGGGACTGTAAACTAGTTCAAACATTGTGGAAGACAGTGTAGCAATTCCTCAGGGATCTAGAACTGGAAATACCATTTGACCCAGCCATCCCATTACTGGGTATATACCCAAAGGAATATAAATCATGCTGCTATAAAGACACATGCACACGTATATTTATTGCGGCACTACTCACAATAGCAAAGACTTGGAACCAACCCAAATGTCCAACAATGATAGACAGGATTAAGAAAATGTGGCACATATACACCATGGAATACTATGCAGCCATAAAAAACGATGAGTTCATGTCCTTTTTAGGGACATGGATGAAGCTGGAAACCATCATTCTCAGCAAGCTATCACAAGGACAAAAAACCAAACGCATGTTCTCACTCATAGGTGGGAATTGAACAATGAGAACACTTGGACACAGGAAGGGGAACATCACACACTGGGGCCTGTTGCAGGGTGGGAGGAGGGGGAGGGATAGCATTAAGAGATATATCTAATGTAAATGACAAGATAATGGGTGCAGCACATCAACATGGCACATGTATACATATGTAATAAACTTGCAGGTTGTGCACATGTACCCTAGAAGTTAAAATATAATAAAAAATATAATAAATAAAAATAAATTTTAAAAAAGGGGAGAAATTGATTAGAATGATTTTCATATAATTGTTTAGATTAATTATTTGTTATGCATTTGTTTGTCCATAGTTTATTATCATTGTAATCAATTAATCAATTTTAGCTATTTCCACTGTTTCCATTTAATATAAGTCAAGAAAGACATAATTGTTTTCCATTGTGCCTGAGGTAGCGTGCCTCTAAAAATATCAATTACTATTTTTAGTCACATAAATTTTCTTCAATATTTTCTGTAAGCTCTAATATGTACTTATTAAAATATTTAATGGTAGCTGACAGAGCTAGTAATTTAATGCACAAGTGAGCAATAAAATTATTTTATGCTGTTGGATGATTAAGAAAACTGTCAGTAAGGAATAAGTCTTCAATAATAATATATTAAATTATAATACCTTATTTCCTACTAAATAAAAATGGAAATCATCTTTTTTGTACTATTTCAGATTTTTCACAAATAATTTATTCTTCCATTACAGCTAAGAAAATTTCTATATGGACCTGGACTACCATTTTTAAGAAATGTTTAAATGTTTAACTTTCCCTTTATTTATTTTATCCTATTTTTCAAGTCAGATGTTTTACCTTACTTTAGTTTTTGTCTTTCATACATTTAAAAAATATTCATATATATATAGTATAAACCAGGTGCTATGCCAGACATGTAAAAAACTGTAGGGAACAAGACCAAAAAGAATTTACAGGTGGTAAGAAAATAAATCTTTCAAACAAAAATATTTTGATAAAAGGTGATAAGGGGTGTGTGGAAAACACAGTGGTAATACAGATGAGGTAAGCAGTGATTAATCTTCCAGTGAGAAAACTCAAGAAAATTATTGAACAGGAACAAATAAGAATAAGGTCTTGGAAAAACTGATAGAAATTCACCAAGCAGTCAAGATGATAAAGGCATTCTAAGTAGCAGGAATAATTGATGTAAATTTTTAAAACTCATGAAATTGAATGGCATCATCAAAAATAGAAAAAAGAATTCATTTCTTTAGACACACTAAAGTACAATGGAGAGAAGAGTAGCTCACATGGCTGAAATAAGAGCCAAATATTTGACCACAGAGTCTGCAGTACCCTAAGGAATTTATCTTACTTCTTGATGGAAGTAAGCTAATGGGAAACTACTAGATTGAAACACAGGTAATTAACCCAATTTGCTTTGTAACATACTGGTTTGAGATTGCTTCTTCTGAAAATATGCACATGTAAGCTACTGCTCTAGACTATCACTGTACAATAGAAATATAATGTGAGCCATATATGTAATTTTAAATTTTCTAGTAACCACATTACAAAAACAGAAGAAATTTATTTTAATAATATACTTTAACCAAATATTCAAAACCAAATATTATCTTGCAATATCCAATCAATATAAAAAATTAAGAAGATAGTAGTTCACATAACTTTTTCCCTGAGTCTTCAAAATCCAGTAAGCATTTTATACTTATAGCACATCTCCTTTTGGATGCTAAATTTTCATCAGAAGTACTTGATCTGTATTTATACTACATATAATTTACAGTAAGAAAATAGATGCATCTTCCCAAGTTATTACAGACTTACTTGAAAGTTTCCTAATAACTGAATTGAATATCAAAAATCATCTTCCTTTAATATCCGCAATATTGACAACTCTGTTCATCTTTTTTTTAGAACAATAGATTTGGTTTTTAAGCAAGAACGTGTCAGTTTCAAAACTGTGTCTCAAAAGTACATCTGTCTCAGATAAGCAAATTCACTTTTGTGTTAACTCAATATTGACATTAAATTCACTAAGGTATTACACAAACTGAAAACAATTCTAAATTTACCAATTCAGAAATGTTATTGAAAATTTTCTTCTAGTTTTTACAACCAATTTGCATAATACAGTTGATTACAATTATAATGTCCTATACATTGATTCATATTTGAAAATGTATAAAATTGATCTTACTGATTTGTATTATGAAAAGTTTCAATTTCAAAGCCAAATCTCATAACTGCCTGGCTACCTCAAAAATAAGCTTTTCCTTTTCCTTGGAGCTTTAAATTCATGTGTAGAGCAGCGTGACTTTGCTGATAAAACATACGTCACAGGGCTATTTTTGTCCCTGGTTATTGAATATTTGTCAAGCATTACTTTTGTTTTAAAATTCTTCAATTTGGGTTAATAGAACTATAAATCTTTGTAAAACTCTTCTATGACTCAACCAACAAGCATTGACAAAGAACGCAAGATCGTTAGATTCATTGTCTTCTTTTTCTTTCAACATTTTCACATACTAGTGATGATTCACATCATTTACACATATATTCTGAACAGTTTTAGCAACTATATTCATGGTTCTTTCATACAATTTCCTTTAGGAAACTAAGTACAAATAGTGTCAGACTGTTTCATACAATAGAACAAAGAAATAAGGCAAAGACCACTCTTATTTTAAAATTCCAATAAATCCAACATTTGAACTCATATTTGTAAAGCATCATTTATTGTGACCAAAATTATAATTATAATTATTATTGATATGGAGTCTCGCTCTGTTGCCCAGGTTGGAGTGCATTGGTGCAATCTCAGCTCACTGCAAGCTCCACCTCCTGGGTTCAAGCAATTCTCGTGCCTCAGCCTCTCGAGTAGCTGGGACTACCAGTGCCCACCAAGAGCCCGGCTAATTTTTTTTGTATTTTTAGTAGAGACAGGGTTTCACCATGTTGGTCAGGTTGGTCTCGAACTCCTGACCTCAGGTGATCTGCCTGCCTAGGCTTCCCAAAGTGCTGGGATTACAGGGGTTAGCCACCGTGCCAGGCCAATTATTTTTATCTCTAAATGAAATATTTCTTTGACATATTAAAAATGTTTTTAAAAATCTACTGTTTTCAAATTTCTTTGCAAATTTGGAAGTTCTTTGAGACAAAATGGTAACATGGCAGAGATAGCCAATACTAAGTGCTGGTGAGAATATAGAGCAACTGGAACTCTCATGCAAATCTTATGATTAGCAATTCCGCTCTATAGGAAGATATCTTTCAGAATGTACATATGTATGTGCATCAAAAGTGTTCAAAGTAGCACTCTTTATAGTATTCAAAACCTGAACACAACACAGCCATTAATGAGAGAATGAAAAATAAATTGTGGTATAACCATGGAGTGAAATACTACAAAATGATGATCATTACTGAACCAGAACTACCTGTAACAAAATGGATGAGTCTCACAAGGATTATGTTAAGTGATGGAAACCAGACACAGCGAGTACACACTTTACATTTATAAAAGGTTCAAAAACAGACAAAAGTAATTGATGCAGATAGGAATAGATAGTGTTTAAATTAAGGAGGATGGGCTGGGATGTCTATGAGGGACACCTCTTGCTGGATGATCTCTTGAGCCCAGGAATTGGAGACCAACTTGGATAACATAGTGAGACCCCATTTCTACAAAATATTTTAAAAATTATCCAGGTGTGGTGGAGCACACCTGTAGTCTCAGTTACTTGGGAGGCTGAGGTGGGCAGATGGCTTGAGCCTGAGAGGGCAAGGCTGCAATGATGCATGATTGAACCATTGAACTCCAGCCTAGGTGACAGAGGAACACTCTGTCTCAAAAAAGAAAAGAATTACTTAATCTAGTAATCCCACTCCTTGGTATATATCCAAAATAATTGAAAGCTGAATCTCTAAAAGACATTTGCATCACCATGTTCATTGTAGCAGTTGCTTATAAAATTCTAGTCTTAATCGGGGTGGTGGTTACATGGATGTGTTCAAATGGTGAAAACTAATTGGTCTGTAATTATTACACTTAGGATTTGCACATTTTAGATATGTATGTTTTGAGTTTTACTGTTTTTTAACAGTCTTAATAAATCTATGAAACAGCAATTTACACAGACCACATAAGAAATTTAAGGGAGTTGAAAGATCTGAGGAAATCACTCAGAATACAGCATGAAAAGATAAAACGTAAAATAAAAAACAGCATTAAGAGACATGGAGGTCAGAATAAAGAGATTCTATATATAGCTAGCAGAAGTTCCAAAATGAGAAAATGTAGAGGCTGAGTGAAGGCAATATCAAAAGGAATAAAAGCTTAGACTTTCACCTGTCTAATAAAACACACTGTCTCAGATGCAGGAAGAACAGTCTACCAGTAACAGGGTGAATAAAAGGGTTTCTACAACTGTACTCGTTATAGGAAATTACTAGATATCAAAACGACCTTAAAAGCAACTAAAGAAAAAATTCACAGTATCCATAAGAGCATTATAATTAGACTGAAAGAAGACTTACAAAGCAGCAATGTAATCCAACAGAAAGTGACATAATGTCTGTAAAATGTTGGGAGAAAATAACTGTCAAGCTAGAACCTTAAAGCAGGCTAAATTGCCTTTCAAGAAAGAGTGTGAAACATTTATAGACTAACCAACCCTGAAGGAGTTCCTAACTCACAGAACCTTACTGAAATAACTACACAAGTATGATGAAGTCACTGAACCAAAAGGTCCTTCTACGGTCCAGAATCAAATGGAGATATTGATTAAATTAAGACTGCGTCACATCATTTGTGCATGTTAAAAATGTAAAGGTATAAGAACTTCATATAATAAAAAGACAAAAAGAGAGTTAAAAACATTTGATCAACGAAATACAACAGAGAAAAAAAAAGAGGAAAATGGTAAAGGTAAAACTCAGTAAACACACACACACACACACACACACACACACACACAAACACACACCAATAAGACAACAGAAATAAAGCCAAATTCTCAGAAATCTAAATAAGTGTTATAAGATTAAACTTGCTTCTAATTGAATTTTGGAAATCTGTCTATGTCAACTTATAAGATACAAGTGTGGAAACCAAAAAAATGAAAAAATAAATTAAAAGAAATGAAACTAAATAAATGGAAAAGTATATATGCCAGGTAAATACTAATCAAGGAAAAGTTGATAGCTAATTTAATATCACTAATCAAAAATTAATATCACAACAAAATATTTCCACACAAAAGTCATTGTTATAGAATACAAAAACAAGACAAAAAGTTTATCCAATGGACATATATGAAACCTGGTACCCAATAATTAAAGTAAATACATGGTTTATCAAATACAGTATACATAAAACTTTTATAAACACCAATCAATTATCAAGCCATAAACTAAGTCACAACAGCTGCCAAAAAATTTATATAATGTTCATAATGTCACATGATCAAAATGCAGGTAAATAAGGAAAGAATGATGAAAAGGTCATTAAACACAATTTAAGTTAAAAACTTCTAAATCACGTGTGGGTTAAAGAAAAATTAATAATAAACTTGACAAAATACAACTGAACTTCAGTGAAAAAAATTATCCATCAAAATGTACAGGAATGCAGATTAAACAGTACTGGAAAATTTAGAGCCTTATATACATATTTTAGAAAGAAAAACATTCAAACAAATTCACTTATTCTCTTAAAAGAACAAAATACAAGGAAAAACACTGATCACAAGAAGCAATAAAGATGAAAAGAGTAATTAATAGAATTTAAAAAATCAAGAATACGAGAAAGAACATTTTCAAACCTAGTGTTCTAGATGCTAATACGTTTGACAAACCACTGCAAGTGTTATCAAGAACAAAGGAGGAAAGGTAAAGTATTAGACACAATAAAAATATAACCATGATAAAAATTTTGAAAAAAAATAAAAAACACTAAAAATAATTTCTTAAGTTTGTTGAAAATGTTGATGAAATTCATATTTTAAGTGTTTCAAAATGAAATAGCAAGCCTGAACTGCATAATAATAATTTCAATAATCAATAGTTAAAAATTTGCCCACTGATCAATAGCCAGGCCCAGATATTATTAAATAAGGGCCCCATTAAAGCTTTAAGGAGAGATAATTTCTATTTTGTACAAGTTGTTGCAGAATAGAAGGAGCACATTTTGCAACTTAATGCTATATTACTACATAAATCTTAATACCAAAGACAGGTAAGGACATCATCAAAAAGAAAAATTTGAGGTTGATTTTATTTACAAACTAAAATTTTAAAATCTAATTTAAAATGGAAAAGTAATACATAATAACCAATCACAATTCAAGGATGGTTTAACATCTGAGTACAAAGATAGCTTAAAATTAGAAAATCTTATTTTAATACATCATACAGATTTAAGACAAAAATTTATTGAACAAGGTATTTGTGCAATAAAATAAATTGATAAATTCAGTACGCTTTTATGAAGAATAAAGGCTTTAAGCATACCAGAAATCGATTAAAATTGTCCTAATCTCTTAATGATTATTTATTTTATAAGAAACAGCATACTACAGAGTAAATCATAAGAAGCATTTCCTTTTAATTCAGGAATAAGCTAGAGTGTTTGCTTCTGTAAATCAAAACAGAAATTAAATATACAAGAACTAGAAAAGAACAAAGCTGTCATCACTCACAAAGACAGTTAATCTATTATAGCAAATCCGAAAGAACACACATTATACATTAGCAAATGTGAGACTTCTGCAAGGTTGCTGAATATAAGATCAATATATGAAAATAAAGATAATATGTAACATATTTAATAACTGTGCTTTGATCTAAGTCTAAAACAATCTGTAAGACTTTACTGAGAAAATTTTTAAATCATTGAAGAACAGAAATGTCTTAAATAAAAGAAGATAACAGACCATGTTCACTAATAAAAAATTTCAATGCTTAAAGGTAGATATTTTCCCTATAATTGTATAAACTAAATGCAACACTTACTGAATTCCCAAAAGGATTCCAAGGATTCCAAGGATAATATAGTCAACATAAAGTAATACGGTAACATAAAGATCTACAAAAAGCTAAGTCAGCTTTGACCAAGAAACAGAAGGAAAAAGTACAATTGAATATTATGATACTGCCATAGTGCTAGGCAAATTGAAGAATGTAATTAAATATAGAGCCTAGAAATAGATCCCTGTAGTTATAAGAACTACACTTAGGAATTAGGTAACATTATAAATCAGATGGGAAAAAAGTGTTGGACAACTGACAAACTATATGGTTAAAATGGAAAAATAAATTCCTATTCAAATTATGCACACATACACAAACACATACACAAAATTAGATGAACTAAAGATCTGATGTGAAAAATAAAACTTTATAACTTTTAGAACAAAAAGAGAATAATTTTGTCATTAGAATAGAATAGTATTTTTAAGCGACAAATAATACAAACAATTTTTTTAAGACTGATAAATTTGATCACATGCAAGTTTAAAAATTCTGGGTTAGAAAATGCCATAAAACTAGACTGAGCAATATGGTGAGACCCTGCCACTACAAAAAAATTTTAAAATTAGCCAGGCATGATGGTGTGTGCCAGTAGTCCCACATACTCTGGAGGCTACGGCAGGAGGATGACTTGAGTTCAGTAGGTCACAACTGCAGTGTTTACACCACTGCACTCCAGCCTGAGTGACAGAGCAAAACCCTGTCTCCAAAAAAAAAAAAAGAGGCCAGGCGCAGTGGCTCGCGCCTGTAATCCCAGCACTTTGGGAGGCCGAGGCGGGTGGATCACAACGTCAGGAGATTGAGGCCATTGGCTAACCCGGTGAAACCCCGTCTCTACTAAAAATACAAAAACTTAGCTGGGCGTGGTGGCGGACGCCTGTAGTCCCAGCTACTCGGGAGGCTGAGGCAGGAGAATGGCGTGAACCCGGGAGGCGGAGCTTGCAGTGAGCCGAGATCGCGCCACTGCACTCCAGCCTGGGTGACAGAGCGAGACTCCGTCTCAAACAAAACAAAACAAAACAAAAAAGAAAGAAAGAAAGAAAAACGAGCAAAGAAAAGAAAAGAAGAGGCCATGAAAAAAGGAAAAGATAAGTCACTGACTATACAATTAATAGGAACCCAAAACATGTGAAAACACACTACAAATCAACAAGCAAAACACCTACATTCAATGGAAAAATAACCAAATAATATAAACAAGCCATGCACGAAATTGGAAATACCAAATGGCCAAAAGTTATATAACAAAATAGGCAGGCTCACTAATAATTAGATAAAAGCACATGAAAATAACAATGAGACTCTACTGCATACCCAGAAGACTGAGAAAATTTGATAACAAGTACTGTTGAAAGATACAGGAAAACAAACTCTGCAACAATGCAGGACAAAGTAAAAACTTATACAATCAATTTTTGGAGACCAACTTGACAATATTTAGTAAAGTTGAAATGTCCATCCTATAGAATCTGGTAATTTCATTTTAGAATAAACACCCTAAAGAACTCCATATGTATGTACGAAAAATATATTCATAGTTATAGTTCTTGACAGCACTACCTATAATAGCAAAACAGCATAATGAAATTGAATGTCCACGTATATTTAGGAGGCTTTTTGTATAATGGAAAACCATACACACAGTCAAAAAGAAGCAAACTGAATATGTTTAGAGCAATTTTATTTTATTTTATTTTATTTTATTTTATTTTATTTTATGTTATGCTATGTTTTTATTTTATTTTATTTTATTATTTTATTTTATTATTTTATTGAGACAGAGTCTTGCTCTGTTGCCCAGGCTGGAGTGCAGTGGTGCAATCATGGCCCACCGCAGCCTCTAACTGCTGGGCTTAAGTGATCCTCCCAAGTAGCTAGGACTACAATTGCATGCAATCAAACCCAGCTAATCTTTATTTTTATATTGTAGAGATGGGGTCTTGCTGTGTTGCCCAGACTGGTCTCAAACCCCTGACCTCAAGTGATCCTTCCACTTTGGTCTCCCAAAGTGCTGGGATTACAGGCATGAGCCATCACACCCCTCTAAGAATGAACATTTTAAGAATCAAATTATTAGAGATCACGCATGCAGTATGATAACATTTATATACATTTAAACACAAAAAATGATACATAGCCCAAATGATATAGAGTATATGCAACTAGATGTAGATATATAAATATATGCAAAAAGCAGCCCTTGACATGTGTGAGCAAAGCTAACACTAACAACTAGGGTCTGGCCTGGAACTCACCTTTATGAGACTGATGACATAGGCTTAATATTCTTCTACTTAACATAAGTAATTTTACATCAACATCAGACAAAGCCACCTTGTGATCATTATAGGCCAAAATAAAAACAAGTCTGAATTCATATTAAACGAAGGCAAACCAGGAATATTATCCAAACCACAAGTATGACCAAATCTCCTCTATTTATGCTTTCTTCTCTCTACTGAATGTCATTTCCTCTTCCCAGCTAATAGGAGTGATTGTTGCTTCTCTACCGGTTACAGCTTTAGTTTTATCCTATTCTTCCCTTCTTTTAGGTAAGATTTGATAAGACATTCAATAATAGAATTACTTCTGCTTCCTAACAGTAAACATTTTGGAGCAAAGTCCCACTTCCTTGAGTCCTCCCAGACTTACCTAATGCAAGTCCAAATCTGTAATAAATCCTTTCTAACACCCTCTTACTGAGGTGCTCCACGCTTTCTTATGATGTGCATTCTCCATCATCGAAATGTACCGAACTTATTCAAATACAGATTTCCTGATGATCTTTGTTAGGAGGCATTAACCAGAATAAGTAATTAAAACAGAAACATACAGAAAAAAGTCATTCTAATTTCAGGACAGTAGTTATTCCTTGAGAAGCTGTAAGAGAGAAAAGAAGGTGGTGAGAATTTGAACTGCCTCTTAAAAACTGCATTGCTCTTTTAAGACATGTAAAGTATTGAACCAAATTTATACTTGGAATAGCAGAATCAGAGACTAGTCTGAAGCTTCAACTCATAATTTCAAAGCTCATTTAGATAATTATAGTACTAAATAAAGAATAAAATGAAAAGGCAAGGCTATGATTCATAATATTGCAAGCTGTGATGCTGCAGGATTGCCAGGAACAGAGATCAACAAGCAGTACAGCAAACTTCAATGTGGCTTTTGCCCGTTGTTATCTTGCATGTTGTATGTGTGTTGACACAGACTCAATAAAAATCAGAGGGCTTGTTTGGGAAGCAGTCTAGTACTTTAAAACTACTATCAAGCATGTAACTTTGCCACCTTTTGGTAACTAAAGCGAACTACAATTTACATTCTCAAGAACAAAATTAACCAAATGGCATCTTGCTCATATGAATCCTACCTAATTGAGAGATAATATCACAGTCATTTATTATTTACATAATTAAAATCCTTAAATAGGGACTCAAGATACCCTCTTATTTCATTCGAACTTACTTCATTAACCTTAAAAAATACATCTAGAAAAACAATCTGCTACTTATTGTTCCCTATCCCTTCCCTACTTTTTCTCACTTCTTGGTCATTATTTGTGCTTTCTTCTCTCTCAAATGTCCAATACTGTCTATCCTTCAACTTGTAATTCATGTGTCAACTATTTCATGAATTCGTAAGCAGCCCCAACTGGAGTAATGGTCACTACTGTGAAATCCTGTTGCACTCTATTTTTACTTCTTATACTTATTGTTCATTCTTTCATTCCTTTATTCAATAAATATTTTCATCCACTTTGTAAGAGAGAGTGAAGGACTAAATTTTCCACTACGGCTCTTTCATTTGCTTGATCCCTACAGCTGTCTCTTCCTCCCATCCCCTCTGGCACATGACCTTCACCCAATTGCCCCTTCTCACCCTGTTGACATAATCCAAATTCCTCAAACAATGGCAGTGAATATACAAGAATCATCTTTGAGCAACTATTCCCAAAACTAGGTGAACTTCAACTACTTCCTCTTGCTAAACTCAATAAAAGCTCCGTCTTCCAGATTTTTACCTATATTGTTCTGACTGATTTTCTTCCAGGGTTTCAATGTCAAGACTCAGATCAGGACTGTGTTTTTGGGTGCTTGGCATTTCATCATGCCAGACACTCTGTTGATGTCTCCTCTCTTTGGAGTCCCAGTGACTAGACAGTTGGGCTGGTCCTGCTCCTGACCACTGTTCTGCTCCCTTTGCTTGAAAGCACTATCTAAGCTTTTATTCTTCCATCTTAATTGTCCTTGGTGTAAGCTTTTTCATTTGCACTGTTTCGCTACTTAATGGGTCTCCCCCATGGATAAGACAGGCATTGGAGACAGTGATGGTAAACCTACGAGCCTGATGCTCAGGTTCTCTTATTTTGAATCAATGTACTTGTGGGCTGCTATCCAGCTTCTTAAACTGTGGCAGGCTTTTATTAAGAACAACTTTGAACTTTATTGATAATACTAGAAAAACTTGGAATATGAAGAAAATAATCCTTTGTGATATGCCGTAGGAAAGGAGAAGTTTCAAAATTTCAACTATTCAATGATCAGCGTTTTTTATTTTTTGAAGTAGCCTCTACAACTTAAGAAATTTCTAAAACTGATTCCCTTAAGAACTCCTTAGAAAAGGTAATAAAAGCATGGAGTACCTAAAATCCTAAGTTAAACACTTCTCCCTTTCTCCTGACCTTACTCTGATCAGCCTCCCTCCTGGCCTCCCTTAAGCTGACTGCCTTTTTCCTCTTGTTCTATTCTTCCTCCTGATCCTCCAGCACCTTCATGGGGTCCTCCTTTCTTTCCTCGGCCAGTTTTTCTTAAACTACCCCCTGAATAGATAATATTCCTTCTTAATGTCTTATAAGACAGGTGGGGATGATAACTAACCTCATTCGTTTTATATCTTCAAATCTTTGTTCAGATCAGATTTGCATAATCTAGTTACGTTTCCTAACCTTCCTAAGTAAAAACAGAAGTTCACTGAAGAATATAAGTTTATTCTAGGAATGTGTAGTCTAAGATAACCTGATATCTATCAACTCATCTCTTTGTAGGACATGAAGGTGCTAAAACTCGGTAAGAAAAAGCGATATAAATTAATTAACAAAATGATATAAAATATAATGATCAACATTTGAGAGAGCTGCACACCTCACATTCTATCTCTGAGATCATTCCTGTTGAAATGGATTGGTCAAAAATCCAATCCTTAAAAAAGACAGAGATTAAAAATAAATTAATCTCTTATTTCAGAGACCCCTTAACTCCTACTTCTGAGAATACTGTTGTCTCAGTGTGGCTGATAATTTCACAAGTGCTTTATCCACCTTCTTTGTTGATCTTAAAACTGAGATGGCAGATATAATTGGAAAACAGAAGATAAGATAGCAGACCGTCCTCATGTTAGAATTACATTTTTTTTTAGTTCTTTGAAGATACTTTTGCTCAGAAAAAAAAGGAAAAGTGATAGACCAAATTAAGTGTTCTCAGCAACTACTAAGTCCAAGTGGGAAATCATCTATATCTAATCTATAGGAAGATACTTCTGTATATAGCGAAAAAGCGAGGAAGGGGTGCTAAAGAACAATTGCTCTGCCTTAGCTCGAAAGACAGAGTCACAAAATATAAAAGACTAACTCTGTCTGATAGAGTGACTCCCCTCTGAGGAAATAGCTGCTCCATTCTGCCCACAATTGCTTTTCATGAAAAGAAAGAGATTTTTATGCATGCAAAAAGAGTGTGTTCCATGGTTAATAATGTCTTCCAGTTAATAATGAGACTACATTTTCTACCCTTCTACCTTTCATCATTCCTAATCCAGAGTAACCTGCACAAACAACAAGAATACAAGGATTTTAATGTTAGTAGTATATATTTTTAATAGTAAAACCACAGAAACCCCTCAAAAATCTGTCAAAAGGGGAGTGGCTAAATCATTTTGGCTAATTAATTTCAAACACACTCTAGTATCATTTAGGAGGAAAACTCATACACAAAATATTATACAAAGAATACATGACCCCATTTTCTTATATAAGGGTCTTCGAAGTTCAAAAAGAGATTAAGTATCACATCATGCATCTACTAAGTGGCAGGTCCAAGTTTTAAACCCATTCTCTGTTTCTAAAAGTCAAAACACTATTACTGTAACACACTGCTTCCCAAATCAGTATACAGCATTGATAAGACATGTTACAACTGGTGTCTTACCATCCCTTTTTTTACTGTGTTACTTTGTGTTTCAGGGGACCCAGAATGCGATAGAGTGAGAAACCATGAATCAGTGAACTTTAAAGCAAACTCAAATACTTAAAGGCAAAACAAAATCTTCTTTGATCTTTAGAATGAAATCATCTTGTGATTCAGTATGCCAGTGAATGACTTGAGATGCCACCAGTGTAGCCAACTTGCTTTTAAATATGTGATCCATTTTGCTCTGTTTGGTAAGCTTCTATAAGGGCTGGAATAAACTAAATGACTCCATTTGGTTGCTATAAAGAATACGTGATTCAAAATCCTATTTATATTTTTCTCAGAATAAATTTAGGTTAATTTCAATTAAAGTAATACTGATATAAACAATGCATCCTATCTTTTCAAAAAAAATGGTGAATAAGTTAACTTTTCTTATTGCCAATTGGAAAAAACTAAGAACTTGGAAGGTAACTAACATTTCAAAAGTGTTACATGTTCTTTGCAGAAAATTTTGAAAACACAGATGAGGAAAAATAATATCTACAGGTATGTATATCACCAAGAGATATATAGTTACTAATAAATTTAAACAGATGACATGTTATGAACAAGTTAAAATTCCAAATCAACCTATTAATATAGTAACAGTAGGATATTGGTAAAGTCTCAACTGTAGAAGATACAATTAATCAATGTCACAAGTACTTAATAACATAGAAATTGTTGAAAATGGAATATTTATTTGGTTTGCAATATTTTCCAAATTCTGTATTAAGTATACTGTATATGATGTATGGGTATAATAGTGCATTTTTTGTAATTACCTCAAGTTAAAATATTTCCTAACAGCTTTTTTAGTAACTCTTCATAATCATACCTTGGCATAAACCCTGAAATATTTGATCTACTTTGTTTTTTATTTTATTATGTTTTCTATTACATTGGCTTTTATTAATCCTGAATCTCTCCATCTGTGGCCTTTTCCTATGACCTTTACTAAGCAAAGTTGCTGTTAACATCTGGTTGTTAAAATATAATTTGTAGTAGCTTTGTAAATAAAAAAGCGTGAACCACATATTATTACTTTTGCAAAGGATTTATAAATATGAGTCAGTAAACTCACTAGTTTCCATCCTGGAAGAGTGGCAGGAAATTAGACTTTTATCTTTTGGGGAAGCTTTACATTTCAGGATGATGAAGTCTCAGGGGGTTTTGGGGGACTCAAGGTAGATGGTAAGATCCCACATCGTTCTGCTTTGGTGACCACAGACACTTAGCCCAATCCATATAGTTCCTCAGGCCACAAAGTTCTGGGGTCTCTATGACAAACTTTTTAGGGTCACAGGTACCTAGCATCCTGCCTCCCTAAATGCACCAGAAAATTATCCTCAGATCATTCAACCTGCTCGGGGAGGTGCCTGGGATTCTGATGTGAGTTCAGCTATTCCTGAGATCCAGACATGTCTGCCCCCTTTGAAGCCTTAAGCCTTGATCTGACTCTTCAAAAGCCTTATTACTTCAAATTCTGTCTTCACTCTACCCCAGTTATGGACCCAACACTATTTCTTTAAAGAGTTTAAGAAAATTCAAAAAGCCTTTAACTCCAAAAGGCTTCTGTTTCTGTTTTCTGCTTCTGTTTCTGTCTTCTGCTTCTGTTTTCTGCCTTGCAAAAATCTCCCCATTAGATAGGCACCACAGGCCCTGTCTATCTTCTTGGGGTGGGGGCAGGAGACAGGGTAGAATCTGGGGAGAAATACATAAAATAATATCTTAGTAAAGCAACTTGCCATCACATTTGTTATTCAAGGCCATATTCTGTGTTAGTCAATGAAAAGACATTGATGTTTGACAGGACTTTTGGTTCATTTGTTTGTTTCAAATCACCCAGAAATCCTCTTCTTTGAGGTGGCATCTTTCATTTGAATAGTGTATCAGGGAAAATTATTATATTCACTGAAAATGTTTAATTCAAGATGATTAACTCAAGCACTTAAAGATCTCGTTTGCCTCATGAATCAGTCAGGGCCCAACATAGAAAACAAAAAGCATTCTAAGCATTTAAATCAAAAAAGTTAATACAGGGAATAAGATGAATAGGGGACAGAAGAGCCAAGAAGCCACATAGAAGACAGGGAGACATCCTCGGGATTAGGAAATGTAGGAAGCTGGTGTCCAGCCTGGGCTGGAGGGAGGAGGTGATGCTTGTGGTGTCCAGGGTCAGTGCAAGTGGCTGAAACCAGGATGGGCTTACATTGGAAGCTAGAGCCTCAGAGGAGCTGCATTTGAGAGGTGCCACTGAAGTCAGAGAACAAGGATAATAAATACCCTGGCTTCTCCTTACTTCCCACTCTCCAATCTCACTCCAGTGCCTCCCATTGATGGAATAATCCAGCTGAAAGGAAGCCAGCTGACAGGAAAGCCTGTGAAATGCGGTCTGCAGAGGTCAGGTCTCTTGTATATTGAGAAGGGGAGAGGTGAGGAATGGACCTTCCTTCATGCAGTCCAGAGACCAGCATATTTAAGAATTCTCAATACAACATAGGACAGGATTCTACTCATTTATTGCACAATGTTTCTACTACCCCTGGATTCCTTTAGTGAGTTTATTTCTTGCTTAAACTGTAAAAACGTTAGAGACCCATTCTTTGGAATATAAGATATTTAAGATTAGGGAGGCATGCACTTGAGAACTTAAGAAAGAAGAGTTTAGTACTAGACTCTACACTCCTTTTTATTCTAAAATCTCTCCCAGAAATTTTAAAATGTGTCTAGAAATGCATTGTTAATTGGGTCAATTGAGCTACTTTGGTTAAAGAATAAAATCAGCCTAGATTTCAGAACTGAAGAATCAGGTCCTCTGTACAAGCTAGTGATTCTAAAAATTGACTTTACTTAAATTAGAATCCCTCTTCTCTTGGCAACATTAATGATACCTGTTATATTTTACTAAAGTTGGCAAGTAAGACAACACTAAGCCTCTCTTCTCAATTTCAAATTGTAAATAATGAGAGACAGGCAAGATAACAATACCTTAAATCAGAATTATACCATGGTAGTTTGGTATTATAAGCTAATTTTGATAAATAAAAGCTATCACTCTGAGAGAAACCTTCTAGCTGCCTTAATCATTTACCCCTTAAACCAGTGCAACTGATTTCTCCATACCAATCCTGTCTTCTTTCATCTATCACATAAATTTTAAAATGATCTATGTAAAATGTAAATTTGATTATGTCATTCCTCTGCCTATATCACTTCAGTGGTTCATCACTGAATGGATAAAACTCAAACATTTCCATATATAATTACAAGTTCCCCAAGACCTGACACCCAACTACCTCTGACCTACTTCTGTTTTTGACCTTGAACCTCTGTGAATTCCAAGCTGCTTCTTACTTACTATATTCACTGGGTCTCAGAGGGTTTGTTTATGGTACATCTTTTATGGAAACATTTGTCTGATTTCCCTCTTCTGGTTGATACCCATGTAGATTCAGCTCCAGTAAGAGATTCTAATGCCCAAGAATGACCTTGCAAACACAGGCCCTCGGGGAATACGTTCTCCATTGTAATGCTTGCACTGTGATGTGACTGTCTGTTTCCATTTCTACCTCTCAAACATTCTGAGAACCCCTTGGGAGCAGGATTCACACCTTATTCTTCCTTGGTAAAACTACCAACAATGGCCCTCAAAAAATATGTGCTAAATGAAAGACTAAATACTACCAAAATATTCCAAACTGACTTCTATTCTCTCCCTTCTGACATTAATTATACAAATAGCCATCAAAGTTATGCTTCAAAATAAATAAATAAGATCATGTCATTTCTCTCTAGTAACATTGCTGATGCTGTCCATGAACCTATAGGTCACAAGGATTCGATTACTCATTCTTCAACACCATTTGTTCAACACCTAAGAGTTTGCCAGGTACCGTTCTCAGTACTAGAGTCTAAATAATGAATAAACAGACAAGTTTCCATGCTCATGGAACTGACTTTCTATGCTGTTTCACACCTTTCCTTCCTTACATACTGTATTGCTTCTTTTGTTAAGCAAAACCTTAGTCAGTTTTCAGTCCATGTTTAGATGCCACATATTCTTCCACACCCACAGACGAATTATTTGCTTCTTCCTCTCCCCTCTATTGCACAGAATTCATGTTTCTACTAAACAACTTAAAACTGTATTATGTAATTTTGTATTTATTTGCTTTTCCTGTAGTATTCTCCTAGTCCCATTAAGGCAGAGATAAAGAACTTGCATAAAGACAATATAAAATAGTTCTACAATTAAATAGTACAAAACAATTTTTTAAATGAAAAAAGCCTTTGAAGAGGCACTTCACAAAGAAAGATATATAAATAGACAATAAATACATGATAAATGCTAAGCATCATTAGTAAGTAGGGAAATACAAATAAAACCATTTAAAAATAAGACAGTGGAGGAATAACATTAGCTAACTTCAAATTATACTACAGATTATGATAACCAAAACAGCATGATACTGGCATAAAAACAAACACACAGACCAATGGAACAGAGTAAAGAACACAGAAATAAATCCATACATCTATAGTGAGCTCATTTTAAACAAAGGTGCCAAGAACATACACTTGGGGAAGAGAGTCTCTTTAATAAATGAAGCTGGCAAAATTGGATATGCGTATGCAGAAGAATGAAACTACACCCCTATCTCTCGCCATATACAAAAATCAAATCAAAATAGATTAAAGACATAAATCTAAAACCTCCGACAATGAATCTACCACAAAAAAAAATGGGGAAAATCTACAGGACATTGATCTCAGCAAAATTTCTTGAGCAATACCTCACAAGCACAGGCAACCAAAGCAAAAATGGACAAATGAGATCACATCAAGTTAAAAAGCTTCTGCACAGCAAAGGATCTAATCAACAAAGTGAAGAGAAAACCCAAAGAATGGGAGAAGATATTTGCAAACTACCCATCTGACACAGGATTAATAACCAGAATATGGCCAGGCACAGTGACTCACACCTGTAATCCCAGCACGTTGGGAGGCCGAGGCAGGCGGATCACCTGAGATCAGGAGTTCAAGATCAGCCTGGTGAAACCCTGTCTCTACTAAAAATACAAAAAAGTTAGTCAGGCGTGGTGGTGGGCACCTGTAATCCCAGCTACTTGGGAAGCTGAGGCAGAAGAATCTCTTGAACCCAAGAGGCGGAGGTTGCAGTGAGCCAAGATCGCACCACTGCACTCCAGTCTGGGTGACAAGAGCAAGACTCTGTCTTAAAAAAAAAAAAAGAGAGAAGAAAAGAAAAGAAGGAAAGGAAAGGAAAGGAAAGGAAAGGAAAGGAAAGGAAAGGAAAAGAAAGGAAAGGAAAAGAAAGGAAAGGAAAGGAAAGGAAAAAGCCAGAATATATAAGAAGCTCTATAGGAGAAAATCTAATAATCCGGTCAAAAAATGGGCAAAAAATATGAACAAACCCATCTCAAAAGAAGACATACAAATGGCAAAAAAAAAAGCATATGAAAAAGTGCTCAACATCATTGATCATCAGAGAAATGCAAATCAAAACTGCAATGAGATATCATCTCACCCCAGTTAAAATGGCTTTTATCCAAAAGATAGGCAATAACAAATGCTGGCAAGGATGTGGAGAAAAGGGAGCCCTTGTACACTGTTGGTGGGAATATACACTAGTACAACCACTATAGAAAACCATTAAGAGCTTCCTCAGAAACCTAAAAATAGAGCTGCCATATGATCCAACAATCCCACTGCTTGGTAGATACCCCAAATAAAGGAAATCAGTATATCAAAGAGATAGCTGCACTCCTATGTTTGTTGAAGCACTGTTTACAATAGCTAAGATTTGGAAGCAACCTACATGTCCATCAACAGATGAATGGATAAAGAAAATGTGGTACAGATACACAATGGAGTACTATTCAGCCATAAAAAAGAATGAGATCCAGTCATTTGCAACAGCATGGATAGAGCTGGAGATTACTATGTTAAGTGAAATAAGCCAGGCACAGAAATACAAATATCATATGTCCTTACCTATCTGTGGGATCTAAAAATCAAAACAATTGAACTCATGGACATAGAGAGTGGAGAATGGTTACCAGAGGCTGGGAAGGATAGTGGGGGGCTGAGGGCGAAGTTGGGGGCAGCAGAGGTGGGGGTGGTTAACAGGTACAAAAAAAATTAGAAAGAATGAAAAAGACATAGTATTTGATAGAACCACAGAGTAACTATAGTCAATAGTAATTTAATTGCATATTTTAAAATAACTTAAGAATGTAATTGAGTTGTTTGTAACTCAAAGGATAAATGCTCGAGAGGATGAATACCTCATTCTCCATGATGTGCTTATTTTATATTGCATGCCTGTATCAAAATATTTCATGTACCCCATAAATACATACACCTACTATGTACTCACAAATATTAAAAATAGAAAAATTAAAAATAAAATGAGATAGGATTATAACATTAGAGTAGCTACCATTAAAAAGAATTAAACACCAAAGGTTAGCTAGGATACAGAATTATCAGAACTCTCATATATTTTTTGGTGGGAGTGTAAATTTATAACTATTTTAGAAAAAGCTTTATAATTTTCTTTTTTTCTTTTTCTTTTTTTTTTTTCCTTTTTTTTTTTTTTGGACAAAGTCTCACTCTGTCTCCCAGGCTGGAGTGCAGTGGTGTAATGCAACCTCCGCCTCCTCAGTTCAAGCAATTCTCCTATCTCAGCCTCCCAAGTAGCTGGGATTACAGGCACCAGCCACCACGCCCAGCTAATTTTTGTATTTTTTAGTAGAGATGAGCTTTCACCATGTTGGCCAGGCTAGTCTTGAACCCCTGACCTAAAGTGATCCACCCACCTCAGCCTCTGAAAGTGCTGAGATTACAGGTGTGAGCCACCATGCCCAGCCTATAATTTTCTTAAAAAGTTAAATTAAAGGGTAAAATATTCCTCAACCCAATAACTCCACTTTTAGATTTTTATCCAATAGAAATGAAAATAAATGGCAACAAAAAGATGTGGACAAGAATGTGTGTAGCACCTTTTTTTGTAGTAGTCTAAAACTAGAAACAATCCAAAAGTCCATCAGCAAAAGGATGGATAAAAATTTGAAGTATTCTCATACAAGATGCTACTCTGGAATAAAAAAGAACAAATTACTGATATGGGGAACAACCTGGATGCCTTTCATAACCATTATGCTGAATGAAAAAAGCTGAACAAAAAGAATACATGGTTATGATATGGGAGCTAAAAAGAAATTATTTAGGTAGTTAGTGATGGTAAGAGATTCATTGGTAAGGTTTCCCTTTTAATAAAAAGCAGCCTCCAAATCATTTATTTCCTAAAAAAGAGCAGCCTGAAAAATTAAGCTGCAGACATAAATAAGCAAGTTAGAAGCTTGCATGGATGAATGTCAGCAGCTGTGCCAATAGGAAAAGGCTACCTGGGGGCCAGACATGTTCAACATGCAGGCTCCATCTTTCCTTTCTTTGTCACCATATGTACAGTAAGGAATAGGCAACATGGCATCGGACAGGTAGAGAACCATCTGCAAAATAAAAGATTTGGGTGGGGTGGCCAGATTCTTCCTCGCTATACAAATGGCGCACCTGGTCCGACCAATCTTGTTTGCCCTATGTAAATCAGACACCGCCTCCTCAAGCTCATCTATAAAACCCCGTGCATTTCGAGAAGGAACCAGCAACCCATTTTTCTCCGGGACCCCTCTCTCTGCAGCAGAGAGAGCTCTTCTCTTTCTTTCACCTATTAAACTTCTGCTCTTAACGTCACGCTGGTGTGTCTGCGCCCTAGTTTTCCGTGGCAATGGGAAAACGAAACTCAGCTATTACCCCAGATGAACGACACAGCTTCCGTTATGATTCCATTTTTATAAAGCTCTAGAATAACAGCTAATCTATGATAAATAAATATAGAAATAAAGATATCTAAATATGTACATATGTTTTCTAGAGAGAGCTGAGAAGCAACAACACGCTAATAACAGTAAGTACATCTATAACCCAGATCTTGGTTTCTGAATATTAATCTTCACTAAAAGAAACCACGGCTCCTTAGAGAAATGACTGATTCTGGGGTTGATGAAGGGAAATAATGATAAGCTGGAATCTCTTGTTGCAACAGAGAGTGACAAAAGTTTTCGAATAATGATGGAATCCTATCCAAAAGACACAGGAGGCTCTCATTGGCCAAACTCATGTCATTTGACTATCAAAATAAATAACTCTAATAGATTGTAATTCATTGAAAAAAAAAGAATCAATGAGTAAATTAATAGATAAATAAATAGAAAAAGTCTCCCTTAAAGGGGAATGTATACTAGTAAATATAGAGGGAATGATGAAGTAAGAAAATATCATTGAATTACTTGAAGCTAAAGCTAATTAGGTGAATATTTGATGAGAAAAAAATTTATATATCATCTCAAAGTATCTCCCCACAAACTACTTACTAATTACAAAGGGGAAAAGGAATAACTTCACACTGGAGAAGCTTTAATCAACCAATCAACATTAACACCTGCAATTTTAGGACAAACAACAACGTGCCTCCTGATGTGATGCACTGGGAATAGCACCATGTGTTCCTGTGGTATTCCTGCAGAAAAAGCAAAACTGGAATTTAATCTTGAGGAATCAGCAAACAAACCCACACTGAGGGACATTCCATAAAATAAGTGTCCTATAATTTTTTTAAATCTCAAGATTAAAAACAATGGTTGAGAAACTCTTTCAGATTGAAGTAATCTAGAGAACCATGATAACAAGTCCAGTGGAGGGTCCTGGAGTGAGTGAGGAACCAAGGAAAAAATTGGGACAGCCAGCCAAAGCGAATATGGACCATGGATAACGTGATATATAGTATCAATATCACACGCCAAAATGGGATCATTGTACTATAGTTATGTCAGAGAATGTCCTTCTGGGGAAATACATGTGAAGAGAATATTTTTCTCAAAATAATAGAAAACAAAACTTGAAAGAGATTTCTACTATATTCTATGTGGATGGAGTAAAAGAAGTAAAGTTAGGGAGTAGCACACTATTTTTTTCAATGTTTCCAATGACATTCAAAAATATAAGTAATGGGAAGATAGCCACATTTACAGTAAACTCTATTATCATTCTTAATAAAAAAAGTTTAATTATCCATGAAAGACACTATTTACAACCCATATTTATTATTCTGCCTAAGATAGCAAATGTGTTTTTCAGTTTATGACAGGCAACCGATATTATTAGAAATTATAAAGAAGACAAAAGTCAAATTTCATTTAAAATATCTGCTTTCAGTAAAGTGTCAAGCATTCTTAGACTTGAGCTAACATAAAAGATATTTGACTTTGAGTGATATTTTACAGATACATGTACACATGTGTCTACATACATATGTATACATATACACACACATATATATACACACACATACATGTTCATAAACACATATAAAATGCACACATTTAAAGTAAACATTCTATTTTTTGAGATTTTTCTAAAAAAATAAGACCTCCAGAACAGTCAAAAGTAGACTACCACCACTTGGCACTCAACACTGGTAACCCTGAAAGGATGAACGTTTGGAGATTTTTTGGTTTATTATATCTGAACGTGAAGGTATAGTATCTTGAAAAAGATAATGGCCTCTCCTGACCACAAAGCTCCTACAATTTATGGAAAAAATAAATAACTAATTGCATAATTCCTGAGTGCTTTTGTCTAATCTTGGGCTTAGTGCTGGTTGTTATTAAATATTTCCTGAATTACTCATGTAAGATACATCAAAAGTAACCAAAGAAGTTATTTTCAGCATCTTCAGAAGGTACATCAATTTTAAAATTTGCCATTTCTTAGTTCACCTTAAACCAGACGGATATTGTAAGAAAGGGAAATTTTTTCCTCTACCCTCGTAAGTTCAGTGGCTGGTGCCCTGCAAGTTAAACCTACAAAAGGGAGATTAACAGGAAAAATCATTTATCACATATGCATATGAAGTCCTTCATAGAAAAAAAGCAAAGACCCAAAAAAGCAGTTAAACCCAGGGATACACAGCATTTTAACATAGAGCAACAAACTGTGGAAGTGACAAGATGAAGGAAAACAGGATTAGGCTTTTAAGGGTGGTTAATTGTGGGAAGGTAAATCTGTAGGAGAAACTAATGAAAGATAAGGGTTGTTTAGTAAGGTCTGTTATTCAGATTCCTCTCAGTTGCTGTCTCTGGGCTGAGCCTAGGTCAAGCTTGTCCAATCCACTGCCTGTGGGCTACATGTGGCCCAGAATGGCTTTGAATGCAGCCCAACACAAATTCATAAACTTTCTTAAAAGGTTCTAAGTTTTTTTGTGATTTTTTTTTTCTCATCAGCTATTGTTAGTGTTAATGTTAGTGTATTTTATGTGTGGCCCAAGACAATTCTTCTTCTTCCACTGTGGCCCAGGGAAGCCAAAAGATTGGACACCCCTGGAGATCATCTCTGGTGATTACAAACCATTCTCCCTTTCCTGGCACAAGAGAAGGGAGAAGGTGGGGCACCTTCACGAAGGGAAATTTATGACCTGATTTTAGCCAAATACAGGAGGGTAGAAGTCTTTTCAATGTTTACTGTTTCTCAGTTGCCTTCGGCTCAAAATAATCCTTATGCCAAAGTGCTATATTTTGGGGTGGCATACTCTGATCCCTTTCAGTATATATTTTCTAATATTAAGGAATCATCTAAAAATACGGGTCTTCATATTGTCTAAGAATGCTAATTTTGGAAAACCGCCGATGTTCATGCTTTCCTTTAATTGTGAAGATGCAATGCCTTTTGTCCTTTCGTCATTAAGAAAAAAAGAGCATTTTTGTAGACTTTTACTAAATATCAGCACTTAGTTTCTTTCTCAATTAGATTGAAACAGCTGGTGTGGACCGCATTTCCCTGTATCTTTGCTTACCAGAAGCATTTGGGAAGTCAACAGAATAACATTGCAGCAGGGACTTCTCTTGGTAATGAAAATTGCAGAATGGTTTCAATAAGAGTGAACATTTAAGGCCCATTAAGTCATCTTTCTTATTGTGCTTAACACCATCAAATTCAATGAGTGAATCAATGGCCACAGCTGGATGCAAGAAGCATTGAAATTCAAGAACGATGTCACTGCATCAGTGACAACAAGCCTAAGAAGTAGTGGGTGAAAGATAGAAAGTCATCACTGAATTTTGATTGTAGCTCAGCATCAGATTAGAGGATGACTTGATATCTCACAATGATTCATTAAACCTAAGATTCATGATGTCAAGGGGAGGGAAAGACAGCACAAACATTCTTGAATGTTTAGCAGTGAGCACTTAAGGATAAATTTATAATTTGGTTTTGGCTTTTGATTTAGTCAAGATAATGCAAACCACAGGATCTTTTCATTTTTATCAGACAAATAGATAAAAACCAATTTTAGAAAACAAGCCTTCAAACTCCAGTGCTCTTATTTTTCTCTCCTCATTATTTTTTATAGACCGTAACCATGGTGATATTCAGACACACAGCTCTGTTTCTTGCATAGCTTCCAAGCTTGCATGTCTGCATGTCACCACCTCCGCACGACAGCAGCCACACTTAGACTCTTTGAAATCCAGTTTTACCTTTCTTTATTTCATTTCCTTGTAATTCTAATGAGTCCAATCCGATACTGCAAACTTGGGGCCACCACCAAGCACATCTTTCCCTTCTCAGAGCTGTGGGTGCAGATGCTGCGATTGACTTGGATGGAATTCTACCCTGATGAGAACCCAAATTAAGTTGGGAAATCTCAGCTACAGAAGTAAGGAACATTATCAGCCACTGAAATAGATGAAAGTGAAGAGCATTTATGACATCACTGAAAGCAAGTTTTGTCTTTCAGATTCTGTTAATAGGTAAAATTACCTTCAGAGTCACAGCAGACCAGCCATCTGCCACAAGAACAAATGACCTGTGGCCATTCCAGTTAAAAGAGCTAGCATTTCTCCTTAAAACTCATAAGTACAACTTACCTCTTAGCCATTGCAGCTGACAAGCTCAGTGGGTACCTCAAGAATAATTTGGCTTCTCTGGTGTACCATGGTAGCTTTCTGGCTGCCTTACTACCTCTTCCTGGTCTGTCTTACAGAACACCTGCTGCCTCAGAACACTGGTTTTTCTCTCCTACATGCCATTCTTCCACCTCCAATCAGATTCACGTACACATGCATACACCCAAGAGGACTACTTGTTCCCATGAGAGTCCTCTAGTTTTAATTGTGCTCTTTTCCAATCTCAATCCCAACTAAATCCACTTTATTCCTAGACTCTCCTTGTCTCTCATTAAATTGCTGGTCTCAAAACCGCATCTGTTTGAAGTAGCAGACCTTCTAGACATAGTTCAAATGAGCTTGCATCTACATCTGTGTCCTCTGATGTTCCACGAATCCTAAGTCTATTCAATATTCATGCACAGTCAGTCCCAGCCTCTGCATCAAAAATCAAAACTGTGGATAGGAGTTGAGGACATGCTACCCCCAAATATGACACCTTGGCATTTGCGAAAACAGCAGAAGCAGGAAAGTCACTCTCACCTTCTCTTGCCCTTCTGTCCTGAAACAGGTCATAAAACCCTCCGGTGAGAAAGGAATATCCTCTTATCTGAAGGCACAGGGGCAAAGAAAGAAAACTGAACCAACAGGCTTGCTATGTTTCTTCTGGTTTATTACTATTAGATCACACTTTATATCCAATCTTTATGACTATTTACTTCTTCATCAAACCTAGCATAAAAGATAAACATGTTTATCTATTTCTTTGGGTCTTCATTTACTTATGAAGGCTCCCATGTCACATAAAAGGTGTATTAAATAAGTTCGTATGCTTTTTCCTCCTTATTCTGTCTTTTGTTATAGGGGCCTCAGCCATAAACCTACGATGGGTAAGGGAAATATATTCTTCGTCTCCTACACTGTTGAATAGTAAAGGATTTTTAGGGTTAACAGGAAGCAGGGAATAAGTGAATGTAAAGACTGAATGTGAGCAGAGAAAAACAGTAAATGTAGAAAAAAGAATATATTAACGAATAACTATTTGGCCATAGTTATCATGTTATATATAATATCACTTATTACTATGTAATTTATGAAAACCTGTCAAGTCTCCATTTGTCTAGTGATAATTTTTTAAAATGCAATCTATTTTAAACAATCTAGAGATTCTAAATAATTTGTCCACAGCAGATGCCCTATTACCACTCATACACAAATCCCAACATACTAATGATGTCATGCCTATGAATGGGGCAGTCTATTTCTAACTTATCTGACCTTGAACATGCCTAGATTCTTCAGATCCCTGTGTCTTCTATATCCTCATCTGCAAAGTGAAATTGATTAGAAGACTGCCAATATCCTACCAGTCTCTACAGGCTAGTGTTACTCATTCCCCTGGCTTTAATTTGAACACATAAACAAAAATTATCAAACATAGACTGAAAATCCTCAAGTTTTCCAAAGTTAAAAAAAAAGACAGTTTAAAAGAAAAGATACCTGATCTAGGGATAAACTTTGAGGAAGAAGAAGTTTGTATCATCAAAGGGGCCTTTATAGGAAAGTTGCCTTAGCTGGTTCCAGCAAATAGAATCTTTATATTCCTACAAGGATAAAGAAGAAGATCTCAACAAAGGAAGGATATTTCAACAAAAATTTAAAAGCTATTTTTATGTAGAACTATCACTGAGGCTTTATTTCACATCAACTAAAAATAGACTGTGTGAAAACAATTCAAATAAATTTGTTATGAACCATATAAGAAAAGATTGTTTTTCTCATATTGTATTGGGCTTTGTCTTTGCAAGAATAATTACTAGAAAATGAGAGTGAGCTAGCTTTACTGATTTGTTCTCTTATATACCCTATCCGTAAAAGCACACAATGATTTTCTGTTTTCCCATCGCTCTTGAACGAGGATGCTCCCTGTGTTATCCTGATCACTGCATTTTGCCACTAGAGGCAGACAAAAAAAAAAGGGCGGGGGGGGGGCAACTAGCTCATAACCAACTTAATCAGGTCTTACTATAACTCAGAAATAGTAACTGAAAGAAAAAAAATGCTGTTAATACAAGTTCTTTTATTATCGGGAAAGATAGGTCAGAAAATATCACCAATTAGCTAGTAGTCATCAATGATTATGTGATAACAGAGAAAAGAGGCGCCTTGACTGAAAAAGGCAAATTTAGCTTTAGTCAAACACATATCAGCGGTTGCTAAGACAGTCCAAATGTTTTCAGATCCTTTCTCCAACTGGCGCATTTGGATAAGTAGTCATACTTTTCAAAATTTCACATGTATGATCAGATTTAATCATCCCGATAATCTAGGAAGGTAGAGAAATGCCAGTGTAAATATAGAGTAAGTTTACCATACTTATTCATGAGTAAACTGTTATTAATATATTTGTTTATAAATAAATTCCTTAATGGTAACTATGAACATGGAACTGACATGATAGAAGAATGAAAGAAGCCGTGATTCCTACCTTCCATCAGCATACAATATAGGTGAAGGGTGAAAACACAGAGGACAAAAACATTTTAACACCATGTGGCATATTACTTATGGTTTTACACAATGAAACACAAGTACTAAAGGAAGAGCAATAACGAGAATTCAATTTAAGCTACAGTAATCTGGAAAAGATTCAAGAAAAAGGTACAGTCCATTGTGAATCACAAAAGTTGGTAGGATTTGCATAGGGCAAACAGAGAGAGATAAACATTTCTTTGAACAAAACAGGTTAAACAACATATTTAATGAGAAATAATCATAAGTGTATTTACAGTACAGTGAGAATGACATCAAAATATAAATTAAAAAAAGAGAAACCAAGTACTACCCTTGTATTAAACATGAAGAGCTCATGGAGTATAATAAAAAGCCCACCTATTTTCCACTGTCACTACAGTTTCAGAGTAGTCCCTGGGGCATGTTATGGTCCAGTGGTGTGCTAGTAAGCTGACCCTGACTTTCTGGGGGGAAACAGTTCTGATTGGCAGCATTTATCAGTTTCTGTGGCATAAATATGTCCATGGTGGCCAATTTCAAGCTACAGATGTGCTAATCACAGGATCGCAGTGTTCCTGAATATTTAACAACCATCTCTCTCAAGCCAGTGGAATTCTGCTACAGCACACCACTGGTTTCCCTGACCCTTGAAAAAATGTGTTTCTACCATATGTCTTCTCTGGCTATTCTTAGGCTACATAAATTTCAAAGTCTCCAAGTTGCAAAACACTATCTCCTTTTAATAATAAAAATGATGAAACTCATGTAATAATAAAAGCTTTGAACCTGCTTTGAAGCTGGGCAGGGGTGCAGGTGCTCCCAGCTTATCTTCTTCGTCCCCTCCTGCTGTTACTCCTCTTCTTAGTCGGGTACATAATTCACTCTCTCAGCCTTACTGGGCTGGTGAATGGAAAGGAAGAAGAAAGGGGCCCAACAAGCACTGTTTGACTGAGACTATGATGAGCTGGTGTTATAACCACAGGACATGGAATATATATAAAGCAGGTGTGCTCTTTTCATATTAACTAGGCTTCTGAAATTTCTGTCTTTAGCACCCTTCTACATGACCTCCCATAATCAGGATGATTGCTTCTCTATTCTAGATATTTTGCTTTCTCCTTTCTCTGTCCTAAGAAATCAAACAATAATTCCACACTTTTTCTGCTGAAATCTGCCTACCTCTCTAAACCGGAGTTCAACAACTTTTTCTGTACAAGGCCAGATAATAAATATTTTAGGCTTTATTGGCCAGATGGTCTCTGTAGCAACTACTCTACTCCTATAGCCCGAAGCAGCCATATGCAATCCATAAATGAATGAGCATGGCTGTGCTCCAAAATTTACAAAGAGGCAATGGGGTTTGGCCCGAGGTCTTGGCATGCCAACCTCTCCCTCAGACAGCCTTAAATAACATGTATTATGACCCTTGCTGGCTCACTCTTATACACAGTCCATTGCAAATGCTTACACATCCTATGCCCCGATAAACCAGGGTGGTGAAATAACCTCCCAAATCTTGGGCTGCCTAGGCCAGAAATCACTTAGATTTCTCAGGTGTCTTAGACACCAGTCTATCCAGCCCTCCAAATGATAGGGACATATATTAAGCTTTTCAGCTGACGTTAGGATCCTTCTCTTTTGACTTGGACAAAAGGTTTATTACCAGTTTTGGGGGCAGATGAAGGGGTGACGAGAATGAGACTCATAATACAAAATATACACTTAAAAAAATCCTCAAAACTCCTCTCTCCATCTCAAAAATATAATACGTTTCATGTCCTAAACATTGGCAAGAGGTTTTTCATCCCCTAGTTTGAAAATACTACTTAAGGCCCAGTAACACCTTGGAATATGTTAGCTATTATCCCCTGCTTTTCAGCTCAAACTTCCATTTTAGCACTCTGTGTAAAAGGTTTAATAGGAGTATTGGCATAGATCATTGACATAATAAGCCATGTATCCCAAATAAAGTGATTTTTAACTCTATTGACGGAGGAACAATAAAGTAGTTAGGGTGAAAAGTGATGAGTGACACAAGAAAACTACTCTTTAAGAAAACATAAGTTCAGTTAAGAACTGGTTGTATTGAAAATCAGGAGATATTCTGACAGCAGGGAAATTAATTAGAAGGTTCTTACAGATAATGTAATAACCCAAACTAGGATTATATGTACGAAGATGGTGACAAAAGTGGGAATATGTAAGAGAGACCAAACATCTGAAGGTGAGTGATTGCAGGAAATGAAAGAAGAGTGAGTAAACTTTTCTCCCCTTTCAAGTTTAGATGTCAAAAAAATGACAAAAATAAGCAAATCAAGAAGGGCAGGAAACGGAGTGACAAAGATGATGAATTCTATTCAGGACAGGCATAATTTGAGGTCATTTTAACACAACAAACTGATGTTTTATGCTAAGCTGTGGCTATATCTATACAGATTTTGAAAGCTAAACAAGTAGATGATACCATGCAGAAACAGGGAAGTTCACACAGCAAAGGAATACAGAAAAGAGAGAGAAGTTTGGAAATGCTCCCAGCCAGGAGTAGGAAAAAGAAATAAAAATAAACAAGTAAACAAATTGAGTTTATTTTTTATTAACTTTATATGAAATTTTGGGGAATAAGTAAAGTTTTTAATTTGATAAGGACAAAAAAGTTCCTCAAAGCCAATTTTTAAACATGTTTAAATATTTGTATTCAATATACAAGGAAGATGAGAAATACTCTTTTATGTAAAGTAGTAAGATTTGATTTATATACCACTTCTGAGTATCAACTCATGGTTCAAGCATAAAGGTCTTGCTGGGCATGGTGGCTCATACCTGTAATCCCAGCACTTTGGGAGGTTGAGGCAGGTGGATCACCTGAGGTCAGGAGTTCGAGACCAGCCAGGCCAACGTGGTGAAACACTGTCTCTACTAAAAATACAAAAATTAGCTGGATGTGGTGGTGCATGCCTGTAGTCCCAGCTACTTGGGAGTCTGAGGCAGGAGAATGGCTTGAACTTGGGAGGCAGAGGTTGCAGTAAGCCAAGATCACACCATTGCACTCTAGCCTGGGAGACAGAGTGAGACTCCATCTCAAATACAACAACAACAAAAAAGAATAAAGGTGTCAGTACCAGTTTGATTTCAAAAGACCATATTGTCTACCTGGAAATTCACATCAACTGTCTCAGCCTTATCTCCTCATATTCACAATGATAGTGGATACTGCACCTACACCCTAGAATGATGGTGAGAGTTAAATGAGGTAATGCAAATAAGGCAAGAGCATAATACCTGTCACCTTGTAGGTGATAAATAAATGTTAGGTATCATTATCATGTTCATTATCAATAAAATGAGAGCAAACACACTTTTCTCTCCTTACTAAAGTACCATATAATTTTTTAATTGCATTTTTCCCTAAAATTTACTTTATATATACATACGTATATGGCAAACTGGTTCTAATGGAAACAAACTCCTAGCATTTTCTGTAGAAAATTTACTAACTCTTCTGCATGAGTAAGATTATAGACATATGTCATTGCAAATAAGTGCAAAATATATTGCTGAATTTCTTTTTATGCATTGTTCTGGTGTCATTTCAAGTTGACCATATGCTTTATAATAACAATCTGAACCTTCAAGACAAGTGTTTACTACAGGAAAATTCACATCTATAAAAAGATGATTTGTAAACAAACAGAATCACCCACTATGTCTTCCAAGAATTGTGTCTATGCGTATATATTCATGTGTTTTAATACTTATATATGGAACAAGAATGCATCTATGTAAAGACACTGTGTTATACACATAAGGTCATGTACTTCTGTTCAGTAACTTGCTCCCTTTCCCAAAGTAGTAGCTGGTAATCCTTTAAGATGTAAACAGATTGATCATGCCTTTGCTCACAACCCTGCAAAGGTTCCCATTTCATTCAGAATGAAAGTCCAATCCTTGCACTAGCCCAAAGTGCTGAGTGATTTGATACCCTTACATCATCAGCCCCATCTCCCACTACTCATCCACCTATTCAATCCGGCCACATCAGCGAATTTGCTTCTCCTAGAACAGACCAGGCCTGTTCCTGCCTCAAGATTCTTGCACGAGCTGTTGTATTTGCTTGGTGCTCTTGCCCTGCCCCATCCCTTCATCTCCTTCAAGCCTTTGCCAAAACGTCACTTTCTCAATGAGGCCTACTCTGACCACTATATTTAGGATTGTAAACCCACCCGGATAGCATGGAATTCTCCAACCAACTTCCTTCACCTGCTCTTCTTCCTTTCTCCATCATACCTACCACCTGGTAACAGAATATAAAAAACCCTTGTTTATGAAGCATATTTTACTCTTCCCTCTCACCATTGACATCATCAATTCCACGTGACTGTAAACCAAAGAAGTGTCTGAGACAGGTCTCAATCAATTTAGAGGATTATTTTGCCAAGGTTGAAGGCCTGCCTAGGAAAAAGCCACAGAGACACAAGTCACCATAGGATTTGTGCCCCACATTTTCCCTAAGAGGGTTTTTAGGGCTTCCACATTTAAGGGAGGAAAAAGTGGGCAGGAGGGGAAAGAGAAAAGGAAAAAAAAATGTGTGGGGGGGGTAGGGATATGTAGTGAGGTGAGTTGTCACATTTTTGTGAGGCTTTGATTAGTGTTCACTTAATCCTGAATCCACATGCTGCATGTGGAAAGACGGGGTAAAGGAACAGTCAATCATGCATTTGTTTCATGCTCAGCAAATCAGCATTTTGTTTTGTTTTGTTTTGTTTTTGAGACAGAGTCTCACTCTATAGCCCAGGCTGGAGTGCAGTGGTGTGATCTCGGCTCACTGCAACCTCTGCCTCCCGGGTTCAAGTGATTTCTCCTGCTTCTGCCTCCTGAGTAGCTGGGACTACCGGCACATGCCACCACGACCAGTTAATTTTTGTATTTTGAGTAGAGACAGGGTTTCATCATGTTGGCCTGGCTGCTCTGGAACTCCTGATCTCAAGTGATCTGCCCGCCTTGGCCTCCCAAAGTGCTGGAATTACAGGCGTGAGCCACCGCGTCCGCCTGCAAATCTGCATTTTACATAAGATAAAGTAAACATAAGGTAAAGAAAGAAGTCAAATATGCATTTGTCTTGTCTAGTGCCAGTGAAGATAAGCAGTTAGTTTACATTGTCAGAGCGAGGGGGGGCCACTTGGGGAGATCCGTAGCCTTCTATCTTGCAGCTATCTGTTTAAGAACAAAAGGAAAGGTAGTTTTTTGTATGGCTCAGTTTTCAAGCTTAACGTTTCCCTTTGCCATAGTGTTTGCGGCCCCAACATTTTATTTTCCTTTCACAAGACACACCCCAAGCAATAACAATCAAGAACCTAGAAAAGTGACTGGCACAGCGCACATGCTCAATAAATATTTTTACACAAATTTTAATTAATATTGATTTTAAATGTTGAAAGATATTGCCAAATTGGCCTTCTAAAGCTTTTTTGACTGTTATTTCTTTCCCAAAGACAGAGAAAAATACACAAAATAAAACCACAATAGTATTGAGTAAAGAAAGCTTATAATGCAAGTTATGAAAATCAAATGTTATTTAAAAAAGAAAATACTGACAAATTTAATCATATTACAATTTAAAATATTTGTCTGAAACCAAAAGGCAAATAATCAACTATGGAGAAATATTTGTAACATCTATACCAGACAGGAGGCTATCCTTCCTTAATTAAAAAGGATTTTTTTTTTTTTTTTGACATGGAGTCTCGCTCTGTCACCCAGGCTGGAGTGCAGTGGTGTGATCTCAGCTCACTGCAACCTCTGCCTCCCGTGTTCAAGCAATTCTCCTGCCTCAGCCTCCTGAGTATCTGGGATTACAGGCACCCACCAGCACATGCGGCTAATTTTTGTATTTTTACATAGAGATAGGGTTTTTAATGGAGATAGGGTTTCATCATCTTGGCCAAGCTGGTCTCGAACTCCTGACCTCAAGGTGATCTGCTCCTTGGCCTCCCAAAGTGCTATAAGTCAATAAGAAAAAGACCAATCACCCTGTAGAAAAACTGACAAACAGGCAATTTCACAGATGAAGTAATAAAAATGATCAACAAAAATATAAGGAGCTAGGCACAATTTGATAAATGCAAATCAGTACAACAATATTATTTTTCATCCACCTCACTGGCAATACTCAGGGTATGGGGAAAAAAAGGGTATGAGAAACCAGACAACGCTGTCTGGTGATATGTTAGTCTTTTTGTGTTGTCCTTGGTAGTTGCTTTGGTTATTTGGTGGTTTGTTGTTTTGCTTTGTTGTTTGTGCATCTCCAAATGTGAATGTAGCCATGTGGACCTTACATTTGTCATCCTCTGCTACTTGCGTGCACACGGGGACTGGGTCATCCATCCATCTCCCTTCTCAGATTGAATGCTGAAGGGAAGGCTGATGTGTCATGCTCACCATTCTCTCTCACTCAGCCTGTTTTTATTGGATCAAAGTGTGTTATTCTCCTATCTCCACAGCCAAGTTCTCTGATAGTCTCACCATATAAAGTAGACACATGCAAAACAACAGTCTTCACAGGTCCCCGCTATGCAGGCCCCCAGGGTTCCCGATAGAAACCACATCTGTCCCTCCCTTTCCCGCATGCCACTTCTTCCCTATTTGTTTTCTGTGAGTTGCAATATACAGCGGAGAGCTTGGGTTTAAGAATACCATCCATGCTATACAAATACAAAAGTCTACCTTTCTGTTTAGTGCATCCCCTGACTCTCTTAGCCAAGGGCAAATGTGGATTAAAGGATCTAACGTATACAAGCTACTTAATTCCATCAGCTTTGGAGCTAAATCAAAATTATCCCATATTTTAGCAAAATGTGAAGTTTTGCTTTTCAGTAGTTTAGAATTTTGGTTTTTCTTTTTTTTCTGTACCTACTGTTTCAGAGGGAAGTTATGAGAACTTGTTAAAAAATGCTAACTGTAGATCATATGAATCAGAGTTCTTGAGACTAGTGCTAAATTTATATTTTATTTCCTTCATTCTGTATCACACCATGGGCATCCCTGTGAGAGAAAATAACCCAGGAGGCTGGCCTGAAGAGTGTATACATTATGGGGGGAAATATAATAATCTGAGCTAACACACACTTTCTAATTATAGAATCAGATGCAATCAATCAGAGGTCTCACATAGTTTCAAGCTTTACTAACATTTTCAAGGATAGGAGCAGTCAAGCGTTTCAGGTAACCAAGTCTAGATCCCATGACACTCCCCAAGCCCCTCCTTCCACATTAAAAACACAGTTTTCCTGGCCAAGAATAACAGGTGAGGTGCGGGAGAGGTTCTGCAGATTATTATTCACATAAAAGAGAATTTTTAAGTTATGAAACATCTTTTTATACCCCCAAAGTGTTTTGCTGTTTATGGGCATTCTCCTACCTCTTAAATCCATAGACCCAGGGTTGATTTACTATAAGCATTCTTTTAGCTAAGGATATCCTGTTAAAAGGATCCTGCTGATGCGATTAAGTCCTGGCAAATATCATCCGTCTATAGAAGTCCATTGAACAGGGAGGCTGGAGCAGGTCACTGGCCTTGCTACCTTTCCTCCAGCGGGTGGGGGTAGCAAGAAGGCATCACCTTGGTAAAGCAAGCGAATGGGTCCCAAGGCAGCTTCTTACCCTCCTCCCTCCACACAATCACAGTTTTGTTTTGTTTTTTTTTAATCTTTAAGCATCCTGAAATTTCAGATGCTCTCCCCATTTTAACATTCCTTATAAGAGCCATCTTCTTCCCCAAGCACTGCCCCTTGCCTGCATTGAAGGACCCTGCTACAGATGCTGCTGCTGATTTAATGTTGCAAGAAAAGGAATATTAGCAACAAATAAGCAAAACAATGAAACGAAGGGCTTGAGATAGCAAAAGAATTCCTATCAAAAAAAGGTAACATATGACCTAACAAGAACAAAGAAGGCAGAAACAGGCTGACTGGATTATACATCTGTCCATGTACGTTACCATAGTAGTGTGGGCGGCTATTAAAAATCCACCTAACAGATGATTACTCTTCATTCATCCTCCTTGATACAACATTCACCAAATGGGGAGGGGGTTGTCAAAATAATCCAGGATGGACATGTTAAAATGCGTGAGATCTGGTATGTGGGAGGAATGAGTCGGTGCAAAAAACACATAAAAAGACAATGGAAAAATAATACCAAATGGCTTAAGAAATCTCAACTTAAGGAGAAAAAAAGCTTTCTAAAGAAAACACTAGAGAGACAACAATGTTAAGTAGCCTTATAAGTCAATGTGTAATTTGTAAGAGATTATATACTATTATAATAATTTTTAAATAACTGAATCCTTCTTTCCCGGTTCCCTATTTAGTAAAATTTAAAACAGTTTTTAAAAAGTCTATCTCATTTTAAATAGTAACTGAAATAGCTGCTTTAGTGATAAATCCCATCAAGATAAAAGAGTAAATTACCATAATTCTTTTCCTAACATATTATATAAATCTTGATTCCCACAATGAAAATTTCTATAGAGAGCATATTTTACACGCATAACTTAAAAACCTGAGATTGAACATGGACAGAAAAATGAAAAAAAAAGAAACTTTATAATGAAGACATATTTCAGACACTCTTGATGATAACCATATGTGCAAGCTATGAATGTTTTTAAAAAACATTGGAGAAACTACAAAAATATATGCTAGGAATTTGTCAGATTTTAAGGATATGTAAAGTTTTGCTTAGGTAATGGAGCTGATAAAGCGGGCAGCAGCTGTTGAGTTACATGTGGAAGAGGCTTTAGGAGAAAAAATAGAATTGGAAAAGAAAAATCTTTAAGTAGGGAAAAGAAATGAGGCACACAAAATAACATCGCAATAGGTTTTAAGAAAAATTAGTATTCATCAAGAAGGTGCAGATACAGTTCCTGTCCTTAACAACAAAAAAAAAAAGCTACAAATGAATTCTGGAAAATATCTTAAATTATTGTTTCCCATTTTCCTGTGGAAGACAGTTTAGCAAGACCATAGAATGCTTGGAACTAAAGATAGCATTTCCTTAGTCTAAGATCTTTGGCTGAAAAGCTGTTAATTTAGTTTGCTGGAGTTTCCTAAGAAAACTGCATATCATGTTTCTTAATTCTTTTTGTCAAAAACATGTGTTTCCAGTAGGGTGTCTGAAATGCAGAAATGTATATTTAAATTTCTTTTAACAATTTGTGAAACAACAGCATATCACATGTTTTATCTTATGTCTCTAGTTATTAATAAGAAGGAATTATCATCACATCTATACAGCATTCTTTTATGATTTGTCTGCTTATATCCTTTACTTTTTATGAGCTACTGGTTTTTGTCTTATTATCTTATAAAATATATTTAAATAATATGGAGAAAGATTTTTATATACTTGTTTTATAGTCTTATATTTTGAAACAAAACTGAACTCACTAATAAATTGATATAAAACTAGGGAATGTGGGAAAATTGCCTTTTATCATTACGATAAGATAGGGTATCCTTTCAGCACACTTAATTTAACTGTATAGCTAATTAAAATATCTTCTCATTAAGGACTGCTGCCCATCACTTATAAAAAGAACTCAACCCTTCTCATGATTTTTCTTTTTTTTCCCCTTCTCATGACTTTTCTGGCACAAATGAGGTCCCTGGCAGTCTAGTAAAATATAATGAGTTTTTTTGAGGTACTTCTAAAAATTCTGTGTATCATAAAAGGTGACTTGTGGGTCTCACTCCACCATAACCTGCTTAAATCCAGGATCTCACCTTTTTAATCCAGCAAGATCCCCGGCCAAAAAAGATTAATGGGCCAGAAGAAGCTTAAAGAGCTTTTGACACTTTTACATAAACATTTCTAACTTAAAAATAGAGGGTCTTTTTATTTTTGGACCAACAAAACTTACCCTTACTTAATTAAAACCATCAGTGAAGTTTGCCAATGACTTTCCAGCAGGCTTGTAACTACCAGTATGCAAGGGTGAATAAAGAAAAATTAGGCCAAAGCTTTCATCTTTAATAAACAGAAGTAGTCAATAGGTGAGCCCATGACTGCTAATTTCCTTTCAAACATCCATTCTCTCCTTCTCTCTCACATTAACAGAATTCCCATTTACAACTGGACACACTCCTAAATGGTCACATTTCCCAAGCTGTGATGAAGCTGGGTACAGTTATTGACCAAGTTATGGACAAGGAGCTCTAACTATAACCAAGTAGGGATCCAATTCAGTCTGAAATCTTACTGCTGCCTCAGGACTCCCCTGTAATGGATAGCTATGTAGCCCCCCAAATTTCCTCATGTGTTTCAGATTAAAAAGCACCATCTATGTGAAAGATGGTTCAAATCATTATCTCCTGTCTAGACTTCCATCAAGGACGTTGTGAAGCAAAGAGAATCTTACTCTAGTGGACTCTTCCTTCTATCTTCTCATGTCTGGCCATCTTTGGTCATAAAAGGAAAGTAACCTCTAAAGGTGATGGAGCTTGGCTTACGCCATCAATTGTGCATGTGAGTATGTTTATGTCTGTATGTGTGTTTCTATGCTTGTGAACAGAAGGGGAAATTGTCCTTTCCAGGAAGGCAACATACAATAGAATCAGTATTAATTACTACTGATATTATTATTGCCACTGGGATCCTACATGTCTGGCAGGAATTTAGGACATAATGTTTAATTGATCCCACCTCTGCTACCAGTTGTGTTAGCCCAAACAAGTCACTTATCCTCTCTTGTGCTTAATTCTCTTACCAGTATAAAAGGGTTAATTACTTTTTAAAATGGTCTTATAAAATGACACAAAAAAATAAAGAACTGAGAACTGTTCCATGCATACAGCAAGCACTCAAAGAATGTTAGTAACTAATATCACTGGTAGTGTTAATCTAGATGATGATATAATTTGGTTATTTAGTCACTTACTGAGTTCAAACTATGTTCACAGAAACAATACTTAAACTACTGTTCATAAGAATTATACGGCTGGGCGTGGTGGCTTATGCCTGTAATACTAGCACTTTGGGAGGCCGAGGCAGGTGGATTGCCTGAGCTCAGGAGTTCGAGACTAGCCTGGGCAACATGATGAAACCCCGTCTTTACTAAAAATGCAAAAAACTAGCCAGGTGCGGTGGTGCGTGCCTGTAATCCTAGCTACTCAGGCGGCTGAGGCAGGAGAATCACTTGAACCCGGGAGGCGGTGGTGGCTCACTTGTGCCACTGCACTCCAGCCTGGGCAACAGAGCGAGAATCTGTCTCAAAAAAAAAAAAAATGCTTTGAATATACTCTAAAAGTCTCTGAAATATTATTGCTCTTTATTGAATTATATTGACATGTGTGATCAATTATAAATATGTTCTTGCATCAGAACATTGTCAAAGCATATGCTTCTACAATAGATGAGGAAACATAACTCCAATAGTAGTAGTATATTTATAAATAAGAAAATAATTTCCATCATGAAGAAAATTAGGATTATCTTTAACCAATCTGTTTATATGTTTAATGTGATATTTCACATTACTTGGAATTTCACACTGAAATCTTTATAATGTCAACTTAATTTTAACACTGAAATCTTTATAGTGTCAACTTAATTATTAATAACTTTCAATAACAAAAGATTCAGAATCTTCCTTTTTAATATTCAGTGTGATCTATTTAAAAAAAATCATCTCCAATCTTCAATTATCTAATCTCAAAAAATAATATTCCATCTCAATCACTTAATCTCAAATTCACTTAAATGTCAAATTTGGCTTTGCTTCTTATACACTCTGTATGCACTTTTTCCAATTCATTAGAGCACTGAAAAAGACAGTGGAAACATAATTTTGTTCATATATGGATAGAGAATTTCAGTATTTTAATCAGAGTCTTTAAGTAAATCCACGCATGATCCTGCCAAAAAAAAATCATGGACCATCATTCCCAAAGAAAAAAAATGAAATATAAATAAGATTACATAATCATAACCTGCTAAATAAGATGAAATAGCAAAGGCATCAAATAATTCCTAGGAAAAAATAGAATTATGCCTTCATTTTGTTTATTCAGTAAATTTAATGCATTTTGAAAATCCAGTTTTGTATGCAAGAATAGAGTGAGATGTATTTTACACCACAGAAAGTATTCAAATCCTGACCATGAGCCATCACCTTGTTTGCTGCACTAGCTTTCTTGCCTTTGTTTTTGGAGTGGAATTTTACATTTACTTATTGGAGTGTACCATATTTCCAAAAACAGCTAACAAAAATGGCAACACAAATTATATTAGCCTTATACAGCTGGTACAGGAAGTCTATATAGGATGGCTGTCCTTCTTCAGTACTTCATTTCTCTTGGGCAATAATCCAGGTCACTAGAACTAGAATGGGAGGGTAATCTGCTTCTCAGGGAGTAATAGAAGACCCAGTTTGTGTGGTAACTGAACACAAGCCTTGAAGACCAAGAGAGATGAGCTTAAATCCTGCTTGCCTACCTAATACTTACATGATTCATAATGTGGGGTAAAATATGCTTATGTAAAATGGAGCTTCTAATACATCAGGATTAATGTGAAGGGTTAATGTGAAGATTGTAAGAGAAAAGGTAATGTGAAATACCTGACACATGTTAGACCCTCAATTCATGTTAGCTTCCTCTCCAAGCTAAAGCAGTGTTTAGGGAATTTCTGTTAACACATAATGATACCCAAATGTCCTATAAGTCCCACAATGGTCTTCTTGAGTATCCTGATGTCAGCAATCAGTCCACATTAATAGATTTTTACCTCCTCCACATCTTTATGCTAAAAGTTCCCTTGGACTCTTCAGCCTGATATTAGTCCAGCTCCATAATTATCTCAGAGCCCTCAAAGATCCTAAGGTATTAGTCAGGAAGTACAAATTACCTTATTCTTGTATGTAGATAGAAGCCAAACTGGAAAGGTTCCCAAAGGCTTCCAGACTTACCTCTGCTCTGAAACTCACACCAAAAAGAAGAAATCTGATATTGGAGAAATGAAAACTTTTCCAAGGTGGTATAATGAAATAAAAGGAAGAAAGCAATTCAAGAAGCCCAATTTGAACATCTCTACATAGATGAAACTAGCTCATTTGATTTCCCTTCTAGTGGAATGAAGTCAAAGTCTGGAAAAAGATGAGTTTATTTGGGGCTTACAGTAACACTTACATTATAAAACTCTGACAAACTCTAAAGCAAAAATCTCTAGCTACTGGTAATTTTAAATCTACCTAACATAAAATTTAATTGAATATGAAAAAGCTTTCAACTTTTCTTTTCCTATCTTTTCTTCATTTCATTAACTGATGAAAAGAGATACTGTATTAGCAGTTATAAACAGAAACACATCATTGCCCACTACAATTGCCCTATAATTTAATCAGTACATCTTGTAGCTCATTTTTATCTGTACTGGTAACTAAAATATAATCCACGCTTGTTATTTGTCTAGGATATCATAATAACATGACTTCATATGTAGATACTATATTATTCATATAAAAATTGATTTATAAATCTTTTTCTAGAAAATATAAATGCTGAATCTTTGCTAAGGTATAGGTTAAACAGTTATTACAAACTTTGTCAAAGACAATCTTTATAGTCCCTGACATTTCATAACATGATTTATATATATATATATATATATATATATATATACACAACATACAAGTGAAAAGATTAACAACTTGAGAGTGTTTTTTCTTTAGAAGAATATTTTACTGCAAAGGTAGAGAGCCATGGGAATGTGTATGAGCACATTGAATTTAGAGTTCAAGTTCTGGCTACGAGATACCTGGGAAAGTAACACACATTGAATAGTGAGAGGCAAGCATATACCTGCCTCATCAGCAGATGAAGTGTGAGCAGAAGTCGGTGATGGAGGGGAAGGTTCCAAGCCTCCAATACTCCATGCTCACCTTCCTGCAGTTTTGGGGTTTTTTTTGTTGCTTTGTGTTTTTTTGTTGTTGTTTGTTTGTTTTTAAGACAAGATCGGGCTCTCTTGCCCAGGCTGGAGTGCAGTGGCGTGAGCTTGGCTCACTGCAGCCTCTGCCTCCCATGCTCAAGTCATCCTCCCACCTCAGCCTCCCAAGTAGCTGAGACCACAGGCATGCACCACCATGCCCAGCTAATTTTTGTATTTTTTGTAGACACAGGGTCTCATCATGTTGCTCAGGCTGGTATCCAACTCCTGAGCTCAAGAGATCCTCCTGCCTCAGCCTCCCAAAGTGCTGGGATTACAGCTGTGAGCCATCATGCCCAATCTCATCTTTCTGCTTTTGAATCAAGTCCTCATGGCTGGCATTGCCTCAGCCATCTTGATATCATAAGACAACAAGCATGAAGAGTAAAAATGGTCATCATTCCTGATTTGCCTGGGATCATCTAGGTTTGCCTAGAATAGTCCTATTCGAGTATTTGTCCTAGGTATTTCCTTTCAAATAAATAATCATTATTAATAGTTGCACTCAAATAAGCAAAGATGCATTTGGTAGCTCTCTACTTTCTACTTCCTGCTTCCTGTTTCTGACACGACCATATTAGTAGCGTGTGGGAATCTTATGCAACAATTAGAGCTCTCATTTTAACACATGCTTAAATCTAAAGGTTAGCAGTGACCTGTCTTTATTGCTGACGTTCGCCAAATGAAATATTACTCAAATCACCTTACAGAAACAGCAGGCAGTATAATTAAAGACAAAAAGAATTACACCGGACACCATTTTCTAGGAACAGACCAAAGTGGCAGTGAGAGAATGCTTTGATGCTCCTGCCATTCCGACCACACATTGTAACCCCCAAAGGTGCTGTGGCCCTTGCTAAAGACTGCGAAAGGAACACAGCAGACAGGCCACTAGTCAGAGAGATAAGTAAGGAATATGGGAAAGGATAGGTGAGGTGTATATGAAATATATGAGGGAAATCAAGGCTGAGTGCTTCTGCCTGAGAACGAATCAAGAGAAGCCTGAGGCCAAGTGGGATGGCTCAAGCCTGTAATCCCAGTACTTTGGGAGGCCGAGGCACACGGATCACCTGAGGTCAGGGGTTCGAGACCAGCCTGGCCAAAATGGCAAAACCCCGTCTCTACTAAAAATACAAAAATTAGTCAGTCATGGTGACCCACGCCTGTAATTCCAGCTACTTGGGAGGCTGAGGCAGGAGAATCACTTGAACCTAGGAGGCAGAGTTTGCAGTGAGTGGAGATAACACTACTGCACTCCAGCCTAGGCAACAGAGTGAAAATCTGTCTCAAAAAAAAAAAAAAAAAAAAGAGAGAAGTCTGAAATACTTGTGCTACAGTGGTTTTGTCATTTATTGTGTGGTGCAAATCTACAATTATTTATACAATTTATTTTGGGAAAGCTTTTTAATTTTGTAAAGAACATTAGTTCTTAAGTTCATGTTTAATGAAAATATTAATACCACACTTCCATTTATCATCTGAGAGAAATTAATAATGAATATGTAAGTTTTCAAAGTGTTTGTCAACCAGGGATCATAATAATTACTATACCTGATCACATGAAAATCAGAAACACACAACCACTGAGGAAGAATCAGCAACTTTTTAAAAGTCTGGCAGTTATATTATGAAGATGGTAACGGAATACAATGATTTACGATGTGAAACTGGAAATGGGTGTTTACACATCACTCTGTGGAGTGCGACTTTGCATTTACATCAAGTGCCTGACTTCTAGATTAATTTTATGCATTATTCTATTCCAAGTTTTCTTGTGAACATACGAAGAGCTATAAATTTGTTACTTCCATTTAGCAAATGATCTTCAAAAGCAGTTAAATAATCCTGTGTCATAAATGCTTCAAGTAGAAGCATAGAAATAAAAATAGAAAATTAGTTAAATTTAATTCTTAAAATGATTTGAATTTTAAATCTAATTTACATATTTAAAATAAAGCTCTTACAAGCTCATTCTGCTGAAACTGAAACGTGATATAATGGTAAACACTATCGTAAATGTAGTTAAAATGTTCATCGACAAAAAATTATTTGCTTTTATGGTGATAATGTGAATACAAGTCTTATTGTAGTATAGCTTTGGAATAAAATCAATGTTCTTAATACATGTATTTGGAAGTGGCTGAGATGAATTAGAATTCATAACTGCATCCAAACTAGTTTCTAGTTTCAATATTGTACTAATATTGTAGTAATCAAAATACAGCTGTAGTTGTCAAAATTTACAAATGTGTATGTGTATGTATTTATACCCAGATTCTCTTTTTTTTCTTTTCTTTTCTTTTTTTTTTTTTTTCTTTGAGAGAGAGTCTCATTCTGTCATCCAGGCTGAAGTGCAATGGCGTGAGGTCAGCTCACTGTAACCTCTGCCTTCCAGGTTCAAGCAATTCTCCTGCCCCAGCCTCCCAAGCAGCTGGAATTAAAGGTGCCTGCCACCACACCCAGCTAATGTTTATATTTGTAGAAGAGATGGAGTTTTGCCTTATTGGCCAGGCTGGTCTCAAACTCCTGACTTCAAATGATCTGCCCGCCTTGGCCTCCCAAAGTGTTGGGATTACAGACGTGAGCCACCGTGCCTGGCCACAAATTCTCTATATTTTAAATTCAAACACATTTAAAACATGGAAACACTAAAAAATTAACAACATTCAAAAACACTGGCAAATGTTTATTCAAAGTATCCAATAAAAGGAATGCCAAAAAATACACTGGCTTTTACAGTTTGGGGTCAATTGCAATTACTAGGAATAGGCTAGAACAGAAAAACACGCATAAGATCAAGGAAATTGGAAGATCAAATGTGCCTTAAGATTTAATATTTAAATTCTCTGTATTTAGAAATATATTGGATTGTGGGAAGAATCTTTCAATAGGGCTTATGTTTTTCACTGGATAATTTTATACTCTGTATAAGATTAAAATAACATTGAGATGACCTACAATTACATGGTGTTGAAATTTGACAAAATAATCAAGTTTTGACAAATTTAAATATGACAATTTTCTAATATGATAATCTGAAAATTTTTGTCCAAGAAAATTACTCTGAATCAAGGCACAAAGATAGTATTTGTAAAATATTTTAGCTGAAATATTTATTATTTTACAATATGAAAATATTAGAAGAATATGTTCCTTTTAGCAAAATTTTCTCTAAGCTTACAGGAACCTCAACATGTAGAAAGTGATTATTGACAATTCAAAAACATTATTTTTCATAGGGAAATGCAAATTGAAAGAGTACTAATTTTGATTTTAATAACTATATAATAAAATAAATTGAACGTAGAGTCAGATCGTCAAATCAGTGCCTTAACCATTCCTATATGCAGAAGCTTATTTAGTCACTTCGCTTTCAATTAAAAGTGTACTTACAATAGTATTTTAGTAAAACCAAATAGGTGCCCATGCTGTTAATAAAATACTATTTAAAATATTGTTCACTTTATCTAATGCTTTTCTAATTTGGTTTTTGTTATTTTTAATAATCCACATAAATGTGTATAATTTAAAATAAGTGTACACCTGTTGGATATGCATGTGGAAAATGTTTTTACTCATAGAGTGCACAAAAAGTTAAGTTTGGAGACCAACACAAGAAATGTATAGCTTGTCTTCTGACACTGCCTATTAGGACGGAAGGACACGGCTTTGAGAAAATGATTCTTTCTATTAAGAAATGTCCAGTCATTTCTGAAAGCACTGAACTATTCACTGACCACAGTTCAAGTACAGACAAGGAATGTGGTTTCCACAGTCACTGTGAGCTGTGTTTTCACTATAAACAGAAGTCCAAGAGTAGCTAGTACATGTTAAATACAGATTATGGCATTTTTTTAATAGCTAGAAGAGACGTATGATTCCCTGAAAAGGAAAGCTGAGGCCTGTGGCCTTGCACAATGTTGTGCAGTGGCCGAGCTAGACCTACGTCTCCCAACACATATCCTCATGCTTTATCCCAAACTGTACTGGATGCCTTGTTCATAGTTAGCTCTACTTAATAGAGTACTGGTTAAGAATGAAGGTATAATTCGGCCAGGCACGGTGGCTCACGCCTGTAATCCCAGCACTTTGGGAGGCCGTGGTGGGTGGATCACTTGAGGTCAGGCGCTCGAGACGAGCCTGGACAACATGGTGAAACACCATCTCTATAAAAAATAGAAAAATTAGCAGAGCGTGGCGGTGCACGCCTGTAATCCCAGCTACTCCGGAGGCTGAGGCGGGAGAATGGCTTGAACCTGCGAGGCGGAGGTTGCAATGAGCTGAGATCACGCCTCTGAACTCCAGCCTGGACCATAGAGCAAGACTCCGTCTCAAAAAGAAAAAAAAGAATAAAGATATAACTCATCTCATGCTAATGAACCTTCTTTCTTTCTACTGGATTTTTTTTTCTAAATGTTAAAGACTCTTCTTGCCTTTAGTTTAACTGGTTTTGGAGTTAGAGGGTCATTGTTATTTAGCAAATTATTCTTATTTTTTAAGGAGGACGTGAAACTGCAGTGGTTTCTAGAGAGAAAATAGATTAATAAAACAGAAGAGATTTTTATTTTTCATACACTTATACTTTCCTTTATAAAATAAGTGTCCGGAAGTGAGCATTTTTCTCTTTTATGAATCCTGAAGGCTTGAAAAGACTTATTGCAAAAATGTTTACAGAATGCCTTCTAATAATATAAACCTGCTCATTAACACGATGAGACTTAGGACAAGAATGTTGCAATAAATGGAATGAAATATTACAGTTTTAAAGGCATTAGTCTGGAAAATTTCCTATGTGGGAAAAGCTTGCTCTAGCGATACAAGCCTTTACCTGGGAAAATTATCTAGCTGTTTTCTCTTTTTCTTGTCCACACGTGGTGCCTTGGCTAAATGGTTTCATAACAAGCATTACAAGCTTATAAGACTGCAACATTACTCCCCACTTCCACTACCACTTCTCCAGCCAAAAATAAGTAATGGAAATTGAAATATCATCCATAAGGGCTTGGCACAAAAGAGGAGTGTATTGCAGAGTCATTTCAGAAAGAAAATATTTACTGCCCAACGAAGTGGGCGCTGCAGTAGGCCTGGCTGGCATGTGGTGGGCAGTGCAGAGAACTGAAAATGCACCAAGAAACGCAGTATGAAACTTTTGGCTATTTTGTTTTTCTGTTTAGATTATAATATGCAAAAGAGGTAGAATATAAACAGATGTTGAATCTTTATTCATCACATTTTGCTCTACTTGGTTTTATAGTATAGTTTGGCCAAAGTACTCAGGTTTATCATAGACATTTCTACTTAGTATTAAACTCTGAAAACTAAAGTAATGAAGCTCTACTGAAAAGACTTGGTTATATTCTTGATTAATTTGCATGGATACAGTTGTCTGAGAATACATTTTAAGCACATTTCAACAATATTCATATCTTGAGGAACACTTACTTTATTAAGTGACAGATGCAAAAGAAACTCAGATGAGACTACCTCATGCTGTAAATCTAAGGTTTATGTGGAATAAATAAGTACACATTATCTTTCAATAGATTCAGAGCTGTGATGAAGTAAAAGAAAGAAACAAAGTTTTAAAAGCTCAGAAAAACCAGTGAATTTTAAGTTTACCGCCCTATGACAAGGAACAAAATAGCAGGCTTCAATTTTAGAACTCTAATTACTTTTTTCTGTATTTAAACACTTTCATAAGCAAAAAGGAACATCCTTATATGCCTGATATCACCTATCTCAGTCAAAATATTTTGAAAACTAAGCCTCATAATGAAACCTCATTAGTTCATGCTCAACGCCAGGAGTACTTTGTACTTTGGAAGTTATAGGGGCCGTTGTTACAGGTCTATTGCTCTGTTGTTACTCTCTGAAGAATACATTCCCACTGGTGGAAAGATGTGTAAAACAAAGATAAACTCAGTGATTAAAATACAAATAAAGTAATATGGTTCTGCATTTGTAAAACTGTCCTGACCCATATTGATTGGATGAGGCATGTATACGACTTGCCAGGTGTAATATTACTCCTTCCTAAATCTATCCTTGCTGCTCTCCTTCACTCTTCAAACGTTTCCCTTTGAAATAGAATGAGATCATGCTGTTATGAGTCAATGATTCCCCCTCAAAAAATGTACACAGGGCTTTGGGCATATTAGTTAATCCAATAGGTGTAAATATAAACAAAACAACACTCCTAACATGTTGATGCTTTCAGTTTAGTAAGTGGGAGAAGTATATAAACTATTAAATTATAAAGCATAATGTGATAAGCCCTTCGGAGATAGAAACACACAAAGAAGGAGGATGATGAAGATATCCAACAGTGGTAGAAGAAATATGATCTCTCAGATACATCACAGCCTTGTACCTGTCTTGGGACTATTTAAACCAAACTATATTTTAATATGAAGAGTTAGTTCTGTCTCATTCCTGTCTCCAAAGAACTTATATATTCCCTATAGCTAAAGGAAAAGCTAAAAATCGTTAATCTTAACTTTCTTTTCTCTGGTTCTTTTTGTTCTCAACACAGTCAACAGTTGTTTTATTTTATTGGACATGCCATGCAAGCTCCAGAGATGAATAATGTTAGTCATCAAACATAGATATAACATTAAGTCGCTCTCAAACAAGGCATCTTCTTTCGTTAATAACATTCTGTAAAAATTGTGCTTTTTGAAAATGCTTGGAAACAGCATTAGCAGTTTCAAAACAAAACTGCCAGGGAAGTTTATTTTATAGTCAAGATTACTTCCATGTTAATATTCTTCTTTTTAAAGAGAAAAATTTTAGCCGAGACCAGAGCAACAACGAAAAGCATAACATAAGCTTAAACTTAAAAAAAAAATCTTTAGAGGCTTTTCATCTGTTTTTTGGGGGGGGGTTTTTTTGTTGTTGTTTTTTTTAAGTTTCAACATGAACTCATCTTTCTAAGGAGCATTTTGGGTATTATACAGCTTATTTTATGCATTTCACAAGCTAAATTTAGACAATTATACTCAACTCTGAATTTCAGTTTTATAAGAACCTTTTTTTGCTTGGTGAGGTTCTTTTGAGCCTCAAAAGCTGATTCTCATTTTAATCCCTTTGAATTCTTAAGGATAAAAGCTATTCAAATAATTTGAAGACTTCTATCAAGAATCCTGGCATTTTTCCTGCAGATAAAATGAGCATTCCTTTCTTCCCACATACCAAACAGTGAAGGCAATATAATTGTTTTCTAAACACAGATTTTATTTCTTCTCAGTTAATATTACATAATTTTGGCACAATATATTATTAAATCATTGACATTTTTATAAATAACTATGTGGCACTATGTATGACATTTACACGATACCTGGCATAAACATGTACATAAATTAATTATCTATTATTTAGGATAATTATCCATTATTAGGATTTGCTAAGAAGATGGCATTTAGCTCTTCCTAGCAAAGTGCCAAATTCTTGAGACAGGAAATCATATCTAATTTTAAAAGCAACATAACAAGTGATATTAATAATCACAGTGTCTCTGTATGGTAATCATTATTACTGTCATCAACATCATAGTGAATATTAACTGGGAACTGAGATTGAGATAGGCACAGTTCTAAGAACTTATTTCTCATATCTCAATCTTTGCAGTGGTCCCATGAATAATAACTATTATTGTGCCCATTTTACACATGAAGAAACTAAGACCTAGAAAAATATTAAATAAATATTAGATAAACCCTACTAAAGTCTAAGCCACAGAAATTAAATCCTACAACCTCACATTCCCAGATGCTCTCTATATTTTACATTCACCAAAGGTTTTTCTAAAACACTTTTTGACACTTTTTGCCTTGCAGTGTAGAAGTTTGGCCAGTGAGCAAACCCATATTTTGAATTCTAAATATATTATAGATGATAACTCAGATGACTTGTACTTTTCTCTCTATATTTTACTATTAGTTGAATCCAGGAGAAAACAAAACATTATTTTTAAAATGTTGAAGAAATAAAAAAACTGTCAATCTCAAATGCTATGTCCAGGGAAACATATATTTAAAGAATCAAGGCAAAATAAAAACTTTTCCAGATACACAAAAGCTTTAAGAGTCCATTTCTGACAGACATGTGTTAAAAAATATACACACACACACACACACACACACACACACACACACACATATATATATATATATATAGCAGAATTATGCAATGAGAGTAGATAAACTCAAATCTGCATGTCTACATAATGGAATAAAAAGTACTAAAAATGGGCTGGACATGGTGGCTTATGCCTATAATCCCAGCATTTTGGGAGGCCAAGATGGGAGGTTCACTTGAGGCTGGGAGTTCAGGACCAGTCTGGGCAACATAACAAGACCTCAGCTACAAAAAATAATAAATAAATATTAATTAGCCAGGTATGGTGGTGCATGCCTGTAGTCCTAGCTACTTTGGAAGCTCAGGCAGGAGCCCAATCACTTGAACCCAGGAATTCAAGGCTTCAGTGAGCTATGATTGTGCCACTGCACTCCAGCCTGCGAGCCAGAGTGAGATCTTGCCTCTAGGAAAAAAAAAAAAAAAGAAAAAAAAAGGAAAGAAAAAAGTGCTAGGAATGATAAGTATGGAAGTATATCTGCTATTGTTTGGATGTGTCCCTTCCAAAATGCAGGTGTTGCCAGTACTATAGTATTAGGAGACGGGGCCTTTAAGAAGTAATTAAACCCTGAGGGCTCTTCCATCATGAAGGGGATTAAGGCTCTTATAAACAAGACTGCACACAATGCTCTGCCCTCTTGCCTTCCATCTTCTGCCAGGCGAGGACTCAGCATTTCTTCCCTCCAGACGATGGAGCATCAAGGCGCCATCTTGGAAACAAAGAGCAGCCCTCACCAGACACCAAACCTGTGAGCGCCTTGATCTCGGACTTTCCATCCTCCGTTACCGCGAGAAAATAAATTTCCATTCTTTATAAATTGCCCAGTTCGAAATATTCTTTTATGGCTATACAAACAAATTAAGACAATATCTTAAAGGCATTTTCTCATTTCAAAATATTTATTGATGAGATAATTGGTGGTTTAAAACAAAAATAATAGCAAAATATTTTGGATTTATAACATGTATAGAAAGAAAATACATGGTAACAATTTTACAAAGAGAAGGAGGTAGAATAGAAGAACACTGTTTTATGGTTCTTATATCATACATGAAGATATATATTAAGTGAAGGTAGACTGTAATAAAATGAATATTTGGAATTCTGGAGCAACTACTAAAAAACTAAAACTAAAAATAAAATATGGTTGATAAGAAAATAAGAGAATGGTAAAAATACCTAATTAACCTAAAAGTCAGGAGATAAGTATATAATAAAGAAAAAATAGATGAGACCTACATGAAATAAACAAGAGGGAGGACTTATGCTATCAATTACAGTCATATTCATTGCATGAAGACCACAAATAAAAATGTAAATTGTCAGTCTATAAAAAAACACCACACAACTATATACTTTGTACAAGAAATGTCTTTATATAAAGAAATAAATAAGAGTGAAAGATTGGAAAAGATACACCAAGCAAATACTAATCATAAAAAAACCAACAACTCCATTAAAAATGGGCAAAAGGATGGAATACTTCAAAAAAAAACTCCATTAAAAATGGGCAAAAGGATGGGATACTTCAAATGATCAATAAGCTCATAAAAAGACACTCAATATCTCCAATCTTCAGAGAAATTCAAATTAAAACCAGAGTGAGATACCACTAAACACCCTCTAAAATGATTAAAATTCAAAAGTTGACAACACTTCCTGTAAGTGAAGATATTAGAGTAACACTAAGTCTCATACACTGCTGTTGAGGATGTACAATGATACAGTTTTGGAAAACAGTGCAGCAGTTTCTTAAAAAGTAAAACATAGACTTACCATATGATTAGCAGTTACACTCCTCTCCTGTGTCGATAGTGAATAAAAATGAAAATTTATGACTACACAAAGACTTACACGTAATGTTCTTAGAAGTTCTTAGAAGTTTTTGTTTGTTTGTTTGTTTGTTTGTTTTTTCACGATCTTGGCTCACTGCAAGCTCCGCCTCCCGAGTTCATGCCATTCTTCTGCCTCAGCCTCCCGAATAGCTGGGACTACAGGTGCCCGCCACCATGCCCGGCTAATTTTTTTTGTATTTTTAGTGGAGACAGGGTTTCACCGTGCTAGCCAGGATGGTCTCGCTCTCCTGACCTCGTGATCCGCCCTCCTCGGCCTCCCAAAGTGCTGGGATTACAGGCGTGAGCCACTGCGCCCGGCCAGAAGTTTTATTCATAGAAGTCACAGAATAGAAACAACTCAAATGTCCATTAACAGATGAGTGGAAAAATACACTGTGAATACATACAATGGGATACTTTTCATCTTTTAAAAGAAATGGGCTATTAAAACGTAGAATAACATGTATGAATTTCAAAAGCTTTATGCGGAGTAAAAGAAACCACATATCAAAAGTTACATCCATTTATATTAAATTCTACAGCAGGCAAAACCAATCTGTAGTTGAGGGTTGGGGTGGATTGACCAGCAAAGAATAAAAGGGTTTTTCTGAGGGATGATGATGATTACATGGGTTTCACATTTGTCAAAATTCATCAAACGCTATGCTTAAAATGGTTGCATTCCATTGTGGGTAAATTTTTCCTCCTTAAAGTCGACTACTTTAAATGTTAATTTTAAAATATTTACTGTCTTTTGTAAACCACTGATTCCCCAACTTTCATCAATTAACGCTTAAGAGAAAAGGGATTATAGCCATGAATCTCAGAAACCATACATTAGCCACATGCCTATATACATCAAATAAATAATTTACCTACTGGTTAAAAACGAAATCATTTACTTAAGTTATTAATTTGAAGTTCTAGTGACTCAAACACTCTAAAATATAACCCAAATCTGAAGAGGTAGGAAAAATTACATAGACTATATTCATTTCAATAAATGTTGGCACTATAATTTTCGAGTGATAATGTTCTAACACTAAAATGTATTTTGTTCCAGGGCATGTGACAGTGTTTGTTTTTGGTTCTAAAATTTATGGGGTGTTTGAAATTAACTAGCTCAATAAAAATAAATATAAAAAAGAAATTAACTTTCTATAAATGCTTTCAGATACTCTTTCACAGAACGCGAGGGTAATAAAACAATCACATTTAATTTATTTTCCTTCCATTTATAATGCTGAAGCTCTCATTTATGCCTCCAGTCATAACAACAAATTGTATAACAAATCAATTGCTTCATACTGACTAGGTTAGCTTGAAAGTGTAGCCCCATTTTTGAAATTGCCACCTACAACTAGCTAAGCCAGCATGTATATCCTTAAAAACAATAATGATAAAATTAAATTGTTGTTCAAATCCCTACCTTATGTTCAAAGGTCACAACCAAGCACAGAATTCGAAAGTTAATATTAAGAACTGTTTGTTATTTAAGAAGGAATAATAATCTCTCAGTCTTATTTAATTCCCTATGCATATCTTGACTACTTTAATGTGGATGATATCATTACTAAAATACCCTCTACTCTAGGTATTGCACTTTAGAGCACAGTAATGTGATTTAATTCTGAGTTCCAATAGCAAAACCTGATGTTTGGACAGTGTGACTCATCAATCTGGAATTACCTGTTCTACTGCTTCAAAAGAGCCTTCCCTTCACCTTCCCACCTCTCTACCTCTGAACTCTTAGGTGGCAGGTCCCTTAGACCCATTGAATTTGGTTATCTCAGCTGTCAGGAACTTCTCACTCAACTTTGAGGAAAGAGAGGCAGGACACTGTTTAAGGAAATTTACAGCAGCCAAAAGTACAGACTGTCAATGTCCAAAAAAGAAGTTACCCAAAAATAGTAAAGAAGTCCTGCCCAGCTGAATATTCTGTGCTTTCTCTACTGCCACCTCTAACCCATTAAAAGACTTAGATTTCTAAAACCACTACTGGAACAAAAGAAATACTCAGAAAAATTAGAATTTAAAAAAATCCCCATTTTCAATACCAACATACTAAAATCAAATATATTCCTTATGAAGAAAAATACAAAAGAGAAAATATATTTAATACAAGGAATAAAATGATTTGAATAAATATCATATTCCTGAATTCAAGGACTCATTAATATAAAGATATCAGTTCTCCCCTAGTTAATCTATCAATTCAATATAACCCCAATAAAAATTTTATAATTTTATAAGTTTTGTAAAACATAACAAGCAAATTTATAGTGGATGTTCAAGAGTAAGTGTTCTAGACTGCCAAAGAATAATAATCAAAAAGTGCAAGGAGAGGGGATATTGATTTAATAAAATTAAGAAAGATGTTAATTTGTTACAGCAATTGTTTGAGTTTTAAAATCAATGAACCATGAAACACTATGCAATAACTTGAATAGAATATAATGACTAAATATTTAGTAAAAAAAAATAAAAAAAATTAAAAAACGGCCGGGCACGGTGGCTCACGCCTGTAATCCCAGCACTTTGGGAGGCCGAGGGGGGTGGATCATGAGGTCAGGTGATCGAGACCATCCTGGCTAACACGGTGAAACCCCGTCTCTACTAAAAATTACAAAAAATTAGCTGGGCTTGGTGGCGGGCGCCTGTAGTTCCAGCTACTCGGGAGGCTGAGGCAGGAGAATGGCGTAAACCCGGGAGGCAGAGCTTGCAGTGAGCCAAGATCGCGCCACTGCACTCCAGCCTGGGCGACACAGCGAGACTCTGTCTCCAAAAAAAAAAAAAAAAAAAAAAAAAAAAAACTATACATTCCTGTTATATAATAAAATTAAAATAATTTCCAGGCATACCTTTCCTTCATTGCACTTTCCTCAATGTGTAACTACATGCATTAAACTGCATATGTGATGCCAGTCCTTTAGCCCACTAGAACATAGTTACCCAGAGAGCAGTTGGGATTGCTCTACATTGCATCTGACACAAATCCTAGCAGCCTGCAGGCATTCAATAGGTATTTTATGAATTCATAAATAAATAACTAAATGTTAAAGCACACTTAAGAGATTTAGCAACATTTATAAAAGAATATTTCAGAATGTCAAGATATGTAAGTATAACCTAACAAGATATCAAACCAGAAGCAATACTTTTTAAAAATTGAAGAAAAAAAACCCATAAAAACGTAAAGCATCTGTAGAGTAAAAATACCATAAAGCTAAAAGATAAGCACAAGACTCAGAGAAACTACGTGGTAAATTGTAGTGGGGGGTTCATATCCATAATATATTTAGAACTCTTAAAAATAAATAATAAAAAGGCAAGTAAGTAAATAATAAAATAAGGAAACAATATAAACAAAGAAGTCACAAAAAATAAAAATGTCCAGTAATATGTGAAAATTTTTCCTTCATCTTGACTATTGTGGAGTTTAGAGAGATGGAAGATCACATCAAAATTAAAACAAATGTAAATTATATCTTTTCCTCAGATACCTATAAATAAGATTGATGTTTTCCAGCACTTTCAAGGGTACAGACAACAGAAACCACTATTTCTTTTATTAGAATTAAAAATGGGAGTAGTTTTGGGAGATGGCAATTTATCAAAATATTAAAATTATTAATGTGCTTCTTCTTTGACTTAGAAATTTCACTTTTAGAAGTCTACTTACTCTATGGAAATACTGACATATGTGCATTCAAGGGCAAACTTTTCATTGTAGCATTCTTTGTAAATAGTAAATTAAAAGGAATCAACTCAAATGCCCCTCAATTAAATACACTAGTTTACATACATATTATGTTGTCTATGCAGTCTTTAATGCACTTTAACGCATTTAAGATGCAAATTAGTTCTATCAATATGTACCTCTATGAAAAAACTTACTGAAAATATAAATCTAAAACTAAGTTACAGAACAAGCTGCATAGTGTGACTCAATTCATGTCATAAAAGTATACAAAAGTTTCCGACATGTACAAATGGAGCTGATACTCTGCATGAAACATAGTACTTAAAATGTTTGATTAATGAATGAACAAGTCAATGAATAAATAGAATGAAACCTTAAAGTATCCAGCATGTTGAAAACAGTGATCACCTATGGGTTGGAGAGTACAATGGGAGAGGTGAAATGTTGTAAGGATATGAAGGAGACTATTCTATTTTATATATTTACTTGAATTTTTTAAACAAGTTGCATTCACAATGTTGAATTTAAAATTAATTTAAATTAAAATATAAAAAAGATCTGGCTATTAGAAAAATATTAAAGTAAAAACACAAAGTTGAGAGCAAAATTAAGCTAAATGAATAGTCCATTTTTACAATGAAAACAAAAAGCACCTAAATTACAAGTGCCACTTAGATCAAAAGCTGAAATAAAATAATGTAATTAGGCTAGTGAGGTGACTTTCTACCACCCTATTTAATTCTAAAGTTGATAGTCAGTTATTTATATGGACGTGACCTCAAGTGAATGGATTACATAGAGTTTGAGTGTTAACTTTCTATATCTTAGGCTCACTCTCAATATTTTTTAGATAAATAATTTATTACATTATTAAAATGATTTTGACATTGGTCAATAGGTACAAACATAAAGAAAAGAAATAAGTTCTAATGTTTGATAGCAGAATAGGGTGACTATACATAGCAATAATATTTTGTACATGTCAAAGTAACTAAAAGAGAGGATTTGAAATATTCCCAACACATAGAAATAACAAATACTCCATAATGGTATTGCTGAGTCAAATGGTATTTCTGGTTCTAGATCCTTGAGGAATTGCCACACTGTCTTCCACAATGGTTGAATTAATTACACTCCCACCAACAGTGTAAAAGCGTTCCTGTTTCTCCACAGCCGCGCCAGCATCTGTTGTTTCCTGACTTTTTAATGATCGCCATTCTAACTGGCTTCAGATGGTATCTCATTGTGGTTTTGATTTGCATTTCTCTAATGACCAGTGATGATGAGCTTTTTTTTCTGTTTGTGGGCTGCATAAATGTCTTCTTTTGAGAAGTGTCTGTTCATATCCTTCACCCACTTTTTGGTGGGGTTGTTTTTTTCTTGTAAATTTGTTTATTTCTTGTACATAATCCTTAATTATGTAAGGATACATAATAACAGATTGTAGATTCTGGGTATTAGACCTCTGTCAGATACTTAAAGTAAAATAAAAATTTTTTTAAAGTAAAACCAAAAAAAAAAAAGAAATGACAAATACTCAAGGTGATAGATATTCCAAGTACCCTGGCTTTACTGGCTTTATCATTACACATTCTATGCATGGAACAAACACATATACCTCATAAATATGTAAAATATTATGTATCAATAAGAAATGGGAAAAAGACTAAAGTCAACTGTGATTTTAGAAACAAATTACATTCTAAGGTTTCACCAAACAGTGTTACAGCTTTTGCCAAAATCCATAATCAATCTTTTCCTTAATTCATTCTGTAATTTAAATGCTATCTAGTAACCAAAAGAATAATGCTAAATATAAATAAACAAAAAAGGGTGAAAACTGGTTTTGAAATATGCCATACCTAAAGATGTGAATCCTGTTTATAATTGCCAATTAAGGGTATCTGCATAGAAGTCTAAATTATATCGATCACCCCTCTGGACTAGAGTTTGAATTCAGAATGAATGCAAGGAAGACCCAGTATTGTTCCAGCAAATACAATAAATACTACTCAGCTGCTGCAGGGCCAAAGAGCCCTGAGGGGGTAAAACAATAGGCAAGCTCGTGTAGCAGTCTTCAAATCTTTGTCTACAGTTTCATTCCTGGAGTATTTAGAACTGTGAATAATTTAGTAATCTGTACACTTCCTGATGTAAAATCTGTTATCTGAATTAAGAGATTTTTGTATCTCTTAAAGCAGTACAGCTACATTTAATAGAATTATGCTTTCCTGGCTGATTTACATTTGCTGCCAGACAAGTTAAAAGTACTAAATAAAAATCCAATAAATACATCTTCCCCAATTAAAGAGAGGCCACTCTTCACCAATTTAAATGGCAATTAAATAGTTCACTAATTTTATAGCTGTTTCAGTTAACAACATAATATAACCATTATATGTGTCCATTAACTGTAATATAAGCCTACCAGATGGAAAAAGTCAGAAGAAAATTCAGCTAGAAGTTAAAATGTATTTTGTAATAAACTACATATGAATGAATGTATATGGTGACCTAGAACTAGGATATGATGACTTTCAACAGAAGCAACAAGAAAAAGTTAAATCCTAATAGCAGGAAATTTTTCAAGTTTTTATTTTGCATTTATCTGCTTCACTCTTAATAAGCAAAAAAAAAAACCTGACATTTGGCAATCATAAGTTTTTCCATAAGCACAAATAGAACCATAGCGCCTGGTTCCAGACTACATATAATATTTCTGAGAAAATGCATACATGCCATGAAGATCTTAACATGCCAGTTAAGGAAGAAACAGAGAAACATAAATAGTGATTAAATAGTGATGCAGTAGTTCATTTATTATTTTATAATACAAATATATTTTGTATCAGGACTGGTTTTACCAATGAAATTAAAAATGCCTGGTAGACTAGCAATAATAAAATAGGTAAGGTGACTTGGAGTCAGGGGAGTCATAAAAGCACCGTACATTGATTCTTTTTGAAAATGTGTGTATCTTCTCATGTTAGCCAACGTAAATATGATTCAGATATGTTTGGGAGCAGCATCACAACAATCTACAATAAAAATTACTTTTAACAGTCTCACAGAAAACTTACCTATAGGTTTGGGAAGTGTTATACTGTAATTTTATGAGAAAAATAATGCATTTTTTAGTTTATTATCAAATATTTTACTTAGGCAGAAAGATAGTAAAATATATTTTATTTAAGAATAGTAATAATAGCACTATCATATTAATCAAAATGCAAAGAAAAGTTTAAAAATTTCTAATACTCTAAAAGTTCTATTGTTGATTAAAAATTTGTTGATATTTCATTTATAACAGCTGCTCTGCTATGAAATTATAGTAAAAGTGAATAGAAATACCTATAACATTTTTTATATCTTCTTTATTTCTTCTCCCACGTCCCCCCGAGATGGAGTGTCACTCTGTCGCCCAGGCTGGAGAGTGCAGTGGTGCGATCTCGGCTCACTGCAACCTCCGCCTCCTAGATTCAAGCGATTCTCCTGCCTCAGCCTCCTGAGTAGATGGGATTACAGGCACATGCCACCACACCCAGCTAATTTTTGTATTCTTAGTAGAGACAGGGTTTGCCCATGTTGGCCAGGCTAGTCTCGAACTCTTGACCTTGTGATCCGCCAGCCTCAGCTTCCCAAAGTGCTGGGATTACAGGCGTGAGCCACTGTGCCCAGGTATATCTTCTTTAACTACGTTGGCACAGTTAAGTTAGAAATACTGAAATAGGAGCTAAAAAGCCAGATTAAACTCTGGCTGGTCTTCCATTTCATGGCAGGATGTTGGGAGAAATTACTAGTGTCCCTGGCGTACAGGAGCTTAACAAACATTAAGAAATACTGTTTTTTACTAAGTGATATAAAAGATTCTTCAGACTTTCAACACAGGGAATTTTAATGTTTATTTTATCCATAGTTTGGAAAATGTGAGTGCTCAAATACTGGTTTCTGGCTCAACTGCTTAGTCACAGAAATCTAACAATTTCGGTTTCTAAATAATGAACATCATTTTAATAATGTTTTTGGAGAGAAAAAATTGTTAAATGCATATTAATTAATATGTTAGGGATAATACTAGAGACGTCTCATTTGTAATAAGCCTTCATCTTTTAAAAAAAATTTATTAGTTATTTTAACATCAATCCACTTTAGAAGCTTATTTTCTTTTTTAAAAAAATTATACTTTAAGTTCTGTGATACATGTGTAGAACATGCAGGTTTGTCACATAGGTATACACATGCCATGGTGGTTTGCTGCACCCATCAACCTGTCATCTACATTAGGTATTTCTCCAAATGCTATCCCTCCCCTAACCCCACCACCTCCCGCAACAGGCCCTGGTGTGTGATGTTCCCCTCTCTGTGTCCATGTGTTCTCATTGTTCAATTCCCCCTTATGAGTGAGAACATGCAGTGTTTGGTTTTCTGTTCCTGTGTTAGTTTGCTGAGAATGATGGTTTCATCCATGTCCCTGCAAAGGACATGAACTCATCTTTTTTATGGCTGCATAGTATTCAATGGTGTACATGTGCCACATTTTCTTTATCCAGTCTGTCACTGATGGGCATTTGGGTTGGTTCCAAGTCTTTGCTATTGTGAACAGTGCGGCAATAAACATACGTGTGCATGTTTATAGAAGAATGATTTATAATCCTTTGGGTATATACCCAGTAATGGGATTTCTGGGTCAAAGGTATTTCTGGTTCTAGATCCTAGAGGAATTGCCACACTGTCTTCCACAACGGTTGAACTAATTTACACTCCCAACAACAATGTAAAAGTGTTTCTATTTCTCCACATCTTCTCCAGCATCTGTTGTTTCCTGACATTTTAATGATCACCATTCTAACTGGCGTGAGATGGTATCTCATTGTGGTTTTGATTTGCATTTCTCTAATGACCAGTGATGATGAGCTTTTTTAAATATGTTTGTTGGCCACATAAATGTCTTCTTTTGAGAAGTGTATGTTCTTATCCTTTACCCACTTTTTGATGGGGTTGTTTTTTTCTTCTAAATTTGTTTCAGTTCCTTGTAGATTCTGGATATTATTCCTTTGTCAGATGGAGAGATGGCAAAAATTTTCTCCCATTCTGTAGGTTGCCTGTTCACTCTGATGATAGTTTCTTTTGCTGTGCAGAAGCTCTTTAGTTTAATTAGCTCCCATTTGCCAGTTTTGGCTTTTGTTGCCATTGCTTTTGGTGTTTTAGTCATGAAGTATTTGCCCATGCCTATGTCCTGAATGGTATTGCCTAGGTTTTCTTCTAGAGTTCTTGAGGTTTTAGGTCTTATGTTTAAGTCTTTAATCCATCTTCAGTTAATTTTTGTATAAGGTGTAAGGAAGGGGTCCAGTTTCAGTTTTCTGCGTATGGCTAGCCAGTTTTCCCAACACCATTTATTAAATAGGGAATCCACTCCCCATTGCTTGTTTTTTGTCAGGTTTTTCAAAGATCAGATGGTTGTAGAAGTGTGGCGTTATTTCTGAGGGCTCTGTTCTGTTCCGTTGGTCTATATATCTGTTTTGGTACCAGTACCATGCTATTTTGGTTACTGTAGCCTTGTAGTATAGTTTGAAGTCAGGTAGCGTGATGCCTCCAGCTTTGATCTTTTTGCTTAGGATTGTCTTGGCTGTACAGGTTCTTTTTTTGTACTATATGAAATTTAAAGTAGTTTTTTTTTCTAATTCTGTGAAGAAAGTTAATGGTATCTTGATGGAGATAGCATTGAATCTATAAATTACTTTGGGCAGTTTGGCCATTTTCACTATATAGATTCTTCCTATCCATTAACATGGAGTGTTTTTCCATTTGTTTGTGTCCTCTCTTATTTCCTTGAGAAGTGGTTTGTAGTTCTCCTTAAAGAGCTTCTTCACATCCCTTGTAAGCTGTATTCCTAGGTATTGTATTCTCTTTGTAGCAATTGTGAATGGGAGCTCACTCATGATTTGGCTCTCTGTTTGTCTGTCATTGGTGTATATGAATGCTTGTGATTTTTGTACATTGATTTTGTATCCTGAGACTTTGCTGAAGTTGCTTATCAGCTTAAGGAGATTTGGGCTGAGACAATGGGGTTTTCTAAATATGCAATCATGTCATCTGCAAAGAGACAATTTGACTTCCTCTATTCCTATTTGAATACCTTTTATTTCTTTCTCTTACCTGATTGCCCTGGCCAGAACTTCCAATACTATTCTTGAATAGGAGTGGTGTGAGAGGATATGCCTGTCTTGTGCCGGTTTTCAAAGGGAATGCTTCCAGCTTTTGCCCATTCAGAATGATATTGGCTGTGAGTTTCTCATAAGTAGCTCTTATTATTTTGAGATACATTCCATCAGTATCTAGTTTATTCAAAGATTTTAGCATGAAGAGATGTTGAATTTTATCGAAGGCCTTTTCTGCATCCATTGAGATAATCATGTGGTTTTTGTCATTGGTTCTGTTTATGTGATGGATGATGTGTATTGATTTGCATATGTTTAACCAGCCTTACATCCCAGGGATGAAGCCAATGTGATTGTGGTGGATAAGCTTTTTGATGTGCTGCTGGATTCGGTTTGCCAGTATTTTATTGAGGGTTTTCGCATCGATGTTCATCAGGGATATTGGCCTGAGATTTTCTTTGTTTGTTGTGTCTCTGCCAGGTTTTGGTACGAGGATGATGCCGGCCTCATAAAATGAGTTAGAGAGGAGTCCCTCTTTTTCTATTGTTTGGAACAGTTTTAGAAAGAATGGTACCAGCTCCTCTTTGTACCTCTGGTAGAATTCGGATATGAATCTGTCTGGTCCTGGGCTTTTTTTGGTTGGCAGGCTATTAATTACTGCCTCAATTTCAGAACTTGTTATTGGTCTATTCATGGATTTGACTTCTTCCTGGTTTAGTCTTGAGAGCAATGTTCAGAAATTTAACCATTTCTAGAAGCTTATTTTCATTTCGATAACAAGTAGCAGACAATAATAGATTTAAAATTATGTACCAATGTCTTTTTCATTATATGTGGTAATAAAGTGCCAAAAAACAAGCTACAAGCTGTTTGTGGCCTAAGATATGCAAAGAATTAATTTTTGTGCTGGCATATACTGTAATTAGAAATTGTTCTGTGCATCATGATTAAACCAGTAACTATGGTAACGAGAGCAGGAAAGCATGAGTGCAAAAGGAAACAGCCCGAGTAAGTCAGGGATAAGCTGCATTTCATCTTTCTTTTTAAGTGTTTGTAATAAACAGAACTATCTATAAAATGCATACTGATTTTTATTCCAATTCTTATCATTCATTTACATAGATTAAAATACATTATTCCTTGAACATATACACACACGTACAAGACAGAACAGACACAGATTATTACCACATATGGAGAGCATACAGCTCTTAACAGTATTATCAGGGGAATACCATTACAATCTCTGCACATCTCCCTCATTTTCATAGGGCTGTATGAAGAAAATGACGGAGCAGAACACTCAAGTAAGAAATCTACAGTTTCTGGCTTTTGCCTTTTGGCCACAAATTTTCAGCAAAACTGCTTGACTCTTAGTGGCATGGACGACAAATTCAGATTAGCAGGCAACAGACATGAATACAAAGGAAACCAGCGCAACACTATTCCTAATAATGCGTTTTGTAGGCTTTACCGACTGCAGTCTTCAACAGACATAAATACAGACGTCTCAGTTTCAGAGACCTCGAATCATTAGTCTTCATGTACATTTTTTTGTTTTTTGTTTTTTGTTTTTTCGGTCCCCAAACCATCAAGTGGTATGAGAAATAATTAGAGCAGTTTCAAAGGAGAAGATCAGTCAAAACTGATTAAAGGTTTAAAAAGTAAGCCTTTTGAGAAAAGGGTGTTTTTTAAAAAAAATTATTCATTGAGGCTAGAAAAGACTCTGTGACGAAGCCAAGTACGTGAGTGTGAACAGCAATTATCTCACTACGGAAAACAAAGCAGAATGAAACAATATAAATTTCAGAAAAACAATCTTAATTTCTGGAATAACTTCTTACTGTACAGATATAAGAAACTGCACGTATCACTAGATAAGCTGTGTAATCTAATTGAATTTATTAAAGGAGATGAACAAGCATCATGTTCTTGTTTAGTACAAACAAATATTTAATTTAGTGTTTCCATAGTAGAGTTTCTCTATAAAGAATTGTAAAACTTTTTAAAACCCCATCTGAAACAGAAATAAATACCACCTGGTATCACTTATAAGTGGGAACTAAGTAATACGCACCCATATTACTCAGTTGTAAATAATACACACCCATATTACTTAGTTGTAAGTAATACACACCCATATTACTTAGTTGTAAGTAATACGCACCCATATTACTTAGTTGTAAGTAATACGCACCCATATTACTTAGTTGTAATATAACTTATAAGAAACATGTTATATAAGTTGCAAGTAATATAACTTATAAGTAATATAAGTTATAATATATGTTATAAGTAATATAACTTATATTACTTGTAAGTTATATTACTTATAATTAAGTAATACGGGTGCATATTACTTACAACTCAGTAATACGGGTGCATATTACATACAACTCAGTAATACGGGTGCATATTACGTACAACTCAGTAATACGGGTGCATATTACGTACAACTCAGTAATACGGGTGCATATTACGTACAACTCAGTAATACGGGTGCATATTACGTACAACTAAGTAATACGGGTGCATATTACTTATAACTAAGTAATACGGGTGCATATTACTTAGTTCCCACATATAAGTAATGGACATAGAGAGTGAAATAATAGACACTGGAGACTTAGAAGACTAAATGTGTAATGTACGCTATTTGGATGCTAGTTACATTAGAAGCCCAGACTTCACCACTATGCAGTATATCCACGTAACAAAACAGTACTTGTACCCCCTAAATCTATAAAAAATCTATAAATTTATAAAAATTAAAAAAATTAAACTTCATTCGAATGTAAAGTTAATGAGGAAGTTAAATTATTTCAAAGATTACAAATTGAGTATCAACTAAGACAAGGCACCAAAAACAACTGAGTGTTTCAGGAAAATTTTTAAACAAATAACACTGATTAGTTAATGTTCCTATCATCTTCCATTCATTTATTCATTGTGCCAACCAATATCAAGCACCTGCCTTGTGTGAAGCACTGTTCTAGGGTCTGGGTCACAATCATGAAAAGATGCATAAATCTCTGTGTCATGTAGCTTCCATTCTTCTAAGGGAGACAGACAAAAACTAGTAGAAAATAAATTACACTATTTAGATGATGGTAAGAGTTCTGGAGTGAATAAATGGGTGATGTGATGAAGATGAACTGTCAAAGCCTACTTTTCTAGGTGGGTCAGGGAAGACGTTTTTGAGGCAGGTGGTCCATAGAAGCCAGCGATGTGAGGCAGAGCATGTCAAGAACAGGGAACCGCAAGCACAGCTGTGGAGTGTCCGAGGGATAAAGATGGCAGCAGCCCAAGCACTGTGGGCAAGGGCAGGGCAGGACGATGCCAGGCTACAGAGGTGGGCAGAGGACAGACAATTGGGGCCTGGTAGAGCATTCTGGGGCTTGGATTTTTAAAATGCCTTTATCCTACCATCACATTTCAGTGTTTCTGATTTGGGGAGTGATTTATAAGAAAGGTGCCTTTAAGAAAAACCAAAATATGCTTATTCACGCACAACTTCTGCTCAACTTCCTGAGAGGAAGCCAAAACTGGAGATTACTGCTGTACTGGAAGCCAGATCAAAAAAGAAAGCAAAATCATTTAAGAGCCTGCATTTGAAAATGCTTCATTTATAGGATGAAATGAAGTGTGTGTGGCTTTCTTATTGCTTTCTTCAAGCCTAGATATATTAATCATCATCTTCATTAAAATCCATTTGATGCCATAAAAGGACCAAATAATTTTCTTTCTAATTTTCAGAAACTGAGTGCTGTTATATAATTTTAAAATCTAACTACAGAGTCTTTAAAAAAAAAAAAACACTAGCTCGAATTTCCTCAATAATTCTGGCTATTCGTTTTTCAATTCTTATGTGTTTATTTTCCATTTGAACATTTAGCATTAGAAAATCTTCCTGTGATTTCCACAGCAACCACTAGAGGGAAAACTTCGACTGAAGAAAGTCATTTAAAGACACTATCTTAATAATATTTCTTAAGTACAATATTAAGTATAATATTTCTTAAGTCTAATATTCTTAAGAATAATATTTAAGTCTAACATTCTTAAGAATAATATTTATTAAGTGTAATATTCTTAAGAATAATATTTCTTAAGTCTGAAGAACTCAAAAATAATGATGTCTTCAAGATAAAATATTATAAAAGCACATCATAAATCCCACATGCATTTTCAAGTTATTCCTGATAATAATGAGCATTTGTGTTGTAATACGTATTCTGCAAATGTTCTTGCATTCATTACCTCATTTGTTTCTCCAGATGAATGGCTAATAGAGCAGGAACTATGATCACTCAGCTAAAATAAAAAAACACAAATAATTTAACCAAAGACACCCGACATTTTAATTGCACAATCAATATTACTACTGAGGGCTGAGTATATTTTTCAAGTACACTATGTTGTCTCCTCACTACTTTTTTCAAAGAAAATATGAAAATATTGTGTTCTCAATTTCCTCATCATATTCTAGATTTTTTAGTAAAATACCTAGAACACAGTAGGCACTTGATAATTAGTGAATGTATGCATGCATTCATATATGAATAAAAAGATGAATGAAGGAACAAAGCCCTACTTTTTTTCTATGCAACACTATATGCCAACATAGCACCTAGCAATAGCAATAGCAATAGCAATAGCAATGTGTTTTCCAAACACATCCCATTTCAGAGTTAGTAAATGCAGAGGACACCTGAAGATAATACTTGCAGCTTAATAAGTGCTACAGAGAGGACATGTTTTTGTGATTTTTTGCTCCAATATTATGATACCCTCATGTTATAGACAGGATGTGTCCCCCTGAAAGTTCACATGTTGAAATCCTAACCCTCAAAGTGATGGTATTAAGAGGTGAGACCTTTGGGAGGTAATTAGGTCATGAGGGTGGAGCTCTCATAAATAGAATTAGTTTCCATAAGAAAAGACATGAGAGAAATGATTTTTCTTTCCTTCATAGAAGAATACAATGAGAAGATGGCCATCTGTGGGCCGGGAGGAGGGCCCTCGCTGAGAACCTGACCATGCTCACACCCTGGTTTTGGACCCCCAGCATCCAGAACTCTGAGAAATAAAGGTTTGTTGATTAAGCCCCACAGTCTATTGTATTGTGTTACAGCAGTCCAAACTAAGATGCCACATCTGATTCTACCTCCTTTACATTGTTTGACTTTTGAATATTTGAACTCTAAAATTATGATCAATCCATCAAACTTTATATAATTCATTATCGTAACTCAAAAACACAAATATATCATATGGGTTAATACAACCACATAAGAAATCAGAAAATGCTAACTGGAAGTGAGAAGAATTATAATTGTGATTCTGTCTTTTCCTTCTGCAGGAATCCTGAAACACTGGCCACAAAGTTATGCTATGGACTCATGCCCCTACGCAGTAAAATAACAATGTTAATACTAACTTACTATCAATTGTTACTAGATTGAGCAAAGAACAATCATTAAAATGCCATAGATCCTTGAAAACAAGCAATAATTTCCTGATAAAGATGAGATACTTTTCTTATTCTACCAACAAGACTGCATTTGGTGGTAAGTGTGTGTGTGTGTGTGTGTGTGTGTGTGTGTGTGTTGGGGGGATGTGGTGGAGGGATGAGGTAGATTTGGATATCTCTTTTCCCACAGTTGAATTCCCTTCCATGCAACTAAGAAATCAAAAAAAGCTCCTAAAATGAGTAGCTAACTTAAACATTCACAAAATATTTTTAAAAGAAATACTCAGAAATATCAAAAGGAGTTATCCATGGGTAGTGTGATAAGAAGTAATTTTAATGTTCTTTTTATGTTTTTATGTAATTTCTCATTTGTTTGCAATGAAAATATGTATATCCTTTTTTAACAATTGGGAAAGTTTTTTCACTAAAAGTCAAGTTTGTTTATTTTTGTTGTTGTTTTTGGTGGTGGTGGTAGAGACAGGGTCTCATGGCTGTGTTGCCCAGGCTAGTCTTGAACTCCTGGCTTTGAACTCTTAACTGCAAGTGATCCTCCTGCCTCAGCCTCCCGAAGTGCTAGGATTACAGACCTTAACCACAACACCTGACCAAAAGTCAAAGTAATATAAATTTTACATTACATCTTAAAATCATCATTAACTGTGTTTGGCATATATTTTATGTAAAACAAATATGAGTTTGTTTGATTTTTTATCTAAGAAACTAAATAATCAAGGGCTGTTAAGCTGAACCATAGCTAATACTCCTTGCATCTTCTTATCAAGAGCTAACTTTAGTAAAGATTCCTTCAAATCAGTAAATAAATGAGGTTGTCTTTGGCTGATACTTTCAGAGTCCTCAGAAGTTTGATTTTAAACTCATGAAAAAGATAAAGCTGAACCGACAGGCTTTACAGTCTTGTTCATTCTTCACATTTAGTACATTCCTTGAATAGATGGTATTGTCAACAGCTTGTTTAAAAATTGTCTGATATCTGCGCTAAGTTGTTTGGATGACAATTCATGAAACCAAATAGAAAATAAACACTGTAGCCTTATGAGTTCTCACCACATATTTTCAATAAATTTTACAAGTTCATGAGTGAAGAAAGATAAAGTTCTTAGTAATCAGACAATGTATAAACACCAATGGATCACAAACATTTTTGTAAAGAAAATAAAGTAAGGACACCCTCAAAAAATCCTAAAAGCACACAAAGTTCTCCATTAAGAAAGCAATTCATTTTGCAATGAATATAAAGGGAAACAAAATTATATACACTTTGACAAAGTTAATATATTTCTTTCTACTGTATTGTGATATTTTAAGAACTCTATGGCCCATCCAAATGCAGATGTGTAGTTACATCATTAGAAAAGAATAAATAAAACTTTATTAGCTATGGGTCTAACAGAGTCTCAATGAGACATAATAGATGTTTATTTTTATTCAATTTTTTTACATTATTTTAATGGCTTTATTAATTAAAATAATTACAAAAGTGCCATTGATTCCTAAGACAAGACATTCCAAGCACATAATATGTTCTATACAACTGGATATAATTTTGAAATGTGAAAATAAGAATATAATACTTGTGAATTATTTCCAACTTTCAACAAAACTTAAATATTCCAGGTTTAACCATGACTTTCCAGGAAAGGAATTGCAAGATGATGTCTGGTTATTGAAACGTGCTTCAAAAGTGGAAAAAAGTAGCTTTGGGGGAGTTTTTACATTTAACTTTACTCTCAAAAGAACCTAGGACAATCTGCTGCAGTCAACAGATTGGGCAGTGCTATTTTTTGCTGTGCCTGAGTGTGCTGGCAGGGGAAATGAGGGGACAAAGTCCTCACTTACATTTAGAGAAATGTATTATTTTCATGAAAGTATTTTTAAATGACACACAATAGTTCTAAATGTCATGATATTTCTTGTCACCTTAAATGATTAATAGCAAGAATTCTATTATTCCTACAGAAATTATCAGCCATAATTTCAACAATGTTAATTTCTGAATTATCAAAAATATTTAGTTGAGTAAGAAAGTAGAGCTCTGAAACTAAAAATACTTACAGGAGCAGAGATAATACTAAATGTTAAAATATAGTATTTGTAAGACTTTTTTTTTTCTCCCATGAATATTTAGAAAGCCTTTTTGGTTATTTCAGGCTTCTGTTATACTGAATGCCACCCATTCCAAGTGACCACTGGGAAAGGGAATTTCATCTCTGCAACCTAGAAATTACTACTCTTAAATACAACACGTCGATAAATAATTGGAAAGCTTCATCTATCATCCTGCCTACTGAACTCCCCATGGAATGAAAAACGTCACCTTCTCAAGATGCTTATCTGCCCAACTGACCCTGTAACAAGCCATTTTTCTTTATAAATAGTATTTCATGTGAAAATACTACTTTTAGTAGGAAAAATGGGTGGAAGAACCATACATTATGATTTTTTAAATCTGTGGATATAGAAGTGAAGATGGAGATAAAACAGTAAAAATAGATATTGATTCCCATGATGTCCATATGATTAGGCCATGAACAGACAGAAAAGGAAAGAGAGAGGATAGAGTTGGACAAGCACTGGCCTATAAGTCCGAAATTTCTGGATTCCATCCTCATTACCTCTGACGGCGAAATAATCTCTTGAGGCTTCAGTGTCCTTAACTAAAAATGAGGGGAATACCATCTACCTTGAAAGGCTGTTGAAGCAATGAGGCTTTAGGCATTTAAAGCAACTAGAATACGCACAGTTAATAAGTAATAGCTAATAAGAAATATGAATGAATTGCAACAATTTTCTGAAAAAATATCTGGATTTATCCCAGAATTATATAGCTTTATACAAGTCAAGGCTTCTTCACATTTATATTACCTGGGTAGTTAATGGTATTGGTTAATGCGGAGCGTGTTTGTGAATGAGATAAGACTTAAACTGGTAAACTTTTCATAAGCAGATTGCCCTGCATAATGAGGTGGGCCCCATTCAATCACTTGAAGGCCTGAATAGAAAAAAAAAGACCAGCTTCTCTGAACAAGAGGGAATTCTCCAGCAGTCTACCTTCCAACTTTCCCTACACCATCGGCTCTCCTGGGCTTGCAGCCTGCTGGCAGCCATGCTGCAGACTTTGGACTCACCAGCCTCCATAATCATGTGAGTCAATTCCTTATGATAAATCTCCTTCCACACAGACACACATTCTGCTGATTCTCTTTCTCTGCAGAACCATGACTAATACAGTGATATTACAAGGCCCAGGTGACCAAATATCTCAGAGACAAGTAACTAAAACAAATACCTCAGAGACAAGTAACTAAACTTTCCTTTTCAAGAGTCAAAAATCTGTTTGACTCTTGAGAGTCTTTGACTTTTGAGAACATTCTTTTATGTTTGAAATATTCAAGTTAAGATACTATATTCCTTAAGAAGCTAGGAGAAGTTCGTTTCTATGTACACTTCAAAGCTAGATGTCCAAGGAGTCTAGTGGAGTTCTAAGCTGCATAATGGATTCCCATGATGGATTGTAGCTTAAGGTAGTGATCTCAGAATGGATGTCCCCAAAGCAATGGAATTAACATATTATTCAGTTATTTTCCCAGTTGCCCATTGTAACAAGGAGCGGAGGCTACAGTACCTCCACCTTCTTAGGGTAAGGATTGTTGTAAGAAAAAATTTTAAATTCTTCCATTTAAGCAACATGTAACTAGGAATATTAGAAAGCATTAATCCATTCACTCATTCCAGAGATATTTTTGTGTACATCTTTCCTGAAAATTTTTGTAATACATTTTGTCCCAGAGCCCACAAAATCATATAATAAAATAGATAATGAGCCATCCTGTCCACCAATGAGTCCAGTCCTGGTGTATTACAATGCCCAAAGAAAGCAGAAATCCGGTGGGGGCATGGGAACTTGGGCCTGTAATCTCAGCACTTTGGGAGGCTGAGATGGGAGGATCCCTTGAGCCCCACAGTTCAAGACCAGCCTGAGCAACATGGCAAAACCCCATTTCCACTAAAAATATAAAAATTTGCTAGGCATGGTGGCGCATGACTGTGGTCCTGACTACTTGGGATTGCTTGACCCCAGTGGGTAGAGGCTGCAGTGAGCCAAGATCACACTACTGCTCTCCAGTGTGGGCGACAGAACAAGACCCTGTTTTTAAAAAAAAAAAAAAAAGGAGAGAAAAAGAAAAGAAAAACAGAAATCCCCTTGCCTTAAAAGTTAAATAATGGGAATGTTCTACTTTGATTCAAGAATAGAGCATGCATGCATTCTACATATCTAAAATCCTAAATTTTATAAAACAAATAAAGAAATCAAAGGGCAGGGAAATTTTATTCTATATCAAACTGTTCCAAGAATTTGATAGTTTTTGAAGCTGAAAAACCTATAAATACACTGTGTTGGAACCTCGGCTGTATCATGACAATTTTCCACAGAGAAGTAGTCTAAGGGAAAGTAATTTGTGTAATAGATGTGAAAATGACTCCGGAAATAGCATTTGCAGACCTAAACTGTATCCATTTTAAGATATGTAGTACAAAGAATTAGGAAGAATGCACTTTCTAACCACAAAAAGAGTAGCCAATTGCCTGTAAAGCAGTGTATGGCAGGGATTTAATTGATATTTGCATGTCATTATTTTTAGTTAATATAGTATTATTGCTTTGTTTATTATGACACATTACACAACTTTGAGTTCTGCAGGACACATGGCAGACTTATAATGTATATAAAAACTACCATGGAGGTCGGGCGCAGTGGCTCACACCTGCAATTCCAGCACTTTGGGAGGCCGAGGTGGGCGGATCACCTAAGGTCGGGATCGAGACCAGCCTGACCAACATGGAGAAACCCCGTCTCTACTAAAAATACAAAATTAGTCAGGCATGGTGGCACATGCCTGTAGTCCCAGCTACTTCGGAGGCTGTGGCAGGAGAATTGCTTGAACCCGGGAGGTGGGGGTTGTGATGAGCCGAGATCGTGCCATTGCACTCCAGCCTGGGCAACAAGAGCAAAACTCCATATCAAAAAATAAAATAAAATAAAATAACTACCATGGGAACTATTAAAATTGAGTTAGAAATGTTAACCCAGTTGGTTTAAAAAACATCTTTTTTTTACAGTCCTGAGAAATGCTGACAGCACTGATCACTGGGTGATAGAAATTTGTTCAATTACATGTCCTTAGCTTTTCTTCCTGGCCCGCTCTATACCTTGACTTTTCCTAGAGGGCAGTATAGTCTAGGGCTGAGCTGTCTGAGAAGGTAGACACTAGTCACATGTGGCTATTTCAATTTGAATAAACTAAAATTAGATGAAATGTAAATGCCTTTGCTCAGTTGTGCTGTTCACAATCCAGGTGCTCAACAGTCACTTGTGGCTAAGGCTCTGGTATTGTACAACAGAGATCTAGAACGTTTTCATCATCTCCATGAGTTCTACTGGACAGCACAGCTCTAGTGGCTAAGGGTGTGGCCCCCGTGGCTAGGTTGTATCAGTGCGAAACCCGGCTCAAGCACTTTAGAACTGTGTAAGCTTAAATGAGTTTCCTTGTCTTTCTGTGCCCCAGTTTCCTCACCTGAAAAATGAAAACACTATTAGAGTTTTAATTAAAATGTGTAGAGTACTGAGGACAGTGGCTAGCAAATAATATATACCACACTGAGTTTTGTCTATCATTTTTCCACCCGAAGAGTCAAGCCAAAGCAAAAGTCTTAAGAGGTCTAAAGAGGAGTGAATCTGAGATGATGAGTTAGACCATCTCTGGAGAGACAATGGAAGTCATCATTTCTGTTTTCCTTTCAGTGAGGTTGCACCCGTGTCTTAGCCTTTGTAGTCCAGCTACATCCCTTTCACAGGGCCTCATATCTGTCTTTTCCATGGGTCTTAAACATGATTTGGACTTGGAGTATTTTCTACATATCTAGGGCAAGAGTAGAACTTTACCCTGGCTGCCTGATGGCAAACAGCCAAACCTTGTAGTAATGGAACAAAAGAGAGATAGCCAGGGACTACAGTAAATTAACAGCAGTGCTGAGAAGGTACTACAGGCGCTGTGAGGGCCTAATAATACTTAAGTCAAAGGACCAGACAATGACCTCAAACACAGATAAAACACCCTGTGTCTACTTGAGAATCCAAAACAAATTCCATGATTTTTCGTAAGAGTCCTGAGAAGTAGAGATGAATCACCCTATTCTCCAAAACACAATACCTGGAAGAAAAGTCCCTTGGCCTTCGCCACATAGATAATCCATGGCTGGACGAAGCCTGCACTTGACCTCTGGACTTTTCAAGCCAGTGCTGGAGATGAGAAGCAATTCCATCTGTTCCAACAAGCCCACATACCACACCTGTTACTGGGGTCCATGGGAGAAAGGAAAATCTAGTAAGTTCATTTGAAGGGGTAGCTTATTTCAATATGCGGTGTCCTTTGCTTTATTCAACAAATATTCAATAGCAAATATAGAATATGTTTACAAAAATAGAAAATGGTAGACTATGGAACCAGGAAACTCACATTTAAATCCCAGCTGCATAAGTTTCTAGCTTAAATACTCACTTCTTGGGATTTTAGTAGGACTGGAACAAGCTAATACATGTAAAGCATTAAAAATAGTGTCCAGTATGTATCACATGTTCAAATACAATGTTAGCTATCATATATTTTCATCAGTACAGAGGTAAGACAAAATCTTTTCAGGAAGATTTATTTTCAGGTTTTCAGTTTTATTTATGAGTATCCAATCTATCTCTGGTTCACCTGACTGTGACATCATTTGGCTCTATTCTTAATCAGTAATAAGGAATAACTTCATTCCAAGCAGTAACAACAGCCAAAACAAAGCTGTTTGGCTCCATCTGTTTCTACTGATGGAGCTTGCTTCAATCACTGTAATGAGTAAACGATCCATTCCTGAACATCTAGATCCAGTGTTGTATGAAGCAGGGTTTTGGAGAGCTGTGACTGGGGACATGGTAGTATGCTGGAGCTGGCTCTCATGGTCTATGGAGAGCCCATTGTGTGTATCTCTTTCCAGCTCTGCCTTCAGTGACGTTAAAATTAGCTTTTGTGGAAATAGTTACACCTTGAAAATAGACAAATACTCGGGTAAGGGCTGAACCCTCACCAGAGACCCAGTTGTAAAATACCAACATGCTGCTAGGGCAACCCCAAATAGGTCCCACAGAATTCCATGGATGGGCGCCATAGTGCACGTGCGTCGTACAAAACCGAATGCTCTACAATATACATTAGAAGAACCTCTTGAGGATATTGGTCATCAAAATTTAAAAATTCCTGTTCTAGAGGAGCCATTAGCCAAATTTCTCTTGGATATACCAGAAAGACACATGTTCTGTCTTCATTTTATCCTATGGACAACAGACTTTCCCTCTTTTGATGGATGTTAGAGAAATTATAGATAATTTTTGAGCCATCAATAAATAAAATGTAGGGCTTAACAATACAAATTCTGTGTAAGAATCTCACCAAAGCGTCACCTAATTTTTCTACTTATATTTCATTTGCTCGAATTCATATCACTATTTCTATTTTTAATCTCTTCTTTTTATTTGTTTATACTCAAATTTATGTTATCTCTGGTAAGTACAGTTTTACAGTAAGTTTTAAACCAATAGTTAAGCTGTTTTAATTTGGTTCTGTCAAATTCCAAATGATTTCTCAGTCAAATAAAAATTTTTGAAGTACTTAGTTGAAGATTCAATGAGATAAGAAGCCATCTACCAGTTAAAAAGTACACAGAGGTGTTCAATTGATTCAGCTCAATTGGAAGGTACAAAAGAAAGTTGATTAATCCCTCCTCTAATTCTAATTTGTAAATTTTTAAGTATTCATTTCAACTGAATACTATGTCCCTGAACAATTTAATGTAATTTTAATCCCAATTGTATTTTAAGAAAGAAAAATACATTTTTAAATAGAGTTGGAGAATAAGGACAATTTGGTACAAGTAAGAATGTCAAGGCATTCATTATTCTCTAATATAAACATGAGAATAAAATAAACTATGTATTCTAGAGTACATATAGTCAGAGATTACTTCACAATATTTCAATGGGAAAGTAAACAGAAATTACTCAATATTCTCTATCAAAATACAGCCTATCAAAATATATTTAGCAATTGTTCATATAAGCGTAGGGAAAAAGACAGAAAAATATATTTTTTTACTAGAACAGCTTCCAAAAACACCCTTAGTTTTTCGGAATGTGCACCTTGGAAATGTTCAGACTGAATGCTCAGGCTTAAAAGCAGGCTGGCAAATGAAGTTACAACACATGAACAGGTGTGTTTTACCCACTATTACAGCCTCTTATCTCAGTGGGTTTCTATCAGTTCTTCTCCACCCACACCACTTACTGAACAAAAATTCTGTGCTTCACACTAAGCTAAGAGCAAAGGCAGGTAAGAAAGCCATATACGACAAGGGTACCTGCTCTCAAGTCCATTAATTATTTTACACTTTAATTGAACAAATTCATAGGTAAGTCCCTACCATGTATTTATGTACCAGGCATGCAACAAGATGATTACAGTACCATCATTCTCAGCAAACTAACACAAGAACAGAAAACCAAATGCCACATGTTCTCACTCATTAGTGGGAGTTGAACAATGAGAACACATGGACACAGGGAGGGGAACATCACACAGCAGAGTCTGTCAGTGGGTGGGTGGGTAGGGGAGTGATAGCATTAGGAGAAATACGTAATGTAGATGACCGGTTGATGGGTGCAGCAAACCACCATGGCACGTGTATACCTATGTAACAAACCTGCACGTTCTGCACATGTATCCCAGAATTTAAAGTATATATATTAAAAAAATCAATAGTAGGTTCTCATAAAAAATAAGTAAATAAAGACAAAAAATAAAGTTATAAAAACATCATAATTTTTGTTTGTGCCTACCTTTGTAACATTAATGTAACTTGTAATCCTAACATATCACCGATATTTCACAGTTTCTAAGTAATTGCTTTGTTCTGTTTTGTTGTTTGTTTTTTGTTTTTTTGAGACGGAGTCTCACTGCAACACCCAGGCTGGAGTGCAATGGTGCAATCCTGGCTCACTGCAACCTCCACTTCCCGGGTTCAAACAATTCTCCTGCCTCAGCCTCCCGAGTAGCTGGGATTCCAGGCACCCACCACCATGCCTGGCTAATTTTTGTGTTTTTACTAGAGATGGTGTTTCACCATATTGGCCAGGCCCGTCTCGAACTCCTTACTTCAAGTGACCCGCCCACCTCAACCTCCCAAAATGTTGGGATTACAGGCGTGAGCCACCATGCCCAGCCTGTTTCCAAGTAATTGTGAATGCTGGAGAGCATTGCCTATTTTGCTTTCCTGTAAAATATTAGTTGGGCCATATAAAATACTTGAATGGCATCATTCACCTTCAAAGTACTTTTTAAATGGTAGCCAATGAAAGAATAAAATCTCCACAAAGTTTAGGAAACCACTGTTGATTCAGAGGCATGTTTACTGTTCCACTCTGTAGCATTAGGTTACAGATGTGCAAATTATGATTGTATTTGAAGTGTATTTTCAAAGCCACTACCCTTGAGAACCATAAAGCCACTTTCAACATCTGTCTCTAAATTCAATTGCTAACTGATAGGGTGACATGTAAAAATGGCTAAAACTGTATTCTAAACAAAGGTATTGGTCTTCCCCCCATTCATTGACCAGGAGGACAAGTTTCCTCAGATCTCTAGAGGTCTCTGGAGAATGCTTGCCTCTAGACACTTTGAGTGTATATTAGCAGTCCATTAAGCCTGAATCTAGATCACATCTTGAAATAAACTAGGGTGTGATCTACTCACATCTGTGTTATCTACATTGCCACAGCACTAAGGTTTCCAAAAGGAGGCATAGTTTACACTAAAAGAAACCTTTTTGGTTTCACTCAACAAAATCACAGTTTACACTCTTACTGCTGCCTTTACAAAAAGCTACTCAGATCCATTTCCATTCCCACCAAACATAACCGGAATTTGTTGTCTTCAAATGAAGGCTGAATTTCACCTACCTGCAAATGTAAAAAATGAATGAAGAACATAATGAGTGTCTGAATATACAATAAAATTGCCTGGAATCCCAGGTTTTTTTAAAAAACAGTTTCCACTGAATCTGTCAAAAACACTTAAAAACCCTATAGTTACAATATAGGTAGGAATAGTAGACGGAAGGAAAACTAAATTATTCTACAAAATCAATTCAAGAAATAGTGACTAAAAACAGAGATTTTGCCAAGAATTCAAAGGAAACTCAAAACAATTATAAAAGTAACTATCCTCAAAATCGCTGGGTAGATGGGGCCAGGAACTCATGGGAACTCTCTATATTCACATTTTATAAACAGTCATGTCCCCATCTTCATTCTGCACAGCTTAACGTTATACACATTATGAGAGCTCAGGGAACAGCCAGCTTCACACATTATGATTCAGGTACTGCACATGATCCTTGCATGCTTGCCATCTAATAACCTCTCATGCATCTAGAAATGATCCTGAATACACACGTACACACATGCACACACACACACACACACCCCACATACGCACAGTTCAGTGACTGCTGCAATTACAGAGGCTTACTTAAAATTACCTAAGAAGAAGATAACAGAAAGGATGAGAAGAGCATCAGAGCTTTAGGAGAACTGGGATGTGGGGATTGTGCTACTTCACTCACTAGAGATGTATGCACAATAAATTTTAAGACTAGGCTTTGCTACTCTGTGTGACAAAAGAGTCAATTATTGAAATTCACTGGACACATTCCTGCCTCTCCACCACTGCCTGCCCCGCTCCACACACATGCAAACATATTGATATGAAATTAGTAGAGTGAAAGGAACTATTTTAGAGGTAATATAGAAATGGCCAATCATCTGTCCAGGATGGTTTTACAAAGGGTTATAAATAGAGGAGGGCTGAAAATGCAAATCCTAAGAGTCTGAGTATCTGTTCTCTTTAATTATAGTAACTAATATTAATTAGGAAATTACTGTCTGACATTGTTCTAAGCAATTTATACATTAAATGTATTTAATCCTCAAAATAACCCTATGAGAAAGAAACTATTATCCACATCCCACTTTACAAGCAAGAAAATTGAGGCACAAAGAGGTTAAGTAAATTAACCATGGTTACATCGTCACTAAGTAGCATCCTCATTGAATAGGACCAAATCATAGTCAAATATTCTACTTTGGAATTTACAAATGTCCTGACTTGTTTTCTTAAATAAGCTCCTGTTAAGTCACATCAATTGGGACCAATGTGTTTGAATTAAACTTTTTAAAATAAACTTGACATACTTGGAGTCAATTTTCAAATAATTGTTATATAAGCAAATAAAAAAATTAAACTAGGATTCTAGGCATAGAATTTAGCTGTTTTGTGGTGAGTCAGATATTGCTTTGAGATCCTTCAGAGTTTCAAGCTCATAATTCTAAATTCCACTATAGGATAATCCCCTGATGAAGTAAATAAGAACAAGATGGGCTAAATCTGTCCCATTTTTTACATTTGTATTTTATTTTATTTTAAGTTCTGGGACACTTGTAGGATGTGCAGGTTTGTTACATAGATAAACATGTGACATGGTGGTTTGCCGCACCTGTCAACCCATCACGTAGGTATTAAGCGCCAGATCCATTAGCTATTTATCCTGATGTCTCCGCCATCCCCCAACCCTGTGTGTGTTGTTCCCTTCCCTGTGTCCATGTATTCTCATTGTTCAGCTAAATCTGTTTTAAGACCAATACTGATAGTCACATTTTAAGCTATCATAATATAATTATCCCACATACTAGCTTCTGACCCTAAATAAGACACTTACCTTCTGTAGACATGATCTGTAAAATATGAAAACAAAATTACACAAGATCTCTTCAAATTCTAAAATTCTGTGATGCAATGACTAATCCCACAACATGCCACATCAGGATATACAAAATTCATGGTATTTTAAAATATGAAGTTGTTTCAATTTTGGAAGAATGATAGTTGCTTCCAAGACATAGCTACTTTTCCATTATGAATTAGGGACAAAAGCAAATAATGTAATTTGATGAGGACATACTGTTTAATGCACAAGAATGTCTATGTTACACAATAATATTCAGCATACCAATGTGCTAATTTCTGAAACTTTATTAACCGAAACTTTCTTCAAATGTAGCTGACAATACAAAACACATTTTGAGCTAATGGACTGTCAGTTGCAAACATTATTATCTGGTTATCACTCATCAGTTGCATACAAATCCCTTTATTGGAAACTTATCATCCTCTCGAAATATGCAAATTTTCAAAATGCTTACAAAACTCACCTTTAGATTACTTTTAAAGAAGAATGTTCATTCAACAAAAATCAAAATAAAACTGATTTTCTTTTTTTGGCCAGCATATAGGAGTTCAGAAGTCACTACTGCATTCTAAAAACAAATAGAAAGCTGAATAAATTAAAAATCAACAGCTCTTCTTAGGTCCATGAGAGAATTGAGGTCTTGAGACAAATGGACACCCCCCAAAAACTGGAGAGACAGATAAGCAGACACAGAAATCCAATTCCCTGGAGCAGAAATCTCTGCTGGAACTAGTACTGGGATTGAAATCTAAAGCTGTAATTTATGAATTGCTGGAGACTCAGTTTGGACAAGTTTGAGAATTAAAATCTCCCAGTGGGGCCTTCCTAGGAGGTCCCCACACTTTTCGGAGTTCTACCTTCAGGAGCCCTACCAGGTTCTCACAGAGAAGATCAGAGAAAAATCGCCTATAGCTTCCAATGTGTGAGTGGGTGGAGAGTGAGAGAGCAGCTCTTTCGAAAAACACCAGAGCTTTCTGTTCTCAGCAAGACCTACCCTCAAGGGAAAATATTCTGCCAGTGCCTACCCAACCTCGAAGAAGGGAAAGGCTCAATTTCAGCCCACTCTAGCCTTCCTGTTTCACCTAAGCAGGGAAGGTACCTGCAAAGTTACAGCCCAAGGGCACAGGCTCAGTAAAAAACTGAGTCCTAATTACAGGACAGGACAGGACAGTGCTGCCCCTCACCCAACCTTACCACCACAGCAATAGGGCTCTTGTATATTAACAGGGGAGCACAACTGAAAATGTTCACGTCTCAGGCCTTACTTAAGAAATTTCTAGGGAACCAGATGTTGCCAATCTGGTTAAAGTCTTTGGCCCTACAATAGTAGCCCATGCTGTGCACCATCCGGACCCAGTGACAATGTTACAGGACATCAAGCATCAACCCAAGGTGATCGAGCACCTGCTTTCTTTGCCCCTGGAGTATTGGAGTCAGTTCATGATGGTGGAACAAGAGAACATTGACCTCCTATATGTCATTGAAAACTCAAATGCCTTTTCAACACCACAGACACCAGAAGTAAAAGTGAGTTTACTGGGTCCTGTGGCCACTCCTGAACATCAGCTTCTTAAGACTCCTTCATCTAGCTCCCTGTTGCTGAGAGACCACTCCACCCTCACCAAGAACACTCCCAAGTGGGAGCAAAAGCAAGCCTGCCACCAACCTAGGACAATAAGGCAACCTTTTTTGCTTCTCCAATGCGCAAGTGAAGTCACAGCTGCCTATCACTTCCCAGCAGTGACTGACTATAAGAAAGGACATCCCTGTACTCTCTGCTCTGCAGCCTCCTGTACTCATTACTACTTTGGTTTCTAGGGAAACATGAAGACAACTGAGGTGATAGAAACACGGACACCTGAGGATATTTTAGCCTATGGCACCTACAGCAAAGGAAACTAGTAAACACGGCCTAATTCCTAGCCAGACAGACCAAAAAAACCCACACTAAAGACCTATTTACCTCATTTATTTTTACCCAGTGTCTAATGTCCTACTTTCAACAAAAATTGAAAGGCATACTAAAAGATAAACAAAATTTAAGAGACAGGGCAAGCATCAGAATCAGACTCAGATATGGTTGAGATTTTAGAATTATCAGATTATGAATTTAAAACAACTATGATTAATAAGGACTCTAATGGATAAAGCAGATAGCATGTAAGAACAGATGGGTAATGTAAGCAGAAATACAGAAACTAAGAAAAAAATCTAAAGAGTGCTAGAAATCAAAAACAGTGACAGAAATGAAGTCTACCTTTGATAAGCTCATCAATAGATTGAATAGAGGCAAGCAAAAACTCAGTAAGCTTGAAAAAAAAGTCAATGGAAACATCAAAAAAGAAATGTAAAAAGAAGAAAATGAATGAAATAGAGTATCAAAGAAACGTGGGACAATTACAAAAGTTGTAACATATTTATAATGAGAATTCAAGAAGGAGGGAGAGAAAAGAACAGAAAAAAATACTTGAAGCAATAATGACTGAGAATTTCCCAAAACTAATAACAGACACCAAACCTCCAATCTAAGAATCTCGGAGAACACCAAGTAGGATAAATACAAAACAAAATAAAAAATGAAATCTAGGCAAACCATATTCAAAAACACAGAGAAAATCTTGAAAGAAGCCGGGTTGGGGTGGAGAGTGGGTGAGCCTACCCAGAGAGAAGTAAAAATAATGATATCAGACTTCTCTCTACAACCATGCAAGCAAAATAGATAATGTAGTAAATATTTAAACTGTTAAAAGGAAAAACCCACCCACCTAGAAAAAATTGTTTTTCAAAAGTGAAGTCTTTATCAGGAAAAATGAAAATTGAGGATGTTTGTGCTGGTAGACGCTTCTTTAAAAGAGGTTCTTCAGAAAGAAGGAAAATGATATAGATCAGAAACCTGGATCTACATAGAGAAATGAAGAGCTTTAAAAAAGGAATAAATAAGGGTAAAATGATATCTTTTATTTTTCTTACTTTTAATTGACATAGCAGATAGCAGCTGGTTCAAAATAATAACAACAATGTATTCGATGATTTTATCTCATGGATGAATGAAATGACTGACACCAATGTTATAAGAGATAAGAGGGAGGAATTTGGAATAATCAGTTACAAGGGACTTGTCCTATCTGTGGTAATATAGTATTGCCAAGTGGTAGAGTGTCTTCTGAAAATAAACTGAAATTAATTGAAAATATATATTTAAACTCAATGGCAACCACTCAGAAAAAGTTTTAAAAATATAATTGATATGGTAAGAGAGAAGAAAAAAAAATCACATTAAATGCTCAATTAAAACCAGAAAAGACAGAAAAACAGTAGAAGACAAAAAAAAGAGAGAGAGAGAAAGAAACAAAGAGCAGGGGCAACAAGTAGAAAACAATAGCACAGTAACAAACATGATAGATAATGATCTAACTATATCAATAATCACTTTAAATGCCAATGGTATAAATACACTCAAAAAAAAAGAGAGAGACTAAGTGCATAAAACTACACCAAACTCTATGTTGTCCAAAAACAAACAAACAACAACAACAACAACAACAACAAAACCCACCCAGCTATAGAGACAAATAGATAAAAGTAAATGAATGAAGAAAGAAATACCATTACTATACTATATTAGTTCGCAGGGGCTATCATAACAAAGTACCACATTGACTGGGTGGCTTAAACAACAGAAATTTATTTTCCCACAATTCTGGAAGTTCAAGATCAAAGTGCCAGCAGGGTTGGTTTGTTCTGAGTTCTTTCTCCTTGGCTTGAAGATGGCCACTTTCTTCTCTTTGTATCGTTACATGATCTTGCCTCTGTGTGTGCCTGTGTCCTAATTTCCTATTTTATAAAGACAACAGTCATATTGGATTAGGGCCACCCTAATGACCTCATTTTACCTTAATTACATCCTTAAAGACCCTCTCTCCAAATACAGACACATTCTGAATTTGGGGCACACAATTCAGTCCATTACATTGTTAACACAAATCAAAAGCAGGTTGCAGTAGCTATATTAGTTTCAGACAGTACAGACATCAGAGCAAGGAAGGTTATCACGGATAAAGAGAGGCACTACATAATGATAAAGGAGTCAATTCTCAAGAAAACAAAACAATCCTTAATAAGCATGTACTTAACAATAGATTAGCAATATACCTGAGGCAAAAACTCAAAGAACTGCAAGGATAAACAGATGAATCCACTATTACAGTTGCAGACTTAAACACTGCTCAATCTGCAATTGAAAGTTATAGAGCAGGCAGAAAAGCAGTGAAGAAAACAGCACAATCAATTGAATCTAATTGACGTTTATGGACTACTTCATCTAACAACAGCAGACTACCCATTCTTCTCAATCTCACGCAGAACATTCACCAAGATAGACCACATTTCGTGTCCTAAAACACATCTTAATAAATTTAAAAGAATAGAAAGCAAACAAAGTATGCTCTCAGACCACAATGGATAGAAACTAGAAATCAAGGACAGAAAGCTATAAATCGTAAAGACAGACCATTGGTACTTAGACAAAAATTTACATAATTGAATGCATATATTAGAAAAAAAGAAAGATAGAAAATTCAATCATTTAAGCTTCTACCCAAGAAAACTAGAAAAAAAAGAGCAAACTAACTCTAAAGTAAGCAGCAGAAAAAAATAATATTAATTAAAGTAGAATACAAGACATTGAAAACAGGAAATCAAAGGAGAAAAATCAATGAAACCATAGAATGGTTCTTTCAAAAGATCAATAAAACGGATACACCTCTAGTTAGGTTAACTAAGGAAAAAAGAGAAAAGAAACAAATCAGAATATCAGAAATGAAAGAGGGACTATTTCTCTCTTTTTTTTTTTTTTTCCAAGACAGAGTTTCACCCTGTCTCCCAGGCTGGAGCACAGTGGTGCAATCTTGGCTCACTGCAACCTCTGCCTCCCAGGTTCAAGAGATTCTCCTTCCTCAGCCTCCCTAGTAGCTGGGATTACAGGCATGTGGTACCACTCCCAGCTAATTTTTGTATTGTTAGTAGAGACGGGGTTTCACCATGTTGGCCAGGCTGGTCTCGAACTCCTGACCTTGTGATCTGCCCACCTCAGCCTCCCAAAGTGCTGGGATTACAGGCGTGAGCCACCACGCCTGGCCAAGAGGGTCTATTTCTGTTGAATCCATAGACATTTAAAAGCTAACAAGGGAATATTACAAACAACTCTATGCCCACAAATTTGATAACCAAAATGAAATGGAACAATTCCTTAAGATACAATCCACCAAAACTTACACATAGAAAAACTAATAGTCTAAGTAGACCTTTGCAATGAAATGAACATTTTTGTGCCCTTAAAATTTATATTTTCAGGCTTGTTGCAGTGGCTTATGCCTGTAATCCCAGCACTTTTGGAGGCAGAGGTGGGAGGATTGCTTAAACTCAGGAGTTCAAGCCTGGAAAATATGGTGAAGTTCTGTCTCTACTAAAAATACAAAAATTAGCCAGGCATGGTGGCATGTGCCTGTAGTCAGAGCTACTCAGGAGGCTGAGGTGAGAGAATCTCTTGAGCCCATGAGGTGAAGGTTGCAGTGAGCTGAGATGGAGCTTCTGCATTTCAGCCTGGGGCCACAGAGCAAGATTCTGTCTCAAATAATAACAATAATAATATAATATATATATATTTCAAAATATTATATATATATATTCAGAGCCTAATCCCAGTATGATGGTCTTTGGAGGTGTGGAGGTGGGGCCTTTGGGAACAGTTAGATTATGAAGGTGGAGTTCTCATGAATGGAATTAGTGCCCTTATAACAAGAGGTCAGAGAGCTAGGCAGCTCTCTTTCTGCAATGTGAGGACAAGCAAGAAGACCACCCTCTCTAAATGAAGAAGAGGACACTCACCAAGAACCAAACCATGCTGGCATCCTGATTTAGGATATTTAACCTCCAAAACACCAAGAAATGAATGCTTGTTGTTTAAGTCATTCAGTCTGTGGTAATTTGTGTAGTAGCCTGAACTGATTATGATATCTTATATCTATAAAAGAAATTAAATCAATAATAAATAACCTTCCAAAACAGAAAGCAGCAAATGAAGATGGGTCTACTATTGAATTCTACCAAATATTTAAGAAAGAAACCAATTCTTTAAAATCTCTTACAGAAAATAGGAGTGGAGGGAATATTTCCTAATTTATTTTACAAGTCCAGTATTACCTTAATACCAGAACCATACAAAGACAACACAAGAGAAAACTACAACAAATATCAAACCTAGATACAAAAATCCTCAATAAAATATTAGCAAATCAAATCCAACAATGTATAAAAAGAATTATATATCATGACCAAAAGTGATTTATTAGTGTATGAAAATCTAGTTAAATATTCAAAAATCAATTAATGTAATCCATCACATCACAAAGCCAAAGAATAAAAATCACGATTATGACAACAGATGCAGAATAAACATTTGACAACCCATTAATGATAAAAACTTTCAGCAAACTAGGGATCGAGGTGAACTTTCTCAACTTGGTAAAGAATAGCTAAGAAAAATCTACACTTAATATCACACTTAATGACAATTAACTAGAAGCTTTCCTGCTATGGTGAGGAGGATGTCCTTGCTCATCACTCGTTTTCAATATTGTAATGGAAATTCCAGCTAAAGCAATAAGACAAGAAAAGGAAATAAAAGGTATTAATATTAGGAAGGAAGAAGTAAAACTTCATTTGCAGATGGCATAATTGTCTACATGGGAAATCTCAAAGAATCAACAAATTACTAAATTAATAAAATATTATTTTCAGTCTGCAGGATACCAGGTTAATATATAATAGTCAATCACTTTCTTATATGCCAGCAATGAGCATTTGGAATTTGAAATAAAAAACAAAATGTCATTTACATTACCATTAGAGAAATGAAATACCTAGGTATAAATCTAACAAAATATACACAAGAACTATATGAAAAACTACAACATTCTGATTAATGAAGTCAGACAAGATCTACATAAATGGAGGTACCCCATGTACATGGATAGAAAGAGTCAATATTGTCAAGATGTCAGTTCTTCCCAATTAGATCTATAGTTGCAATGTAATCCCAATCTAAATCTCAGCCAATTATTTTCAAGTTATCAATAAATTGATTCTAAATTTTATATGGAAAGAAACAGAAAAAATACAACATCAACAGCACGATGTTGAAGGAGAAGAACAAAGTTGGAGGACTGATATCACCTGACTTTAAGACTTACCACAAAGTTATAGCAATCAAAACAGCGTAATACTGGCAAAAGAATAGACAAATAAATCAATGGAACGGAATCGAGAGCGTAGTAATAGAACTACACAAACACAGTCAATTGATCTTTGGCAAAGGAGCAAAAGCAACTCAATGAAAAAAAAAACAGCCTTTTAAACCAAAGATGCTGGAACAAGTAGACATCCATAGGCAAAAAAAGAACGAATACAGAAGGAGTTATTATAGCTTTCACAGAAATAAACACAAAGGACATCATAGACCTAAATGTAAACCACAAAACTGTAAATATCTTAGGGGATGACATAGGAGAAAAATGTAAGTGATTTTAGGTTTAGTGATGAATTTTTAGACAGATTACCAAACATATGACTCATGAAAGAAAATATTGATAAGATGGACTTCATTAAAATTAATCATTGCTGCTTGGCAAAAGATGCTGTAAAGAGAATTAAAAGACAGGCCACCAGCTGGGAGAAAAATCTTTGCAAAACACATATTTGATTAATGACTGGCATCCAAAATATATCAAGATTTCTTAAATATCTACAGTAATAGAACAGATAACCCAATTAAAAAACGGACAATAAATCTGACCTAACATCTCACCAAAGATGACATAGAGATTATAGATTATCATATGAAAAAATACTCCACATCATATGTCATTTAAACAACTGAAGGATAAAAGAATAAGATACGTTTACACACTTGTGAGAATGGCAAAAATCCAAAACACTGACAATATCAGATGCTGGCAAGGATGTAGAGAAATAGGAGTTCTCATTCATTGATGGGCTGGTAGAGATGCAAAATGGTACAGCCATTTTAGAAAACAGTTTGGCAGTATTTTATAAAACTAAAAATACATTTGGCATATGATTCTAGGTATTTACCTACATGAATTAAAAACTTTAGACTACACAAAATTTATGGATATTTATGGCAGTTTCATTCATAATTGCAAATAACTTGGAAACAACCAATATATCCTTCACTAGGCGAATAGATAAATTGTAGCACTTCCATGCAATGTAATGTTTTACAACAATAAAAAGTAATGAGCTATCAAGCCATGAAAAGATAAGGAATCTTAAATACATATTATTAGGTAAAAGAAGCTAATTGAAAAGGCTATGTACTATATGACTGCAACTATATGACATTTTGGAAAAGACAAAATGTCTATAGAGACAATAAAGTGATCAGTGGTGGCAGAGGTCTAGTACAAGGAGGGAGAGAAGGCAGAGCACAGGGGATTCTTAGGGCAGTGAGACTATTCTGTACAATACTCTAATAGTAGATAGGTATCATCATACATTTGTCAAAACTCAAAGAATGTGCAACACGATTGATTGACCCCAAATGTAAACTATGGACATTAATAGTAATATATCAGGTCAGGCAAGGTGGCTCATGCCTGTAATCCCAGCACTTTGGGAAGCTGAAGCGAGAAGATCATTTGAGGTCAGGAGTTCGAAGCCAGCCTGGCCAACATGGTGAAAGCCCCTCTCTACTGAAAAAAAGAAAAAATTATCTGGGCGTGGTGGTGGGCACTTGTAATCCCAGCTACTTGGGAGGCTGAGGCAGGAGAATCTCTTGAACCCGGGAGGCAAAGGTTGTAGTGAGCAGAGATCATGCCACTGCACTCCAGCCAGGGCAACAAAGCAAAACTCTGCTCAAATAATAAGAATAATAACAACAACAATATATCAACATTGACTGATCAGTTACAACAAATGTATCGCAACAGGGCAAAATATTAGTAATACCGGAAAGTGTGTGTGGAGGGATGCAGGGTAAATAGAACTCTATGTACTTTCAACTCAATTTTCTATTAATCTAAAATGGCTCTAAAAATAATGTCTATTAATTTTTTAAAACCCACCAAAAGGCATACAATCATCTTTTGAAAATGAGTAATTATTAAGCACAAAAATAAAGCAATTTAACTACTTTTACTTTCAGGACCAATTCAGCAATTACTTTCAGATATTATTGTTCCTTAAAACACAATGACGCCGAAATATTCCACTGTGTCCTTCCTTTCTCCTTTCTAAAAACATTTTTCATCAAAGAAAACTTCTCCTACTGAAAAATATTTGGCAAATTATCTGGAAATAAAACTATTTTGCCCTTGCACTTTGCCACCTCTCAATAAACAAGTTTGTTTTCACCGGAAATCTGATTTTTTGGCTTTTAAACAGAAACACACCAGACTTGTGCTTTGTAACAGAGAAGGAAACTGAGGGTTGAAGGTCAGACTCTCATTGCAGCAAACACATGAACCCCTCACAGCAGCCAAATGCCCTACAGTTTTCAGAGACACAGTAAAGTGAACTTCCATGGAAAAGAACAAAATTCAAAAAGCAGGGGAAATGAAAAAAAAGTTACTGGTAAACAATAACAATAGACTTTGTAATACGTTTGGTTTGTTCGTGTGTGTGTGTTATAACATATGTATTTACTGACAAACGTTTATAAAATAGAGGGCTACAAGGAATACACAGAAAGAGTTGGACAGAGTTCTTGCTGTCTTTGGAAGACAAATTCTTTCTAAGCTTATTTCTTTCCTCATTCAAATTAGATTTAAAGGGTCATATGCAGGGTTGTGAAGCTTAACACAGTCACGAGTGAAAAAAGGAAAAGGGAGAAGGGAATTGAAGCAAGCTGTATCTTCGAAGCCACAACAAACTTCTTATGTTGAAATAAAAGGTCACATTAAAAGGAAGGAATTGCAACTAAAAGAAAAGCAAGATTTTATTTTTCTTTGTCACCGCTTCTACTAAATTACTAAGCTGTCAGAAGAAGAAATCTTCCGATTGTTAGATCCACTGCTCTTACCAAGTGTAGGCATCACTCGATACCGACAGACCCTTTTTTTTCCCAACTGAAGAACACAGGGTGCGGTACAGAGATGGACGCCAGAGCCTGTGCTTGAGCAGCGCAGAGCGCTCCTGGGGAATTCAGTGAAAGTTGCAAATACAATACAGCCTCAGTTAGGAAAGTAAAGGATACAGACCCCAGAAAAGGTGCAATTCCCTGACAAAGTCTGTTTGTCTGCAGCATCAACCACCTTCAAACATTTTTTATTAACTCTATTTTAAAATACAGAACATATTTAGATTTTCTAGAGCCCTAATATCTTAGTGGTTTGGATTAAAACTGTAGGCTGCAAGGTTAACTCTGCTGCTGCTGCGCTCCTGGGAAACCTGTCATTAGTGTTCTCTTTATCTTCCGTGAAAAAAAAAAAAAAAAATTCTGAAAAGGACCCGGTACCTGCCTTTAGGTTACTATGCATCAAAACCAACATAAAGCATATTTTCTGATCATATTTATTTTCACAGCTGCAATCAAACGAGGAAGTAAAGTAGGTGCTTAATATACCAAAAATATTGCGTGCACGTAATTTTCTTTAAAAACCTCATTCATCTTTTTCACGTAAAAATTAGAACCAAACACATTCAACAGAATGACATCCAGCAACTCCTCTCCCTAAATTAGCCCCCTCCCTCTCCTTTATATCTCTCTCCAACTCTACTATATTACCCTATTTGGAAGCGGGCGGCATCAGGGGAGCCAACTGAGCTATCAAGAAAACCAAACCAAAGGAAAGAAGGAGGTGTGCAGTGAATAGAGAGATGGTAGAAGAAACAGTGGTTTTGAAGTTTCTGCTGGAGCTGTCTTTCTGTATTATAGGTTTTGAAATAAAGTGTTTCATATTTTTTTTCCAGAAAAATGAAAGTACGATAGAGATGTTGAAATCATCAATAAGGAATGGCTACAGTCTGCATAATTTCTAGCTGTTTGGTTTTAGAAAGAGAAACCAGTAGAGATAAAAATCACACCTTGTGAAAGTCAGTGATGGGATCTCTTGCTTTTGGGAGGGTGGAAACAGTTATTTCCTTGGCCTGACACACGCTGTCTTACTGCTGGGGCATGCAGCTGAGTACATTGTTCTCCGCGGTTGTCTACTTGAAAAGTATTTCCAGTCAGAAGAGAGTCACGTGCAGTGTCTTTGACCTAAATTCTCCATGGTGCTACTATTCATTCTTCCCTTCCCTTCACATTATGATTCTTTGCATATACTTTATTATTCATCAGTTCACTCAAAGAACCCCCGTGTAGCTCTAAAATTTATTTAAAAAAGAAAATTTGTGTCAAAGTCAGCTACTAAAAGCAATAGAAGATTTTTTTAAAAAAATTTGTGATGTATATACATTTAAGAAGAATACAATATTCCAGTGTATCTATATAAAAATCCAAATTATTTATTTTGCTCAAAAGATTTTGTTTACATTAAAATGCAAAATCACGGATGATTGTTAAATTCATGCCAGTAATTATTTCTAAAGAGACTTATAGATAAAAACAACAAAACAATCCTGAACACGGTATTTTAAAACTGATCTTAAATGCAAGCGTTTTCACTTGCAGACTTGCTCTGCCTTTGATCAACCATACTACCTTGGACAAGCCAATTCACTTGTCTTGGCCTCAGGCTCCACACTATAAAATAAGATGTTTAAGAATAAAATCTGAAATGGTAATTTACGGTGCTAGGATCTTCATATGTATAGCCTATTATTTAAAATTTAGAGAACATTCTTTGTTAACACAGAGAAAAATAAAATATAAAATATCACATTACCTTTGTTTTGGGCTTGTTTCTTTGCATATGTGAATACCTCTGCTTGATGCATGCTTTTTAGTGGTTCGAAACACTCCTTTCCATTGTTATGCAAAGTTTCCTTTCTTGATTATGAAGGGAAAATTAGTTACTGTCTTTTCTATGCTGTGACAATGTATATCTCTACTCATATTTCTCATGAGCAGTTATATCTATTATCTTTCTATACTATTAAACTCAGATCCATGGGGCAGTCAATAGTGCTGAGCATAAACTGAGTGCTCACTAAGTGTTGGTGGAAATGAATGGATGATCACATGACGATCATCTATGTCCATTGATAATCTCACAATGCTATGTCAATGAAAACAAAGTGTGTCCATAACAGTGAACACCCACCTGAAAAGAGATGATTTATGGCAAATCATAAACCAGAAGTTTAAAGAAATAGACATGAAAAGGTCCAGAGGATTTAACTTTATAGATGCAACATCTTCTAAAGTCAAAGATTAGATAATATCGTGAATATTGAGCCTTGGGGCATTCAGTGTCTACTCTAGGTCTTCAAACCAAAAGCAGTCCACGTCAACAGAGTTTACACAATGAGGAAAAGTTTATTCTTAAAAACAAGCATGACCCAAGAAATTATTTAGCTTTTTATCTAATCCCAAAATGAACTTCACAAAGCTTTAGAACACGGTTTTGCTGTTTAACATATTGTTGTTTTCAGTAAGGTCCACCTTATGAAAGCTGTGACTCCTTTGAGGTGGTCAAATTAAAATTTTGCAGAAAGCTTACAAATTATCACATGCAAAGTGAGGTACTTAAAAGGGTCAACTACATAATTAACTTCACTTCCAACTCAGTCATACATGCTAATGAGATCTTGGGACAGGATGAATAAATGCAATTTTCAGTTAATCCCAAACCACATCATGACTATCAATTGCAATTTTAAAAATTACTAAGCATTCTTCAAAAACACTGTTCTGAAAGAATATTAGAAAGATCTGACTCAGCTCCCCTGGCTAGCCTCTCAGTGGAGGTGCTAATGAGCAGTGAAATGGCTAAGAAGGGTCTAGAAAGATAAAATAGCAAATGTTTTCCAACCTATTCACCCAGACTCTCATTACTCTGGTACACATCTGCGCCACCGCCGCTTGTCTTATCCGCTTTTAATAAATTATCATATGATGCTTTATGCTGACTTTTTTTTCACCAGCTTTTATTGCTTCACAGTTTTTAACTCATCATTTTTGGTTTAATAATAATTTGTATTATTAAAACAGCCTGGCCTGGCACAGTGGCTCATGCCTATAATCCCAGCATTTTGGGAGGCCGAGGCAGGTAGATCACCTGAGGTCAGCAGTTTGAGACCAGCCTGGTCAACACAGTGAAACCCCATCTCTACTAAAAATACAGAAAACAGCTGGGCGTGGTGGCGCACACCTGTAATCCCAGCTACTTGGGAAGCTAAGGCAGAATTGCTTGAACCTGTGAAGTGGAGGTTGCAATGAGCTGAGATCATGCTACTGCACTCCAGCCTGGGAGACAGAGTGAGACTTTGTCTCTAAATAAATAAATAAATAAATAAAAATAAAAATAAACAGCCTGTATGGTAGATCCTTTGTTCTGTTTTGTCCCTTTCAGATCCACCCTGAAAAAAGCTTCCTAAATGCCTTGTTTGTTTGTTTGTTTGATCGATTGTTTGTTTTGAGACAGGGTCTAACTCTGTCACCCAGGCTAGAGGACAGTTGCCCCATGTCAGTTCACTGCAGCCTCCACCTCCCGGGTTCAAGCGATTCTCCAGCCTCAGCCTCCTGAGTAGCTGGGATTACAGGCGTGAGCCACCATGCCCAGCCCTAAATGACACTTAAAGGGCAATGTGACTATGTCAACTGTCTGTTTAAAATCAACAGCTCCAAGCTGCTAGGATAAAATCAAAACTATTCAACATGACCACAAGGCCATGTACATAAGAATCCTATTTATGTCTTCCAGACACCTCTCCTGGTACCTTTCCTTTATTTTATTTTATTTTTGAGACAGGATCTCACCCTGTGCCTCAGGCTGGAGTGCAGTAGCACAGTCTCGGCTCACGGCAGCCTCAACATTCCAAGGTCAAGCTATCCTCCAGCCTCAGCCTCCTGAGTAGCTGGGACTACAGGCACATGCCACCATGCCCAGCTAATTTTGGTATTTTTTGTAGAGACAGGGGTCTCCCTATATTGCCCAGGCTGGTCTCAAACTCCTGGGCTCAAGTGATCTGCCTGCCTCAGCCTCCCAAACTGCTGGGATTACAGGCATGAGCCACCGCACCTGGCCTATACATCAGCCAATCTGAACTACTTTCAATTCCCTCAAGTCCATAATCTCCTACCTCTCCACTTTCAGCCTTCACACATGCCTCTCTAATACAACAAGCTAGTGCCTGCCTGCATTCTCTGCTCATCTGTGCCATACATGATTAGGGGACAGGCTCTGAGCAGCAGCCTCTCTTGCACTTTGCCTGTATACAGGTAAATCTGTCCAACTCCAAGCTGAAGCATTAATAAGCCCCCTTGGAAAGACTAACTAAAGTTCTTTTCTTCAAAACTCCTCATCAGTAAAAGCAGCTAACATTTTTAGCTCCATCTGCCAGAGTGTTTGTCTACAATCCAAACTTGGGTGAGTAACAAGATTTATTGGGTCATGTGGAATACCAATACCTGAGTTGCAGTTGTCTACTTGCCTTTCTTCCCCATTAGCCTGTAAACATCTGTGATATAACTAACCATGTTTACCTTGATCATGATTATATTTTCAGCATCTAACAGTTTATCTGGAACATAGTAGGTATATGATGGTCATTCAATCAAAATTTATTTAGCGAGTAAATGAATGGGCACAAAACAACCAAAAAATCCAGACTTCTCAGCATTGCACTAATGCCTCTAGAATTGCATTTCTCACCAGTTCCTAACTAATTTTTAGAAATATTTAAACACTTACACCTTATTCTAAAACATTATTAGTTCTTATTGCACTGATTTAGTATTAGATAACTTAATCTATCATAGGTTTAAATGTATCTTTGTTCAACAGAAAAGATTTATTAATCAAAGATAAAGTACTGTAAATGTAATCATAGAATCTTCAGTGTGAAAATTAGTTTATTAGTTATCTATCAAGAAAAAGCACCCAAAAATAACACTAAATTAATTTCTCTGTAAAAGGTGCTGAGGTCATTTTAAATGATTTTCATCTGCTTATACCGTTAAAAAGATAAGATTTTTCTTTCCAAAACCATAGTAATAGTGGCTTTCAAGGCTTTTGGTATGCTAGGAATAAAAAAAAACTATGCTATTTGTGTTTGAAAATTCAGTGATTTAGACTGTCTTCTAATTTGGCCTTGTGTTATCCAGTTTTAATAAGTCACCTACCATGCTTCACACTGATGTTTTTACCAGGTTTTATTACTTCACAATTTTTAACACATTTGTGGCTTAAATATGTCGTCTTTTTTTTTTTTTTTTTCTTGAGACGGAGTCTTCCTGTGTCGCCCAGGCTGGAGTGCAGCTGCAAGCTGCACTCGGCTCACTGCAAGCTCCGCCTCCCAAGTTCACGCCATTCTCCTGTCTCAGCCTCCCAAGTAGCTGGGCTGCAGGCGCCTGCCACCACGCCTGGCTAATTTTTTTTTTTGTATTTTTAGTAGAGACGGGATTTCACCATGTTAGCCACGATGGTCTCGATCTCCTGACCCTGTGATCCTCCCGCCTCGGCCTCCCAAAGTGCTGGGATTACAGGCGTGAGCCACCACGCCCAGCCAATATGTTGTCTTTCAAACCCCTTTTTTATTATTAAAACTGTCCTTTTTCCTTACCACAGGCAATAGCTAAATAAACATAATATTATAGTGTAACAATGTGGTTCAGAACCAACGGTAGGGACCATGCATACTCATTAAGTGAAGGTCTACAACAAAGAGGGCAAAGTGCCACCAAGGCTTGACTCTGTGGAAATGGGTACACAGATGAACGGTCCACTAATAGAAAGCTCCATTGGCCAGGCCCTGCCTTGTGTCAGGGACTAAGGCAGTCCCGTGGAGCTCTCTGCTTCTGACCATCATTGTAACGGTACAAGTGAGGTAGAACCACCCACACAGAGAAATGACAGCAGAGAACTCAAGTAAAACACACAAATTGCATAACAAGTAAGTAGAATGCCTAGATTTAAGCATAAAAGGACAGAATTGAATAAATCAAGAAAAATAAAACAAATAGACAACCCTGCATTCCATAATGGTGTTGGATATAAGAAGTATAGGTGAATTTGCATAATTAAGCTATTGGAAACTATCCAGATCTTTAAAATTATATAAATGTTCTACAAGCTAATATGTTAATAAACTCATTCAAATAAGGTCAAAACATTGTATTCTTAAATAAATAATTAATAGGCAAATCAAAGAAATAGAAGAGTGTGAACAACTGGTCTCCAAAAGACAACATATCTGAGACAAGAATTCATCAAAGTTAGACTTTGGAATATGACATGACTGTAAAGTAGCCAGACTGATTTTTTATGTCCTAATAATGGAAATTCCTATCACAAATTGAAAATCAGTGTTCACACCTTTAGTATTCCTACAATGGATAAAACAGTCATGTACGCCCAAAGTTTAGCTGTATTTTATTTAGTACTTTCTTGTCAGCATGCTGACAAATACTACAAAAAATGAACAACTTTTCTTTCAATGTTTTGTCTTTTAGGGAAAATAAAACTCTTCTTGCTCTAATAATATCTTGAAATATGGGTTTTAATTTACATAAGCTCTTCATACCTGTTAGAAAAGCCTAGATATTCCTAGTGAATGGAAACATACTATATTCTTCCTAATATCTAAAAATAGTAATACATTATTTGATACATATCTTAAATCAAATTCTTACCAAAAATGCCTTGTGATTACAAACTTGTATTCATACAAAATAATATTTATATAAAAAGTTAAAGACAATCTTAATAATTCTCTTCTTCCTTCCCATATCATTAGCCTTACAGTGAGGCTATTAACTTCACATTATCAGGAAAAGTGTATAAAACTATATTCAATGTCTACGTGATGCAGTAACATTATGCTTAAATTCAAGTAGAGATTCCTGGTTCTTCTTAAGAGGTGATAGTTTATAATCAAATGGCAGAAAGAAAGTGTGACTCCCAACTGAACTCTTTTTAACCTTCTTGAATTCCTAAACACTTCTGCTCAGTAGTCTCCCTTCGCATGCGCACCACTTAACCCTCCAAATACTATGTGGTCCTACTTCAATGCTGTCAGGTTCAAAGGTTTCTCCAAATTTTCCAAACATTTAAAAGTAAATATGTATTGTTACTTTTTTCAAGATGCTAAACAAAGTTTTAAGAAATAATACCATTTTTGATGTGCTATTGTATTAGCCTGTTTTCACCCTGCTATAAAGATACTACCCAAGACTGGGTAATTTATAAAAGAAATAGGTTTAATTGACTCACAGTTCCACATGGCTGGGGAAGCTTCAGGAAACTTACAATCATGGCAGAAGGTGAAAGGGAAGCAGGCACCTTCTTCACGAGGAGGCAGGAGAGAGAAGTAATAGAAGGGAGACTTCCAAACACTTATAAAACTATCAGATCTCGTGAGAACTCACTAACTATCATGAGAACAGCATGGGGAAAACCAATTGCCTGATCAAACACCTCCCTTCCTCGACAGGTGGGGCTTACAAAATTTGAGATGAGATTTGGGTGGGGACACAGAGCCAAACCATATAAGCTATCATTTAGTATTTTCTTTTAGAGTACCCAAAAAAAGATCAGTCCCTTCCCCTCTTGCCTCCACATACCTTCTTCCCACTCAGGCCAGACTGTGACTTAAGAGAGAAATAAATCACTTGTGTGAGCCACTGAGATGTACTATTATTATTTTTTACAATGAGTCAATGCTGAAAAAACAAATAATATGGCAATAAACAACCATAGTGTCTAATTCAAGTACTTTCAACCAGATATTCAGGCTTAGCTGCATATTGGATTCAAGTACTATAGGTTTTTCAAAAAATACCAATATCTGAGTTTTAATCTGAATCAACTGAAACTCTATCTCAATAGGTAAGCCAAATAGCCCTAGTTTTTAAAAGCTCTCTAAGTGAGTCTGATGCATTAGTGAGAGTTAAGAACCGCTGCTAATCGTGGAGCTGCATTAACTCAATCATAGTAAAGGTGGTATCTTTGCAGTGTTGTATCTATTTTATCAAAGCCCATGTAAAGCCTAAAACTGTCCATTTAAAGCAAAAAAAAAAAAAATCCAAATTGAATTCTGGAAACCTTGCTTTAAAATTCCAATAAATATTTCACAATTGCTCCATTTATTCCTCAACTTCAGGCAAATGCTAGCTTTCCCTTAATTAAAATAAATATCTGGTCAGAATAGAAGCTCGTTTTTACCAAGAAACAACTGCCACAACAATGTAAAGACTGACTACAGTTTCATGAGGTGTAAGTTTAACAACACTGAAGACTACTTGGATTCTATTTCAATTCCATAAACTAACGACTTGTTTTTCAAGCAAGCATCAATTTATATTACTGAATATTTAATCACCATACTGCCTGAAAGGTTATTTAAACACAACTTTTCCAGGTGGTATAGGATGAGCAAAAACTGTCACATCAACTGAGTCAATTATTCCGTTCTTAAGTTCAGCAGCCTATTACTAAAGCAGAGTCAAAAGTAAATATCAATCATACTAAAATTTTATATGCATATGCCAAGTGTTCCCATTGTTCAATTCCCACCTATGAGTGAGAACATGTGGTGTTTGGTTTTTTGTCCTTGCGATAGTTTGCTGAGAATGATGGTTTCCAGCTTCATCCGTGCAACAAACCTGCATGTTGTGCACATGTACCCTAGGACTTAAAGTATAATAAAAAAAATACATATAAAAAAACTTTATATGGAGAGCTCCTGAGTTTCTGAGATCAGGCTTATAGACCTGGAACCATGGCAAAAGTTCACAGGAAAAGACAGGGAGAAGAAAATGAATTTTCACTTAGGCTATGATGCTGAAAATATCAATTACTTATTTTCCAACCACAAATTTGTAATTGATAGCTTTATTCTATTTACCACTAAGTTAATTAAAAGTAAATAATAATAGTAATAACTAGCAACAGTAGTAATGCTAAGAGAGCTATTTGCTTCTTGTTTTGTGAGTTTTACATCTACTCCTCTGCAGTCAAGTATACTGATCTGGTTTACTATTTTGCCCTGACTATAATTAAGAGTATTATTTCATCCAGTAATGAAATTTATAACAGCTAATTTTGAAGATCTGCTAAGGTCTGGGTACTGTGTGAGATAGTTTACATATCTTCAATCCATACAACAAACCTTGAATTAAGTAATATTATCATTTTACAAAAGTTAAAAAAGCAGCAGTTTGGGGGGCTCAGGCAGGTGGATTACTTGAGCCCACTAGTTGGAGACCAGCCTGGGCAACATAGCAAGACTCTACAAAAACTACAGAAAGAAATAGCTGGGCGTGGTGGCATGCATCTGCAGTCCCAGCTTCTCCAGAGGCTGAAGTGGGAGGATCGCTTGAGCCACAGGGATGGAGATTGCAGTGAGCCCAGATCGTGCCACTGCACTCCACCCTGGGCAACAGAGTGAGACCCTGTCTCAAAAAAACAAAACAAAACAAAAACCTTGAGGCCTCACCGTAAGATCATTTAAATTTTTAAAGTTGTTTTGAATGTACTGACAACAGGATTTGAACCCTAGAAGTATGACTATTTAGCTTGCTTTCTGACACGGGCCTTATTATTAGTTTTCATATGTGTAAGATCAATGCCTACTAACTGGAATATTCTAGTAAATTTGTGAATGTTCTTCCTAAATAAACTGGGGTTCTTAAAATGAGGATTGAATTAGTTTGATGGATTATAATAATATTTGTTTCCAAATTCTGCTGGGTAGAATCAAGACAGGTTTTTGAAAGTATGTTTCTCAAATTTGAAAAAATGTATGAAATATTTATCTTGGCAATAATAATAGTGATGTGACGACTGAAAAGATTTATGTACAGGTCACTTCTCAAGAGTTAGGAATCCTAAGGCTTCCTCTCAATCAGTACACCAGCTCAGCAGGCGTAGGGTTTGATGTTTGTTTGTTAGCATATTTTGCCATTTAAGATGCATTCAATTTTTAATATAAAATAAGTGAAACATATTATCTCATGCATAATCGTTGGCTAAATTGAATGATTTTAATCAAAAGTAGCTTACAGAAATTATCACTTCGACTATGTCTAACACTTAAAGATTTTGTACATTGTATGAAACTGAAGGAAATGAAGGGAATAAAAGAAAGATTACAAATACAGGATTTTACGGTTTGAAGCAGGAATAGGGAAAGTGTTATCTAGAGGTAATTATTGTTAATCTTTTAAAAACTGGGGAAATAGTTTTTATTTTATTTTTATTTGGTGGAAAAAAGCATAAAAATAATATAATTAACAAAAATGACCTACCACTCAAAATCAACCAAGGGCAAAGTTTAGTTATATCAGATTTCATCTGGCTTTTAAAGGGATATAACTTGTTGCACAGAAAACTCATCCTTTTTAGAATAAAATTCTAAAAATCTTGGAAAATGTATGCAGTCACATAAACATCATTGTAATTGAGAGATAGAACAATTTTTCATAAATTGTCTTGTCCATCTGTAGTCAACCACTTGCCTCACTTCCAACCACTCTTAAGCACTGCTTTGTTTTTTATCTTGATTGCCTTTTGAGAGTGTCACATAAATTGATTGATTGCCTTTAGAGTCTGGCTTCTTTCACTGAGCATGCATTTAAGATTCATCCATGTCCTATGTTATTGAGAGTTTCTTCATTCTTTACTGCTGAGTAGAATTCCATCTATGGCTGCACCAGAGTTCGCCCATTCAGCAGCTGAAGGTCACAGATTATTCCCAATTTTTAATGACAACAGATAAAACCATTATAAACCTGCGCTTAACAGATTTTTGAGTCAACATACATTTTTATTTATCTCGGGTAAATACATAAGGGAGGGCTTGCTGGAACATTTTAAGTGTATTTTTGATTTTATAAAAAACAGCCAAGCCATTTTTCAAAGTGGTTGTACCATTTAGCAGTCCCACAACGATGTTTGAGAATTCCAGCTGTCCACTGTCAGGACTTGGTATTGTCAGGTTTTTTTGGTTTTCTTTGCTTGGATTTTTGTTCTGTTTTCCTTTTTTAAAAAAAACTATTCCCATAGGTGTATTGTGTTATCTCATTGTCAGTTTGATTTGCATTTCTCTACTGACTAATAATATTTTATGTATTTTTATGACTATTTGCCACCTGTATATCTTTCTTAGTGAAGTGTCTATGTAAGTTGTTTGCCCTCTGTTTTCTTGTTAGTGGGTTTTTATTATTCTTTATATATTTAGGATATCAGTCTCTTATCAGGTATATGTTTCGCAAATGATTTCCCCCAGTATACGGTTTGTCATTTCATTTCCTTAATGTGTCACAAAATAAGACACAAAATAAGTGTCTTCCATTTTGATGGATATCAACTTTTTCTTTCAAAACGAGACTTTTTGTGTTTGTCCTAGGAAATATTTGCTTAACATAAGGTCAAAAAGATTTTTTCCTTTGCTTTCTCTTAAAAGCTTTGTAAGTTAATGTTTTACAGTTATGTTTTATATCCATTTTGAGTTAATGTCTTTATAATGTACAAGTTAGGTCAAAGTTCAAGGTTCATTTCTTTATACATGGTGTCTAATTCTTCCAGTATCATTTGTTTAAAATACTTTGCTTTTCTCCACTTAATACTCTATGTATCTTTGTCAAAAATAAGCTGAAATTGTGATGTGGGTTTATCTCTAGAGTTTGTTCTCTATTCCATTAATGTATATATCTATCCTCTCACCAATGCCACACAGTTTTGATTATGATGGCTGTAGAATAAGTCTTAAAATGAATTAGCATGACTTCTCCAATTCTGTTCATTTTTAAAATTGCTTTGGCTATTCTACTTCCTTTGCCTTTCCATATGAATTTGAGAATCAACCTATAAAACTTCTTGGTGGTATTTTTATTGAGGTTGCACTGAATCTATAGATAGGTTTAGAGAGAATTGACAATTTAATATTGAGTCCTCCAATCAATTAATGTGGTGTATCTTTCTATTTAGGTCTTTGTTTTCTTTCATGGCTATTTTGTATTTTTCTGCATAAACGGCATGTACATATTGTGTTCGGTTTATACCTATTTTATATATTTTGGTGCTATTTGTAAATGGTTTTCATTTTTTGTGGGAGTCATAGAACATAACGCAATTTTATTTTGTCAAGTGACTTTTATTGCAGGCTGCATCCCTGGTATCAAGTTAAATAATAAATCAATATAGCACAAGGTGCCTCAAAGATGGGGAGGGGAGAATTTAAAGGACCAAAACGAAGGAGGAAAGCTATGAGGACAGATAATCTATAATCAGATTTTAAAGGACCTCCAACTCTTCAAGTGGCTGTGATTATTGCATAACGTATCAGACAGATACATAGAATGGAAAGTGGCTTAACAAATATTTTAAACAATGCCTTAATTTCATGGTGATAACGCAGTTGCACTGTATTTCTCATGCTTCTTTGGAGCTCTTTATATACCATGCAGAGCTTTCTATTTTGAAGGTCCTGTCTCAGCAGACAAAATTCCATCTCCCTCTGTGATTTTTAAAATGTCCTTTAACAGGTTAAGGAAGTTTACTTCTATTCCTAGTTAAAGAAATTTATCGTGAATGGATGCTAAAACTTTGTCTAATGCTTTTTCTATGTCTATTGTGGTGATTATAAGGTTTTTCTTTTTTAATCTGTTCTTATGGTGAATTACACTAATTAAATTTCAAATGTTAAACCATTTGAAACCATTTCCTTGCTTTCTTAGAATAAAGCCCACTTGGCCTATACATGTTGCATATTGGTTTCAATTTGCTTAAAATTTCCTTGAGGAAGTTTGCATCTATGCTCCTGAGATATATTAGTCTAGAGTGTTATTTTATTTTTGTCTGCTTTTGGCATCAGGGAATGCTGGCTTCATAAAATGGGTTGGGAATGATTTTCGTTATTCTTTCTTTCTGGCAGGTTTTGTGATAGAACTGCTGCTATTATATTTTCCTTAAATGGCGGGTCAGACTCCCCAGGGAAGCATCTGGAGTTTTCTTTGTTGCAAGCTTTACAACTATTAACTCAGTTTATTTAATGCATATAGGAGGACTCCAGTTACCTATTGTGCTCTCTCTGTCTCTCTCTCTCTCTCTCTGTCTCTCTCTCTGTCACACACACACACACACTCACACACACCTGATTTTCTCTAGTTACCAGAGATCAGAGCATTTCTTGATATATTTATTGGACATCCATGATTACTTATTCCATGAAATTATATTGTTCTATTATTGTTTATTTTTATTTATTTATTTATGTATTTATTGAGACGAAGTCTTGCTCTGTCACCCAAGCTAGAAGGCAGTGGCATGATCTCAGCTCACTGCAACCTCTGCCTCCCAGGTTCAAGAGATTCTCCCGCCTCAGCCTTCCGAGTAGCTGGGACTACAGGTGCGTTCCACCACGCCCGGCTAATTTTTTTGTATTTTTAGTAGAGACGAGGTTTCACCGTGTCAGCCAGGATGGTCTTGATCTCCGGACCTTGTGATCTACCCACCTTGGCCTCCCAAAGTGCTGGGATAACAGGCATGAGCCACCGCGCCCAGCCCTCTCCTGTTCTTTTATTTGCTCATTTTCTATTGTATCATTTGTCTTTTTTCTTAGTGATGTATAAGTTATTTATATATTCTTAACACTTAAAAAAATCCAACCTGTTTTTCAATATTTTATTGCTTCATAGAAGTGCTTTACATTTTGATATGGTAAAATTTGTCAGTATTTTTTATTACTACTTTTCCTCTATATTTTTAAAATCCTTCCCTGCCCTAGTGTAATAAAGATACTTTCCTATATTTTTATTGTTTTTTACAATTAGATCTTTATTAGGTAACTCTTATCAGATGCATCTAGAATTTATTTTCATGTGTAGGGTAAGATAGGGATATGTGTGAGGCAGTAAAATAATTTATTCATTGTCTGCATAAACCTGTTGTCCCATCACCATTTTTTGAGTAGGCCTACATTGATTAGTAATTCCTCCCCTATTATATATCAAGGACACAGAAAGCTGAACTATTTTTGACCTATATTGGGTTATAGTCATCTATGTATTTATTTAGTGCTAAACCACAGTTGTAATTACTGTAGTTTAAGAATAAGTCTAGATATTTAGAAGGCTTAATTCTCCCACCTTCTTTTTCTTTTTCAGAATTATGTCAATTTATAGAACATCTCTTTTCCTTACAGAATTTTAGAATCAGTTTGTAGATTCCATGAAAACTTTTTTGAAAATGTTCTTGAAATTGCATTTGAAAATATATGTATATCTATATCTATATATGTACACACACATATTTGAAAGAGATGTGATAATGAGATTGCATATCTGCTAACCAGATCTATCTTATCATGTGTTCACATTTGCTTTCTGCCATTAAAATCTCATATATTTTTGGTAAATTTACTGCTGGGATTAGTATAAAACTTTTTGCTATTGTAAATTAGATTTTAATTACCCTTGTTTTGGTATTGTTGAGATACTGAAATGCTCTTGGTAATACATGTTGACCTATGCCAAGCATTCCTGCTGATCTCTTATTATTTTTAATTCTTGTAGAATGTCTTTATTATATAGACAAGTGCATTGTCTTGATTAATGCCAAATTTGCCTCCATCTTTCCAACCTTTCCACTTATATGTTTTCTTTTCTGATTGCTCTGATTAGGAAAACAAAGTCAGCGCTGAATAGCAATGGCAAGAGTGAGTGTCCTTTTCCTGTACTTGACGTTATTGGGAATGTTTCTAGTGTTTCACCATTAAATATAATGTTACTTACAGTTTTTGCAGGATTTCCCAGATCAGTTTATAACCATTCTATTCTATTCCTAATTTACTTATAATTTTTATCATAAGTTAATGTTAAATTTTATTAAATATGTTTTCTTTCATTTATTTATAATTTTTTTTTCTGAGATGGAGTCTTGCTCTGTCACTAAGGCTGGAGTGCAGTGGTGCAATCTCGGCTCACTGCAACATCCATCTCCCGGTTTTAAGTGATTCTCCTGCCTCAGCCTCCCAAGTAGCTGGGATTACAGGCACGTGCCACCATACCCAGCTAATTTTTGTATTCTTAGTAGAGATAGGGTTTCACCATGTTGACCAGGCTGGTCTCGAACTCTTGACCTTGCGATCTGCCCCCCTCAGCCTCCCAAAGTGCAGGGTCCCAAAGGCATGAGCCACTGCACCTGGCCTACATTTTATTAAATGCATTTTTTATGTTTACTGAGATGATCATATGGTTTTTTTCCTTCAAACATTGAAAATGAAATTTCAGCTCTTTAACCATCCCTCCATTCCAATAAGTGTTATTTGGAAAGAATTATTTTTAGGACACTTTTAGGCCAGGTGTGATGCCTCATGCTTGTAATTCCAGCACTGTGGGAGGTCAAGATGAGAGAATTGCTTGAGGCCAAAAGTTTGAGACCAGCCTGGGCAACATAGTGAGACCCTATCACTATAAAAAAAAATTTTAAATAAGTTGGGTGCAGTGGCTGTGGGTATAGTCCCAGCTACTCAGGAGGCTGAGGCGGAAGGATTGCTTGAGCCCAGAAGAGTCTGCATTCTGCCCACCAGGCTACAGTGAGCTAGTATTGTGCCACTGCCACTCCAGCCTGGGCAACAGAGTGAGACTCCACCTCTACAAACAAGAAAAAGAGACTTTTAAATTTTTGCAGTACTTGACGTATTTACCTCTATTCTTAAACAAAACCTTTCTTATATTTTCCTGTTGTTTATAATCTCCCATGTATCATATTTTTCATCTCCATTGCTGCTAGAATGATCGTTTTAAGTGAACAATTTAAGTATCTTATTTCCCCAGCAAATAGCCAACAGTGCATCTACACACTTACTGCTCAAAAGGCCAACCATCTAACATGTCATGCAAGAGCCCCACCCCCTAATTGAGCTCTTGTTGATCAATGCACATCTCTCACATTTCTATACTCCAGTCAACTGAGCTGCTTACAATTCATTGAATACCTCATGCTTTTTTCATTTCAATATTTTATTCATACTACTCCTCTGGCTAGAAGGCCTTTTCCTTGATTCATAAGTCAGGCAAATCATTTCAAAGTTTTATGGATTAGCTCTAGCCTGTCTCTGAATCCTTTACTGACATTTTAAGAGGAATTTCAACTACTGTCTTCTGCCCATATACACCATATAAAGTTCCACCTCAACATCTGTTATGCCATATAATTCCTACGGTTTTATTATTATACCAAGTACCATATTTTATCTTTCTTTAGAAATGTGTAGCACTAAGCATTCTGTCTAGCAAATAGCAAGTTTAAAAATTACTTGGTGAATGAATTACACAGATAGACTTAGCAAGCTCTGATTTTTAGGACCATCTCTAAGTGTCTTTTGACCAACACCTGGCTCTTAATTCTAGCTTCTTCCTAACAATATCCATAAAAGCTTTAAATGATCAGCTTATTCCTAAGAAAACACATGACTACAGTGTGTATTGGTTTAGAAAAATAACCTCTCATTTGATTGAAGTTTGTCTTAAATTACAAATCTAAAGTTCTCTTTATGATAGATTTAAAAAGAAATTAAGACTTAAAACTTAGTTAAGACAAACTTACTTTTGTACTAAAGTGTGTTTGTGTGTGTGTGTGTGTGTGTGTGTGTGTTTGTCTTTATATTAATTGAATACTTTCTCCTGGTGACTTTGTTAAGCTATTTGACTTATTTTCCCTCATTTATTCATCTCAACAACTCCACGATTATATATTATTTTTATTAGGCCTACAAATAACATAACTAAACTTAGGGATAATAGATCCTTTCTCCAATTTAGTGGATCTAGAAGTTGAGAACAGATGGTTCTAAATCAAAAATTGCCATGAAACTGTCATGAATTTGCCAAGGAAGAATGTTTTGTTTCAGGTTGCTTAGAAATTAATTAATTGAATGATATAAAATTTTATTTCAAATGATGTATAAAGTAAAATAATATAACCTTTTTTCACCCATTAACCTGACTGAAAAAGTCTAAACTTTATAATTCCATAACACCAAAAGAGGTTTTATGTAAGCAGAAATTAGAATTATTTGTTAGTTGTGAAAAGAGAAAAAATCCATTTGTATTTATAAATTATATAGTAGTAGAATTTAATACAAAACAAGATTATCTTCCCAAATCTACCTTTATCTAGAAAAATAAAACAACCATAGCTATCTCCTCTCTAAACAACATTATTGACTACAAAATATCCTGAGTCATTGTTGAAAATGAACTTTTTGTAAATATTTGTTGCCACTATAGCCCACTTCAATGCACTTCTCTTTGTTATTGCTGGCTATGTTTAGCTTAGTAACCTAAGCAATGGCACCCAACAACTTGGCAATTAATCATTTTAAAATTAAAAGATTAAGTCCACTGAAAGCCTAATTATGAAAACTGGACAAAGAAAGAAAGACAGGAGTGCAAATAATTTCAGCTTACTTGTTCAGAAATGAACATTAGACAAGAATGCTTAATCAACTCTATGAAATTGTTGTCCTATGAAAGAACATATTCATTTTCACTAGGAGATGAAACTTTTTGTAGTCATATATTCAAAGACTAAAGAACCTTATTTGAGATGCCCAAAAGATAATAAGTAGGACTTGTTGCTATGACTTCAACAACCAGCATGCAGCTAATCAGCATCCATTGCAGCCACTGAAAAGGAACTGGCTATTTCAGTCCTTAGCTTTACTTCTAAAGATGCAGTGATCAAAACTGAAATTTGACCTAGAAGCTGTCATTGGTCTAAAGATGCATGACAAAAGATTTGGCAAGTGCTAATAAGAATAGGAAAACAACAACCAACAAAGCAGTCAGATTTCTCAAACTTTCAGGATGGTAAAGTGCATCAAAACCAGCCAAGAGCCTAATTGGCAAAGATTATACCCAATGTAGCGTGAGGGGCAGGCTCATTACTCTGATTTGTTGTCAATGTTAAAAGAGTAGATTTTTTTCATACTAAACAGCTAATAAATAAACAGTGAGATACAGCCATTGGGACAGAAGAAGAAAGCCAGGGACAAAGAAAACAGAAGGACTCAACTTGAGCAGAGCAAACAGCTACTTGTACCCCAATTCTGTAGTCTTTGGAGGAATTGGAAGATCATATTAAAGCTATGCCTACCAGTAGAGCAATACTTCTTATACACATTTGCATCTAAAAATTCATCTGCACATAGCACCACATATCAATTAAAGAAGGCTTTACTGAAAAATGAAAAGACATAATTACAAATATCCTATTAGCTTTAAAAAAAATTACTATTCAGAATGCTTTGTTTTAATTATGCTGTATTTTATTTTAATTATGTTGTTTTGAATCAGTCCTTGATGTAAAAGATAAGAGAGAACTGAATGAGTCTTTCAACCCAAGGATAATAGCCTCTTTAAACATTCATCGTTTGAGCTTTAAAAGCCAAGAAAAAGCAAGAAAGGGGAAAAATAGGGGGCAAAAGGGAAGACATGGAAGAGAGCCCCAGAATTATGGAGACCTACAGACAATAATGTGAAATACAAGGTATTACAAGAAAGGGATCTTTCTTCTTTGCCCTTCATCTCAATTAAGTCATACAAGTATTAAAGTATTAAAAATATGAAAATAAATTTTAATAATGCTAAATCATGTGATCTTTTTAAAAAAAAGCTGTTGGTATCCTGCAATTACCAACACTTAACTATACATTTTCTGATAGCTAAAGTTTCTAATTTTTAATTTTATAACTTAGTTTGATCAGTGTAATAGTCCACTATGTTATAATCTATAGTTAAATATGTTAAATTATTTCCTTTATAGTGAATCAGATCTCTTTAGGTCTTTGGGTAAAATTTTATAAATTTCTGATTATATCATGGCAATAAGTGGGAAATAGAATCTTAAAGCCTTGTCTGGAGGTTCTGTTTAGTTAAGGAGTGAAACCAACTGAATAATCATAAATGTTTCTGTCATCTATAAGAGTCATCCTCTTGCATAGCTTCCAACGAAGGCCATGTGGCATAGCAAGAAGTGGTGTAACATCTATCTCTCTGGACAAGTAGATCAACAAAGCAATCCTGAATCACTGGGTTGACAGAAGTCATACCAGATCATCCTCCTACTTAATAACACGGGTTTTGATATACACAGTTATTTATAATTAATTGGAAGTTACCAGAATTGTGAATACTTTTCATTTGTTTGTGCTTGTTCTTGATGACTCCTTCCTCTCTTCAGAATACCAACTTCTCCTAGTTTGTATTCTAACAAATAAAAAGATGTTTTTCCTTCTTATTATCCCACATATTTTCTTCCTTTTTATTACATCTGTAACCAAATCTGCTTGGATCTCCATCACTCCCTGTAGGAAATGCTGCAAAGTCACAAACCATCCAGCTGCTCGTCAAGATACTCATTCAGAAAGCTTCTCTTGATGACTGCAGCCTCCATCGATGTCCTCCATTCCTGACCAGTGGTTTTACCAATGATTATATTTAATCTAGATCTCTGTGTCTTACAGATTTTTAAATAGTTTCCTGTGTGCAAGTTTTTATCTCCAATGAAAGCATAAGTCCTTTAGAATCAGAAATTATACTTACCCTGCATCCTTCGTTACGTCATTATGTGCAGAGCAAGGGTGGGCATGGGATAGACCCTTCAGTAGACCCCTAAGAAATACTTGTTCAATCGAGTCAACACTAAAATAAATTTAAAAGGCTGCTTTTGGGGGTGAAGTAGTTTTTTTTTTTTTTTAACCAGGGAATGGTTGGTGGTCCTACAAACAAAAATTCTCCCACAACAATGATCTTAAGATGATATAATGAGATATGTGAATTATCATTGGAATTTTTAAATATTTGACATTTCTTGAGTTGAGTATCCCTTTACCTGTCAGCTGATTTAAACCAGGATGTATTTATCATATGATGTAAGGGGATTTCTCTTAAGGTAACTGCTGTGAAATGAATGAAATTATTTAATAACACTAATTTTTGTAGGTATTTCTATGCCTTTTTTACCTAAGGAACCAACTACTTACAAATCGTATACTTGTATTAATAGTTGCTCTGCCTTTTTCCTCTTTAGAGAAATTTGCTTTCTTACATACAATTAACAAATAAAATTTCATTCTTCTTTTTAAATCTTTCTTTCTTTCTTTATCTTTCTTTCTTTTTTTTTTTTTTGACGTAATTTCGCTCTTGTAGCCCAGGCTGGAGTGCAGTAGCATGATCTCACTGCAACTTCTGCCTCCTGGGTTCAAACGATTCTCCTGCCTCAGCCTCCCAAGTAGCTGGGATTACAGGTGCCCGCCACCACTCCCAGCTATTTTTTTTTTTTTTTTGTATGCTTAGTAGAAACGGAGTTTCACCATGTTGGCCAGGCTGGTCTCGAACTCCTGACCTCAAGTGATCCACCCGCCTCGGCCTCCCAAAGTACTTGGATTACAGGCATAGCCACTGCGCCTGGCCTAAATCTTGCTTTAGATAGGAAAAAAATATGTAAAACAGTGACAAAATGTATAACCTAGTCAAACATATATCTCAAGTACATCTCTATGAATATTTATCCTTTTATACTATTTAGTAAGAAAACTGAAAAAAAGAATGCAGAAAATTCCCTGAGTATCCAGTGTTGAAGTTCATTATTTGCACTTCAAATCTAGATGGAAATACATAGTTGACTTACGTTAATAAAAACTATCTACTAAATATAATGTGTCTTCAAAATATTTTGAAAGCACAATTCCATTTCAGCACTTTTCTTTTATATATTTATGTATTTTTCTTAATAAAATAACAAACAAAAAATACTATACCCAGAAGGAATAAGCAAACACTGAGTTATATTTTATCAGATATGATCTGTTCCATGCCCTGATATTTCTTTAAAAAAAACACAATATATTTGTTTCGGATGTATAGACTAGGATTTAACCATGATGGTCATTTTTACCTGGAGATAACATTGCCAATGGAGCAAACATCATTTCTAGAACTTGTAAAATGATTCCTTTTAAATGAATCATTTCTAGGACTTGTAAAATGATTCCATCATAACAGCCACACAAAACACTATCTTGCACTCACATATATAAAAACGAAACAAATCAATCAAAATGAAAAAAACAAGAACCCCCTACACACAAACACACATGCACACACACACACACACACACACACACACACAGAGATGTAAATAGCAATCTAAAAGTTTAGAGTTGTTAGCATAAAACATATAAACTTACATGTTAAAATTTATCAACTAGTTCCCTCACTAATTAATAACATATTAATAATATATAATGAGTTACAAGTAATGTGCGTGTAGCCTAAGGAAGTCTCAGATAATTCCTGGTAATATTGTATATTTGGTATTTATTTTGTTTCCATTTTTTTCTTATCCTCACTTAATAAAGGGAAAAAAATATCTAAAGACTTGAAGAAAGAAAAATACCCAAATCTGGTTGAAGCCTTAGGTGTCTTCTCTGTCAGAAAGTCAGGGTTGAAAACACAGAAGAATTACTAACAAGGAAAGATCTGTCAGCTTTGAGAAATGCTGCTATGGGAGCATCATCTTCATAATTTGGTGAGGATGTGGGGCTCAATACAATTGATTGATTGACTAGTTTATAGGCATCTAGAGCTGAGTGAAATCTTACAGGACCAAGGTAGCACAGATCAATAATAGCTGAGTTTTTGGAATAAGAACAATTATCTCCTGACTCCTAGTGTAGTGATTATTTAAGCACAATATGCTTCATCTCTGTTGATTCATTTCACAGTTTGAATATAGGTCATGTATTTATCTATATATTCCTAAATACATGAAGGTATAAATAGTCTCTATAAATAAAATACAAGAAAAATGAACACAATACAGTTTTCAGAACAGATGCATTAACACCAACTTCACGAGACATACTGTATTATATCACAATTTAAAACAGTCAAGAAGCATATCTTATCATTTAAAAAACTCAAATGCCATCAAACATTCTTAGACAGTTTGTTTAACTTTTAAAGTTATATTTAAATAATAAATGTATATCATTAGATCATTTTGTAGTAACTTGCTGAGGGATTCTGCTATTCCACGGCATTTTCAGTGTCTGCCTTTCTCTTAGATCATTCCCCTTCTGAAATCATGAAACAGTTCTTTCCTACCCAACAAAAATCTTTGCTTGACCTTGGACCCGTCCAAATTTCCTCCCACCCTCCCTCCTTTCCTGTTTCCCTCCCCTCTCTCCCTCCCCTCTTTCTTCCTTACTTTTCTTCCTTTCTTTTTTTTTTTTCCTAGTCCTTGTAATCTGGTCTATGAGAGCAGACTTGTATCTTCACTCCTTTATTAAAAATGCTTTGATTTCAATATCTGATATAAATGAAAAAACCCTTAAAACAAAATATATTGTATTCCTTTCTGTTCTTTCTGTTGCACTGAATACTGTAGGTCACTCACTTCTTAAAACTCTTTTTTTTTCTTTGATTCTTCTGAATGTGCACTAACTCTGTCTCATCTACTTTTCAGCTGAAAAGTCCTTCTTGCCTTAATGTTCTAGATCCTTCTTGCCTTAGTGTTTCTTTCACAAGGGCCTTTGGTCTAAGGTTAACTCCCTCCCACAACTGTTTTCTATACCCTGTTCTGAACAGATACACTCATTCCACAGTTTTGCCTTCTTTCCTGTCTCCTGCAATGACCAATATTAAATACATTATACTTTTTAAATTTTGTATTTTTGTATCTTTCTGAGTTAGCAAAGTAGGCAGTCATAGGCAAATAGCTTGATGATAAGAGTATTTGTTGGTTTCTTTGTCAATTATCTAAATGTTGTTGCCTTCAAAGTCTGGACATGACCCCAAATAATGAAGGAAACAATACACATTCACAAATAACTATAATGCAAGGAGGAAGCAGCTGACATACCAGACACAGAGAGACATAAAAGAAAGGTAGACTTTCATCAGACGCAGTATTTACTGAACTCCAGGCATTTGTGCAACTTACTTGTAGCTTTACCAGATTTTCCTAGCAACGTGTACAAATGTAATAATATATGAAATATTTATTATGTTCACATTCCTTTTCCAATTTCCCTTATTTTCTACAAACATCTTTCCAAGATAGAGAGAAAGGAGAGTTTTGAACCTATTGAGGCTGAAGGACCAAAGGGACAGCTAGGTGAAGACAGCTGACAGGCATAGATATGCATTTGAGAGATACATAAATACAAATGACACTGAAGCTATGAGACAGGAGGTTATTAGTAACTTTCAGGGGAGGGGTTTCAGTGAACTCTGGAGAACATCACCCAAGAAGGCTGATTAGTGACTGATGAAAAAGAAGAGACAGCAACTATAGAAACTTAGTAAGTTTAGTAGTGAAATGAAACAGAAATGTAATAGTAATTCCAAGAGGTAGCTCTTGGTAATATTAGGACCAGGATTAGAAAATAAAAATAGTGCAGGCATGCCTTAGAGGTATTTGGGGTTGCATTCTAAACAACTGCAATAAAGCCAACATCACAATAAAGCAAGTCACATGAATTTTTTGATTTCCCAGTGCATATAAAAGTTATGTTTACACTATGCTAAATTCTATAAAGTGTGCAATAGCATTATGTCTAAAAAAAACCCAATGTATATACCTTAATTTTAAAATACTTTATTGCTAGAAAAATGCTTATAATAATCTGAGCCTTCAGCAAGTCATAATCTTTTTGCTGGTGGAGGGCCTTGCCTCCCTGTTGACGGCTGCTGACTGATCAGGGTGGTGGTTGCTGAAGGTGGTTGGGCAATTTCTTACAATAAGATAATGAATTGCATTTGTCTTATTTTAAGGCAATATAATTGCTGCATCAACTGACTCTTCCTTTCATGAAAGATTTCTCTGTAGCATGTGATGCTGTTGGTTAGCATTTTACTCATAGTAGAACTTTCAAAATTGGAGTAAATCCTACCGCTGCTTTATCAACTAAGTTTATGTAATACTCTAGAACCTTTGTTGTCATTTCAACAATATCACTGCATCTTTACCAGAAGTAAATTCCATTTTAAGGAACCACTTTCATTATTCATCCATAGAAAGCAACTTCTCATCCATTCAAGTTTCATCATGACATTGCAGCAATTCAGTCACATCTTCAGGCTCCACTTCTAATTCTAGTTCTCTTGCTATTTCTACCACATCTGCAGTTACTTCCTCCACTGAAGGCTTGAGCCCCTCAAGGTTATCCATGAAGACTGGAATCAATCTATTCCAAACTCCTATTAATACTGATATTTGATCTCCTCCTATGAATCGTGAATGTTCTTAAGGGCATCTAGAATGGTAAATTCTTTCCAGAAGGTTTTCAATTGACTTTGTCCAGATCCATTAGAGGAATCACTATGTATGGCAGCTATTGCCTTGTGAGATATAGTTCTTAAATAATAAGACTTGGAAGTGGAAATTGCTGCTTGATCCTTTCAATTTGTAAAAAAAAAAAAAAAAAAAAAAAGCACAGTATCTACGAAGCACAATACAGTGAAGTGCAACAAGACAGGGTACGCCTGTATATTAGCGATTAGCGATACAAGTGAAGGAATAACAGCTGTAATGAGTGGCTAAGTCAGCTTGAAAGAAAGGCATTCTGGAGTCAGTTTTTCTCGTTGCATGCCCCAGACTTCCTGCCTCATCATCAGTCGGATTACATGTTAAAATTGCAGGTCCAGCTCTCAAGCCCAAGCCTTCTGAATCTGAGTCTTGGGAGTTGGGACCCAGGAATCAGTATTTAATATATGCTTTAAGGTATTTTAGCTAGGCAATAAAATTAGAGGTTCTACAATAAGAAAGTTTATACAACTAGCAAGAGATATTTATTTTGTTATTACTGTATATTATTTAAGCATACCTTATATATCTTAAAATAAATAGCGAATATCTTAAACTGAAAAAGAATTTGTTTTATCATACTGCTTTCTAGAATTAACGCATTATTCCATTATTCTGGTTATGTCGTTCATACAGGTCAAGGCTTCATTTCTCATTGGGATGTGGCTTTGTTTGCTTGCTATAGCATGGATAGTGAGCATTGAGTACACAGCTTTGCAGTATTTACCCTTGTCTCCTCACCTCTTGTCAAACAGTTGAAAATAGAATGACCTCAACTTAAATAAGCTGAAACACAATAATGAGCTAATATTTTTTAAGGCCTCTAAAATTTCTAGGTTGAAACTAACTCTGTCCTGGAGTTTCAACCCATCTCATTTACCCTAATTTTTCTTTGTTTTTCAAATGTCTGGGAGAAAGGCCTCGATTTTTTGTAATCACAGAGACAGCTCTAACTTTGCCAGATAAAAGTATTAATAATAAAAGGAGATTTACATGAAGAGTTTTGTTAAGTGGAACCTTAGTTAAATACATCTCTTCAAAAGAAAAGTATGGTGAAACCCCTAGTGACACTATACCAATTCAAATTTTGTACTTTGTAAAGCTAACACATTCTTGAAAAATAAAGCAAGCTCCTAAACAGTTCACTACAAAGCATCTAGTTGATTGTGACAAGAGGATATTGAGCAAAGGATTTATGCTAATTGACCTACATTCCAGTTTATGACCAACTCCACTCTAAATAAAATGAACAGTACCCTACAATAGCCTTAGAAACTTCAGACTCAAGGGAAAATAAGGAAGATTAGCTGATTTTATTTGAAACTATTTTGAGTGGAGCTTATCCCAGTATTCTACCAACACATTTCCACCCAGGCATGAATTTCCACACTCAAATGTTTTGCTGTGAAATTTTAGTGTGACTGTTTAGATTTCTTCATGTTTCTAATTAAAAATTTAGTCTTTAATCATGTTTTTCTCAGGACTTGTGCTGAGTTTTCAGTTGTAAACCCAATGTGAAGCACACTTAACAAGACAGCTCTTTTAGGAATTAGATCAATTAGTCGGCTACCCTCAATTTCTCCTTTCCTCGTATGAGCTGGCTGCTCCTCACATCAAGGAAAAGCGATGTCCTGGGATTTCTGATGCTAGATCATAAGAATCTTTGCAGCTTCTGCTTGGGTTTTTTGGAACATTCATTCTTGGGATGCTGCCTCTTGAAACCTAGCCACCATTTTGTGGAAAACCCAAGCCACTTCAGGACAGCCCGAGATAAACTCGTAGTCAACAGCTGGCATCAACTGCCAGCTATATATATGTGAGCTCTCTTGGACGACCAGTCCAATCCTGTCTTCAGATGGCTGAATCCCCTGCTGTCATCAGGCTTCCAAGGCAGGAGACTTCAAATGAGGATTGCTCAGCAGACAGTCAGCCCTCAGAACCGTGAATGAAAATAATAAATTGTTGTTTTAATCCACTAGTTTGGGAGATCATTTTATGCAGCAATAAATGCTTAGAACATGACTTTTATCTTCTTCCGCTGAGGTTGGGACTCTTATCAGACTTTGTGATTTTCTAAGGAAAATAACACACTAGAAGCCAAATGATCAAAAGTATTATCCAGTACTCTAGCATCATAAAAGTGTTCTTGATTTGCTTAATGGAAATAGCTTAATCTTATCTTCTTTACATGTTTTTTTTTTCTCTAATAGTTACTGGATCAAGAGCTGAGCTACATAAATTTATAGAACCTTGCCCAACCTTCTCATCAAACAAATGAGGAAACAGGATCCCAGAGATTTATAGGACCCATTCAAAGGCATAAGGGATTATCATCTGCTTCTCCTATTTCAAACCTTGGCTCTTGTACCTTGTTCATAACTGTCTCGAGGGTGTCATAGTTTTCCTGAAAAAAAAGGTATGAGCTCAAGACAATACTGTGTGTCATTATTTTTTGTCTAAATTTGCAAACAATTTTACAGATACTTAACCAACTCCATTGTTACTCAAATTGAGTAAGAGCAAAATATTTCCATTGGATATTTTTCTCTTGTCAAAATGTGTATACTCTTAAATCTAATGTGGAATGTTTAAGTTGTCACATTTCACTGTTCTTATGTTGGGGCATTTAGTACGTATCATGCAGTTGGCATCCTTCTTCAATCAAACAGGATTTATCCTTTCCCTCCCTGTCCCTCAACCAGTACTCCTTATACTCACACTTTCAAATAGATAATTCATTTCATGGGTTTTCCTCTCACTAAAGGTTGGTAACCCTTTCATCTTTGTTTTCCTTTTTGTTCCTGTGTTCTGATTAAATTCTCATTATGTGTTCCTAACATACTAAATATTTGTGTTTAGATGTCTTGCTATTACCTCTTTTTTTTTTTCCTTTTTGTTTGAGACTGAGTCTCTCTCTGTTGTCCAGGCTGGAGTGTAGTGGCATGATCTCGGCTCACTGCAACCTCTGCCTCATGGGTTCAAGCGATTCTCGTGCTTCAGCTTCCCGAGTAGCTGGGATTACAGGCGTGTGCCACCACACCCGGCTACTGTTTGTAATTTTAGTAGAGACGGTCTCACTATGTTGCTCAGGTTGGTCTCAAACACCTGGCTTCAACTGATCCACCCAGCTCGTCCTGCCTCTCAAAGTGCTGAGATTACAGGCGTGAGCCACCGCACCCGGCCTTGCTATCACTTCTTAATAACATTTCAAATATGAAATTAATTTCTTGTCCAAAACATGCAGAAAGTAAACCATTGGGTTTATCCTTTAAATATTCTATCAAGGAACCCACTGCTTCCCCAGTCTTCAAGATTTCAAATTTCTAGACAAAATCTTCTATTCATTCTCTTATTGCTCCATTTCCTAATTTTATAGATTTTTCACTTGACCTATCTCTCATCAATCTTTTGCTCTCCGGTTCCACTGGCTTAGACATGTATCATATTCTATTATTATCATATCATATATATCATATAATATTATTCCCAAACTGGTTTAGGCATATATCATATTATCCCAGGATTACTGTGACAACTGGATCTGTCTTCTCCAACTAATTCTGTTTTAAACAACATTTTCACTAATCTCATTATGTCTTCCCTGCTCAAAAACCTTCCATGACACCCTACCTCCTATCATTGCTTTTAAAAGCTCTCCAAAATCAAATCCCATCCTGTCAATCCAGCTCCATGTCTTACTGTTCCCCAAACACACCTCCTTACTGCCATGAGAAGGAGCTCCTTATTCTACCTAGAACCACTTCCTTTCCAAATGTTTCACATTCCTCCAAGACAGGTTCAGTACCACTCCCATTAAACTTTTCATAATATCTGTCAAACTAAATCATATTCAACATCATTTTTAAACAAAACAGTAATCAATGGTCTCATAGTGATATACATGTAGTCTCATAGTGATATACATGTAGTCAAGTAGAACAGTAAGTGTTGTGTTCAGGAGAAAATGTAAAAATATTCCTGACCTATCTTTCCAATGGGGCCTGAAATTCCACAATTAGAGATTCGCAGGTTAAAGTTCATCTTAAAGTTAAAATGTAAATACTCTTAGCAATGTGTTAGCCCTGCAGTTTTTTTAGTATCAACTATTTTGTTGCATCCTTTCTGCAGAGTGAAATTTTGCAGTGGAGGGATAGCCCTGCTGCATACCTAGAGAAGCCGAGGACATCAATGAGGAAATCAAACAATAAAAGGAAGAGATGCCAAAATTGCAATTTGCCTACTTTGCAAATAACTTTTTTTTTTTTTTACAATCAGCCTTGTGCATTATGGATATGAAGGACTATAAATTATTCAGAATGTTTGATTAACCAATTACTCTCATTCTTCCACAGTGCTAGAGTTCAGATTTCTTCTTCTAAGACAAATGAGAATTGATTGCTACATTCATCCCCAGAACACTATCTTCCTTTCTTTAAGTGATAAATTTTGGTTTTCATGATACCAGGAAAAAAACAAAAACAAAACAAAACAAAAAAACTGGATTCCATTTGTTGGCGCAATCCAGCATTCTCCTACGCTGTTTTTCCCTCTTATCCTAGCCATTTGGACTCTAATGCTAAACTCCCTACCATCCCTACTACCACTAAATAGAAGAGGTTCTGAGTAGTGAAGTTTTATTTTTCATAAGTAAATTAAAAGAAAGAGGAGAGATATGGCCTTAAGTGGCCAAATGTTTTCTATTTCCCCTATGCACTTCCTTCCTGCTTTCCCCACTTTGCCCCTCTTATTGGCTCTTCCTAGTCTCTGGACTGCATACTTGAATCTCTGTCCTGAGTTCTGGCTTCATGCTGTCACTCTCCCCTGCTACAGGCCTGCTCTTTTCTCTATTTCGCTCACCTCTGGCTTCCTCACTTGCTTCCTCTACTTCCATCTAAAGAGAGTTCAGGAATATTTTTAATCTGTCCTACTAGGCCCCTGACTACGTAAGTTTTTGGTGACCTCAATTACAACAGGAAAAATGTTATCCACTTCTGGCAGTAGAAGGAACAAACAAATTTTAGGTATCTGTCAGATTACAGACAGGAAAGAGAACTTCTAAGAGTTACAGACCAAGCTTTGGATCCTGACAACTCAGCTGTTAACTCCACACCATCCCCCACAACAAAATCTTCCTATAATTAGGGATGATTGTTAATTATCCATGGGCATTGAAGCAAAATCCAGGACAAATTGTTTTCACTATAGTAAGGAAATGGAAATTAAAAATAATTAAGTTTGAAATTATGAATACCTTACCTTTGATAGCCAGTCCTCTCGAGCTTGAGGTTACAAGGGTAAATTATGTAATTCTTTCTAGACATTTTATTATGTTGGATCCAAATGGCATTTTAATGCTTTTAATACAGCTAATGAATAGACTACATCAAGTCAATTATTTTGACTTTCCATTTCTGACAGCTTTTCTCCTGTGTGAGCATAGAAACAAGAGTTTATAGGCTCAAGTGGTCAAGTAGAACAGCAAGTGTTGGGTTTAGGAGAAAAATTTAAAATATTCCGGACCTGTCTTTCCAATGGAACACAACACTTAACAACCAAATAAAAAAAAGAGCCTGAAATACTCTCTGCCACACTTGGGAAAATGTTTTATCTTTCTTTTTTAACCTGAAAATACTCCTTCCTTTTCAGAAAACATTTAAAGACAGTCCTTCTTAAGACCATTTCCAACACTGTTTATACAAAGGCCCTAAAAATGGGTCCTTCTAAGACACTTCCAGGGGTCAAGCAAGAAGAGACTATGAAAGTCTTGATCACAGCTAACATTCATAGGCAAAAATGTCCTCAGCTTTCTCTTTTTTCCTTTCTTCCAAGTTGGCTACTGTCTATAAACTCCAGAAATTAGTAGTCAAAGCATCCCCTAACCCTTGAGCCTGTGGGAATACAGGAATTTCAACCCGAGCACGTCAGTCCCCAAGGCCTCCTTTACTCTTGGAGAAATCCCTCACAACAAAGGACAAGGGAGAAGCAAGGGGGAGGGGCGCCCAGTGGACTTGGCTGGAAGAAGTGAGCGGGCTGGGGTTGGAAGAGTAACTCGGGCTGCGGGCTGAACGCAGTCGGCAACCGCGGAAGAGCAGCATCTCCCCTGCGCCTGTGGATACGCCAGTCCAGGGATGGCGAGTGCTTTCTCCTCCCCAGCTTCTCCCTCGCTCTTCGAGGTGACTCGTGGGACCCTGCGTCCTAGTGCTGGGTGTGAATCGGCTATTTCACACCCAGTTCTTCCTCCCCTCCGCCACACGCAGTCACATTCCTGGAGCTATTCCAAGCTGCCTCCGCTAAGCACCGAATAAGCGGACCCTGCCTGGAAACTTGAGCGAAGCTGAACTGCGCCGAACTCCACCGTCCAGTGACCCGAGCCAGTGTGGACGCCCTTTTAATCACGCTGTTTACCCAGGTGGAATTTAGGAAGAATCAGCCTTCAGCCTCAACCTCAAACCTTTTGTGCAAATGGGCACTTCGTTTGGAAAGGGACTAGAAATTGTCCCCAGTCTGGCCCTGCACCAGCACCTTCCTCTGCTCAAACCTGTACAAAGTGGAAGTTTTAGGAAGTTTCCATTTCTCGTGCCCCGTTTCAACTTGCTCCCCAAAGAGAACATGAAAACGTGGGAACTCGGGAGGACAGAGATCTCCCTGTAATCGCCTCGCTATTCGGATCCTGGGTCTCTTAGTCTTTCTTTATTTCCCAAATACCGCCCCCAGCACGGTAGACCGGACCCCCAGGCTTGGGTCCTGGGGCCGGCGCAGAGGATCAGCGCCCAAGCGCAGCCCCCCACCCTCCCGACCCACTGTAAACAGTCGGGCACCCTCCCTCGCCTCCAGGTGCCACCCCATCGCCATCGCCTCTCTCCCAGAAAAAAAAGTCCGGAGACAAGAGGGCGGGGGGCGGGGGACGCCAGGCGCGGGGGGAACAGAGCTGGGAAGGACGCAGTCTGAGGCCGAGGAACATTCATTTTCTTTCTATAATGCCCATTCCCGAGGCCGAGCCTTTGGGCGAGGTGTACGCGCCCGCCCGCGCACTCACCCATGGCCCGAGGTCCTGCTTCTCTGCAGTCCCCAGAGGAGAGCGAGTGACCAGACGCTGCGCGGGGCCAAGTTCTCCAAGCCGCGCTGAGGCTCCTCGCGCCCTGGCAAGTGACAGCCTCGCCCCTCCCAGCGGAGACAACTCGCAGGGCGCCTGGCGACTCTGCGGGCGCACAGACCCCTCCCTCTTTCCACCTGCCTCCTCTGCGAGAAGCCCGTTTTCCTCCCCTTCACTGTGGGTCTCCTCCCCAGAGGCCCCCACCCTGCCCCCTTTCACTTTCATTAGAGACACGTGCAAAGTCTCTCTCCTAAATACATTGAATGCACATTACAGACACACACGTTGTCTCAGCACCCCACAACCGACTCGGTAGCCAAGATAATGATCTCTAAGTGGAGTCTGGAAATAGATTATTCCAAAAGACAGGTTTCATATGATAATTTTATGTTCCCTTGTCTTCTGTGTACCATTTTGTTTCTTAATGATAATAACATTAATAAAGACAAGAGGAAGAGAAAATTCTCCCTTTAATTTATCCTTTGTCATCTCCTCTTTCTTCTACATAAAATATGTTTCTGTAATTGGACAAGGTTATAAAGTTCTAAAAACCATACACTCAAACACACATGCACACACCCTGACATACACACACACACACATCATAATATGCAGAAATCACCTGGAAAATAAACAATTCAATCCAAGAGGCAGTTGATGAGGCTGAAAGAGCACAGGGCTTGACAGTTGAGAGGATGAGTTGTAATCCTGGCTCATTTCCTAATTTGTAAAATGAAGGATCTGGAAAAAGTGATCTCTAAGGTCTCCTCAAGCTAAAAAAAAAAAAAAAATTATATAACTCTATGGGTTATTGACCTAGTTCTTTCAAGAGTCATACTGGAGAAGTTATTTCAGTAAGTCAGTCCCCAAGGTGTACACAGCTTTTTCATGCAAAGCACACCCAAAAGTATACATATCTATGCTGTGAGCAAGTGGAAGAATAAAATAAAATGGATATGATTACTTACCTTGAGGAACATTGCTATCTAATGGGGAAAAGGTGATATGAAAAATAAATAACAATATTTTTAGCAGAATGCATGGATAAATGCAGAGCATATCATTCAAATGCCACATAAACATCTGCACAGCTCTTTCTCACGTAATGGAAGAGGTATACTCCTGGCAGGGGTGTGTAAATGCACTTCAGTTACATGGGAATACAGTTATTCTTATGGGAGGGGAAAGGAAGTAGTCAACAAAAATTAAAAGTGTTCAACATATCATTCAGAAATGCATCACCCTTCTAGAAATTGACTAACATGAACTGTGACTGTAGCAAAGCATAACACTAATACATTTGTTCAATAAATATAAGTTGCTGGCTCACACTTGTACTTCTGGCACTTACAGAGCCTGAGGCAGGTATATCCCTGAAGCTCAGGAGTTTGAGATCAGCCTGGGCAACATAGTGAGACCTCGTCTCTCCAAAAAAATAAACAAAAAATTAGCTTGGTGTGGTGGTGCACGCCTGTAGTCCCAGCTACTTGGGAGGCTGAGGTGGAAGGATCACTTTATCCTGGGAGGTTAAGGCTGCAGTGAGCCAAGACTGCACCACTGCACTTCAGCCTGGACAACAGAGTGAGACCGTGTCTCAAAAAAAAAAAAAAAGATAAGTGATAGATTTTGGAGATTGATTCATAAGCTCAGTTTTAGGATCACCACAAGCAACTTACAATCTATCTCCTGAAGACTTATTCAAAATAATATTTGAATTCTAAAAATTAGAACTGTTTTTTGTTTTTTTCCCATCGGATTCTATGATAATCCTGAAATACAAAATAATAATTATAACATAAACTGAGTACAGTGTGCTAAGTGTCAGGCATTGTACTAAGGGCTTCATATTAGCTAATATAATTCTCACTAAAAAAGGAAAATACTGTTATCCCCACTTTACAGATGAGGGAATTAATCCACAAAGAGATTAAACACTTGCCCAAATTCTCATAATAAATGGGAATGCAAAATTCATACCCAGGACAAAATACTCCAGAGTTCATGATCTTAGTCAGTTAACCACATTGTTTCTCAGTATCCAACTGGTTTGCCACATGCTTGAGAAAGATGGTGATATCTTCCAACAATAAATATAATTCATAATTTTTTTTTTTTTTTTTTGAGACAGAGTCTGGCTCAGTCACCCAGGCTAGAGTGCAATGGCGCCATCTCGGCTCACTGCAAGCTCCACCTCCCGGGTTCATGCCATTCTCCTGCCTCAGCCTCCCGAGTAGCTGGGACTACAGGTGCCCACCACCACGCCCGGCTAATTTTTTTTTTTTTTGTATTTTTAGTAGAGATGGGGTTTCACTGTGTTAGCCAGGATGGTCTCGATCTCCTGACCTCATGACCCACCCACCTCGGCCTCCCAAAGTGCTGGGATTACAGGCGTGAGCCACCATGCCTGGCCTAATTCATAAATATTTTTAACATTCCCAGTAAAATATATGAAATTTAGAATACACTAAAGATACAAATCATCATATACTGGCTTTTAATAATCAAAATCATGATGTTTTCTTTCCTTTGCCTTATTATAAGTGAATAGATCAAAATGTTGATGTTGAATTCATTTATCTTACAGTGATGATGTAAATGGTGTCAGTATCCTAGATCTCAGGTATAGAGAGGCCATTATCTCCCCTGAAATCTAACAAGTTACATAATTTTATATGGGATTCAATAAACATATAAATTAATTCATTATCTTACTTAGTACATTATTTTTTTACTCTAATTATCCGGTATTTCTGCTTTCTCATTCCTGTCACCTAATTGTCCATCAAGTCCTAAGGTTCTGTTTCCAAAATATTCTTCCCATTCATCCCGCATCTTCAGTTTCATTGCCTAGACCACCTTTTAGCAAGTCCTGTGGAAATATAACTAACACTTCTTTTTAAAAACGGAGATACTTACCAACCATGGGACTCAAAATTAAGGCTTTAGCTAAACTTGTAAAATTCTGAGATGAATATAAATTTTTCTTTTCTTTTCTTTTTTTTTTTTTTGAGATGGAGTCTCGCTTTTGTTGCCCTGGCTGGAGTGCAATGGCATGATCTTGGCTGACTGCAACCTCTGCCTCCCAGGTTCAAGCGATTCTCCTGCCTCAGCCTCCTGAGTAGCTGGGATTACAGGCATTTTTTAGTAGAGACGGGGTTTCACCATGTTAGCAAGGCTGGTCTCAAACTCCTGACCTCTGGTGATCCACCCACCTCTGCCTCCCAAAGTGCTGGCATAAGCCACCGTGCCTGGCTAGAAATTTTTCATGACATAACCTTGTTGAAGCCAAGGGAAGACTTCCCCTTTACTCTCTGAAAGTTCACTGAAAATCAACTGAGCAAAGATGGATAAATAGGAGAAATGGCATACAAATTTATTAATGAGCACAGAGAACCATAGAGTGATTACCTCAACCCCCAGTGGGGTAGCAAATCTTATATATTCCATCTTGAGGTTACAGAAAGAATTGGGGCTTTTATCATGGCAAAATAGGATACGGTGGCAAGACAGCTTATGGGAGGGGGAGAAGAGGAGCCCGGGCTTGCAAAGCTGGTCTTTCTATGCAGATGAAACCTTGCAGGGCTCAGCCCACACCAAGAACACAAGGTGAATGTTTCTTTCAGACTTTTAAAGGTGTCAGACTCTCAGTTAATCTTTCCTATATCCAGACAAAGGAAGGTCTCAGAGAGGGCCTGGCTGCATCAATGCAGGTTTTCTCTACTGATGCGAATCTCCCCCCACAAAAGGCAGCTTTTCAGCTATTCTTGAATTTCCAGCTTTTCTGAATAGTTTTCTTGAAATATGTCAAGAAAATATATTTGGAGAGGAAATATTTTAGTTTCCTTCTGTTCCCCTTTGGAAGTTTTTCTTTAAGAAAGTTTCACTTATTAAAGGCAAGGTTGATAACTTTGGAAAGATGTGAGTTAAAGGTTGCTATTTAGGAGGCAGGCAAAGGAGGAGAAAAACAAGTTAGGATAAGCAGAAAAGAACAAATTTAAATATGTTATCTCATATCTTCTCGAATCAGCCTCTTAGTCCTGAGAAAAGTTCAGTTGAGTTAAACAGCAGGGTCCCATTCCAGGAGGCGGCATGGCAGATGGGCTTGACCTCCATATACAGTGCAGACAAACAGATCTTTAGTAAGAGGCATTTCTGTAGAAACATAAAAAAAACAAAGATTAATGTCTGGAGTAGTCTATAAACTAATTTTTCTAGCATCTCTGAAGCATCTTTAGATGGCAATCTGACAGATTTTTCTGGATTGTAGTTCGAATCAGGTATTCAAATGAACGTTCGGCAGAGTCCAGACATCAATAGGCATGAAGACTGTTTGTATGTAAGTTTCTCTAGTGATTTCCCTGAAAGTTTATATCATGTTATCTAGTTTTAGTTTGCAGAGCTTTAAAAAAAAAAGCATGTTTTTAATTTCTAGTGATTTCAATTTAGAAAAATGAGAGAAAAATTTGAAAACCTTAAAGACTTGTAGCCAGAAAATAATTCAGAATGCAGTCCAAATTGTAGGCAAATAATAAAAACTTAAAAACAATGGACAAGGCTAAAATCCAATAACAGGCATACTATAGTTTTCTTCTGAAACATATGTTTCTCTCTGTAGTCCCCTAGGTCTACCAAAGATAAGACATAGTAAGACCAATTTATTTGCAACATAAGTTTTACTCCTATTGTAATTGGCCTAATTATTTGCACAAAGTGCAGTAAGAACAGTGATTGGCTATATGACCTTTTTTAAAGTTGGCTTTGCTGGAACTTTTACATAAGGAATCTCACATTCGATTTTTAAAAACCTCCCAAGGCTGGGAAGCCAAACCATGGATTTGCTATGAGACTGTACCCAATACCTGTATGAACTGGGTACATTCCCCTTTTCTCAAGGATTCCAAAATATCTTGAGGTTCCTGAAGCTGCCAAAAAGTGACATTCTACTTGCTGCAAAGTCAGGAACCTTGTAAGAGAACCATATAGACAAGCTACCAGGCCAGTATTTACAAGGGTTTTTTTTTTTTTTTTAATCAGCTCTAGAAAGTCAACCTCAATTCCTCAAAGTAGTAATATCTGAAAATATGTCATTCCATCCACAGCCTTGGTAAAATAGTGTCTACAATTGTGTATTATTTTGGGAAAAAACAGATTCTTATTTAATTTATGCAAATTACTATGTTGCCATAAAATAAGACTACTCACAAATAGTTTCTAAATTCTAGTGACACCAGGTAGAGAAAATGGTAAATGTTTCCACTTTGCTCACAAAAGTATACTTTACCAATTACTGTAAGCTATAAATAGTTCAAAAGAAAAAAAGAGTTTTCTTGACTCTAGAAAACAAAACAAAAACCATCAGCTATATTTCAAATTTTAAAAATCATAGAAAAATCATTCAGTTCTCTATCAGTTAAGTCTTACATGACTAACGTTTGTTCTGCTTGATGTTGGGTTAGCAATCTTCATGAACTCATTAGTTTTTTCATTAGACTTCTGGAAGTTTTTACCTAGTCTAATGGTACGACCTTCAAAGTTGTCAGAAACCTGTATTTCTGAGAATATTTGGCAATGTCCTTTCCATGAATTTCTTTGAAAAATAAGTACATTTTGGACTGTAACCAATTAAAAATAAGCACATTTTGTACTGTAGCCAGTTGTAAACTACTTTTTGAGAAGACTCAAAGTAAAACAATCATTGTCTGAGGATGACAAAAGATACAGAATAGCCATGGTTAAAGAAGCAATTGACAAGGAAATTTGGTTATTTTTGTGGCATACTGCAATTTAACATAATTATAATCATAACTGATATCATGTACCAAGATATATCAGAATTTTAGGAATTTCATACAATTTTGGAACACATTAATAACACATTTATACAATTATAACTCAAAGAAGAGTTAAGCACAATTTCTTATTTGACAATATTTCTGTATGATTTTTACACATCACATAAGCCTCATATGTCTCTCTTGGACTTCCAGGGGTTCTTTATGGAATATCCAAAAGTCAGTTTGAGGTCAAAAAGACTTAATTTTAGAATTTAAAATTTGGTATTGGAAGTTTGTCAAATATCAAAGGTTTAAAACACTTTATATTAAAAAAAGAAAGTGTTAAAATATTTGATCAAAATAGGATCACAGGTCACTGTAAATAAGTTATTCATTTAGCCAAATTCATAATTAAAAGATTTCAAAAGCAAAACACTTCACTCTTTGATAGAGAGGAGGTTCAGTTTTCCAATCAAAGTACCTAGTAAAGACAGCATGAGTCAAACTCTCCCTGCTACTTCTTATTTTTTGCAGTTTATTCAAAAGGTGAACAAAAATCTTCCATTATACTATCTCTTGCCAATACTACACGAAAATCATATTCAAAAGAGAAAACTAAAATATATCTTTGCATCAGCATTGTTAATGTTAGAGCTAATTTAATAAAATACTATAAATAGTTCCATTTAATCTCAATCAGTTTTGACCACATAAGATTTGTATAAAACTTTTATAACAAAAATTTTTTCATTCTTTTTCTTTCCCCAACTTTCTATATCCATTTAGTTTTATCTATTATTTTTTCCCTTCAATTTTAAATAACATTTATATGGCCTCTGAACTAGACAAAAATTAATTTACCTTTTCTTTAACAAAACCACATTCTCACACCTTTGTTATAACCTTCCCCACCCAAAACACATTGAACTTTCCTTATACATTTTTCATACAGAAATGTTTCTCACATCTGGTAGTTTTAATTTTATATACTAATTACAATGTTAACTCTTAGTAACCCTAATTTTCAGGGAAAAACCTTAGAAGTTAGCAATTTTAATTGTTATATACCAGACACAGTGCCCAGGACCTTTCAAGACAATTCCTGGTGAATCCAACTTCTTTCAAGGAGGAAAGACCTTTCCAGACAATGTCTAATGAATCCAACTCCTCCCTGCATGGCCATGAGGCACAGCTGGGTCCGGTAGGATGGGGTTCAAGTGCTGTGCCCTAGCCCTCACTGTGACCAAGTGTCTAAACCCTAGAATCTAAAGACTCAAAACCAAAGAAATAAGCTCGCAGACAAATTAAGCAAGTATCAAATATATCACAGAAGAAACCATTTTTTGGCCTTAAAAACATGTAGAAGAGACAGTATAAATTTGTCTGTCCAATAGATCCAGGCAAAAATGTGTGAATTATATGTAATACCTACAATTCTGAAGACATTCTAATTGTATTTTACTAACAGTTTTTAAGCCAGTTTTATTTACCAAAGATTTCTCATGTCACATGACCTTGAAAAGCACTGGGATTTAATCTAGGCATGAGTGACTATGGGTCATTGAATGAGCATTTTATGTTCCAGCCAAATATCATTTCTACATTGCCAATGATTTTTAATTCACTGAGGGAGAATGTTCAATAAGAGGAAAGGAACACTGACAATGGAGAATGGGAACACACAAACATTTAATAACTGTGGACAAAAGGAGTTCATGCAGAGGAGTGCAAAAAATAATCTTAGGCTAGGAAAAGAATCCAGAGAAAGTCCTGTAGAGAACGTTTCAACAAGAAAGAAGTGTCAACTAGATAAAACAGAAAGAGCGAAGAAGACGAGGACTGGCAAGTTCCCTTCGGATTGGTGGTTATGAAGTCACTGGTGAAACAGTAGCAAGAGTATTATGGAAAAGTGAAGAGCAGAGAGATAAAGAATAAGGAAACGGGTGGTAGAAAAAGAGTGTGGACAACCTATTTACAGTTCACAGTGAAGGAAGGCAGAGTGGGCAATAAGTGTCAGAGAAAGTTTATTTATGAAAGAAAAAGAACTGTATGTTTCATATGTTAATGCATATATAGGTTTCAATCTTAGAGATCTACTTCTTAGAGTAGAATGAAGAGATACTATCTGGAACACAGGAGGAGGAATAAGCCAGAGAGAACAGGCAAAATTGCCTAATCCTCTGAGATAGAAAAAGAAGTAGAGAAAGTGAGTGTAAAGAAAAAAGAAGAAAGATTTTTATTTCAGTATGGAGCTTTGGAGCAGAGGGCTGATAACCTCAGGACCTCATGGAGGCCTGATAACCTCAGTATTCCGTAGGTATGTACTAGGAAGGAGATGTGCTGAGAGAGAACAAATTGGGGCTGCAGCTCCACTTAAGAAAATTAATGAAGTTTGTTACAGCTGCTGTAGTGAAGAGGAGAGGGAGGTGACCACGGTATAATAAAGAAACATCAAGTAACATTGAAGTCCAAGCAGAGACTGAATCTAAATTTATAGAGACACCAATCTATAACTTGACTATAGGAGAGGATAAAACAGAAAGCTGAATTTAAAGAAAACTGAGAGCATTTGTGAGTGTAATGGTAGAGCGGTAGGAAGAAGAAGGAGGTAAGGCTGATGGCAAAAACTACAAAATGAGTTAATTCATCTTGGGTCTAAATTAGAACAGGAAGAAAGAAGACCCCAGGACAGTAGCTATGGACTGTGAGAGAAGAAGGGGACACAGTACTGAAAAGATAAAGGAAGTTTAAGAGCAGATTTGGCGTAAATAAAGCTTGAAAGATGGGGATAGACAGAAGTTGTTGTTCAGCTATTGCTGTATTAGACCTTAATATTTCAGAGGCTGAGAAATTTGGAGTGCAGAGAGATCCAGGGAAAGACTAAAGATTAGGTTTGTAAAGTTCAGCAGAAGTGACAGTTCCTGCTATTGAGGCAAGTCTTTGAAGACAGGTGCTGGAAGAATTATTAATAAGGATACTACAGTACACCACAGTGATTATATGGATTGCAAAGAAAGAAAAAAATGTCAAAGTCCAATTTAAATAAGATAATGCATTAGAAAGGCTGAAAATTTTAAACAGTTATAAAAATGTTAGCTGCAACTATGAAAATTGCTGAAGGGAATAAATGAAAACAGTCGATGTATACCATAAATATGAAGCATAAATTTTCATAATTTATATACGAGTAAGGACCAAGAGGAAACCATGGATCCTTGAGCAGGGTAACCAATGATAAAAAAGATGGGGAGATCAGGCTGATTTTCCAGGGAGTGGAGGTTCCATCTACAAGACTCAGATCTTTTTTGTGTTTGCTTTTTGTTTTGGTTTGGATTCGTTTTTGCTCATTTGTTTCAGTTTTACAAAGACTGAAGTGGTTGTTTCACAAAATATATATTGTACAGATAGTACCCTCAGGCCTTATTTTCCCAGCCAGAAACACCAACACAACAGCTTCCAAATGCAGTCTCCTTTACAATTCATTAATTTTTGTTCTATTCCTAGGATGGCCTCACTGGGCTTTGGTTTCCCTTGAGGAAAGTGATTTTCTTTTGTGGTTTGCAGTTGAGTCACAAGAGAATTTTGAAGGGTTTTGAGCCTCCCCGTTGCAAAGCTGTAGGTAAGTGTCTTGTGACAGCTATAGCAATAAAGCAGAGTGGTTTTCCTTAACATTTAAATGCAATAATTAGCATATGTTGTTTTAAATTGTGTGTGTGTGTGTGTGTGTGTGTGTGTGGGTGTGTGTGTGTTTTATATTTACAGAACCATGTTCTCGAAGCAGTCCAGTCTCTAAAGTTTCACCAGGTGGGGCAGAGTGCCAGGCCTATGACTAGGGCCAGAGGTCTCTCCTCTTGTCTCTCTGATGAATACTGGCAGTTCCCCAGGCTTACCAGTTATTCTGGAGATAATGCTTTTGAAGGCCTCAAAGGTGCTGAATATCATCTTAATTTGAACCCCACAGAAAGAGTTTGGACACCTCCATTCTTCACTGCACAAAGCTCTCTTGACCAGGCACCTGGCTGATCTCTGGCATCTCGGTGGGCTACACGGAGCTCATGGTCTTCATTCTCCAGGTAAAACCAGGGAGCACAGCTTGAACTCCTGACATTCTTTCTTGATTTTATCACTGCCTCTCCTGCCTCTGCTGCCCATCTTTTTATGTCTGATATGCACTGCTTTCAGCTTTATGCTGTTATGTTTCTGGCCAACTGGAAACATACATATCTGCAGATCAATGGTGAGGAACCTCCCAGTGCCCCACTGCAGGGTCTGGCTGTTATCAGAAGAGGCTGGGGGTCTCATCCTCAAGCATATTTTGCTGGTTGTGCACCTTTCCGAACTGCCCAGAGTGAAGGGATTTTCATCTGGAGGAGAGACCCTGGAGGAAATCAGTTTCAACTTGGGCTCCACCAATGCTGCCAGCATTGTGGGTAGAGAGGGAGGCCACAGGGCCATACTGGAGGGCTATGCTGTAAGGAGGTGGTCTTCACCTCTAGGCAGATTAGGTGACCAGCAGGCACTTTCACAGAGCCACTGGCCTTCCACTCTGACTCCTGGTTCTGCCCGGACCACTGAATTCTTGTGGCACTCTGACTACATTTTTGAAAAAATTTAATGAGTTCATGTGAATATTCAGTGATTCATGGATTGGGTAGCAGCAGATCACAAGTGGTTCAGTGCCCCACAGAAGGGGTCATAAGGGGACTTTTTAAATAAATTCAACTTTTATTTTAGATTCAGGAGTACATGTGCAGGCGTGTTACACCGGTATATTGTGTGATGCTGAGGTCTGGGCTATGAATGATCCTGTTGTCCAGGTAGTGAGCACAGTACCCAATAGATGGCTTTCAGCCCTTTTGCCTCTAATATATGTCTACTATATATATAAACATTATACATATAAATATATAATATATATATTTTTTTTCAGCCCTTTCCCGTCTAGTACCTGTCTACTATACCCATCTTTATGTCCATGTGTACCCAATGCTTAGCTCTCACTTACAAGTGACAACATGTGATACTTGGTCTTCTGTTCCTGCATTAATTTGCCTAGTATAATGGCCTCCAGCTGTATCCATGTTGCTGTAAAGGACATGATTTCATTTTTTGCGGCTGCATAGTATTCTAGTGTATATGTAGCACATTTTATTTAACCTATTCACCACTGATGAGCATCTAGGCTGCTTCCATGTCTTTGCTATTCTTAGAGTGAGAATTAAAGGTGGGAATGGCAGGCTCATTGAAACTCTGCCGCTTTGAGGTGGCAGAGATCTCATGCTATACCTTGCAAGTGAGGAAGGAGTACAGCTGTTGGTGGGATGAGCTGAAGCCGAGGCTTGAGGATAATGGGGTAGTGCTCCATCTCAGATCTCTCGTAGCCCAGGAGCAGATGGATGGTCATTGCTTTGGCATAATTCTGACCCATTAACAAGCTCTGAATCTCTTCGCACGTATAAGCCATGGGCATTATCTCAGTCTGTCAGGGATTCTTAAAAGCAGGAAGTGGTCAATGTAAGAGTTTAGATTTCAGTTCCTCCTCGTGGTCCATGTTCATCCACGGATGCTTCATGATTTCCTCTAAAGTGCCTCTCCTGCGAGAGTTGAGGACAAGAAATTTCTTGAGCAGGTTTTCACACTCCATGGGCATATAGCAAGAAATACCAGATATTCTTCTCAATATCTACTCTGGCAACTCCTTGAAGTTCTGTCTATCACAAGGCAGCAGGGGCACACTGAGCAGCCGATAGAGGATAACTGCCAGTCTTTACTCATTCACTAGCAGCTGTTGTACTTTGGGCCCTGGAAGAGCTGTGGGGCAATATAAAGAGGGCTGCCACAGAGGGCAGCTAGCTTGTTGCCAAAGGTGAATTTGTTGTGAAGCTAGCCTACAATGTCAGCTGTGCAGATGTTCTGCCCACAGGTCTCTAAGGACCATACACCTCTGGTGGTAACACTGCACAATAGGCACTTCATGGCAAAATTCGCCTTGTGCTTTTTTCTCTTTCATGCTGCCATCAGCCACCAGGTAATGGAACACCCCCTCCTCCACCAACATACTCCACAATACTGTAGAGGATTTTCTTAATGTCAATCACTTCAGATAATTTCACTATGGTGGGTTGATTCAAGGCCTTCTTGATTTGGTTTTTCTGGAACAGTCACAGGAGGCTGGGGGAGTTCTGCTGAGTCTTACTGATGGTCTTTGCAGCCACCTCTTTCCCAGTGAAAATGTGCCACACCAATTTCACCTTGGTGAAGTTACCCCCACTGATGGAGCCAGTCGACTAAGGAGCCAGTCGTTGCCATTATGGGTCTCTTCCTGAATAGAGATGGCTGAGAGGCACTGCAGCATGTTGGGCTTATAGGCAAGTTGTCACAAAGTCAGCTTACAATTGGGAAAAGCTGGTGAGAAGCTTGGTCCAAATCGCATCAACAGAAACTCAGGCCCAGAGTCTACCCAATGAACTGGTCATTGAGAGGAATCAAAACACAACACCAAACAAAAATAAAAAGTACCAGAAATTAACAATAACTAAACAAAAAAATGAGAGAAATTAAGAAAAGAAAAATGAGAAAAAGACTGAATAATAAAAATGAGAAAAATAAAAATGAAAAAGGGCAGTGAGAAAAAAGAAAGTAAGAAAATAATAAAAAATGAGGAACAGAAAAAAACAGTATAGAAGAAAAATTTAAAACAAGCAAAAGAGAAAAAAAGCCAAAGAGATAAAAAGTTAACTTTGGTCAAAGTCTCTCAGGTCATGGAAAACCAGCTTCCTGAGCTGGAAGCACCAAAGTTTAGACCCAGAAGTTGTAGGTTCTTAGAATTTCATAAAAATAGCTCCTTATGCAGGTTATAGCAAGAAATGAACTATCACTGGTAAGGATAATCCAGAGTGGTTTTCTTACATTTTGGTTTTGGAACACATTTCTCTTAAGAGGGGGGTTGAGGTGTTCCTAAAAAGCTTTTAATCTGAGTTATATTGATCAATATTTACCTCGTTAGAATTTAAAACCTGCAGAGTGTTTCAGTGACTTTTTCATTCCTAGTTTGGAACTTACAATAAACTTTGGCTTTTAAAGAGCTCATAGTATCTACATTTAAAATATATAATTTCTTTCTTTCTTTCTTTCTTTCTTTCTTTTTTTTTTTTTTGAGACGGAGTTTTGCTCTTGTTGCCCAGGCTGGAGGGCAATAGTGTGATCTCAGCTCACTGCAACCTCTGCTTCCTGGGTTCAAGCAATTCTCCTCTCTCAGCTTCCTGAGTAGCCTGGGATTACAGGCATGCCCCAACATGCCCGGCTAATTTTGTATTCTTGGTAGAGACGGGGTTTCACCATGTTGGTCAGGCTGGTCTCAAACTCCTAACCTCAGGTGATCTGCCCACCTTGGCCTCCCAGTGTTGGGATTACAAGCATGAGCCACTGTGCCCAGCCTAAAATTTATAATTTCTTTTTTAAAAACTCTGAATGGTTGGTCTCAAAATGACGTCACAACTTAGCTGACATCATGATACTATACAAAAATGTTCCATTGCATAGGACACAATCAGATATACTTAGGTATACATTATTAGGATTTTTAAAGCTGAGGGGAAGATAGCTTCCATCATACTCTCATTTCTTATTTAAAGCTTTGCCTTTCTTTGGAGAAAATTCCTCCCTTCCATGAGATAGATGATTCATTTTGTTCATGTCAGTATTTTCAAATGTAGAGGTTGCAACTGTCAGTTGAGAAAGCAAGTTTCTCTTTTTCTTTTTTCTTTTTTCTTCTTTCTTTCTTTCTTTCTTTTACTTCTTTCTTTCCTTCTCTTTCTCCTCTCTCTCTGTCTCTTTCTTTCTTGCACTTTATAGACTATTTAAAATAGTAGTTTAGGTTCTCAGCAAAACCGAATGGAAGATATGGAGAGTTTCCATATCCCCCTACCCAACACATGCATAGGCTCCTCCACTATCAACATTCCCCATAAAAACAGTTCATTAGTTACAATCAATGAACCTACATTGACACATCATTATCTTCCAAAGTCCATGGCTTACACTGTGGTTCACTCTTGGTGTTACATGGTCTATGGGTTTGGACAAGTGCATAAATGACTTGTACCCACCATCATAGTATGCAGAATAGTTTCATTGCTCTAAAAATCTTCTGTGCTCCACTTATTCCTTCCTCCCTCCCCACTAACTCTTGGCAACCACAGATCCTTTTACCAACTCCATAGTTTTGCCTTTTCCAGAATGTTATATAGTTTTAATCATACACTGTGTAGCCTTATAGTTAAAATCATACAGTATTGGCTCCTTACACTTAGTAATATGTATTTATGGTTCCTCCATGTCTTTTCATGCCTAGATAGCTCATTTCTTTTCAGTCCTAAATACTATTTAATTGTTTAAATGCACCATAGTTTATCCATTCACCTACTGAAGGACATCTTGGTTGCATCCAAGTTTAGACAATTATGAATAAAGCTGCTATAATCATCCGTATGCAGGTTTTTGTGTGCATATAAGTTTTCAACTTATTTACGTAAATAACAGGGAGTGAGACTGCTGGATTTTATGGTAAGAGCATGTTTAGTTTTATAAGAAAGTGCCAAATTGTCTTTCAACTAGCAGTGCGTGAGAAGCTCCAGTGTCTCCACATTCTTATCAGTATTTTGGATTTTTGCCATCTCACAGTTGTGTAGAATTGTCTCATTGTTGTTTTAATTTCCAATTCTCTAATGACATAACGATGTGGAACATCTTTTCATATTCTCATTTCATATATTATTATTATCTCTGATTAGGTGTCTGTTCAAATCTTTTGCCTTTTGTAAATCAGGTTGTTTTTCTTATGGTTGAGTTTTTAAAGTTCTTTGTTTATTTTGACTAACAGTCATTTATCAAATAGTTTTTGCAAATATTTTCTCCCAGTCTGTGACTTAAGACTCATATTTTAATTATTATTATTTAGCATATCTTAATGATTAAATATTAAACAGGATTATACATTTAAAGTAGACCACATAGAAGCTGCATATGTAAGTATTGTTTCACTAGAAACAATTGTCACTTAAGTTTCTGTGATGGTAAGAATGAGTACTCACTGGTCTCCTTAATAGTAGGTGAATTGGCATGAATCTGTAGAGGTGTATGCATGAGACAAGAATTTTCCAGTTTTACACTTTTTGCACATTGGCAAGATATTATATGATCATAAACATCACTAAAATATACACGTGCTAAGCTTTAGGGCTTTCAGATAACCACCAGTAGTTTTGTATTGAATTACTTGGTTTAAAGACAAAGCTCAGATATGTGTTCAATGATGAAAAAGAAGTAGTAGGAAATCCTTTTCTTCTTTCTCAAGAACATTAGCACCTCTTCAAATACATTGATTATAGAACACAGACAGCCCTTGCGATAGTTTGCTGAGAATGATGGTTTCCAGCTTCATCCATGTCCCTACAAAGGACATGAACTCATCCTTTTTTATGGTTGCATAGTATTCCATGGTGTATATGTGCCACATTTTCTTAATCCATTCTATCATTGATGGACATTTGGGTTTGGTTCCAAGTCTTTGCTATTGTGAATAGTGCTGCAATAAACATATGTGTGCATGTGTCTTTGTAGCAGCATGGTTTATAATCCTTTGGGTATATACCCAGTAATGGGATGGCTGGGTCAAATGGTATTTCTAGTTCTAGATCCCTGAGGAATTGCCACACTGTCTTCCACAATGGTTGAACTAGTTTACAGTCCCACCAACAGTGTAAAAGTGTTCCTATTTCTCCACATCCTCTCCAGCACCTGTTGTTTCCTAACTTTTTAATGATTGCCATTCTAACTGGTGTGAGATGGTATCTCATTGTGGTTTTGATTTGCATTTCTCTGATGGCCAGTGATAGTGAGCATTGGGAATTGAACAATGAGAACATTTGGACACAGGAAGGAGAACATCACACACCGGGGCCTGTTGTGGGGTGGAAGGATGGCGGAGGGATAGCATTAGGAGATATACCTAATGTAAATGACAAGTTAATGGGTGCAGCACACCAACATGGCACATGTATACATATGTAACAAACCTGCACATTGTGCACATGTACCCTAAAACTTAAAGTATAATATATAATACTTCATATAATATATATATATTATACTTATACATATATATATTATACATATATATATATTATACATATATATATGTATAAAAGAACACAGACTGCCAACTGGGAAAAGAGTTTTCCAACATCTGCATCCATGAAGACGTTTTCAAATGATGTAAAAGCAGATTGATGCTTTCACTGGATTTGTAACTTTTTTTTTTAATACAGAGGGATTTGTAGCCTTCTCCTTCATTAAACAGTATTAATAAAATCACCTCTAAGTAAATGAAATCCTTATGGTTTTTATTAATGATATTAATTTCTTTTTGAGGTTTCCACAATTGCTTTTAAAATCAAGTTTCTAATATCCTCTACTCTTCGTACATCTCTAATTGGAAAAGATGTAAGAGCATTAGCAAAAGCTAATAAAAATGCTCTTATATGTTTTCAAAATAAATGGTTAACAATTTAACATCTCTGATATTCCTTTCAAGCTACCACTATTCTTTTGTATATTGAGTCCTATAAATTACAGACCACTATTTCATGCACTAATACGTGAAATAATTGCTATAGCTAAAGATAAATGCTATAGCTAAAGATAAATGCGTTGGTGGGAAATTTTTAATCTGAACTTTTGTCTAATATTGTAAAATATATCTGCTAATCTTGGACTTTCATGTAAAGCCATCCTGCAGCAATGTACCCCTTAGGCACCTTTAACTACACTTGTGGTCCTCAACCCTGGCCACACTTACCTTAATTTTTTTTTTTTTTTTTTTTGAGACAGGGTTTTGCTCTATTGCCCAGGCTGGCAGGATCATAGCTCACTGCAGCCTCAACCTGCTGGGCTCAAGTGATCCCCCGCCTCAGCCCCCTGATATCTGGGATTACAGGCACATGCCACCACACCCAGCTAATTTTTTTTTGGAACTTTTTAGTAGGGACAAGGTCTCACTATGTTGCCCAAGCTGGTCTCAAACTCCTGAGATCAAGCAATCCTCCTTCTTTGGCCTCCCAAAATGTTGGGATTACAGGTGTGAGCCACCATGTCTCACCTTAGAATTTTAAAAATTATACCTGGACACCACCCCAACTTAAATGTGTTAGAATTCCTGGTGATGAATATTTTTTGAAAGCTTCCTGATATGACCATGGTTGACAGTCACTATGCCAGATCTCTTCATCTACTTCCTGGATTTCCTTCCCTCACTTTTAAGAATTCTAAAGCTGATATTTTGTGTTACATGCATTACTTCCAGTATTAGCTGCTGCTAATGTTTATTCAATAAGTATTATTGAATACACTTTCTTAGCCTCTTTACATTGCTATTACCTGAAAACCTTACAACAAAACAATAAATAAGGTGTTCATGTTATTTCTACATACAGATGGAAACACTGAGATTCAAATATGTTCATTGTCTTCTCCAACGTGTTCTTTTTTGCATGTTTGCTGTTGACCTCAAGAAAGACTTGGAAATAAGACCATAATCTGTAATTTTTTTTTTTTTTTTTTGAGACGGAGTTTTGCTCTTGTTGCCCAGGCTGGAGTGCAATGGCGGGATCTTGGCTCACCGCAACCTCCACCTCCCAAGTTCAAGTGATTCTCCTGCGTCAGCCTCCCGAGTAGCTGGGATTACAGGCACGTGCCATCACGCCTGGCTAATTTTGTATTTTTGGTAGAGACAGGGTTTCTCCATGTTGGTCAGGCTGGTCTCGAACTCCCGACCTCAGGTGATCTGCCTGCCTTGGCCTCCCAAAGTGCTCGGATTACAGGCGTGAGCCACCACTCCCGGCCCATGATCTGTAATTTTAATCAAAAGTGTTAGGCTACATAGTGCATTGTAAATTTTCAATTATGCCTAATATAAATAAGCACAACCAACACTATTTTTCAAAGTCACATAAAAGTGTTTAAGAAATCACAGAGGCTCTCCACATAATAAAAGTAAAAGTGTGAAAGGCAGAATTTAGAATGATTTGTTAGAGAAGAACTGTAGGTTCTGCATATAAAATAGGCTCATTTAACAATATGCCATTCTGTATGCCCCAAAGGATATGGGGGAAAGTTAAGACACTTCATTTTAAATCAATTGTGAAATGTGGTTTAATTATCAGAAGCAAATGAGATAATTTTTTCCACCAATAGAGCAGTTTTAAATGTTGTTCACTTTATTTTAGATATTGTGAGCATAAAAATGATTTGCTAAACCCAGACAAAATTTTTGAAGAGTTTCCTGAATCCAAACATGTTTACACTATAATAAATTATTTCCAAGACACCAGGAACACCATAGCTAAAATACAATTCAAATGAGATCTACATTTAATGTAGAAGAACCAGACATCCCTTATCTATATCAACTACTAATATCCCTGCTGTGAACTATAAATTAACGAGGTTCATTTTGTGTGTGTGGCCATGGAGCCAGGCTTCCACGCCCCATTTAAGCCGTATCAGTCATACCTCATATATTTATTTAACGAAGATAAGCACTTTCAAGTTGCTTCATGCATTTGCATCTTTGAAGGCACTGTATATTCTATTTTTACTGCAACATTTGAGTTCTGGTTCTGTATTTTGTGTTGATAAACCTAAATACGGTTTGAAGTTATTTTGATTCCATTTATATATTTGCTTTAGGCAACTGGGGGAAGGAAATACATTTGACATCAGAACACTCAAGTCTTATGAGGAAAGAATCACAGGAAAGCTCAGATCAGCTGTAAGTAATAAACATGTTTTATTGTAATGCCTACTATGAGCCAGGCCTGTTGCATAAACATAAAATAATATAATCTTCCCAACAACCCTGAGATGAGTGTATCATTGCTATTAATTTCTAATTACAATGTTAACTTATATAAATAGAGGCAGATTAGGAGAAGTTAACAAGCAGCAGAGTGAGTCTGAAATCCCGAAGTAACTCTATAGATCTGCTCAGTGAAGGAAAACAATGGGCCGGGCGCGATGGCTCACGCCTGTAATCCCAGCACTTTGGGAGGCCAAGGCGAGCGGATCACGAGGTCAGGAGATCGAGACCATCCTGGCTAACATGGTGAAACCCCGTCTCTACTAAAAATACAAAAAAATTAGCCGGGCGTGGTTGCAGGCGCCTGTAGTCCCAGCTACTCAGGAGGCTGAGGCAGGAGAATGGCCTGAACCCAGGAAGCGGAGCTTGCGGTGAGCTGAGATCGTGCCACTGCACTCCAGCCTGGGCGACAGAGCGAGGCTCTGTCTCAAAAAAAAAAAAAAAAAAAAGAAAACAATGATGGCATTCTTAACAGAATTCTGAACATGTGGTCCAAATACAATGGTGGAAGCTTAATAGTAAGAAATGAGTTAGTCCAAGATCACTAAAGGGCTCTTGTAATTCTTGATTCTTTGGACTGAAAGAGGAACATCTGGACCACAGCAGGAAGTGAGAGCTTGGAAAATATCCTCTCAGGAGCATGGTGGAGATTGGCAGTGTTTCAGAGCAGGAGAGGGCTGTTGGAAACCATCTGATTGACAATATGTAATAACTTCTTAATAGCATCCCTGCACCTCATCATTTTATCATCTACTCTTTAGCCAAATTTGTCTTCCTAAAACTGGAAGTCTGGTTATGTAATTTCCTGATTTAAAATCTTCCACCTAAACATTAAAGTAATACCCAAACATTTTAAATGGCCCATAAAGCCCTTCAAGCTATTGTTGCCTTCTGCTTAATCCTCCAGCCTCACCTCATTCGGTTGCCACTCCCTGTATTGAGCCTTTTGTTCAACCTGCACATAATCATTTAGATATCATTATAGTTCCTATAATTTGCCACACATTCTCTTCACACATTTAAATATGCTGTTCTTCTGGCTTCAAATAATTATTTCCCCCATGAAATGACCTCCCCTCTTCTCCCCTACTTTGATCTATAAACAACTACTATCTTCATTTTCCAACTTGGATTTGCTGACTATCCATGACCTAGAGACTTGGTCAGGCACATCTTTCACATGCTCCAAGAAAGCCCTGTGTTCCTCCCATCATAGATTGCACTGTAAGTCCATCTGTAATTATCTGTGTCTTTACTAAATTATAGGCTCTGGGCGGGCAGGAACCAGGCTTTTCCTGCTCATCACTGTCTTCCCAGTATGTAGCACAATGCTTGGGCTCAACACTTGACTTAAGTTGGTTTTTTGAGACAGGATCTTTTTCTGTTGCCCAGGCTGGAGTGCAGTGGCACAAACGTGGCTCACTGCAGCCTTGACCTCTTGGTCTCAAATAATCCTTCTGCCTCAGCCTCCCATGTAGCTGGGACCACAGGTGCACACCACCACTCCTGGCTATTGTGTTTGTTTGTTCTTTGTAGAGACAAGGTGTCACTTTGTTGCTCAAGCTGGTCTTGAATGCCTGGGTTCAAGCAATCCTCCTGCCTCAACCTCCCAAAGTGCTGGGATTACAGGCATAAGCCATTGTGCCCAGCTTGAATTAAAATTTAATACATTCATACAATACTTCAGGTATCAGAGACATAAAAGATTTTTTTAATTCATGATCCCTCATCCTCCAGCTTGTGTATAGGAGAACACTCCCTCCTGGAGATCTTAAATAGTTTTCCTTAACTCATATATTTCATTAGTGCTTAGTGAATATAAATCTCGGTCCAAAAATTCAGATGTGCAAAAAAACCCGTTGTTTTATTTTCTAAAAATTATCTTAACTATCAACTTAAATCTAAATTCCCCTGAGATGGCAAGGCACTCAACCTCAGGGTTCTATGGGCTTTCTCTGTGGAGCAATTGCAAAGTCTATGGAGTCTTAACAGTCTAATTTTTTTAAGTCATGCTTTCAGGCTTCCATATCGCCTTTTCCATAGTCCTCCTAACCAGCCAGCTCTGCAGCTTTCCTATCATGCTTGGCTCTCACCTCTTTGGAGAAGATGGGTATACTGAAGCTTAGAGTCCCACCTGTCATAATGCATCACTCTATCAGCTCTTCTGAGGCCTGGCCACCTCCTCAGAGCACTGCCCTAGAGCAATGTCAAATTCCAGCTGATCTTTTCTCCATTCCCTCCCAATTGGAAGCCTCAGAATATATTATGTTTAATATTGAATAAATTGTTATTTCCCTTTTCACGTTTCTCATAGAAGAATTCTTTCTCCTCATTCCCTTCTCTTTAAGGCACTTAGACTTCAGGTCACAAAAGCCAAAAAAGAAACTGAACTGAAGACAATTTTAGCTTTCTAATTTGGTTAGTTGGAATTTTTCTGGTAGCAGGTGAACATACCCCCAACTCATACGGCCTTATGCATAAACAAAAATGAATTGGTGACAGCACTGAGAATGTCAAGGTATAGTTTTGGCTCCCAGCAAGCTGGGTTTCAGGGCTCAAATTAGGTCATCAGGGTTGGGTTTTCCTCTATGGGTTTTGGCTTCATTCTTCTTATTAAATTTATTCTCTGAGCGATTCTCCAATCATTATCTCCGGTTACACTGCCATCTTAGCTTCAAGTCCATTAAGGAAGAGAATGAGTCTCCTTTCTAGAACAACCATAAAAATGAACTTTATTGGCACTTATTTGACTTCGATTGGATCACATTTTCACCCCTGAGTTCAATGACCAAGGTAATATGATGCACTGAGTGAGTTAAATCCAGGTCCCATACTTTACACTGGAGCTGGGGATGGGAGTTACCCAAAGCATATGGGCTGAGAGGGGAATAGTGTCCTGAGGAAAAATGAATATGATTACTGAAAATGGGAGAAATTAATCTAGATTGCATACAAAAATAATGTATTTTCTTACAGATAGTTTCAATAATTAGGTGCCAACAGTTCCTCTCTTCCCTGGGTGCACATGCTACTCATCCCATCAAGAGGTGGAGTCCATTTCCCCTCCCTTTGAATAAGGCTGGCTTTGTGACTTGCTTTGCCTAATAGAATGCAGCACAGGTAGCCCAAGTGGGAGCTTTCGGGCTTATTAAGGGCTAATCCTCAAACTTCAGAGCTCTCTTAAATCCTTGAGCCTCTAGGTAAAATATTCAGGACATCCTGATAGAGGAGCTATGTGGAATTACACACCATGTAGAGAATGAAGTGACTCAGAATTAAGGCCCCAAAAGTGAGAGAGGCCTGCTTGGACCTCCCAGCTCAGTAGAGTTATCAACTGAGCGCAGTCATTACAGACCCCAGCCAACCCCACATGGCGAGAGGAACAACTACCCAGCCAATCAGTCCTGAGAAATAGTAAGTCACTATTATTTTAAGTCAACAAGTTTTGGGGTGGTTACACATCAAAATGCAACTGATATACTGTTTTACCCTCTGAGAGAAAACTCCACAAGATGAGGAAACACAGAACCTGTCACCTGCTAAAAGGAGAAGGAGAAAACCAGCAGCCTTAGTGCTATTTATCAACCCACTCTACTTGTAAGCACCCTGGCCTCTGTCTCCTAATTCAGTGCTCTTACCACTATGGTTCACTGTCATCCAAAAAATTGTGCCTTAATATTCAGAAAAGCATATACACTTGCTAAGTGTGAATAGAATTGGACAAAAAGGTGCATGGGCAATTTAGATTCTGACAAAAGAATAAATTAGAGAGCTAATAGGAGACAGAAATCTTTCAAGGAAAAGAAACTGGACTGTAGTGTGACAAACATTGTAAAACTGATTTGATTATTTGTACTGGTCACAGCCAACTGCTAAAATTATATGGTGGTTTATCTTACAGCAAAACAGTTGTGAAGTTTAAACCCCTGTTATCATCGTTATTTCTCTTTTGCTTCATTAATCCTTAAATTATATGAAAAAAGCTTCAAGCTTTACTAATGAATCACTTCAAAGAATGAGAGATGTCTTATCTGTTGGCTGTAATGATGTTAAAAATTACATTGACTAAAGAATAGCACTTAACTTATTAAATAACTTTTATATATGAAAGGCCTTGTTCATTTCAGGGACAGTAAGATACTAAGGCTAAGATTGTTCAGAGTTTGGAAAATGTGACTTTAAAAATAGAATATTTTGAATCCTTACACTTAAATATACTTAAGTTTTTTTGGTCAATTTTGAAAAGTTCTTGATGATTACAATAAAGTCTCAGTAGTCTACTCTGTAATTACATTCAATCTGTGAAAATTACATAATTTAAACATCCATCTCTGAAAATAAAACTGGTCCTAGTTAATCAACAGAATAAAAAAGCAACCCACAGAATAGGAGAAAATATTTGCAAATTATATATCACATAAGGGATTAATATCCTGAATATAGAGAACTCCTAAAACTCAAGAACAAAACAGACGAACAAACTGCTTCAAAAATGGACAAAGGACATAAATAGACATTTCCCCAAAGAAGATATGCAAATGCCCCATGAGCACATGGAGAGATGCTCAATTTCACTAATCATTAGGACCATGAGCACATGGAGAGATGCTCAATTTCACTAATCATTAGGACAATGCAAATCAAAGCAACAATAAAATAACAACTCGTACCTATTGGGATGGCTACTATTTAAAAAAAAAAAAATACAAGTGGCCGGGCGCGGTGGCTCACGCCTGTAATCCCAGCACTTTGGGAGGCCGAGGCGGGCGGATCACGAGGTCAGGAGATCCAGACCATCCTGGCTAACACGGTGAAACTCCGTCTCTACTAAAAATACAAAAAAATTAGCCGGGCGTGATGGCGGGCGCCTGTAGTCCCAGCTACTGGGGAGGCTGAGGCAGGAGAATGGCGTGAACCCGGGAGGCGGAGCTTGCAGTGAGCCGAGATCGCGCCGCTGCACTCCAGCCTGGGCGACAGAGTGAGACTCCGTCTCAAAAAAAAAAAAAAAAAAAAAAAAAAACAAGTGAGCAAGAATATGGAGTCATTGGGACTCTTGTGCATTGTGAATGGGAATGAATAATGGTACAGCCGCTGTGGAAAACAGTTTGGCAGCTTCTCAAATAATTAAAAATAAAATTACTATATGATCCAGCAATTCCATTTCTGGGTATATGCCCAAAAGAATTAAAAACAGGATATGGAAGAGATATTTGTATAACCGTGTTCATAGCAACATTATTAGCAATGGCTAACCACAGAAGCAACATAGGTGTCCATCGATGGATGAATGGATAGGGAAAATGTAGTATACACGTACAATGGCATATTATTCTGCCTTAAAACAGAAGGAAACTCTGACACATGCTACAACATGCATAAAACTTGAGGATATTATGCTAAGTAAAATAGGCCAGTCACAAAAAGGCAAATACTGTATGATTCCACTGGTAGGAAATACTTAGAGTAGTCAAAATCATAGGGACAGCAAGTAGAATGATGGTTCCCAGATATTGCGGGGAGGATGCAATGAGGATTTATAGTTTAATGTGTATAGAGTTTCATTTTTACAAGTTTAAAAGAGTTCTGGAGATGGATGATGGTAATGGTTACACAATGTTATAAATGTATTTAAAACTACTGAATTGTACACCTAAAAATGGGTAATATGGTAAATTTTATGTTTATGTGTATTTTACCACGATTTTATGTTATGTGTATTTTACCACAATTTTTAATAAATAGGGGAAAAACTAGTTCTAGTTAAACTACAAAAAGATCAGGTCAAGAATGGTTAGAGATTGGGAAAAAGAATGAGAATAGAGCAAATGTGGAGGTGAGAATAGATGGGATGGGGTAATTATAAAGGTTAATAAAAGATAAAGCTATAAAGCAAGGGAGAGGTGTGTATACATGATTTCTCTCCTCACAACATTATGATTTGCCCTCTTTGCTACAAATTCTGTTACTTCATTGTGGTGTCATTCAATCTCATCTTGGATAAAAACCAATGTTAACATTCTTTCAATAAACTTATTTCCTTAAGCTTTGAAAAGCAAAATAAGAAGAGACAAACAAAAAAAGTCAGTTAAATTTGAATTATCAAACACCATGGAATGTATGTATATGGTATTATAAATTATCCCAGTGAGCAAATATGAAGAGCACATTTATGGTAATAACAAAGTATAGATCCAGAACTACAACAACAAATTATAGGTCTAAAAGGACAGATAAGAAAGCATTAATCAAGCCCTCATATGGGCATTGTTTAAAGATAGAGTTAATAATAAAATCAGTACTATCCTTGATTCTCAGCAAACCATCAATAAATGCCCTTCCAGAGTTTCTCAATTTTATTTCCAATTTTATCACAAAATAAGTTTTATTTTTGTTTTATTATTTTTATTATTATTATTATCATTATTATTATTATGGAGATAAGATCCCATTCTGTCACCCATGCTGGAGTACTGTGGTGTGATCACAGCTCACTGCAGGCTTGACCTCCAGGGTTCAAGCAGTCTTCCCACCTCAACCTCTTATGTAGCCGGAACTACAGGCATATGCCATCATGCTCAGTGATTTCTTTTTAGAGAGAGAGAGATAGGGTCTCACTATATTGCCCAGATTAGTCTCAAACTCCTGGACTCAAGCAATCCTCCTGCCTTGGCTTCCCAAAGTGCTGGGATTACAGGTCTGAGCCACATGACCCAGATAATTTTTAAAATTTTTTGTATTATCATCAATATATATCATTTTTAAAAGACGAAGACCTTCTTCATTCCTTTTAACTGGGCCACTACAATTTAGCAATTAAGAAAACCCCCTAGAATATAAGTATGTTGATTTACATATCTACTCAGGCTGGTAAATTTTAAAACTGCCAGTATCAAGACTACCCAATCATATAATTTTTTAATTTTTCTCACAGTAGTGTTGTCACTAAAGTGACATTTTCCTTAAGCTAAGATTCATAATGCAAAAGTTATAGAAAACTCTTCGCTGTATTGTGTAATACCAACTATATGGTGCCATATAGTTAGGAACAAAGACAAATTAAAATAAACATAATTTGTGATTTTTAAAAAAATGTCTACAGCTCCTAATCTTTGCTGCTAATATCAGGGTACTGCCAAGAAACTGACTCAGACATGGCGAATTTAAGCTTTAGTAAAGAAATCTAACCCCAAGTCAGCAAATGGAAAAACATTCATCTGTCTTAGGAATATCCCATTCCATATAAAGAAAAGAGTCACACTCTTAAAATATTCAGCACATTTAAAATTATTTTTAAATATATGACTAATGCAAATAATTGCTTACTATAAGATGGAAATGAACTATAAAATCAGTAGCTTTTTACCAAATGATCTATGCAAATTTTAGAGAACTTTTAGATAAAACTAGCAGTGGAGAAAAAAATGAGAACATAAAAATCCATTAAGAAAATAATTAAACTAGGGAAAGATAAAAACAATTATAGAATATATCTTATTTCTGATTAAAGCAGAACTATTATGAAATTAGATCATTATAATTTGGCAACCATCATAGTAATAATGGATTCCAAAAGAATCATCAGCATATGCTAAAACTAACTGGATGAAAGTCAGATGAGTAATAGAATATTTATGTACTTTCGTTTCAAATGATCTCTCAGAATGCACTCATTAATTACAAAAGAAACAATACAACTTTACATGGGGACAAAGAAGGACACCAAATTAATGAAGTGATCAAAGTTAATATCACTGGCAATTGGACAATCCGACATTATGCACCTCCTGATGGGAAGCATGGGAAACACAACATGTTTCTGCAATGTTCCTGCCAAAAATCCGTGAGTTGAATCTAGTCATGTTGAAGTGCCTCAGAAAGCATGTTTAAGGACGTTCTCTGAACTAGCTTGCCTACTGTATATTCTTCAAAAGTATAAAGACTATGAAAACAAACCAACAAAAAACCCTGGGGAATGTTGCATACTCTAGCAAACCAAAAAGACGTGCAACTGAGAACCACTTATGATCCAACAATTTCTTTTCCTACAAAGGACATTATTGGGACAATTGGCAAAATGGGAATGTCTTTAGATGAGATAATAATATCAATGCTTTTTCCTGATTTTGATCATTCTACTTTATTTTACTTATTTATTCATTTTTTGGAAATAGGGGTCTCACTAATGTTGCCCAGCCTGTATTGGAACTCCTGGGCTCAAAGGATCTTCCTGCCTCAGCTTCCTGAGTAGCTGTGACTGCAGGCATATACCACTGCACCTGGCTTGATAATTATACTTTAGTTCTCTGACAAAATGTCTTTGATTTTAGAAAATATTCACTAAAATATTTAGGAGTAAAGGATCATCAAGTCTGCTACTTAATTTCAAAGACAAAAGAGTATGTAAAGGGAAAATTGTACTCTGTGTGTGTCATATGTATGTGTGTAATATTACATATATACCTACATAAAAGAGAGAAAGAGCAGTAAAGCAAAACAAAGGCAGCAAATGTTAACATTTAGGGAATCTAGAAGGTTTGTTTCATATTCTTACCATCTTCCCATCAGTCTGAAATTATGTCAAAGTAAAAGCTGAAAAAAGAATGAAGCATGATTTTTTGTCATTTTCAAATACTATCCGTTGTTATGATCTTGCCAAATATATTTTCAGTCAAAAATCCAAAATTTTATAGGTCATTTCCATTTAATCAAAGATATTAACAAGAAAATAGTTATTTTTGCGCAATGTTGGAAGCCTGTGATATGTATTACTCTAAATTCTGTTTGCATGTCCTCATGTCTAAGCACCTGGTAGTTTTTGAAATGGGTAAGTGGCAAATAGCTGCAATACAGAAGGATAGTATTATTAACCTATCTGAGGTAACCATGTTTTGAATAGCAAAATATATGTGCTTGTAATTTTTTAGGCTACTAAAAAGCTGTAATATTGACTTAATGTCAGTGGATAAATGAGAGAAGAATATCTTACTGCCCTGAAATTATGGGGCACCTTGATTTAGAGAAGAAAAATAAAAACAACAGCAAAAACTCTGTTTCATGAACACAGCTGCATTCAGAGCCCTAACAGTATAAAAAAGATGAATATTCATCTTGCTCTTAATGAACTTTCCAATTGATTGAGGTAAAATGTATGCCTGAAACATATCAAGTACAAATATGTATATAAACTTTTTTTAATTATGAAAAAAGAAATATTGCTTCATTTACATATCTTTATTGATACAGGAGATTTTTCTTTTTAAACTGATATTCAAGGTAATTGATACTTGGTTCATCAAAATAAGTTTTAGCAATTGCTTCTTAAAATATCTCCAAAGGCATTATTTGACTTAATACCAGATGTAGGGCCATTCATGAATATTATTTCTTGTTCTCTTCAGGAACAGAGGAGGTTTAGTTCCTAGGATTTTTCTTACCTATGATGTTCAATTTATTGATTCTTTCAGCCTTCCCTTTTTCTGAGTACTTCAAATGAGCCAGAATTTGGTAATTCAAATGATCGTTAGAATTGCTGACAATGAAGAATTAGTATGCTCTGAAGTTGGTCTGTAGTCCTTTGATTCAAAATAAAATTGTGCTAGTTCTAGTGCTTATAACTTCAGATGACACAGAATCATTTATAGTATTATTTTCTGATTCTTGGCTACAGTCTTAGCTGTAGATACAGTTTATGTTACTGTGATTAGCGCAGCATAAAGAAATGATAAAGTATTGATGGACTGAAAAGCAGTTTTCTATGTGACTTTAAAACTAAGTAATCAACATAATTGGTGATGAGTAGTATAGAGAATATTCTATTAACTTTCATTCAAATGGCAAAAAATATATCTGTAGATTATGAGGTAAGAAAAACATCTAGCTAATTTTATGATGGTGTTTTGATTTTTAATAATTGAAAGATAAAAAAATACACATCGATTCCCTATTCTTTTTAAAGAAATCAGTGACAGGTAGTAAAATGATAAAGTCTGTATTTCTCATAACATAACTAATACTATATTCAATTAATAAATGAAACCAATCTAAGAATCTTATAGTGTCCTGAAGTTGTTGGGGAATCATTTTTATCCCATGCTGGTCTTTGTTTATCTGGCAATTGTAAGGTAGTGGACAAAAATGGGATATAGAAACATCAGAGAAGAATGAGAATGACTAAGTTAGTGTTCTGAATGTTTAGAGTGGAGGTTTTATTTAGAAAGTGCAGTGAGGCACATACAGAATGGATTCATTTTTAATTAAAGCTCTGACATCATGAATTATACCAATCATATGTGATATTTTAATGTAACAGGACCACTTGTATGCAACAACAACAACAAAAACAAGGCTGGGCACAGTGACTCATGCCTGTAACCCCAGCACTTTGGGAGGCCAAGCCGGGGGGATTACTTGAGCCCAGGATATTGACACCAGCCTGGGCAACATAGGATAACCCCGTAACTACAAAATGAAAATAAAAATAAAAAGTTAGCTGGGCTTGGTGGTGCACATCTATGGTCCCAGCTACTTGGGGAGGCTGAGGTGGGAGGATCGCTTGGGCTTAAGAGGTCGAGGCTGCAGTGAGCATTGCTTGCACCACTGCACTGCGGTCTGGGCAACAGAGCAAGAACCTGTCTCACAAAAACAAACAAACAAACAAAAACGGCAATAAAAAAAACAAACCGCCGTTAACACATACTAAGTGCTTACCATGGGATGTATGACTTTACAATGGATTAAGTTCTCATCTATTTATGAAGTGTAATTATGAAGCAAGAGGTAGCTTGGTCACATTAACATTGCTAATAAGTCCTTAAGCAACTTCTACTACAGAAGTGCTTCTCTAATTTGTCCAAACCAACACAGCACTTGGTATTCTGAGTAGTTTCTAATCTTCCTGCCGCTCACCTTATATCCTTTTTTCCTGTTTTTGTCATCCAGTCAACCTGAAGATTAATGCAGCTTCTGTAGCCCTGATCTCCTGATTCCCTGTTCAACCCAATTTATATGCAGCCTGAGGCTACTCTGGAGAGATACTTTAACACCTCCTCCCTCGTGCCTGGGGCCTTATACAATCATCACAACCAGCATTGCTGCTCGCTTGCCCAGGCCTGTGAATGACACATGTTATTACTACTCTATTTCTACTTCATGAAATTAGGTAACTGGGTCATTTACTTGTGAAAGGACTGCCTGTAGTGTGATTTCTTTTAACTAAAACTTTCTTTGCGAGGACTCAAGTATTGTATTTGGCTGCTCTTTGTCTTTCAGAGATTGGATATTATGGGTATTATGTTAATTTAAAAAGGACATTCATTCATTTAATAAATATGTCTTGTGCATCAATAAGTACATAGTAGAAATCCAGTCCTAAATGCTGTGGATATAACAGTAAACAATATAAACAAAGTCCCTGCCTTTATATTCTAGTAGGAATAGTGAGAAATAGACAGATGAGATAGGTAGATAGATAGAAGATAGATAAATGAAAGAGAAATAGGAGAGAAATGGATGATGATAGAAAACAGATTAGATGGATGGATAGAGAGATACTAGATTGGATGGATGGATGGATGGATGGATGGATGGATGCATGGATGGATGGATGGATGAATAGATAGATGATAGATAGATGGATAGATAGATAGATAATAGAAAAGAAAGGAAGAAAAAGAAAATAGATTAGGTGGATGGATAGATACAGATTAGATTAGATAGAAGGATAGTTAGCTAATAGATTAGATGGATGGGTGGGTGGATAGATAGATACAAAGATAATAGATTACATGAATGGATAGATAATAGATTAGATATATTGACAGATGAATAATATAGATTGGATAGATGGACAGTTAGGTAACAGATTAGATGGATGGATAGATGGGTGGGTGGATAGACACATAGATAATAGATGAGATGGATAGATAAATAACAGATTAGATGAATGGGTGGAGGAATGGATAGTTAGATGATAGATAGATAGATAGATAGATAGATAGATAGATAGATAGATAGATATGATATGATAGGAAGATAGATAAACAGATATATATCAAGTATTGTTGACTGCTGCAAAAGAGAACTAAAACAGGATAAGAATAATAGAAAGTAGCAGGGAAAGAGTTGCTATTCCATATAGTGTGGTCAGGAACATCTCCTTGATAAGACAACATTTCATCAGAGACCTGAAGGAAGCAAAAGAAAAACACATGAGCTTCCACACAGCAAAAATACTATCATCAGAGTAAACAGGCAACCTACAGAATGGGAGAAAATTTTTGCAATCTATCCATCTGACAAAGGGCTAATATCCAGAATCTACAAGTAACTTAAACAAATTTACAAGAAAAAAAAAACCATTAAAAAGTGGGTGAAGGATATGAACAGACACTTCTCAAAAGAAGACATTTATGCAGCCAACAAACATATAAAAAAAAAGTTCATCATCACTGGTCATTAGGGAAATGCAAATCAAAACCACAATGAGATACCATCTCACGCCAGTTAGAATGGCAATTATTAAAAAGTCAGGAAACAACAGATGCTAGCGAGGCTGTAGAGAAATAGGAACACTTTCACACTGTTGGTGGGAGTGGGAGTGTAAATTGGTTAAACCATTGTGGAAGACAGTGTGGCGATTCCTCAAAGATTTAGAACCAGAAATACCATTTGACCCAGCAAACCCATTTCTGAGTATATACCCAAAGGATTATAAATCATTCTACTATAAAGACACATGTACATGTATGTTTATTGCAACACTATTTACAGCAGCAAAGACTTGGACCAGCCTAAATGCTCATCAGTGATAGACTGGATAAAGAAAATGTGGTACATGTACACCATGGAATACTATGCAGCCATAAAAAAGAATGAGATCATGTCCTTTGCAGAAACATGGGTGAAGCTAGAAGCCATCCTTCTCAGCAAACTAACACAAGAACAGAAAACCAACACTGCACGTTCTCACTCATAAGTGGGAGTTGAACAATGAGAACACATAGACACAGGGAGGGGAACATCACACACGGGGGCCTGTCGTGGGTTGCGGGGGTAAGGGAAGGGAGAGCATTAGGACAAATATCTAATGCATGCATGTATGTGGGGCTTAAAACCTAGATGATGGGTTGATAGGTGCAGCAAACCACCACGGCACATGTATACCTTGGTAACAAACCCGCACGTTCTGCACATGTATCCCAGAACTTAAAGTAAAATTTAAAAAATGAAAAAGAAAAGAAAAACACACATAGAAATCTGGGAGAAAGGTAAGTTAGGGGCAAGGGCACACCAAATAAGACCAGTGCTTAGAGACTAAATTTTAAATTACCTATCTTGTTATGGATTTCATGTAAAGAAGATATTCTCTAGTAATAACTAAGAAAATGTGGGTGCCTATAGCAGCAGTGGATAACATTTTTCCCACGATATGAATACCCGGTAGGCCCCACAGCATGAGAAGATACATCTACAGCGTTGCAGAGAGCCTCCTCCACATGTTTAATGCCAAAGAGAAACTTTAAGTGAAGCATATTTCATTTCTTATAGAAAATGAAGATTTAAAACCCTAAAGAAAATTCTGATTCACTTGAAGAATCTGCTCTCAAATAATTGTAGTTGAAATCACATTCCCACCAGAGGTCAGCCTAACCACAGGAATGAATTGTTAATTGGCAAAGCAAACTGGTGTTGATTTTTTACAAAATATAATGCTAATGAAATTGTGGCTTAAATCTCTTTATTTCTTTATGTTGTTTTGTAGTAACTAGCTACTTGGGTGACAAACCATCATGGTTTGAGCAGATCCTTTAAGTGAATCCAATTTTTCTTCAGGTAAATTTTCCTTTTCTATTTGTAATGAAATATGCTTCACTTAAAGTTTCTCCTTTGGCATTAAACATGTGGAGGAGGCTCTCTGTAACTATGTTGTAAATGTACCTTACCACGCTGTGAGGCCATGTTATGTGCTCACATAGTGGAGAAAATTTTACCCACTGTTGCTATTGGCACCCACATTTTCTTAGTGGGGCTGAGGGATTTCCAAGGAGCAGGGAGGTGGGCCTTTCAGTACTGGAACCAGGAAAGTCCTGAGCTAATCAGGAGCAGCTGTTGACTCTATTGGAGTGACTTAAGCGTTTGCGTTTAGTCAGATTTTTGTTTTTTAATTTAGACAACCGGGCAACACAGAGTTCCGATTCAGAAGGTATAGGAAACTGAATTTTTAACAAGCTCCTTGACAATTTGGGTACAAATAGCCCTTGTTTCAAAAACACTGGTTACAAGATTTCCTATTTAAATTATCTGAAAGGGGGGATATGTTATATTAGCCTAAGAAGAGAAACACACATATTAAATACTAACTAAACAGAACAATATATTACTATAACCTTATTTTATCTTTTCCCAAAAAAATTGCTTTTACTTCATAATGAAGAAATTATTTATCCCCTATTAAACTGAGTTATTTATAAAAATACATATTTTATCCACCCTTTAGAAATAAAACTCAGTTATATAAAGTGTATATTAAATTATAATCATAATAATGATTATTGATTGCCTACCATACACTAGCTGTGTCCTAGCACATTTATATCCTTTCCTAATTTAATCCTTAAAATAACTCCGTAAAATAGGTACCATTTTTCACACTTCACAAATTAGGATACTGTAGCTCAAAGAAGTTAAGTAAATTTCTTGCACCACAAGCCTAGAAAGTGACAACCTGGAGCCCAAACATATGTCTATGGCTTAAAATTCATTTTCTTTTTTCTGAAACAACCATGGCAACTCCAGACTTTACCCTTTTTACATTTTTCAGTGTGTCTCTCCCCAGGCATTTGTGGAGAAGTTACAGAGGCCATCCTCGTTACTTACAAAGTGAATCCTTGATATATTTTTCCCAGCAGAAATAACCAGATACAGATTCTCTACCTCTGAGCAAAAGCTTCAAGCCAAACTCTCAAACTCGCTCATTTATTGTTCTCCATTGACTTAAGTCCAAGTGCTGTCACCTTTGAGATTTCAGATTTGAGTTATAAATTATCTCATTATTAGGCCTACAGAGAAAAAATTGGGTTTAAGACTGTGCTGAGTCAGATCTAAGTTAGTTTGGGGTGATAATGTGGACTATTATCCAGTTAGGATTGGCCCATGGATTGAAGGACTGCAGTCTCACCAAGAAGTGGGTCTAAACTAGGAAGGAAGTGCCAGTGGACTCCTCCTTGGAGTCTGTCTCTCATAGTTGACTACTCCATCCAAAATATCTCTTTCATTTTTCAGGTCACAATTCTCCTTGCATCCCACTTTATATTATACTTAGCTGTAATACTCTCCAATTCTGATTTTAATCTACTTTCTATTTTCACTAGGTTGAGGCTCTACTCCACTCACTCTTGGACTAGAAAATTTACGTTAGTCCTGTCCAGTCACATTATGGCTCAGAGAGTCACCATATTTTACATTGTACATGAGTTTATTTCTCTATGAAATGGAAATCTGGAAACATAATATTTTATCTGTTTTAACCATGCAACTAACCTCTGTATTTACACTGAGAGTTCTTCAAACTCTCAGAGGAGAGCTAAGGACATAATACTCTGCATTCCCCACCACCACTGGACTTTCATTTGTAAGTCACAGGCACCTGGGAAGTGTAGGCCTGTTGTCTGTGTTTCCTCCTCTTGCAGGGGTATGGGTTTTTTTTGTAATTCTCTCTGTGGTTTTTCTTCCCACAAGCCCAGCTAGAGAGTGAGACAGAGCCTCTTCTGCCCCTCACTTTCTATGAAAATCAGCACACTAAGCTTTTGGTATTAAGGGATTTACTGCCAGTTGATTCTGTTCACAGAGCACCTAGTGTTTGAGACCTTTGATTTGAAGTGGGCACGGATTTGTTGGATGCTTTTGGGAGCAGGCTGAAGAGTTGGGTTGAGACTGGTGATAGGACAAGTCTACACAGTAGACTAGTGGTGTGTAAAGTGAGACCCACGAATGGCTGGGTTTCCAGAGATCATTTACATAACATCACATTTTTTCACATAAAAATACTAAGGCATCATTTGCCTGTGTTTTTCTCTTATTCTTTCACTATAGTTTTCTAGAGGGCTCATGTGCGTGATATCACCACAGATTGAATGCAGAGCAGATAAGAGACTTCAGCAGTGATTTTCTATTAAACCATTCATTAGAGAGATTTCAAAAATGTTAAATAACATTGCTCTTCTCACTAATTTTTTTTATTTTGGCAAATACAGGTATTTTTCCTAGAAAACGTGTTATTTATGTTAACTTGCAATGAGTTAATTAGTGTTGTTTTTATAGAGATTTAGTAAAATTTTTAAATTATTAGTTTTAATTTCTAATGCCATAAATTTCAATATTACCCAAATAAACCCAAGCTCTTTGGGGTCCTCAATAATTTTTTAAATTGTAAATCATACCTTTTAATTATATCTGCTTTTTCATCTAATTGTTTGTTATAATATAATTCTCTTAATAATTGAATTATGTTTGCTTACATGTCTTCCCCCTCGATGGACCATAAATTTCCTGAAGAAATAGTCCATGTTGTTTCATCCATGTGTTTACTTCCCTAACAGAATCTCTATTACAATGCCTGAGGCACAGTTAACACCCAATAATAATTATTGAGTGAACAAATAAATGGGCAAATATCCCCCGCCTTAACTTCTTGCTCGAATGCTAAGCCATCTTCTATCAAGTGGATATTCTCCCTCTGAAGTTATCTGTGACTCAACATGTCCCCATCTTCTGCTCTATTCTCCAGCTTCCATAACGTGATTTAGTAACATCATCATGAATCAATCAATATCTCTGTCTCTCTATCATTCTGTCCTGCTCTTCTCTCCCCATGTTCTCACTCCCACATGCAGACACACACATGTGTACACATGTCACACACATACATACAGATGCACTTATTCCTGGAACACTCTTATTTTCAGTTCAAGTCCCAGCCCAAAGTCACTTATCCATTACAACAGCATTATAATTGTACCAACATCCATTTTTATTAAATTGGTGCAAAAGTAATTGTGGTTTTTGCCATTATCTTTAATGGCAAAATTAATTAAAGATAATGGCAAAAACCACAATTACTTTTGCACCAACCTAATATATTATTGCTCCTGTTGAATTGTGAATCATTTAATTGTAGAGTTCTTATTTTACTCTATTTTTAAATTTTTTCTTTAGCTTTTAAGTTCAGGGGTGCATGTGCAGGTTTGTTATATAGGTAAACGTGTGTCATGGAGGTTTGTTGTACAGATTATTTTATTACCCACGTATTAAGGCTAATACCCCCTTGGTTATTTTTCCTGATTCTCTCCCTCTTCCCTCCCTCCACCTTCCAGAATGTTCCAGTGTCTGTTGTTCTCCTCTATGTGTTCATGTGTTCTTATCATTTAGCTCCCACTTATAAGTGAGAACATGTGGTAATTGGTTTTCTGTTCCTGCATTAGTTTGCTAAGGATAATGGCCTCCAGCTCCATCTATGTTCCTGCAAAGGACATGATATCATTCCTTTTTTCTGGCTGCATAGTATTCCATGGTGTATATGTAATACATTTTATTAATCCAGTCTATCATTGATGGGCATTTAGGTTGAGTCTGTGTCTTTGCTATTGGGAATAGTGCTGCAATGAACATAGGCATTCATGTACCTTTATGGTTGAACAATTTATATTCTTTTGGGTATATTCCCAGTAAGGGAATTGCTGGGTTGAATGGTAGTTCTGTTTTAGGTGTTTGAGGAATTGCTGTACTGTCTTCCACAGTGGGCAAACTAATTTACACTTCCGCCAACAGTGTATATTCATTCCTTTTTCTCCACAACCTCGCCAGCACCTGTTATTTTTTGACGTTTTAGTAATAGCCATTCTGACTCGTGTGAGATAGTATCTCATTGTGGTTTTAATTTGCATTTCTCTAATATTCAGTGTTATTTAGCTTTTCTTCATATGACTGTTGGCCACATGTATGTCTCTTTTTGAAAAGCGTCTGTTCATGTCCTTTGGCCACTTTTTAATGAGGTTGTTAATTTTTTTCTTGTAAATTTGTTTAAGTTTCCTATATTAATAGATGCTGGACCTTTGTCAAATGCATAGTTTGCAAAAATTTTCTCCCATTCTGTAGGTTGTCTGTTTACCCTGTTGATAGTTGTTTTGTTTGTTTGTTGTGTTTTGTTGCTGGGGAGAAGCTCTTTAGTTTAATTAGATCCCAGTTGTCAATTTTCGCTTTTATGGCAATTGCTGTTAGCATCTTCATCATGAAATCTTTGCCCATTCCTATGTCCAGAATGGTATTGCCTAGGTTGTCTTCCAGGATGTTCACAGTTTTGGGTTTTACATGTAAGTCTTTAATCCATCATGAGTTAATTTGTTTAAATGGTGTAAAGAAGGAGTCCAATTTCAATCTTTTGCATATGGCTAGCCAGTTATCCCAGTACTACTTATTGAGTAGGGAGTCCTTTCCCCATTGCTTGTTTGTATTGACTTTGTCAAGGATCAGAGAGTTGTAAGTGTGCAGCCTTATTTATGGGCTCTCTATTCTGTTCCATTGGTCTATATGTCTATGTGTCTGTTTTTATACAAGTACCATGCTGTTTTGATTACTGTAGCCCTGTGATATAGTTTGAATTCAGGTGGCATGATCCTCCAGCTTCTTCTTTTTGCTTAGGCTTGCTTTGGCTATTTGAGCTCTTTGTTGGTTCCATATGATTTTTTTTTTTTTTTTTGTCTAGCTTTTAGTGAACTATCATTGGTAGTTTGATAGGAATAGCATTGAATCTATAAATTGCTTTAGGCAGTATGGCCATTTTAACAATGTTTTCTCTCTCTATCCATGAGCATGAAATGTTTTTCCATTTGTTTCTGTCATCTCTGATTTATTTGGGCAGTGTTTTGTAGTTCTCATTGCAGAGATATTTCACCCCCATCTGTTTAGCTGTATTCCTAGGTATTTTTTCCTTTTGTGGCAATTGTAAATGGGATTGCATTCCTGATTTGGCTCTCAGCTTGACTATTCTTGGTGTATAGGAATGCTAGCAGGTTTTGTACATTAATTTTGTATCCTGAGATGTTGCTAAAGTTGTTTATCAGCTTAAAGAGCTTTTGGGCCAAGACTATGGAGTTTTCTAGATATAAGATCGTGTCACCAGAAAATAGGGTTAGTTTGACTTCCTCTCTTCCTATTTGGATGCCCTTTATTTCTTTCTCTTGCCTGATTGCTCTAGCCAGGACTTACAATACTATGTTGAATAGGAGTAGTGAGAGAGGGCATCCTTGTATTGTGCTGGTTTTTAAGGGGAATGCTTCCAGCTTTTGTCCATTCAGTATGATGTTGGCTGTGGTTTTTTCATAGATGGCTCTTATTATTTTGAAGTATGCTCCTTTAATACCTAGTTTATTGAAAATTTTTAACATGAAGGGGTGTTGAATTTCGTTGAAAGCCTTTTTTGCATCTATTGAGATAATCATGTGATTTTGTATCTTTAGTTCTGCTTATGTGATGAATCACATTTATTGATTTATGTGGAACCAAACTTACATCCCAGGGATAATGTCTATTTGAGGGTGGTAGATATGCTTTTTGATGTGCTGCTGGATTGGGTTTGCCCATGTTTTGTTGAGTATTTTTGCATTGATGTTAATCCAGGATATTGGCGTGACATTTTCTTTTTTGTTGTGTCTCTGCCAAGTTTTGGTATCAGGATGATGCTGGCCTCATAGAATGAGTTAAGAGGAGTCCCTTCTCCCAAATTTTTTGAAATAGCTTTAGCAGGAATTATGCCAGCTCTTTTTTGTACATCTGGTAGAATTCAACTGTGAATCTGTCTGGTCCTGGGCTTTTTGTTGTTGTTGTTGGTAGGCTGTTTATTACTGATACAATTTTGGAGATAATTTTTTATCTGTTCAGGGATTCAATTTCTTCTTGGCTCAGTATTGGAAAGAGGTTTGTGTCCAGGAATTTATTCATTTCTTCTACATTTTCTAGTTTATGGGCATATAGGTGTTCATAATATTCTCTGATGGTTATTTGTATTTGTGGGGTTAGTGGTAATATTACTTTTGTCATTTCTAACTGTGTTTATTTATTTGGACCTTCAGTCTTTTCTTCTTTATTAATCTATTTATTTCACCAATTAAAAAAATAACAACTCCTGGATTCATTGCTCTTTTGAATGGTTCAGTTCTCCCTCAGTTCAACTCTGATTTTGGTTACTGCTTGTCTTCTGCTCGATTTATGGTCAATTTATTCTTGGTTCTCTAATTCTTTTAGTTGTGACACTAGGTTGTCAAATTAACATCTTTCTAACTTTTTTATGTGGCCATTTAGTGCTATAAATTTCCCTCTTAACACTGATTTAGCTGTGTCCCAGAGATTGTGGTATATTGTATCTTTGTCCCCATAAGGTTCAGAGAACTTCTTGATTTCTGCCTTACTTTCATTATTTACCAAAAAAGTCATTCAGGAATATGTTATTCAATTTCCATGTAATTGTATGGTTTTGAGCAAATTTCTTTGTCTTGATTTCTAATTTGATTGTGCTCTGGTTCAAGAGAGTGGTTGCTACGATTTTAGTTATTCTGCATTTGCTGAGAAGCATTTCATATTTCATTATCTGGTCAATTTTAGAGTTATGTGCCATGTGGCAGTGAGAAGAATGTATATTATGTTGCATTTGAGTGGAGAATTCTGTAGATGTCTATCAGGTCCATTTGATCCAGTGCTGAGTTGAGGTGCTGAATATCTGTGAATTTTCTGCCTCAATGATCTAATATTGTCAGTGGGGTGTTGAAGTCTACCACTATTATTGAATGGGAGACTAAGTCTCTTTGAAGGTCTCTAAGAACTTGCTTTGTGAATCTGGGTGATCCTGTGTTGGATGCATATATATATATATATATACACACACACACACACACACACACACACACACACACACACACACACACATATATATGTATATATATTTAGGAGAGTTAGCTCTGCTTGTTGGATTGAACCTTTTACTATTATATAATGTCCTTCTTTATCTTTTTTGATCTTTGTTGGTTTAAAATCTGTTTTGTTGGAAATCAGGATTGCAACCCCTGCTTTTTTTCTGTTTTCCATTTGCTTGGAAGAGTTTTCTCCTTCCCTTTATTTCAAGCCTATGTGTGTCACTGAATGTGAGATGGTTCTCTTGAAGACAGTATACCAATGGGTCTTAGTTCTTTATCCATCTTGCCACTCTGTTCCCATTAATTGGGCATTTAGGCTAAATGCCTCTTTACATTCAAGGTTAGTATTAATACATGTGGATTTGATCCTGTCATCATGATGTTAGCTGGGTACTATGCAGACCTGTTTGTGTGGTTGCTTTTTAGTGTCACTGGTCTGTGTACTTAAGTGTGTTTTTGTAGTGGCTGATACTGGTCTTTTCTTTGCATATTTAGTGCTTCCTTTGGGAACTCTTCAAAGCAAGTCTGGTGGTAACAAATTCCCTCAGCATTTGCCTGTCTGCAAAGGAACTTATTTTTCCTTTGCTTATGAAGCTTAGTTTGGCCAGATATGAAATTCTGTGTTGAATTTCTTTTCTTTAAAATGTTGAATATTGGCCCCCAATCATTTCTGACTTTAGTGTTTCTGCTGAGATATTCACTGTTAATCTGATGGGCTTCCCTTTGCAGGTGACCTGATTTTTCTCTCTAGCTGCCTTTAACATTTTATTAATTCTTGGAGAATCTGATGATTATATGTCTTGGAAATGATCTTGTGAAGTCTCTTACTGGGATTTTCTGAATTTTCTGAATTTAAATGTTGGTCTCTCTAGCTAGGTTAGGGAAGTTCTCATGAATGATATCTTAAAATATGTTTTCCAAGGTGCTTGTACTCTCCCCATCTCTTTCAGGGACACCAATGAATCATAGATTTAGTCTTCTTACATAATCTCATATTTCTCAAAGGTTTTGTTTATTCTTTTTTGTTCTCTTTTCTCTATTCTTGTTGACTGTCTTATTTCAGAAAGCCAATCTTCAAGCTCTGAGATTCTTTCCTCAGCTTGGTGTATACTGCGATTAATACTTGTGATTGGATTGTGAAACTCTTGTAGTGTGTTTTTCAGCTATATCAGGTCAGCTACCACCTTTTCTATACTGGCTACTTTGTCTGTCAGCTCCTATACCATTTTATTGTGATTCTCAACTTCGTTGGATTGGGTTTCAGTGTACTCCGGCATCTCAATGATTTTTGTTTCAATCCATATTCTGAATTCTATTTCTGTCATTTCAGCCATCTTGACCTGGTTCAGAACCCTTGCTGAAGAGGTGATGCAGTCATTTGGAGGAAAGAAGGAAGTCTGGCTTTTGGAGTTGTCAGAGTCCTTGCATTGGTTCTTTCTCATCTTTGTGGGCTGATGTTTCTTCAGTCTTTTAAGTTGTCACCTCTGGATTTTTTTTTTACTTTATCCTATTTATTTCCTGACCTTGAAGGTTTGATTGTTGTATAAGGATTCAGCCAACTGGCTTCATTTCTGGAAGATTTTAGGGGGCCACTGCTCAGCTCCCAATTCCTGGACTGCATGCGCTATCTCTAGGGTTGAGGTGGGGGGACTTGTATCAGCCCTGACTTCGTTCTCAGGCTCCTCAAAGTTAGGACTCTATTGTGCTGGGTGGGAGGTGAGGTGATCCTGGACTGCTGGTACTAGTCACTAGACTCTGATGGGTGGTGTCAGCCAAAGCATTTCATAGTGCAATGGCAGCAGGATCTGTCGTCATTTGCACTTGTCAGCAGCAACAGTAGCTGTAGCAAGGGGTTCACACTCTCAGCTGTGGCAGGCTGCTAGCAGATGCAGAGGTGCCTGCTTCCACGCAGGTGTCCATCACGGTAGTGGAGGCAACACAGCTGGTTGGGGGGGTGCTTGCTGTTGACAGTGCACAGTCACACTGGTAGGGTGGGGCTCTGGTGGGTGCAGGTCTGCGTGTATTCTCTGTGGCCGTAGGCAAGGGTGGTCACTCAGGGTACAGAAGGGTTTGCTGTTCTCTGTGTCTAGTTTCACTATCATGGCAGTGCTGGTGCAAGAGCGAGGAGCTGGTGGGAGCAGGGCTGGCTGGCTCTATTACTGCCAAAGTTCTGACTTCAAAGGTAGTCCAGTGGGGGGAGAAGGGGTAGAGGGCATGCCCACTGCAGCAGTCACAGGGCAGGGTGCACGCCCACATGTGTGCTAGCAGTGCAAGGAAAACAAAACCTGCCCACTCCCACAGGTGCCAGCAAAGTGATGTGGAGGTTTGCTGTGGGCCCCAGGAAAGCTGCAGCATGGGGAAGACCTGGGTAGGCTGGTGTGTGGCCACGGGGGCTGACCCGCTGGAGCTCTCTACTGGCAGGCACAGTCTGCCAGTGCAGGAGCTATGATGCAAGTCCCTCGGGTAACTGAGACTGCCCTGCAAGAAGATGTAGCCAGGCTGGGGCCCAGTAGACCAAGGGGTGCTCAGGTTGGACCAGCCAGGTCTGATGGGCAAGACTGCCCTGCAGAATTCAGGGCCCGCAGTTCTCTTAGGACTAACGTCTCCTATGGGAGCAAATTGAGCCTAGGGAAATGGGCTTCCCTTGTTGTGCTCTGCTACAGACATTCCTGCAAACTCTCTGGGCTTCACTTCAGCTGGCATGCTGCCCCTACCACTTCTCTAAGCAGCTCTCCCTGCCTACTCGAGTTTCCATGGTGATTGAAGATTCTTCTCCTGCCAGGATTCCAGAGGAGCATGGGAACAGTGGGTTGCTCCTTGCCAGTTCAACTCACTTGTTCCCCCAGGGTCACTGGGGGCCAGGAAAAAGTCCTGGTGCATGGTAGCCCCAGGCAGGGTTCCCAGCTTCCTCTCCCTTCGGTCCAGCTTCTGTATCTTCCTTCTGTCCACTCTTTGTGCCTTCCCTCTGAAGATCTGTCAGAAGTGTGCCAATTGTCTCAGTCCCTTAGTGGCAGCTGTTCCAACTGGCTGTGTCTAGTTGGCTATCTTGGCGTCTCTCCTCAATAAATTTTAAGAATGTAAAAGGCTGTAAGAACAAGACCATGATTATATTACATAATGAGAATGAGAAAGCAGAAAAAAAAAAAAAAAAGAACAACACCATGAGAACTGCTGCTGTAGACCACTGGGTTAATGTCACTTAAAAGAGAGGAAACAGGGAAAAAGCGTCAAAAATTAAGCTTACAGTCAAACAAAATATTGATGTAAGAAAGTCAGCCACAAAGAAGATTAGAGTCAAAAGTCAGCAATCAAAGATAGATTGAGCTAGTAGAAAATCAAACTTCACCTTTCCTGAAAATGGAACCATCTAGACTCAGGGACCTTGCCATATAGTGTATTAGCCAGAGTTCTCTAGAGAGACACAACCAGTAGGAAGGATAGATAGATAGATAGATAGATAGATAGATAGATAGATAGATAGGGGATTTATTAGGGGAACTGACTCACATGATTATGGAGACTGTGCAGTCCCACTATAGGCCACATGCAAGCATCAGAATCAGGGATACTGGTAGTGTGGCTTGGTCCAAGCCCGAAAGCCTCAGAACTAGGGGAGCTGATAATGTAACTCTTAGTTTGAGTCCAAAGGCCAAAGAACCTGGAAGCCTGCTAGTGCAAGTCCTGAATCCAAAGCTCATCATAACTCTTGAAGAACCTGGAGTTATGATGCCCAAGGGCAAGAGAAGAAGGGAGGCCCAACTCTACAAGAGAGAGAGACAGAGAACTTGCCTTCCTCTGCCTTTTTGTTCTCTCTGGGCCCCCAGCCATTTGCATCATGCTTGCCCACATTGAGGGCAGACCTGCCCTACCCAGCCCACTGACTCACATGCCAATCTCCTCTGGAAACACCCTTACAGAAATAATACTTTACCAGTTATCTATGTATCGTTAATCCAGTCAAGTTGACACCAAAAATTAAGCACCACACTTGGAATAACTGTGGTCTCATTGGCAAATGGATAGGAAGCTATGAAGTTCTGTGGAACAAGCTCTATAATTACAAATATTAAATATCTATATCCTAGAGAAGCCTACAGTTTTGTGGAGGAATGCTACATTTATTTCTATGAAAGGTTTACAGTCATGAATTAAAGTGAGACCACTTAGTTTCTTTGTGTGATTTTTTTTTTCTCCCAACAACATTCCAACACTTGAGCATAAGCAAGTAGAGGGTGGGATTGAGGTGTTTCTGGCATGCAGAGGGAAACAATGGAATTGGAGACATTGATAAGTGAGAAATTATAATGATGAGACATTATTTTGGGGTTGAGTTAAAAGGGAAGTGCAGGTAGCAGATGATGGATTGGATAGTTAAAAAAAAAAAAAACTTGAAAGATAAAAACAAACAAGCATCCCAGTGAGTTAGACTTCTTGAAGGAGGTAAGAATTGTTGGAGTCTGGGTACTAGAATGAATGAATTAGAAATATACGAGCAAGCGATTAGAAAGTGGGATGCGTAAAATAGAGATTTTAGAGCATGCTTGTCCAACCCATGGCCCAGTGGGTTGTCCAACCCGCAGCCCAGGCTGGCTTCAAGTGTGGCCCAACACAAATTTGTAAACTTTTCTTAAAACATTACGAGATTTTGTGGGTCATTTTTTTTTAGCTCATCAGCTATTGTTACTGTTAATGTATTTTATGTGTGGCCCAAGATAATTCTTCTTCTTCCAATGTGGCCCATAGAAACCAAAAGATTGAACGCCACTGTTTTAGAGGTTGTGCAGGTATTGATTGCAGCAAGATAATGGTCCCTGGGTTTCTTCCTGTTGCTACATGGTGAGTATCTTCAGAGCAATGGAAATTAACACAATATGAAGATAGAGAATGTCTCCTCTCCCCTAATTTGTCATGTTTTTTGATAGCAAAATCTAAACTTAGCTTTCTAATCTTCCCCAGAACAAATTGCTTACATTCCAGGGTAAAAGGACTTCCCATCTTTCCCCAAAAGAGGATGTGTTTACATTCCAGAGTAAAAGATAGTCATGTCAATCTCTCTCCCTCTCTCTGAGGATATGCCAGCAGTTCCAACATAAGCTCTGGGTTTTGATAATTTCAGAGTTCCTCTCCTATGATGCTAACCCCATCAGGTACATGTAACTCTTGTCATGTCTCTCCATGAGGAACTGGGGCATGGAGAAAAGGTATTCTGTGAGTAAACAAAAGCTTTGTTCCCTGATCCAGAGGTTTCATGTTTCTGTTTGTGTGTGCATGCACGCACACACACACAGACAGGTAGTTTTTTAGCTTGTAGGTGGGGTAACATCTTAGACTCTTCACACTTCCAGGTTTAAGACTGATGATCACAAGATTCGTGGAATGAAAAGCTGAGTGTAGTAGAGCAAAATACTGAAGATGAAGATGAACTGAGAGTCCTGACTGCTAGACAGGTTATCCATAATGATGTAACATCATTGGTTGCAGAAGCAGGGTTACAGAGAACGACCTTGTGCCAGAAGCTGAACTCTTCAACAAATGAAAGCACTGAGAGGAATACTGACTTATGAAAGCTAGATGGCCATATAAACAGAGGGCAAAAGCTTCCAAAAGCAGATGTTTTGGTTCACATCATTTTCTCCTCCAAGAGAATATGTGGTCCAGAAAGTCAAGAATGCCAATATATTCGTCTTTGTTCCCACAGCACTAAGACTATCAGGATGAGGGTGGGGAGAGGAAAGGAAAAGAGAAAAGGAAGACACATAGTGGTGTAGCTAGTAAAGATGCTACCTGTGTGGCTGTCAATGTGAGAATCAGGGAGGAGAGGGTCAATGGATAACTTTTCACTTTAATGACATAAAATAAATTAGACTTGCATATTTGTTATTTAAAAGCCAGAAAGATGGAACTAAAACATTTTATGTTTCCTTTATTCTTAGATACCATTTCATTTTATTAAAACATTTACAAAATAATTAAATTTTGACATGACAGTAATATTACATACATACAAATCTGACTTCTAGAATAGCATGAAAAACTCAAGGAATAAGAATGCTTGAAATAACTTGTTTATGTTGTTTATGTTGCTATGTGTATTCAACAGTAATTGAGCTTGTTCCTTTCATGTTTCACTGCTCTGCGAACTGAGGATGTTTCCTTGCTAAAGAAAACACAGGAGAAGAGGGACTTTTTGAGTTGGAAACCCAAGGTTTATAAAAATAAATTTGAAAATGAAATTATAAATTTCCAATAAATGTACATGTTCTTGAATAGATGTTCCAGATTGGGGGTCATGATATAGACAAAAAGTTATTTTTATGAAAATCATTAGAATGAGAAATCCATTGTAAAAATAAAATTTCCCTGGAAACTGAAAATTTAGGAAGCTATAAATAAAGCTAACCTTTGCATATTTTGCAACTCTAGATCTTTGCTTTCTACAGCTTCTCAGAGCTCCAGTCACTGGGCTTACCCCATTCAATTCCCAAAAAATCTTTCCTCGAGGAAAGAGGGTGTCTCACATTCCTACTTTGCCTTCCCCAGGATTATTCTTTTCTGCTCTTTGAGCTTCTCCAACAGATTTTCTGGACCCATTCCTCACCAACTTGTTCACTGGTCACAGGGCTGAGTTTCTAACTTCATCCACATTCTAAGGTCATAACCCAGTAGACTGGCTAGATTTCTCAGTCTTCCCTGAAGACTAAGTTTACTCTCAAGGGCGAAAGTGCTAATTCAGTTAGGGCCCTCTTCCCCATAAGCACATCTTCCAGGTAATACATGTTTCATTTCCTTTTAGCCATTTGGCTCCCACAGTTGGCACACTCTGCTACTTTTGTTTGATTCAACTGATGCCAATTACCTGCTGAATTAGGGAGATTTCCAAGCCCTCCCTGACATATGCTGCTCACTGTTCACCCCCTCAAATCTCAGTTCGTGTTAGTCTTCACATGCTTTGATCCTTTCCCGCCTATCCCTGTCTCCTTGAAGGAACACTGCCTTGATTCAATGACGAATGATATGTATGCTATGCTAGTGAAGTCTGAATCTTCAGGAAACTATATTTAATATTAGTTTCTGTAAAATAAGCATTTAAAATAAATTGAAGAAAAATATTTAGCACGTCAGATTATTTTAATTGCTAGTTATATAAATCTGATTATACTAGCTTAAGCAAAACAGTAATTTGTTGGCTTATAGGGTTAAGAGTCTATAAAGGGGTTTAGCTTTAGGTGTATTGTGATTCAGGAGCTCAAATAGCATCATCAGATTCTGGATTCCTTGGATATGGATAAATCTTGTTTTCATTCTTCACAGAAGGATTTTTTTTTCTTTCATGTAAGGCAAGATCATTCTTTTCAACATGGATTAATGTCCTCCTAATTCAGAAATCATATTTTTAAAAAGCCTCTCTCTGATGGTATCTAAATATCTGTTAGTCTTTCCTGGAACCTCTGACCCTGTTTGTAGCAATCTCTGTGTTCAAGAAATAAGGAGCTCTTATTAACAAGGTCTGTGACTCTTCATGGTATGAGGAGAGGTCAGGACACTCTGGTAGGACAAATGAACTCATGCATCCATACTGAAGTGAAAGAGGAGGATCACAAACAAAAAAGCAGGACACAATTTCCATAATAGGAGGGAAGGGATGCTAGGCAAGAATCAGCTCACCACTGTGAGACATGGTTAAGCCCTGTCCTTAGTCTATGCTTCTCAAAGTCACATGAAAGTCAACTAACTGAGCCAATTTGGCCAGAGCAGTTCTGGTTTTAGCACTGATAATTCTGTATCTTAGAAAACTCTGAAGTTCTAGGCAAACCATTCTGGTGAGTCACCCTAGGTATATATTCAAGACTCCAAAAATTAACAAGAAGCATCTTCGGGACACATCAAATTTGCTAAATAATAAGCATTTTTATTGAAAATGTATTTTGTATTAAACTTATGGATATATTTTATGGTGTAGAATGTGAAATTCTCATGAATTTCTATTATAAAGTTGAAACTTCCACAATATACACTCTGGTTTCAAAGCTGCTTTAGCTATTAAAAACCACTTGGATGCCATTTTAAAAAATGATTGCATTAAAGCATTTGTGCCTGTAGACACAGGTACACAAAGATTTGCAGGAATATAATATTTACAATGATGCAAAATGACATAAGAAGTTTTAATTCAGTTTATTAATAGAAAAGAAAACTAGACAAATGATACAAAGATAGTGATATTCATTTGTAAACAGAATTAAAAGGAAATAATTGGACATGTAGTAATCATTTACAAATCATTATAACGTATAATTTCAGCTGGATGCAGTGGCTCATAACTGTAGTCCCAACACTTTGGGAGGCTGAGGCAGGTGGATTGCTTGAGGTCAGGAGTTTGAGACCAGCCTGACCTACATGGTGAAACCCCATATCTACTAAAAATACAAAAATTAGCCGGGAGTGATGGCAGGCACCTGCAATCCCAGCTACGTGGGAGGCTGAGGCAGGAGAGTTGCTTGAACCTGGGTGCGGAGTTTGCAGTGAGCCACAATCGAGCTACTGCACTCCAGCCTGGATGACAAAGCGAGACTCTGTCTCAAAAAAAAAAATGTATAATTTCAACTGGAAAAAAGATGCATCAAAGGAAGATGGAGATCACTCTAGGACTATTTGTTGGAAACGTAGATATTGGTTTTTAAAAACAGGATTATTTCCTTGCTACCCTCATGGACCCTGACCATATCATGCCCTAAATTATGGTCATAATTTAGCCATGTTATTACCTGGGTTTGGAATACTCTTGTACCCTTGCCTGTTTGATGAATTCCTAACAATTTTTCCAACCACAGCTTGAATAGACTTCTCTCTGTGACGATATCCCTGACTCCCCTAGTCCCCCTCCATTTCTGAAACTCTGCAAACTCACTCTATTATAACACTTATCACATTTTATTAGAGTTGTTTTTCAGGGTTTCCATTAGACTGTGACATTCTTAAACCCAGAAAATTAGCCTTTCTGAGATTATTATCCCAGAACCAAGCATAGGCCTATATCACAGAGTCACTCATCGAAAGAGGTTCGTGAAATGAAGAATGAAAGAATGAATATGACAGTATGAAGTCAGTACAGATTAGAAACAATGTATTTTGCTTGACATATTTAAAATAAGCAAGAGGTTACTCTGGAGTTTTTTTCCACTATATTTTTCATTATTATTATATAATTTTACAAAGCCAGGTTTTCCAGCTCTTTTACTTTAAAGTTTCTACCGATTATTGTGGGAGAACATGAATACCTTCCTATATCAGTTCCTTGAGATGGTTTTCAGAATAATCAATACAGGAAATAGATTTTCTTTTATTTGGTGTAATCCAAAAAAATAGCTGGTGACTAAAGAGATAGTCACTCCTGACAATGGCTACAGCTATTGCAGAACAGCAATGCTAATGTGTTAACCAGTCATCTCGAAGCACATCACAGAGAACTGAAACGTTTTCTACTAGCCCCTTCTTAAAGGGTCTACCTCATATCCTTCTGATTTTGCCCCTATTTTGCCAGTCAACAAAGGGAATAGAAGTTTCTGTTGCATCTCCTTTTTATATTCTATAACGTAGACCAACCTTCCCCACAAAAAAGGAATGAGTTTTGAATATTACTATTCATTTCAAATTTCTTAAGGCCAAAACAATCTCATCAATCTTTTTGTTCTTCCAAATATGAGATAAGACTAAACTCTGTGATACTTGAGAAGTTTTCTAAAGTTGGATGAAAAGCCAAATGGCAGTAGTTATCATCTCCGATACCTTACAAAGCCAAAGGCACGTCAGTCTTAATGTTGCAAAAGGAGAGTCATAAAACTACAAAGGATGAGAACGGTGGTCTAACGGAACAAAGAAAACTGTATAAATACCAGCACAACCATCAAGGTGTTGGTGATGAAATCGAATAAAGAGAAGACCAGATTCCTGAGCTTTTACTTTTGTGTTTACTTTTGTACTCAACAATATACTGGTACTCAGTACAGCTTGCCTGCAACTCTGCACACTTGGCATGAAGAAATGGCTTTCCTGAGAGGTTCCAAGAGGGGACAGGCCTACCTATGGTCTTGCGTAGTCTCATTGGAACTATTAAATATACTCTTCTCAGCTATCACTTGGCTTTTACTTTTTTCCTTTTCTCATTCTCTGGCTTCAGCCTCCAATAATGTTGGTTGCTGCTGGAGCCACCAGCAATGCTACAGTAAGATAACCCACTGATGTTTCTCTCCTTAGTAGCACCTAAGGCCGAAGCTACATCGTGCCAAAGCCTGGCTGAGATTAATTGGCCTCTTTGTGCAAAAGCAATCATGCTGAGCTGAAGGATGTTAACACTATGAGTGTGTTAATGTCCTCCATATGGATTGCTGTCTTGCGTTCTCACCAGAAATGAGGATATTGCTTTGCTCTATGTAGTATACGGATTGCAAAGCAGGCAGGGCCCACAAGTTTTACAGGGCTATTAATTAGCCATATCATAGGTTTTACTTGTTTTTCTCTCTTCTTTGAATTCTATTTCCATGAGTGCAACAGACACTCAAATTACTTCCAAATCCCGTAATTATAGTCATTTCTCCTGATTAACAAACAACTTTACAATTAGGCCAAGGCTGTGGGCTTGAACTTTCCTTCCTCAGAATGTTTCTCAAGAAGTTCTTCCTGCAGTGGGCCAGTTTTCTAAAAGTCCATTTATTTCTGAATCCAAGTATAAGTAAGATGTAATGTACCACTTTGTAGATGAGAAGACGTCATTTAGAAAGCTTGCTAACTTATCCAAGATCACAGAGATGTATGGCTGTAAAACCACACAGCCATAAAACTTCCCCTTTTCACTTTTGCTTTGATATTCACAGGATGTGCATGTAGCTAAGAGAATAACCTTCAGAAATACATCAGAAGTGCTAAGCAGTGGCCTTATGTTTCATTTTATTGTGAAAAGACGTTGGTAATAGTCACGTGACAAGTGGCGGGGAAAAGATGTCCAAAGTCAATGACTTAAGGAAATGGTCACTCCTGACAATGGCTGGAATAGTCACATGGCAACGGTGCTATGACATCAACCCATTCTGTCAAAGCATCACGTAAAAACTGAAACAGAGGTCCAGTTTGTAGGAATGAGAAGGGTGGGGGTGGGGGGAATAAAAGAAAAGAGCCAATACTGCTTTACAAAATATACAATGTGAAGTACAACTCTATTGGGATTGTGAGAGAAGAGGCCTTCCAATTTGGAAAAATGTTCCTTTTTTCTCCTTAACAGTTTAGATCAGGGTTTGCAAACCTAAATATCTACAGTTGTCAAGCAACTATTGTCAACAGGCTAAGGTAGTAGAATGTAAAAAGCAAGAGAGAAGCTGGGCGCAGTGCTTCACGCCTGTAATCCCAGCATTTTGGGAGGCCGAGGCAGGTGGATTGCCTGAGCTCAGGAGTTTGAGACCACCCAGAGCAACATGGTGAAACCCCGTCACTACTAAAAGTACAAAATAAAATAAAATAAGATAAGATAAAATAAAATAACCAGGTGTGATGGTGCGCACCTGTAGCCCCAGCTACTTGGAAGGCTGAGGCAGGAGAGTTGCTTGAGCCCCAGAGGCAAAAGTTGCAGTGAGCTGAGACTGTGCCACTGCACTCCAGCTTGGGCCACAGAGTGAGACTCTGTCTCATAAGAAAAAAAAAATGAAGAAAGAAAGAGAGAAACAGTGACTGTCAAAGAGGATCATCTGCCGCATCTAGAGAGTCAATGACTACTCACCTCTAGCTAATTACTTGCATTGGGATAAGGTCCCATATTTCCAGGGCTCCTGGTTAGTATGGAAAAGCTGGAATAATGAAGTTTTATGGTGAAATCTCCTGATTTTTAAATGTTGGCTCCTTGTGAAACAGATTGTGTAGGCTTTAAGCCAAACATAACATAAATGTTGTTCAGAAATGGCCTGACCAGTTTGCAAGCTCTATTTACATTCTGCTGACTCTGCTAATTGTCCTCCATTGTTAGAGGTATGCACATATCTTCCAAATACGCAGATGTATGTTGTAAGTCCATGTTAATTTCTCAGTTATCCATTTGATAATATGAGGAAAAGAGTATGCCTGCAAGTGGCTGTACTGGGAAACATTAGAGAGATCAGACCCGATTGCTTATTTCTGGCTGACATCATTATAGAACACTTAGAATGCCAGAAGTCCACTCTAACACACTGACTGCCATTCCAGCCTCTCCTTTTACTCTTTCTTCCCACCTCTGCACTTGTACCCAAAAGAAGTGGTATTTTAGAATGGTATTTCTAATTTAAGGCAACAGGAGGATGGATGAAAATAACCTTTGTGCATAAGGGGTAGACTCTCTGGATAGTGGGTGGAGAGTCTAATGGCAGAATTTGGAAAGAAGCAATTTTATGAAGTAGCTATTACTAAGGAAACAGTATCAAAGTTAGGTAACCATCAAGCAAATCCCCAACCTTCTAAAACTTTTAAGTTCATGGGTGGTTTGCCTTGGGATGATAACTGAAAGCATATTAAATATGCAGTTCAAAGTTGCTTCCCTCCTACCTTATAGATCCTTTGTTTCACCAATCCTTCAGAAAGTTTGATGTTCCCTTCAGCATTGAATGGTGCAGGTGTAAAGTATAAAGGGTCAAAAAAGCTATGACTGCTTCATATTCAATCTCCCACTACTACTTTCAGAGAAGGAGCAATGTTCCACCAGGGAGACCATGCCCATACATTCTAGGCGGTGGCCTCAGTAGAATGGCAAGTAATGGTAGGAGAATTTCTGGGGAGACAGTCCAGCAGAGACATAAGTCCAAGCCACTGGTTTACAAACAGGTGCAGCACCAGGCAAGGTGATCTCTGGAAGAGAGGAAGACTAATGCTTTTGTTTCATTGGTTTGTCTCCTAATAGCGAGGTGGAATCATAGCTGTCATAATCACTACAGCATTTGGGATTTGGAAAAGCAACAGGTTGTAACTGTGGGTATGAATGGAGCTTTATGAGTGAGCAAATGGATCAAATCAAGGGGCTCCGAATCAAGCCTGGCCTGACAGAACTTGCATTTCCTTCACAGCCACCAACAGAAGAGAAATCAACTTCTACATTTACTCTAAGGATGAAATAGTGTCATCTAGTGGCAGTTGAAATTTGTTTGTTACTTCAAAATCATTGGATAAGTTAGGATTGTAATGCTAAGAAGTCTATACACTATTTCAGATAATATCAGAAACCTTATTTTTAAACTTCTATTTTTATATCATAACGAAGCAAGTAATTATCCCAATATTTTATATTAAGGTTATTATCTTTCCCATTATATAGAGAACATCACATTATAGTCCTCTCTGCTCCCTGCCTCTCTCCAACAACAACAACAACAACAAACTCTCAGCTAGGTACCACTATAAATTTGACAATAGAGATTTTAGGGCCAGGTGCAGTACCTGATATCTGTAATCCCAGCTCAGGAGGCTGAGGTGGGAGAACCGCTAGTAGACAAGAGTTCCAGACCAGCCTGGGCAGCATAGCAAGATCCTGTCTCTAACAAAAGAAAAAAACAGCCAGATGTGGTATTGTGTGCCTGTAGTCCTCGCTACTCGAGAGACTGAGGCAGGAGGATCCTTTGAGCCTAGGTGATTGAAGCTACAGTGAGCTATGACTGCATCACTGCACTCCAACCTGGGTGACAGAGCAAGAACCTGTCTCTAAAATCCTCTTTTTTTTTTTTTTTGAGATGGAGTGTTGCTGTCACCCAGGCTGGAGTGCAGTGATGCAATCTCACTGCAAGCTCCAGCTCCAGAGTTCAAGCGATTCTCCTGCCTCAGCCTCCCGAGTAGCTGGAATTACAGGCACCTGCCACCATGCCCGGCTAACTTTTTGTATTTTTAGTAGAGACGAGGTTTCACCATGTTGGCCAGGATGGTCTCGAACTCCTGACCTCGTTATCTGCCTTCCTCAGCCTCCCAAAGTGCTGGGATTACAGGTGTGAGCCACAGTGCCAGCCAGCCCTAAAATCCTCTTTTAATATCTTGATAACTATGAGACTGTAAGATGATTGTAGTTTATTATCATGCCAATGTGCTATTTTAAGCCAAGCCTTGAAAACCATGTCAGTCTCCTTATACCCTAAGATTATCTTTTTATTTCCCTACATGTAGTAAACCTATATGTGATGTTGGTTAAAAATCAAGTCAATTAAATCTAAAGTCTACATATTTGCCGACTCAATGAGTATGCTCTATATTCAGAGCTAGCTACCCAAACATCGCCAACATAACGTGTTGAAAAGACATGGAATTCTATGCACTGACTATGGCGCACCCTTCTGCTGTGTGATTCTAGCCCTGTACATGATCTTTAGCTGTTTTGCCTTTTTAAAATTGTAGATCTGATAGATAACATAAAATTTTTCCTGTGTGGTAAAGACTTAACTGACTTATCCCCTTCTCCCAAAACAGTTTTTGCCTTCATTTGAAATTCATTTAAATATTCATTTATGGCCAGGAGCGGTGGCTCACGCCTGTAATCGCAGCACTTTGGGAGGCCGAGGCAGGCGGATCATGAGGTCAGGAGATCGAGACCATCGTGGCTAACACGGTGAAACCCCCTCTCCATTCAAAATACAAAAAAAATTGGCGGGGCGTGGTGGCGGGTGCCTGTAGTCCCACCTACACGGGAGGCGGAGGCAGGAGAATCCCTTGAACCCGAGAGGCGGAGGTTGCAGTGAGCCAAGATTGCGCCACTGCACTGCGGCCTGGGCGACAGAGTGAGACTCCATCTCAATAAATAAATAAATAAATAAATAAATAAATAAATAAATAAATACAAATATTCATTTACATGACATACAGATTTGTGAGGTTTGGAATTTTCATTTGAACTGCTTATAACATCTGCTTGATTCCCTCATATATGTGTAAAATGCTTCTAACTGGGGAAATGACATATTGATTGAAAAAGAAATCTCTCAAAATTTAACCATGTTTTCATGAACTGGAGAGACAAGTCCCTTTATGTAACTAAAACGGCCATACTAAAATGCTCTAGCAATGAAAGAGTTAGAGAATACTTATAAATTAATCCCTAAGGATCTTTCCTCATGATCTCCCTCTATATTTCAACTTTAAAATAAATTATTATTTAATGTAGAGGTTTGAAAACCTAAATATAATCATCTCCTTAGCATTAATTTATCAAACAGAAGGTTAACATTTTTAACATTCATTTAACAAAGCAATTTATCTGAGTGGCAAATATTAGACATTTATTGAATTACTTGCTTATTTACTTAGGTACTGAGGCCACACTGTCCTTTTGAGAATTTTTTTTTACATTTCAATATTAATTTCTCCAGAAGCAAATTTGGGTGAGCTGCTTTCTTATTTCTCTTTCATTCCCCTAAGAAAAACAAAAGTAAAATATAGTGGTGGGGTCAGGATGGCATAGGTACAGGGTAATGTGGAAGGTCACATGTAAGAAAATATAACATAATTTTATTAATTTAACCTGTTCTGCTCCTTGAAAAAATTCTAGGTTATAAAATCCATTGCTTGCCATCCAGAAAAACACCATGCAACACTTACTGCTTCAATATTTCATAAAATATATATTTAGGGGTTTTTCTTTTTTTTTTTTTTTCTTTTTGGCAAGATGGCTATGAATTGGGAATACAATAACACAAAGGAAATCCTCTGAGATTTACAACTGCTTCTAAAAAGCTATGAAAATTTGCTCACTCTTTGAACAGGATTTTATGAAGGCTAGGTTTTTACCTATCATTGTTTATGATCTTACACTTTTTAAAACAGGTGAAAACTACCCTTCAACCTGGTGTCACTAAAAGATTAAAAGTTTGGATGAAGAATTAGTGCTGGCAAGCATCCTTAAAACAAAGAAATAAAAACCAGTGTCTTGGGGCACAAAGTCTTCTGAAATATCTTCAGCAAATTGCTTCATGTGGGACTCCCGTTCATAGCAACATATTGCCTTGTTTCATAGCAAAATGGCCTAAGTCATATTTTCTAGAACCAGATATCTGAACTTTGCTTTATTTTTAGTTTGGCTTAGTCTTTTGCATGGTTTCAGTCTATTGTATGTACTTCTTCCATTCTATTTATAAGGCTTTGAGAAATTTTATTTAAATGCACAGACAGTAGTATATACATACACACACATATATGAATCGAATGCCCATAATGGAGAGTTTTAGATTTAGGGAGTCAGAATGTCTATCTCAAATAAATGTTGTATGTTCCTTATACCAAAAAATATTTCCATATGGGATATACATGCTAAAAATAAATTATTATTTAATATCAGTCTGATAAAATTCATGATATAAGCTCAGGTGGCTGTCCAAATAAACAAGAGTAATTAATTTTGCCATTATTTCTATTAACTCCCAATATTTAATACTAATATATGTTCAAATAGCGTTTTTCATGTTTTTAAAAAAAGTAGTTTCATAATTTTTTTTCAGTCTGATGCACTAATTGTATACTATTGGGATATTTGAATACTAACTGGGGAAAATTAGTTCTTTGTGAAGGTCAAAAAATAACTATTGAGATAAAATTTGTATACAGTGAAGTGTGGTTTTGGCATAAATGTGATGATGGTGGATTCAAATCACAGCAGCTGAGACCATCTATGCTTTATGATCCCCACAGCTGGAAATGAGTAGTACATTCCGAAGGTCATGACAGAGAGACTGGGGTGGGGGCAGAGAGAGAGAGTAGATGAATACATAGACAGATGGCTTTGAAACACCAAGATTCATAAGCATTCCTGTGTCACACTTTTAGATAAATTCAGATGCTTTCTTATGATGTGGTAGTAACCGTTTAACAACCTGCTCTCTAAAAAAAACAATGTATGCGTATATGTATGTAAACAAATTTATTATAAATTTTAATGATATAAAATATGTCCCACACAATTTATGTATGATAATATAATACATTATCTTCTTTATTTTATATTCCATATAGCAAAGTGATTTTCACAGAATACTTTCATTAATATTTGCCAAACTCTTGTATTTGTATTGAAATTATGGTTGCAATTGACATTAATGTTGATTTTTTTATGTTAATGAGTAAGACAACAAAGAAACAATGAAGGCATATATAGAAACTTCACTCATTCACCATTGGCCTAAACAACTTATTAGCAGGATTGAATAACAGTTTTTGAATATTAAAAGAATAATTCCTCAGTTTTTGTGCGATTTCTAATGTAACAGTAATAGACACAACAAACTTTAAAGTTAAATTGCATTATTAATAGTTTCTCCATCATTTTCTTAAGTTTATACCAGAGACTGCCGAACTATTATAGCCTTAAGTTGAATACAGCTTGCCTCCTGTTTTTGTAAATAAAGTTTTTTTGGAACACAGCCACATCCATTCATTTATGTATTGGCTATGACAGCTTTCACACTGTCATAACAAATTTGAGTAGTTGTGACAGAGACCATATAGCTCTAAAGTCCAAAATATTGAGTATCTGGCTCCTAACAGAAAAAGTTTTCTGACTCCTGAAGTAAACCAGCATTTACCAATAAAACTTTCTGGTATAATGAAAATGTTCTTTACCTGCTCTGTTTGATACAGTAACCACTTAGCTACATGAGACTATTGAGTACTTGAACTATTAAGTACTATCATTGAAGAGCTGAATTTTTAATGTTATTTCATTTTAATTACTTTAAATTTAAATAGCCATGTTTTGCTAGTAGCTACTTTATGAAGCAGGGTAGGTCGAGACAGTTAACAACACGACGAATCATACCCTGATTTCTCACATTTGCTGAATTTCAAGGTGTAAATATGGAGTCCTAATAAGGGAAAAGGAGTCAGGCTGGTGGGACCAAGGGAAAGGAAAGAGAAAGCAGATAAGTTATAAGCCTACCTTTCTTCATGATTCAGGACTCATAGCCCTCCTGCACAAACAACTCACAACCTTTCTGTGCCCAGCTATCACTAGACCCTCAGCTGCTGGAAAAATGCAAGTTAGCTCACTGCAACCTTGATATTACAAATACTGCACAAAGCCCTTCTCAGTACACAGCACAAGCACCATTGTATAAAATCCCCAGCAAATTTTGACTCCTTGAAGTCAGCTCCTCTATTGCTGGTCTGCCCATTGCACGTTTGCGAAGTATTTTCATACCTTCTCCAATAAATCTGCCTTTTTATCTACAACTGTCTTGGTAACTTCTTCTTACCCTAATGCCACTGGCCTAGATAGTCATTGATTACCCATGATAGTAAATACATCCACTATGGCCAATTTCAAGCTATCAATGTGACATCACTGAACAAGTTAGGAAGAAATGTACATTATTATACAGTATTTGTACCATACAGTTACAATAAACATAAATAACCTCAAAAGCATAGATAAAACACTAGTAAATAATTAAGAAGTGATACATTTTGAGTATTTATTACTTCGATTTTTAATTTAATTAATTTAATTATACATTTATATAATTTAATTTTAAGAATAGATGTGTTTAATAATGAATAGCAAAATTCCTAAAAAATGTTAACAGTTTTCTCTCAAACCAGTGCAGTCTGGCTTCAGCAGATGACTGAGTGAAAACACCATGCTTTTTATTACTATACATAAAATCAATTGAACTAAAAAAAAGGTAAGTGAAAGAGAAAATCAAAAGGGTGCATTAGTCTGAAACTCAGTTTGTGAAAATGGATATACTGTCAAAGGCAAGGCATTTTTAGTTGTACAAAGAGAACAGTGTCACAGAAACTAACAGAGTAGGGATTTTTTACAGAGTCAGTGGATTCTAAGGGAATTTCAAAGAGGATCCCTCTCAATTAATATGCAAAATTTATGTAAAGATATAAAAACATTTTCCCGGGAATAAATTAACATTCAGGGAGGTTGGGGAATTTTGTTTTTGAAAATTTGAATATTAAAGTTGTTGAGTCTCAGTCACAAATTCAATAAGCACATTTGTGGCTTAAATATAATGAGTGTAAAGCTAAAACCATAAATCTTTGGATCCCAAATCTGAAATAGGTAAGAGTAGATGAGAATTAGCCTAAGCTGAAAAATGGAACCTAAATGTCTCATATGAGGCTAGGCAGGAGCCAAGATCATCACTTTGAAACTATTTGAAGAAAAAAAATTCATAAATTGAAATATGGTACTGAGAGTCATACAGAATTCAGCACAAAGGGACAAAGAGATTAAAACTATGAAAAGACAAGTGATAAATACATTTATGGGTAGAATTAACAACTCTCATATAGGTTCAATTAAAATTTTAGAAGTGAAAAATAGAATAAATATTCAAATAATGATGGAGAATTTTTACAACTGAAGATCTGGACTGATATTTGCAATGGGTATATCTAACACATAAACACCCTGAATATTTTAAAACCTAAAAAATCAATATGGAAAAGTTAAATATAGAAAAAAAAGGTAGTGAACAATTTATAAACTTAAAAAGATGTGTCATTCCAACAATTTCAGAAAGCACAAATTTAAATCATGTAGAGATATTACTATACATTCATTAGATTGAAAAAAGTATAAAACTCTGATGTTGATGATATGGAGCAGGAAAAGAGTTTCACTACTTTTTGCAATAGAGAAAAGTTCACACACTTATATGTTCATCAATAGGTAAATAATGATGATGCTATATTTTATATTCCTAATATAAGATATATATCATATAAATATATATACTTATATGTACCAATATTATAAAATTTTAAAATAAATGACAGAAAATAAAGCAAATTTAGAAAGTATATTTATCTGTTAGATTAGCTACATCTGGTTAAAATGAGAGAGTAATCAAATGACAAGAGAAAAAAGGAGAACTTCACTACCTATAATTTTTTTTTTTTTTTTTTTTGAGACAGAGTTTTGCTCTGTCGCCCAGAGTGGAGTGCAGTGGCACAATCTCGGCTCCCTGCAACCTCCACCTCCCGGGTTCAAATGATTCTCCTGCATCAGCTTCCCGAGTAGCTGGGACTACAGGAGCTCACCACCACGCCCAGCTAATTTTTTTGTATTTTTAGTAGAGACGGGGTTTCACCATGTTGGCCAGGATGGTCTCAATCTCTTGACCTCGTGATCAGCCCACCTTGGCCTCCCAAATTGCTGGGATTACAGGTGTGAGCCACCACATCCAGCCAATTTTTTTTTTCAAAGACAACGCAAATATGACAAAAACAAAATTTATTAACTATAGATATTTATTGCATTATTGTATGTACTTTCCTGTTTAAATATTTTACAATTTAAAAACAATTTTAAGAATTCTCTCAATATTGATCCTCTGGGCACAGTGGCTCATGCCTGTAATCCCAACACTTTCAGAGGCTGAGGCGGGCAGATTGCTTGAGGTCAGGATTTCGAGACCAGCCTGGCCAGCATAGTGAAACCCTGTCTCTACTAAAAATACAAAAAATTAGCTGGACGTGGTGGCACATGCCTGTAATCCTAGCTACTCAGGAGGCTAAGACAGGAGAATCACTTGAACCCTGGAGGCAGAGGTTGTGATGAGCCAAGAACATGCCACTACACTCTAGCCTGGGCAACAGAGTGACACTCTGTCTCAAAATAATAATAATAATAATAAATAAAGAATTCTATCAATATTGATCTAGAGAAAAAATATCAAATTTTCTGCAATTATTAAAAAAATAAAAGAATTCTATCAATATTGATCTAGAGAAAAAATCTCAATTTTCTGCAAAAATTATTGGTTAATTTAAGCCATTTTTATACCTCAAGAAGACCAAAGAGTAATAACCTCTAATATATTTCTTAATAGAAATAATAATATTTTGATATATTTAAATATATCTACCTTAATCATCAATATTGTGGCAATAGATTATATATCTATTTAAAACTATTTCAATTTTTAAGTGTTTTTACATAAAGTACATTTTTAAGTATTTAGTTCACTATTTACTGCACATTAGTTTAAGTTTTTTTTTCTGTTATACTTGTTTCTGCTCTCTTACCATTTTTACATTAAAAAAAAGTGTGAGAGGGCTTTTCAATTAGGTGAATCTAAAGTCTTTTTGGCTAAATTTTTCTAAAATTTTAGTTTAAGAAGTTTTTTTCTTGTTGATTTCTCATCCAGAATACATATTAAAAGGGCATTTGCCACATTAAATTGCATTGAACTTCCTTTTCAAAGCCATTGTACTCATAGAACATGTCTATCTATCCTTGAAGATGAATTTGACTGGAGTCATTTGGCTTCCCTAATCGCTCTGCTTTTAAATTTAATCATGAAGAACTCCGGGTACTCAGTGCTAAGAACTAATGATTGCCCTGAAAATGTCAGTCAGCCTAAGTGACTGACAATTTTTTCTTTGTGAGGTGAGTATATGACATTAAATACTGGTTGAATAAAAGAATAAAAAATCAGAGTAAAGAGATCTTTGTTTTATAAATTAGGTATATTGTTCCTCTAGATCTAATCTAACTATAGTTGTGATTATTTAAATCTGTTCAAAAGGAATGAACTAAATTCTGGTAAAGGAATAAGAGTCCTGAACTGGGAGACCGGGATCACTCTATCAAAATCTGCTGCTAATATGACTGGAGATTTAAACACCTTCATCTTTAAATTATGAGTGCACAACTAGATAATTTCAGTTGTCTCATTCAATTTTATGTTTCTTTCTTTTTCCTTTTTCTTTTTTTTCTTTTTTTTTTTTGAGACGGAGTCTCACTCTTGTCACCCAGGCTAAAGTGCAGTGGCGCAATCTCCGCCTTCTGGGTTCACGCCATTCTCCTGCCTCAGCCTGCCGAGGACCTGGAAGTACAGGTGCCCGCCACCACGCCCAGCTCATCTTGTATTTTAGTAGGAACGGGGTTTCACCACCACGCTGCCGTCAAACTCCTGACTTCAGGTGATCCGCCCACCTCGGCCTTCCAAAGTGCTGGGATTACGGGAGTGAAACACCGCGCCCGGCCGGTTTTTTGTTTCTTAACTGGAGAGCTGGAGCCATTATGAGCAAAATAAACATAAAAGATTTTTTCCGTCCAACCGATGGACTAAGCTAGACGTTGTATCTTCAGCATTTTCTCTTCATGTACACCATTGACTATTCAGCACTATACCTAGCAAATATCAGTCATAAATGAAAACTATAGTCTGTTTTCACAGAAATGTTTCTTGTGATTTTCCCTCTTCGCTATTCTTATTTTCATTGTCTTAACTCAGGTCATCAGCATCTTTTCCCATGAACTACTGAATTTTTCTCCTAACAGACCATGTTCTTCATCTTCCTGCATCCCATGTATCTCCAATGTTTCCAAGGTGTCTTTCTTGATGAAAAAGCACTGATTTTATAAACTTCAATCTCTTCCTTTGGTTTAGAGGTTAAAGCCTAACCCATATATAGAATTCTGCATCTTTCCCAATCAAGTTTTCTTATTTTTCTAGTACAGTCTTTTGCCAATTTCCATCTTCCTTCTTATCTTTGGATTCACATCCCCAACTCCGGAGAAGGCAAAAACATCAAATTTATTTACATCAATCGTTTATTTTTTCCCACTTTATGCTTTTGGCAATGCTGCTCCTGCTGCATAGTATACACTTTCCCCTTTTTATCAGGTGAAATTCTACCTATTTATAAGTCCCTGCTCAAATACTAATCATATTGAAAGCTTCTCTGAATACCTTGGAAGAAAAAGTTCTGCCTCCCTCATCTGAAATCATCTCATAGCACTTTTATGTAACCCTATTTTAGTACTTAACACATTGAGTTATATTTAGTTATTGCCCTTATACTTTCTCTGGTAGATTATGTGCTAATTTCTTTCTTTCTTTATCCATCTATCCATCAAGAATTAATTGAAGACCTGCTATTCATCAGATACTTTGTTAGAATATAGGGGACGGAGTTGTAAGAACTGATTTTAGCTTTAACAAGTTTATTCTTTATATGGAAATCCAACATTTAAGTTAATTTTAATTTACAATATAGAATATTGAGTGCTGTGGTAGGTACTCGTCTCTGCAGAGAATATTTTGGAAAAAAGGAGCATTAAAATCTACTGCATAGGAAGGTAAGAATTAGGCCCAGGGACTTTCTCTGGTTGAGGTCGACCATTCATTTATTAACTATTTAGAGTGGAGTATAATTAATTCTCGATAGATGTCATTAAATACACTTTGTTTCGAGTACGTCGAGGCTTATTCTCTCTAGTGTGTTGGATAAAGGCCACAGGTAGTGAAGATATTTCAGAGATGTGAAGAATCCAGTAGGAATGACAACATCCAGCACTTCCATTCAACCAGATCCCACAGGGAAAATGTCAGTTTTGTGAAGGCAGATACATTAACCACATACAACTCGATTAATATAAACAAATAATCTTATCCATTGAGCTCTCCCACAGACCTTCTTGGGCCCAATCAGACAATAATGAAGTGCAGGCGAGACAGCATTCTGCACTCACATTCCAGGCACTGGTTCAAGTCCCTCCTCCAGGTCCCTCAAGAAAGAGACAGGATGACTGACTTACTGTATATTTGACTCATTTTCCTAGAAAGTGCAGACTCGCTATAAAATGTGTTAGGTGGTGAGAACGCTGATGGTTCACCGTTTTCCTCCACTTTCAGCCTCAGTGCAAACCCTCTGCCCAAAGCCTCGCTCCAGTACGGAGGAGCTGCGCCTTCAACACACTTTCTCTGTTGCCAGGTAACCACTTCTCCCTCAGCCTAGTCTCCAAGGGTCACGAGCCACTTCCGCCTCCCCCTCTCGGGCGCTCCAATCAGCGACCTGTGTAGCTGTCACGTGGGCCTCTGGGGCAGACCCTGGAGATCGGGCTCGCGGCGCCTTCCATCGTGGCTCCGCGCTGGGGCTTGCGGAGCACGCTTCCCGCCCCTCGGAGCCCGCGGGCCCGGCCGCCCCGCCCCCGGGCGCCCTGAGCGAGCAGGCGGGGAGGGCGGGGAGGGTCCGCGCGTTGGTGGTGCTCGCCTCGCAGCTGCGCCCGCCGGCTTCAGCACCTTCCGCTGTCCGCCGCTGCAGCCGCCTCCTCCTCCAGGTAAGAAGCCGGTGGGGCCGCAGAGATACCAAGGCAAGCTCAGGATTGATGTGGGTGATGCTGGAACTGTCGCGGCGTCATGCGAGAGGGGCTCTGACCTCCCTGTGATCGCGGACCAGGGTAATGTACGTCCTGCAGGGCTTTGCACACCATGGTGCCTGATGAGATAATCAACTGAGTTTTAGAGCCACACACCTGATTCTTACAAGGCACAGCAAGCAGCGAATATTTATGTATCTAAACTACCATTGCAGTGTAAACTGTGGACATTTCGAGGGACATTGTTTTATTTTTATGGCTATTAAGTATATGTCTAGAGCCTAGGTTGCTGTTCTCATCCCTCCGCCGGCCAGACACTTCTGTATAGATCATTTACCCCTTTGAAGATGGACTTATTAGTAGGGTTGTACTAAGAAAGGTTTGAGTAAAAAGGAAATGCGTTCCAGAAAAAAGACGGTATTGGATATAAGGCAGGTATACTATTTATTAAGTAGATCGTAAAATAGAATCTTTGCTGTCCTCCCCTCTCCAAAATCAGACTTGTTTTGCTTGCAAAGATTGAAAGGAACAAACAATTTAAGGAGACTTTTTAAATATATTAATTAAAAGCAATTGATTCGAATGAAAAGTAATGAAAAGTCCGACCATGCATCAAAAATAAATTATTTTGCATATTAATATATACATATATACTATATATATTTAACAAGGGTTTGAAGAGAGATACTACATTTCTGAATCTTTCATAAATACCCTTTAGAGAAAACTATCAAAAAAACACAAGTTCGTTGTAAAAGGATACGAAACGGCCAAAGCCCAACAATGTGAGATTATAGTTGCCGTTCTTAGCACTCTAATAACATTTCTGCGTTGTAAAAATTAGAAAATAAATGACAATGAATTTATGAGAATTTATAAATTTGAACTCCACAAGAGTTTAAGCATTAATTTATTTGTAGATTTATGCCTTATCATTACCCTGCTTGCCAGGAGCTGATGCTGGGCGGGTGGTGAAACAAACTCTGTGGAGAAAGCACTCTTACATCCTTTTGAGATTCTGCCTCACTGGCCTAAGTGTTCAAGAAAATGGATATAGTTATATCTAACTGTTTTGAAGGCAGACGTCTGAGATAGGTGGTCTGAGAACCTTTCCCCTCCTATCATCTAAAATTAAATATAGTTATTAAGTGCTTTTGAAAAGTTGTCAATTCGTTAATATTTTGGGAAACATCCTTTACTGGATTGTTTGGAGATTAATGTTACAAATGGTAGCTTTAGAGTTCCTGGGAAGTTTTAAAGCAATGACTTATTTCAAAGGGCATATACGGAAAGTAAAGCTCTTGAGTTCTGCAAACGTAATTATGTAAAAATAACTAGTTGAATGTTATTGTTTACATTGTTCTGACTTTCTCTTGTGTTGATATTAATAGAACTGCTTAAAAAACTGTGGACATCTGAAGAAGACGTTAAATATGCTTACTTGAAAGTTTTAACATTCTTTATTCTTCTTATTTCTAATGATAAATAGTGGTGTTCTAAATATTTTTAAGTTACCCATTAGTCACATAAATAATTCCATAGATTAGAAAGCCATAAATTAATTTAGGCCAGAAAAACAATGCTCCCAGTAGAGGGGAGACTAGGGCTAGATTGCTTTTGTTGTTGCTGTTTTCTACAGACTCTATCTTGTATCCTTTAGTCTGGGAAAGGAGGGACAGGGCCAGTGGCAGTTTTTTAATTACTTGGAGAAGTTTAAGAACAGGTTTCTGTTTGTTTGTTTTATGGTTTTACCCTGATGGATACTAGAAGTCCAACATGAATGATTAGGTTGTCACTATTAATGAAATGTGTAAATTCTCCAGAGTACCTGATTTTGTTGCCTAAATACTTTAATGACGACTAAAATGTAATTCTGACAGTTTTGAAGGATTCACATTTTCATCCTATATTCCAGAATTTCTTTGAAATCTAACATATGCAAGAAAGGTAACGCTTTATCAGATTACTGAATTGTAATACTGAATACTTAAGAGTTTACCCAGCTATTCATGATAATTATGTATATGGAAGCATCATTGCTACTTTTGACCACTGCTGAATTATCTCATTTTACATTTTGTATACCTCTTCCATTGAACAGATGGAAATATTAAAGTGAAGTCATGTATCTTCCAGTACGTCTTCAGGAACAGAGATTTCATCGAAATTATATTAATTTATAGAAATCATATGAGGATAGGCTGCGTGCGGTGGCTCATACCTGTAATCCCGGCACTTTGGGAGGCTGAGGCAGGCGGATCACCTGAGGTGAGGAGTTTGAGACCAGTCTGGCCAACATGGTGAAACCCCATGTGTACTAATAATACAAAAATTAGCTGGGCGTGGTGGTGCACGTCTGTAATCCCAGCTACTTGGGAGGCTGAGGCATGAGAATCTCTTGAACCCAGGAGGCCCGGAGGTTGCAGTGAGCCAAGATTGCGCCACTGCATGCCAGCCTGGGCGACAGAGCAAGACAACGTCAAAAAAATTAAAGAAAAGAAAAAGAAAAAAAGGAGGATATTGGAAGGGATTTTTTATTAATTCATGCTCCTTTTCTTTTGTATCAGAAACATATGAAACTTAAGATTTGGTTGGTACTTTTTGATACCCAAGACTGTGCTTTATCCTGTTAAAATAGTATCGTGATTATTCTTTCATTGTTGATAAAACTATTCCTTGAAATTTGTGAGCAAGAAATTAGATACGGATACCTGAAGAGAATTTTAGAAATTCTCCCAAAGAATCTACTCTATAAGGAAACAAAACCTAGAGAAAAACATTTTTCTTATTTGAGTTTACTTAAAATGTTCACGAAGGACTTGCAACTTTGGTAATAAAAATTGGTAGAAATAATATAAAATGATCAGCTTTGTATAGTAAAAGAAAAATTCCCATCACGATTAATTAGAAAGATTTGAAAAGTTTCCATGCTTAAAGCATGGGCTGTCACATTAGAAGGCAGAGTTCAGGTTGTTTTCATCTGATTTCAGTGACTAGACAGGTATAATTTCAGTGACTAGTCAAACATTTCAAATAGGCTAGATTTTGTAAGAAAAAAAAAGAACTTGATATTGGAGCCACAGCTGGCACCTGCCTTCCAGATGTCACATTATCAGCTACTTGAGGAAAATAATTTATATATATATATTGATAAAAGTCTTACTTTTTATTATGTTAAATGTACTTACAAAGTATTGTTCAGTAAGCTGTCTTATAAAATTCTGTAATTCTACATTCTAATTTAAAAAATGTACTGTAGAAATAGACAGTAATATAAATCTATAATTAAGATAATACAGGAGGTAATTTAACAATGTTATTTGCTATGATAAGGATGATTGATAATTGTCATGTTCGGATAAATTGTAGCAAAAGTGTAAGAAATAAATTTCCATGTGTCAGTGAAGATGTTATAACAGTCAATACTTGTTTTGTACATTCAAATGTTCTGAGATGGAGAACTCAAGATTGAGGTCCTTAAACAATTTTTCTTATGCTTAGGTTTATTGTTTTCTTCTTCCAGATTCTTCCCATTTTTTTTAGTTGTAAGCATGTACCAGTGTCCCAGGCAGACTCATTTACAATGATGTGTAGTAAGTTCAATTTCATATCACGCACACAGAAAACTTACTTTCAAATCGGAAAGTAGAAAATAATTTTTATTACACAAAGCACTCGTGTTTAACATGCTATTAAAAAAACCCTTCATTACAATACAAACAGCTCCACATGGAGTCTCAAAAAAATGAATAGTTGGTTAATAAGAAATAGCTAACATTTAATTAAGTTTGATTCTTTAAGATAAAACATTATGGATGACTTTTAATGAAAAGAGTTATGCAACATTTTATTTTTAAGGTAAACAGGTTTGAAGGGGTCATTTTGGAATTTATGATAGAAGGATCCTTAAGACCAGTTACTCTAACACCGTTATTCTGTTAATGAGGACACTAAACACATAAAAATTATGTTCTCAAAATTAATAAGGGAAAAGCTGGCTTATGTTCTACTTCTGAAGCTTTACTTGGGAGTACCATGAACTACTAAATAAATGAATTTATTCCTGAAAATATAATAGTGGATACGTTTCGTTAACATTTATATATCAATAGTAGCTTTTTGGGCATAATGTCTCACCTTCAAAATTAATTCATTAGCTCATGTTTAGGGGGAATTTTATGTTGGCTCAGAGCGTAATATTTGACTTAGGCAGACTAATATGTAGATTACCAACCTATCAGATCTGTGCCTGGGCCCTACCTTAGGTAATACAGCCCTTTACTTAGCAAATTAAAATCAGACTTATTTCAGGCCTCTGTCAATATATTGAATGCATATATTGAAGAAAGTTTCGAGTTTAGTTAGTTTATGTAGATCCTTTTTTCCCTTTTTTTCCACTTCTTTTTTCTTTTCTTTTTTTCTTCTGAGACAGGGTCTCCTGCTGGAGTGCAGTGGTGTGATCATGGCTCACTGCAGCCTTGAACTCCCAGGCTCAATCAATCCCCCCACAGCAGCCTTCTGAGCAGCTGGGACTACAGGCACGCACCACCACTCTTGGCTAATTTTTTTTTTTTTTACTTTTCGTAGAGAAGACAGCTCACTATGTTGCCCAGGCTGATCTGGAACTCCTGGGCTCAAGCGATCCACCCAACTTGGCCTGCCAAAGTCCTGGGATGCATGAGCCTCTGTGACTGGCCCTGTTTTTGTTTTTGTTTTTGTTTTTTAATATTCAAGCTTCTAAGCATCCATTTGATTTTCTTTGCTGGTTTTCCCAAACTGACTTGCCAAAATAATTTTTAACACCTTTTCCCAGAACATGAATATGCCAGCATTAAGTGACTTTCTGCCCAATGGGGAATCCTAAGTTTGATAGACAGATAAGCATGAAGGCTCATCCTGCTTCAAAAACTCACATACAAAACCCAACTCACAAACCAGGTTAATTAGAAGGGGAGCGAGGGTCCTGGGGATTACATAGCAATTTATGGCAGAGTTCCTCAAGTCTTTTTTTTTTTAATGAGCAGTGATTCTATTTATAAAAATAGGGGTATACTTTTTGCCACACCCTGTTGAAGAAATAATCTTGTATCTTTTTATGACAAATATTTACTTATTTCCTTCCATAGTGTTCTCGCAATGGAATATTTACTTCAAAAATTCTTAGTTTATAATTGAAAATATGTGATTTCTCCCTTTTCTTTTTTCTTTTCTCTTTTTTTTTTGAGACAGAGTCTCACTCTGTCGCCCAGGCTGGAGTGCAGTGACACGATCTAGGCTCACTGCAACCTCCAGCTCCCGGATTCAAGCAATTCTCCTGCCTCAGCCTCCTGAGTAGCTGGGATTACAGGCGCAGGCCATTATGCCCAGCTAACTTTTTTATTTTTAGTAGAGACGGGGTTTCACCATGTTGGTCAGGCTGGTCTCAAACTCCTGACCTCGGCCCACCTTGGCCTCTCAAAGTGTTGGAATTACAGGCGTGAGCCACCACACCCGGCCTTTCCCTTTTCTATTATTCTTTGGATACCTCTCTCAGAATGGTCACAATGAAAGTATATGAATGAGCTTGTTGAAGTAGATGTGGATTACTTCTTTGATCAAATCAAAAATTATTTCCATGTTGCAGCACAAAACGTTCTGTAATCCTCTAAGCATCTGGGTAAGTCTAGTTCCAGGATTCAAATCCATATAATTTTCATTTTCATGGCTAAAATGGAGGAAAGTATAAAAATATATGTAAATAGATAATAAAGGTAACTCCATTCATCTTTCTGTATCTTTGAATCGGTGTCTTGCTCTTTTGATGTTCAGTGTTTGGTCTTAGATATAACTCCTGTGTTTTGTTGACCAAGATGGAATTCATACTGGTATAAGTGGTCATTTCGTGAGTCCAAAGTAGAACTGCCATAATGACCTCATTCTTCTCTACTTGCTACCTAATCCAGGATTTTAATGTAGGCTAGTACTGTACTTGTGACCTATTTTGTCTTCTAAGCTTTTAAGAACATCATGATTTGACATATATTGGGAATGCTTAGATAACACTGCCTGCCAAGCATGTAAAAGGTAAACTCAGAAATGCTCAGGTAAACTCAAGCATGTGAAAGGTAAACTAGACATTTCAGAGATTAATCTCAGACAGTAGAAGATACCAGAGACAATTTTTCTTCCAACTCATCTTTATAGACATTGAACTAGGCCAGTAGTTCTTAAGGCTTGCTGTGCATTTAAATTGTCTGAGAGTGATATTGAAAAGCTCCACTCCAAGGTTCTCATTTGTTGGAGTTGGGATGTGATTCACAAGTCTGCATTTTTAGCAAGTATCTAAGTTAATTCTGATGCGAAATACTTGAGAGCCACACTTTGAGATACACTGATTAAGAGATTTTTGAAATCCTATTTATTCTTGATAATGTATGTTGCTATCTATCACAATGAGAATAATGCTCATTTAGAATTATGGATACAAGAAGAGCTCAAGTTAGTGGGCCAATGGATGATTTTTTTAAAATTCCTTTCATTTTTCTGCATTTTCCAGATGTTTTCCAGAGAGCAAGCACCTATGGATTATATGAGAAGACATATTTTTTGCATAGCTCCGAGCACATAGTATATTTACACTTTAAACACTGACATTTCAACAATGTGTTTTTAGGGTTTTATTTTTTAGTAATAAAGGCAATACATTTCCATTACAGAAAAATTACACAATTCAGAAGAGTATAAAAGTGAGTTTCACAAAACTATCTTGAATCTCTGCATCCTGGTATAAAACGCTGACCTTTTAATAGACATTTTTAGGTACTTTTATTGATTTTTCTTACTATTTCTCAGACATTCCCAGAAACACATCTCTGAGTCTTTATTTTTGTGCTCCCTCTTTTTAGCAAGATTTTTTCACCAGATGTCTTATATTTTGCTTTCCTTCAAATGTCTGCTCAGTATCACCTATGAGGACTTCCTGTGCCATCTTTTTATTTTTTATTTTTTATTTTATTATTATTATACTTTAAGTTTTAGGGTACATGTGCACAATGTGCAGGTTTGTTACATATGTATACATGTGCCATGTTGGTGTGCTGCACCCATTAACTTGTCATTTAGCATTAGGTATATCTCCTAATGCTTTCCCTCCCCTCTTCTCCCACCCTACAACAGTCCCCAGAGTGTGATGTTCCCCTTACTATGTCCATGTGTTCTCATTGTTCAATTCCCACCTATGAGTGAGAACATGCGGTGTTTGGTTTTTTGTCCTTGCGATAGTTTGCTGAGAATGATCGTTTCCAGTTTCATCCATGTCCCTACAAAGGACATGAACTCATCATTTTTTATGGCTGCATAGTATTTCATGGTGTATATGTGCCACATTTTCTTAATCCAGTCTATCATTGTTGGACATTTGGATTGGTTCCAAGTCTTTGCTATTGTGAATAGTGCCGCAATAAACATACGTGTGCATGTGTCTTTATAGCAGCATGATTTATAATCCTTTGGGTATATACCCAGTAATGGGATGGCTGGGTCAAATGGTATTTCTAGTTCTAGATCCCTGAGGAATCGCCACACTGACTTCCACAATGGTTGAACTAGTTTACAGTCCCACCAACAGTGTAAAAGTGTTCCTATTTCTCCACATCCTCTCCAGCACCTGTTGTTTCCTGACTTTTTAATGATTGTCATTCTAACTGGTGTGAGATGGTATGTCATTGTGGTTTTGATTTGCATTTCTCTGATGGCCAGTGATGATGAGCATTTTTTCATGTGTTTTTTGGCTGCATAAATGTCTTCTTTTGAGAAATGTCTGTTCATATCCTTCACCCACTTTTTGATGGGGTTGTTTTTTTCTTGTAAATTTGTTTGAGTTCATTGTAGATTCTGGATATTAGCCCTTTGTCAGATGAGTAGGTTGCAAAAATGTTCTCCCATTTTGTAGGTTGCCTGTTCACTCTGATGGTAGTTTCTTTTGCTGTGCAGAAGCTCTTGAGTTTAATTAGATCCCATTTGTAAATTTTGGCTTTTGTTGCCATTGCTTTTGGTGTTTTAGACATGAAGTCCTTGCCCATGCCTATGTCCTGAATGGTATTGCCTAAGTTTTCTTCTAGGGTTTTTATGGTTTTAGGTCTAACATGTAAGTCTTTAATCCATCCTGTGCCATCTTTTAAAAAAATTACAATGTGAGCTCTGTCACCAGAACACCTTTTCCCTTTTCCCTCCATTATTTTTATTTTTCTCTATTCCACAGATTATCTTGAGAGATATATATAAAACTCAAGATAATTGTGATATATACTACACATATACATATATATTTATATATATAATTTACTTATCTGTTTTGCTAATTTCCTTTTTTTAAAAAAGGACAGAGTCTCACTTTGTCATCCAGGCTAAAGTGCAGTGGCATGATCATAGCTCACTGCAGCCTCGATTTCCTGGGTTCACGTGGTCCTCACACCTCAGCCTCATGAGTAGCTGCGACTAGAGGTGCATGCACCACACCTGGCTAATTTTTGTATTTTTGTAGATATAGGGTCTTGCTGTGTTGCCCAGGCTGGGCTTGAACTCCTGGCCTCAAGTGATTCTCCAACCTTATCCTCCCCAAGCACTGGGATTAAATACACGAGCCCCTGTGCTAATTTTGTGATTCCCTGCTACAAGAATAAAAGCTCTGGGCATGCGGGATTTTTTTTAATGCTTTTTTTTTTTTTTTTTTTTTTGCTGTTCTTGCCTAGCACATAGTTATTGCTCAATAAATATTTATTGAGTGGATGAGTAAATTGTGCAGTGATTACTGAAAGTTTAAAAAGTCAATGGAATAATAAACTTCCCCAAATTTTACCATCTAGAAATAGCCAAATATTTACCTTGAGCTGTATATCCTTTTAGTTTTTAATGTGTATGTGTATATAGGTATATATTAATTTTTAAATGCAGAAACATAAGTCTGACATGCCTTTTAAATTAACTACATAGACTTTATCAAATGATTAATTTATAACTACTCTTTTCATATTAAGATGTTTTATGTATATGTTAATATTTTTTCCAGTTTTTTTCTTTCAATTTTATGATCTATTTTAACAAAAAAAATTCAAGATTTTGTTTCATAATTTTTGTAATTTCATGCTTTTTTAATTATAAGGTGACTGAGTCAATTTCTAATATTGTGAGTCGATTTTTCCCTAAATATCAGGAAACAAATTGTTTCTACTGATTACCTTTGTTAAATGAGAAATTTACCATATCTTTGTTTTCTTCTATTCTTCTCCTAAGCTCTAGTACCTAGGAAAACAATATAAGATTTTAAAGTTTTGATAATGAACATTTTAGGTTATCTGTCTTCTCTTTCAATCATTACTTTGTCATTTCCATTTTCATAACCATATTCCATTTTCTTTGCTTAATACATTTTAAAAATTACATTAACTTCCATATTTGAGCTTTGTTTTGATTCATTTTTAAAAAGACTGTAATTTTATTCAAGTAATTTTTTAAGAGGAATACATGTGTAAATTGCCTTCTAAATCTTTCCAGTATGAGAATGTCTTTCTGTTCGTTTTCCCTTCACACATGTATGATACTTTGGCAAATTATAGAGGAGTGAGATCAGCATTTTGGGAGGCTGAGGCAGGAGGGTCACTTGAGGATAGTTCAAGATCAGCTTGGGCAACATAGTGATGCCCTATGTCTACAAAAAAGAAAAAGAAAAAGAAATTAGCCAGGAGTGTTAGTGTGTGCTGTAGTCTCAGTTCGGGAGGCTGAGGCAAGAAGATCACTTGAGCTCAGGAGTTTGAGGCTTGAATGTGCTATGATCGGGACACTGTACCCCAGCCTGAGTGTTGCAGCGAGACCCTGGCTCAAAAAAGGAAAAAAAAGTGAGATCACAATAGTTCTTCAGTTTAATAAAGTTATTATATCACTGAATTTGGGAATTTTGTGCAGTGGTGAAAAATGATGCCAATCTGTTTTTTTCCACTTGTACATAATATTTTTACAAAATACTTCTTAGTTGCTCATTAGAGTGTAAAGAAATAAATTAGCCTTGAATTTGCCTTAATATACCCAGGTATGGATAGTTAACTGTATGTTTACATATATAATATATATATATATATATATATATATATATATATATATATACACACACACACACATATATATACATGTAAGCAAAATATGTGTATCTGTATGTATATATTTAAGCAAAATATGTATATTGCTTAAAACAAAAGCACTTTTGATCTGCCTATTTAGAGTCTTTTTTTAACCCAGTAAATGAGTTGTCGTTGTTGGTTTTTTTTTTTTTTTTGGCTGCATCTCAGATTGTTGTTTTTGTTTCTGTAGTTTTACTTGTGCTTTAGCTTTTTCTAAAAATATTCTTAATATTTTAGTTTGAGGTTTCATTCCTTGTATACTGTATCTTTCAATTTCTCTAAATTTTAAAAAATCTCTTATTTTCCAGTGTTTTGGAAGAGTTTTTTCACTTTGTTCTCTGAATCATTGATATGATTTTTTTTTGCAATTTCAGTTTGGCTCTTTATTGCTCTTTAATGTGGATTTTTATTCTGCTGTTGTCTTTTGTTTTTTTCATAATCATTATTTTAGCCATCTCATCCTGCAGCCTCTTTATCTTAGCTGATAGTATGTTCATTCCTACTCCTGAATGAGAGGCGGCCCATATAGGCTATTGATTACCAAAACACAGAATGTGTAGGTTTCTGCAGGCCCCAAACTCTTTCTTCTTGGATACTGGATCAATTATATCACTATTTGATCAATGTCAAATCTCCTTCTTATATCAACATTGATAGAAATCTATGTCAATGTCCTAATCTAATAGGCATTGTCTAGCAGACTTTCTATTATGTAGTAGATTCTTTTTTCCTGAGATGGAACTTTCTCCCCTCTGCATTGACTCAATCAATGGGGAAATACATGAAAAAAATAAAAATACTTTTTGCTTCCACCTATAATATATTGCTGAAGAGCTACACTTCCTTAGAGTATAGTACTACTGTCTTATCTCACTTTTTCTCCCAATTTTTTTTTTTTTTTTTTTTTTTTTTCACTAAGAGCTGTAGTCACTGAGTAAATATAAGGGCGGGGGTCATGGACTGAGTGAAGAAGGATAGAAAAGGTACATGATGGAAATGAGAAAGACAGTACTACAGCTCCCAGGCCATGCATGGTTTAATAGCTCTGTTACTTTCTGGTTGACATTGATCTTGTTTTTCTAAATTGGGGGCATTTAATGAGGCAATGACAATGTACATTTATACATACGTCCTGGGAGAAAGCTTCTAAAATTTCTAGCAGCATTGTGGATGGTCCATCTATGGCACTCTGTAGTTCCTTTCACGTAGTACCTATGACACCGATTATAGTACCTTAGTGTTTAGAGGAAATTCCTCCCAGATTAAAATGTCGCTGATGCTGAAACCTTATTTTATATGTGACTATGAGTTTTTTGGTGTATTTTTCCTGTGATAAGTGCCAATTAGGGTTCTTTCAGTTGTAGGCAACAGAAAATACACTCATTTTACTAGCTCATGTAACTTAAAAAAAAATCTAAGGATAGAGTTGGATGATTGTATGTATCATTCATAACTAGCTTCAGTGTTAAATTGATGTCATTGTGACTCAGCCCCTCTCTACTGTGCTGGCTTTTTTCAAGCTACAGGTAGTAGCCTCAAGCAATTCTACATATCTCCTCATGATAATAAAATAACTTATATTATCTCTGATTTCACACTACCTGTGGTTTAGTCCACAGAAGAGAAAGGTTCTTTTTCTAGTAGTGCCCATAAAAGTCCTAAATTTCAAGATTAAACACATTTGACCCAGGCAACCACTGATTGCTTTCTGTCACTAAATATTAGTTTGCATTTTCTAGAACTTTGTATAAATAGAATGATACGTTGTGCACTCTTTTTGTCTATATTATTCTACTCAGTGTAATTATCTTGATATTTATGCATTTGTTGCATGTATCACTAGTTCATTCCTTCTTATTGCTGCAGAATATTCCATTATATGGATACATTTTTTAAATCCCTTTGCCTACTAATGGATAGTGGATTGTTTTTAGTTTTTGACTATTATAAATAAATGTTTGAATATTTATAATAAATAAATAAATAAATGAACACATTTGAATTTTTTTCCCATCACTGAACCATTAAAATGGCTAGGGAAATGATGAGTATAAACTGGAATCACCTGCTCTAGTTCAGGGACTGGAATTTTACCTAAACCGGGACTGAAGCAGAGGAGAGGATCATCAAATACAAATGTAATGATTGCACAAAGAAGGGAATGGAGGTGGTGGGGAGGCAAACAACAAATCTTCATTATGGTGTTTAAGTGGAAAGTTGGAAGAGATTCTGTCAGGATCTGCTAGAAATGCTATTTTAACCTGAAACACTTGTATGCCTCTATAGCACAGATGACTCAGGCATATTGAACCTACAAACAAAATAGAACTTTGAATCTTGAAACTTGTGGGAACGAAATTCTTCAACTGGAAGATAAAACTATAATAATTTTCAATTAAAATTATATTTTGCTGCTTATCTCTCCAATTCTACTCATATTTTGATCTTTGTCATGGGCTTTTTGTCATTTTTTAATTAATTTATTTTGTTCATTAAAACATAGTTATATGTATTTATGGGGCACATATTTATGATACATGCAATATAGAGTAATCAAATCAGGATAGTATATCTGTCACCTCAAATATTTATCATTTCTTGTATTGGGAGCATTCAAAGTCCTCTCTCTGGCTATTTGAAAATATATAATAAATTATCGTTAACTATAGTCTTCCTATAGTGCTTAGAACACTAGATCTTATTCCTTCTATATAGCTGTAATTTTGTATTATTTAATCCATCTTTTCTTATCTCCCCTACCCTGTACCCTTTGTGGCTTCTCATAAGCAGCATTCTACTCTTTAGTTGTATGATACCAACTTTTTTAGCTTCTGCATAAGAGTGAGAACATACAGTATTTACCTTTCTGTTCTTGGCTTATTTCACTTAACATGTCTTCCAGGCTTATCTATGTTGCCATGAATGGCAGCATTTTATTTTTTTATGGCTCAATGGTATTTCATTGTGTATATATACCACATTTTCTTTATCCATTCATCTGCTGATGGACTTTACGTTTGATCCTACATTTTGGCTATAGTGCTGCAGTGCTGCAGTAAACATGGGAGTGGAGATATCTTTTGGATGTTCTGATTTCCTTTTGTCATGGGGCTGTTTAATCAGTAAGTAATGAAATGTAAACTAATAAGAAATGTATTAGAATTGGAAAAATAAAACCCAGTTTTTATTAGCAGTACTGCAAATAGTCTCTATTTCTTAATGCTTTTAAAAATTTACACATAGTCTTTACTAAAATGTCAACATACACATACACACTCATACATATCTCAAATGGAATGTCTCTATCACCAGAAGGTGATTCATATTGAATCAAATTAAGGAAACATCAGTTATTCTTTATACCTACATACATATGTTGTCTTCATACATTTTCTGGTGCTTACAAAAGAATACCTGAAACTGGGTAACTTGTAAAGAAAATAAGTTTATTTCTTACCATTACGGAAGCTAAGAAGTCCAAGGTCAAGAGGCCACATCTGGTAAAAGCCTAAGAGCCTTCCTGCTGGTTGGGACTCTGAAGAGTCCAAAGGCAGTACAGGTAATCACAAGGCGAGGGGGGGTGAGCATGCTAACATGCTTAACATGCTTGTTGAGGTCTCTTCCTACTCTTATAATGCCACCACTTCCCCTCCCATGATAACCTGCTAACCCATTGAGCCACTAATTCATTAATCCATGAATGGATTAATTTGTTCACAAGGGCAGAACCCTCATGATCTAATCAATTTTAAAGGCCCCACGTTTCAATGCTGCCACATTGGGGATTAAGTTTCCAACACATGAAATGTAGGGGATGCAGTCAAACCATAGCAGCAGTCATCAGTAGCTATTTACTATAGTCAGATTGGTGGCCATTTACTGAATTAGAAAAAAACAAGTAGGAGCATATTTTGTGGGGAACATCATAAGTTTTTTTTTAATAACTTAAATTTGAGAATCTATTTAAAATCCATGTGGGGATGTTAAGCAGGAAATTATAAATATGAATTAGACTCAAGATAAAAACTTGGGGGTAAATGTATATGGTATTTAAATTTCTAAAACTGGATGGGATCACCGAGAGAACCGGTGTGGAGAAGAAATCCAAGGACTGATCCCTAGGACGTTCTAAAGTTTGAAGTTCAGGGAGATGATGAGGAATCAAAACAAAAAGATTTTAAAAAAACAATGGGGAGAAGGCACTGAAGTAGTAGGGGAATCAAAAGAAAACACTTTTCTAAAAGGTAAGTGAAAGAGATGTTTCAGGAGGGTGGATTCAACTGTGATCCAACGTGGCAGCTACTGCTGCTAAAGTAGCAAGTAAAATGAGGACCGATCATTGACTAGTGGAGGTTTTACTAATTTTGCTAATTAACAGCCTGCTTCTTAATCCTCAAATGCAGGATGAATACTTCAGTCTTAATTTTACTTGGCCTGTCTGAAATATTTAACCTGCTTGAGAACGTTCTCCTTTGACATTTAACATATTATTTTCTCTATTATTTTTATTTATTGTATCTCTTTGCTTGGTTGTCTTTTCAGACTCCTTTTTCTTTCCTGTACTTATCCCTCAGACATTGGTGTTACTCAAAATTGTGTATGAAATGCTTATCCAGACCTCTGTATTTTAATTTTAGGAATCTCCACCTACATGTCGCACTGACATTTTGCATTCAATATCTTTTAATAGAGCTTTATCGCTTTATCCCAGACCCTGGAGCTCCTACTGAATTCTCTCTCTCAATGAATGGGGCTAAGTTATTCAGTCAGGCAGAAGTCTACAAATCTTAAGTTCTACCTCTCCCTTGCTGCCAGTTAATTAGTTCAGCCCCTTGTCTTTCTCATCTACTTATACATGTTTTGCTACCCTGTCCCCCAGAGGCCTTTTCAAAATAGTGTCAGGATGATATTAGTAAATCACAAAATGGGATTTCTGTGTGATTTTAAAATATCGTTAGCATGTTGAAAATGTTTCAAAGACTCCCCATCTCCTATAAAGTAAAATTCACAGTTCTTACCATGATCTACATGACTTTCCATCATTCTGTCTCGCCTGTCTGTTCATTCTCATGTTCCACTACTCCTTTTTACGTGCCATTATACTTTAGGCACAGAAAAATAATTTCCCTCTCAAAGTTCCAACCTCACCTTTTTTTTATACAGCCTTCTTGGCCACCTAAATCATAGGCACATTTTTCTTTCTGTTCCTCCAAATATGTGTTCATTCTCTATTATAGCAGCTATTGCATATTGTTTCATACATTTATTTGTGTCTATTAGAAATGAAGTCAAGTGCAAATAACAGAAAATCAGTAACTAAAACAGACTTCCTTTTTTTCTTATAACAAGATGCCTGAAGATGGTGCAACAATAGTGTTAGAATTGCAGCATCTCTGCAGTTTTCTTGGCCTTTCCTTCGGGGATGCAAGACAGCTGCTGCAGCGACAGCATCACATCAATGTTCCGGTCAGAAGGGCAGGAGAATAACACCATAGATTTCCACTTGTATCTCCTTAGCTGAAGCTGGATCAGATGCCCACACCTAGGCCTCTAATTGTCCAGATGATGAAATTACTATGACTGACATAGACCAAACATCATTCTCCTCCTAGGATAGGTAAACAGCCTTTCCTCCCTGAGATCAGTGTAATTCCACCTGTACCAAAAGAATGTGGGACTCTGTTGGCAGGGAAGGAGACAAGTGAGAATGGTTGTTGGTAGATTAGACAACATGTGTCTGCTGTGTGTCTAGCTCTTCTGCTCTAAGTTTCTTGAAGCAGCTTTTTTTTTTCTGCTTTGTTTACTTCTTGTTTATCTTTGTATCTTTAATAACTGGCTTTAGTTCCTGGCCATGATTTATACTATTTGCCAAAATGAATGAAATAAAATGATGCAACAGATATATATGGATTAATTTTTTCACTAAATAATATGTCACATTAATGAGATAGAAACATAGGCAAATAATACATTTGGTAAGGCAAAACGACACCAATTCTGCTTGTTGTATTACTATAGACAGTAATGACTGAATTTTAATAACCATGTATACTCGGGGTGATGAAACATGGTAATTATATTTAAAGACAAGAAATGAAGAAGGCTGTAAGTAATTGACATTATTGACTAATTGAGAATTTCGCTTTGTAAAATATGATTTGAAAATAGGCAACCTAAAAGTCGACCTGAGATTTGGCTGCATAACCGAGAAATGCAACATTACAGTGGCTTAAAAGTCCAGGTTTTCCGGGATTGAGACATCTTCCAGTTCCCGTTCTACTATTCTTTGGTATAACCCTTGTCCTTAACGATCCAAGATATTTGCTAATGTGCCAGGCTTACTTTCCAAGTTCCAAATGGAAGAAAAAGGGTGAGCTGAAAATGGTATGCCTTTTCTCTTAATGCAAACAATAAATCCCAATGCTTTTTATTTTCAAAAATTTGTGGAAATATAGTGTCTAAGATACTTTCCATTTTAAAAATTATTTTCTCCAATGTTAGATTCATCTGCATTTTACAAAATGCTTTTCATGGGATTTTTTAATTTATTTACTTTAAGTCTTAGGAAATAGCAAAGATGAAGATGAATTTTAGACAGGGAAATATAGGCTCATCCAAAAATATACATACTTTTGAAAAGCTTATACTTTTTCTGCTACATCAAGCCACTTTCATAAAAGAGTAAAATGTTTTTCTTTGAATTTTAATAAAGACTACATTTATATTTCTTAGAAATAAAGAGTACTTAAACTGTTTGATAGATTTTCTTAGAAAACCAAATTATATTAAATAGCAATTAACTTAGAAGTCTATTTTTTCCTCTAAAAATTAATAATATTTTATTCATGAGGCACTGTGGCATACGTGGGGCATTTTAGACTTGTTATATTACCCTAATGCAAGTGATTTTTTAATGTTTAGACTAGAACAATTAGGGATTCTGGCTAGGAATTTGGGTTAAATTTTCAGGAGATGGGGGCTGAGTAATTCATTAAAAAGAACTCATTGACTATGATGATTATGATTCGTGCTACACAAACATATCATTCAGAGGCAATTCTTCCCTTAGGTTGTTTTTATTTTTGTTTTTAAGCATAAATAGAACATTATCAGCACTCACTACCACCACCAAGGATACCACTAGCAGAATAGATAAATATTGTACATTTTTGTGCTTTGTATTCATGGAATACAGTATTATTTTTATATCTGGCTTCTTTCATTATTTGTGAGTTTCATCTGTAGGGTTGCATGTAGTTGTTACTTATTCTCATTATTATGAACTTTTCCACACAGTATGAATATACTGTATCATTGTACTATTAAAGTATACTTGAGCAGTTTATACTTTATAAATAGAAATACTGTGAATATTCTAATACATGTCTTTTGATGAACATTACCCATTGCTGTTGGCTATACACTTAGGAGTGGAAATGCTGGTCATGGGGTATGTATTTGTTCGGCGTTAGAGGATTCGGCCAATGAGTTGTCCAAAGCATTTGCCCCAGTTTACGTTCCCCTGAGCAGTATATGAGTTTCAGTTACTCTGCACTGTCGCCAATCTGTGGTATTGTGCAGTTTAGTCCTTCTGTTGGGAGGGCAGCAGTATCTCTTTGCAGTTTTACTTTGTATTTCCCTTATGACTGGTGTTATTGAGCAACTGTTCATATGCTACTTAGTTATTTGGATGATCTGAATTTATCTTCCCTTTTGTCCATTTTTCTATTGGTTTGCCAGTCTGTTTTGTTTTGTTTTTGTTTTTGTTTTTTTTTGGTTGTAAGTGTCCTTTGTTGAACATAGGTGCTATAAACATTTTCTCCCTTGCCTTTCACACTTTTAACAATGTCTTGATGAATGCAAGTGTTTTAGTCTGTTTTGTGTTGCTATAAAGGCATGCCCAAGGCTAAGTAATCTATAAAGAAAAAAGATTTATTAAGCTCATGATTCTAATGTCTGGAAAAGTTCAAGACTGAGCATTTGGTTCGGGTCTCAGGCTGCCTCCACTCATGGTAGAAGGTGAAGGGGAACTGGTGTGTGCAAAGAACACACAGCAAGAAAGGCAGCAAGGAGCTGGGGGTGCCAGGGTCTTTTTAACAACCAGCTTTCCTGGGAACTAGAGTGAGAACTCACCCTTTTACTGAGAGAAGGCATTAATCTATTTATAAGAGAGCTGCCTCTATAATACAGACACCTTTCCATTACATCCATCACACCTCCAACATTGTGATCAAATTTCAACATGAGGTTTGAGGGAGGACAAACATCCAAATTATAGCAATAAGTTTGTAACCATAATATTGTCCTATATGTCAATGTTTTCCCTTGTGATTGGCATTTTTTGTGTCCTATTTAATGAGTCTTTTCCTATCCCTAAGATAAGATGTTATCGTTAGTTTTCTTTTAAAGCTTTAATACTTTACTTTTGTATTTACTTTTATAATCATCCTCTCTTTTTAAAATTGTTAGCTTACTGTCGAGATTATATATATATATTATATATTATATATATATATAAAATATATATATATATACACACATGCTTATATTTCCATAAGGGCATTCAATTATGCAGAATCATTTACTGAAAGGTCTGTTCTGTGCCCCACTGAATTATCACCTTCACCATAAATCACTTAACGGTATATGAAGAGATCTATCCTGGACTCATGCTGTTCCATTAGTCAGTTTGTGTATCTTTGCGTCACCACCACCCTGTTTTAATTATAATAGCTTTATAATGGATAGTATAACATTAGGCTTGTTCATATAAAACCTCAGTCTTTTGCAAGACTCCCTTGGCTATTCCTGGGCATTTACATTTTCATATGCATTTTAGAATTTGCTTGGCACTTTTCATACATAAAAAAAATCTGCTAGGATTTTTGATTAGGATTGAATTAAATCTGAAGATTAATTTTGAGAGAATTTACATTTTCACATTTAATCTAATTCATTAACTCCATGTATCTTTACTTTTTTGTTTAAGATTTTTATGTTTAATTTATGAGAGACATTGCTGTGTAGTTCCCTTCTTACACGTCTTTTTCAGGTTTGGGGAAGATATAAAGAAGTGAGAAGTGATTCCTTTTACTATATTCTCAAAGAGTTTATGTAACATTTCTTTTTGAACTATTTTAAAGAATTCGCCAGTGAAACGATCTGGGCCTGGAAGGTTGTGTATGGGAAAAGTTTTACATGTAGACTTATATTCATATTCAGGCTAAACAGATTTTCTCATTCTTCTATCAACTTTGGTAACTTGTATTTCTTTTTGAAGAATGTGTCCATTCATCCAAGTTATCCAATATATTGGTGTGAAGGTGGATATAGTATTCTTATTTTTTTATGTCAGTAAGTTCTATAGTGATGTATTTTTTTATTCCTGATAAGGATCTGATATGGATATTTGTGTTTGTTCTGTATTTTTCTTGATCAGTCCTTCTGTGAGTTGATATAAGGGAAGCAGTGTTTGGTTTAGTTGATTTCCTCTACTGAATGTTTGTAAACTATTTCGTTGCTTTCACCTCTTTTTGGAATGATTTCCTTTTCTACATTTTTTGGGCTTGATTTGCTTTTCTTTTTCCAGTTTTTAAAGATAGAAACTTAAATCTTTGACTTTTCTTCCTTTTCCTTTTCTACTAGAAAGAAGTGAAATATAATTGATGCTATAATCCTCCCCCACTCAAGCATTAATCTAGCTGCAACCCACAAATTTCTATGTTTAGACTTTGCTATTTAGTGCTAAATATTTTCTAACTTCCATTTTTATTTCTTTTCTGATTCCAAGATTATTTAGAAATGCATTCTTTAATTTCTAGATAGTTGTGGATTTTGTAGTTTTATTTATTGATTTCAGACTTAATTCTATCCTGATTTTAAAATATACTCTGAATGATTTCAGCGTTTTAAAGTTTGGTTAAATTTTCTTTATGGCTCTGCACACGGTTAATTTTTGTAAGTAGCCCATGTTTATTTGAAAAGAATGTGAATTCTATCATTATTGGGTACAGTATCATATATATGTCAGTTGAGTCCTTTTCTGTATGTTGTTCAGATCCTATGGGGTTTTATCTGTTTATTCTATCAGCTATTGAGATTTGTTACTTAAAATCTACCATTATGAGTGTAGATTTACATAGTTTTCCTTTAATTGTGTCATTCTTTTTTTGTCATTCTTGCTTTATATAATTGAAAACTATGTATGTCATTTGGATGCAACCAGTTTTAGGATTATTATACATTTCAGTCTCATTGTCACCTTTATCTTTAAGCAACGTTCCTCTCTTTTTGGTAATATTTCTTGCCTCAAAATCTATTTTATCTTTGATTTACATAAGATCTTTCTTTTGGTTAATATTTGTATAGTTTATCATTTTCTGATCTTTGACTTTCAACTATTCTGTAACCTTTTATTAAAGTGTGCCCTATGTAAAGAGCTGAATTTTTTAATGTAGATGCTAATTTTATTTTGATTTGTAATTTTATTTTCTCTTATTCAATATGTAACTGTTATAATTTTATTTATATATACAAACTTTTTCTTATTTACAGTTTTTGTTTTCTGATTTACAATTTTTAATTAATTACACTTTCCTTCAATTAACTTGCTGATAGTATGTTTATTTACTGTTCCTTTTTATAATTACCCTGGAGATTCCGGCATGTAAATTTGACTCATTATGGTTTAATACAAATGATTACTTTTACCTCTTCTTTAATACTAATACTAACTCCATTTATCCTGCTGTCTTTTGTGTTACTGTTTTCATATAATTTAGTGCTACAAATATTTTAAATTTCATAAGACATTACAATGATCATTTTGTATAGTTAATATTTATTTATATTTAACTACATATTTTCCCTTTCTGATGATCTTCAATATTTCTAACATTTTCATGTTTCTTATCCTTCTACCTAAAGAAATCCCTTATATTTTTTTTTCTAGAATGGGTCTACTAGCAATGAATTTACTAGGTTTTGTTTGTATGAAAACTTACAATGAAAACGTTCATATTCTTCCATTTTTAAATAATATGTTTACTGAATTTTTAGTTATCTTTTTCTCAGCACTTTAAAATGTAATTTCTTTGCATTCTCACTTCCATTATTTCTGTTGATCTTTGACTGTAACATGACCATTTTTAAGATTTAATATTTTCTTTTTGTGGTTTCTGGCATTTTAGTGTGATGTGCATAGATAAGGTATCGCTTTAACTTACCCTGCTTGGAGCTTGGTAGCTTCAGAAATCTTAGTTTTAAAATCAGTTTCAGAAATTTCTCATTCTTTATCTCTCTTTGGTTTCACTATATTATCCCTTTCCTCTCCTTCTTATACTACTCTTACATACATGTTTAACTTTTCAGCATACCTTATCTGTCTCTTATGCTTTGTTCTATTTCTCTTTTTCTCTATGCATTGATTTTGGCCTATACCATTTATTTATGTTCCACTGAACTAATAGTGACTTTTGGGATATCCAATCAACTAATAAACTCATCCATTGAGATATAAATTTCAGCCATTGTGTTTTTCAGTTTTAGAGTGTAATATTCATTTTATTTTTATTTTAATCAATTAATTTTTTTTTTTGAGCCAGAATCTGTGTCACCCAGGCTGGATTGCAGTGGCGCGATCTCGGCTCACTGCAACCTTTGCCCCCCAGGTTCAAGCAATTCTTGTGCCTCGGCCTTCTGAGTAGCTGGGACTACAGGTGTGTACCACTATACCTGGCTAATTTTTATATTTTTAGTAGAGACAGGTTTTCACCATGTTGGCCAATCTGGTCTCAAACTCTTGGCCTCAAGTGATCTGCCCTCCTTGGCTTCCCAAAGTGCTGCGATTACAGGCGTGAGCCACCATCCCTGGCCTTTATTTTTATATATTTTTATATATTCCAATTATCTGGTAAAAATACTTCCTTTTTCAACTATTTTACTTTATTTGTTACTGCACATTAAAGATAGTATATGACCTAAACTAAAGAGAAGCACAGTATATACTTTGTCACTAAAAACTTCAAACTCAGCCAGGAGGGTACTGTGATGAATGCTTGTAATCCCAGCTACTTAGTGACTGAAGTGGGAGGACTGCTTGAGCCCAAAACTTTGAGGCCAGTCTGGGCAACATAGTGAGACCCTATCTCTTTAAAAAAAAATTTCAAACTGGAATCACTAATAATTGGAGAGTGTTGTCAGCTGCACTATTTTTTCTTGTTGTTAAAGGGTGAGCTTGGAATGTCTGATCAAAGTATGAAATACTGAATCAGAAATATTTTTCTATGTAGATTTCTTCAGGCCTTTCAGAACATGATAGTGGCGATCTGCTCAAGTACACATTTTCTGTGGTAATGGTAAGAATTAAGGACGTAGAGGACCTGCTATAGATGTGGCATGAACAGGCTGAGATGATTATGGCAAAGTCAATACATTTCCTGTTGGTATTTCTTTGGATCCCAAACACATTTCCTTGATCTAATCCATCTTCAGCTTATTTAGAAAGACTTCTGTTTTCATTCCTGTCCCATGATGGGGATTATTTATTTTTTGTTTCTGCCTTCTTCATCTGCTTGTCCCTGACATTGCTTCTAACAATACTTGTGGATTAGAGAAGAATTTGTACTATATCCCAGAGATAGATTTAAGTTGCTGTGTCCTGAAATATTGATGGTTGGGGTTGGTAGACAGAAAACTAATGGAAAAGTGAAAAGGAGAAATGAAATTGCCCAAGTGAAGTTAGAAAACATAATCTAATTACACTGTATCTCTATGTGGACATGTTAATTTCTGCATTTTCCCCTTTTAATTTTGTTAATATTAGAAAGCACTGCTGTGGATTTTTAGTATGTAATTTCTTTTTATTTAGATTACGTACCTGAAAGCAGAAATTGTAATCTAATGTTTTATAGCAGCAAAATGTACTCATTAGCATAATTAGCATAAAATAAACGTACTCCCTCAGGGCTTCTTTTAGTTACAGTTTCTGTTCCCCCTCCCCAAAACTCTTTCACAACTTCTAATAACACAGAATTAATTTTGCTTATTTTAACTTACTATAAATGGAATCATGCAATATGTATCCTTTTATGTTTGACTTTTGATTATCATAGTTCATTCTAATTATTTTATAGTACCCTAATGTAGTATTATACTACAATTTTGATCCCCAGTTTATCAGAGTCTGGTTCTTAGCAAAGATTTGTGGGTCTCTCCTATACCCCTAAACCCCTTTCTGTGGCAGCCAGTCTCTGCTTTGCATGTATGAGTGCCAAGTGTTGTATGTATGAGTGCTGAGTGTTTGCATGTATGAGTGCCGAGTGTTGTATGTATGAGTGCTGAGTGCTGTATATATGAGTGCTGAGTGTTGCATGTATGAGTGCCGAGTGTAGTATATATGAGTGTTGAGTGAGAGAGCTTTTTTTGCATTTCCTCAAACAGTGGCAGATCTATGTCTTGTTTTTGGACAGAACTGGGGACTAAGATTTTTCCCAGCCTGCTCCCTAGGGTATGACAGCTTTTGCTTCTTCCCTTTTCCTAGAACTGGTGATTTTTCCCTGGTTCCTAGGGTCAGAAAGGAGAGTTTTCTATCCCTCCTCAGAGACAAATGAGGTTTGCTTTTACTCCTTCTCCATTGTTCCTGGAAATGAAGGTGTTCCATTTATGTATAAGTGGAAACAAGCATAACTCGGAATTTCTGTATTTTTGCCTGCCTGGTCATTATTTTATTAAATACTGATAATTTAATGTTATCTTCCTCCAGAGAGAATATACTTTTGCTTATGGAGGATATTAGAGTAGGGCAGTGCTATAGATTGGATGTTTATCCCTGAAAAATCCATGTTGAGATTTGATCCCCCATGTTGCAGTTAGGGTATAGTGAGGTGTTTGGATCATGGAGGCAGATCCCTCATGAATTGTTTGGTGTCATCCTTGCAGTAATGAGCAAATTCTTGCTCTATTAGTTCCTACTAGAGCTGGTTGTTTTAAAAAAAAAAAAAAAAAGCCTGGCATTTCCTTCCTCTTTTCTTGCTCCCTCTCTCTTTCCACGTCATCTCTGCGCACACCAGCTCCTCTTCCCCTCTGCAATCAGTGGAAGTAATCTGAGGCCCTAACCAGATGCAAATTCTGGTGTCATGCTTCCTGTATAGCCTGTAGAACCATGAGCCAAATAAAACCTCTTTTCTTTATAAATTACCCAGCCTTATAGCAAGACAAACAGATGAAGACAGACAGGTCACATTATTCTAGTCATTAAATGAATTTACTTAAGTTGAGCCTCAGGCTTTGTGAGAAATGGTCTATTTCCATTTCTTCCTTATTATTAAGATATAGGCCCATATGGTCCTCACTGAAAGGACATCATTATCACCCAATGCCAAGACCAGCTTGGTCAGGGAGACCCTAGTGGTGCTAGAGGAATTAAAGACACACACAGAAATATAGAGTATGGAGTGGGAAATTAGGAGTCTCACAGCCTTCAGAGCTGAGAGCCTCGAACAGAGATTTACCCACATATTTATTGACAGCAAGCCCATGATAAGCATTGTTTCTATAGATTATAGATTAACTAAAAGTATTCCTTACAGGAAACAAAGGGATGGGCTGAAATAAAGGGATGGGCTCTGGCTAGTTATCTGCAGCAGGAGCATGTCCTTAAGGTACAGATTGCTCATGCTGTTGTTTGTGGCTTAAGAACGCCTTAAGTGGTTTTCCACCCTGGGTGGGCCAGGTGTTCCTTGCCCTCATTCTGGTAAGCCAACAACCTCCCAGCGTGGGCATCATGGCCATCACAAGCATGTCACGGTGCTGCAGAGATTTTGTTTATGGCCAGTTTTGGGGCTAGTTTATGGCCAGATTTGGGTGCCTATCCTCAGCAACCTAATAGATATTTACAGAACATTTTATCCAACAGCTGCAGAATACACATTTTTCTCCCCAACACATGCATCATTTATAAGAGGAGACCATATGTTAGGTCACAAAATGTCTTAAAAAATTCAAAAGAGTTGAAATCATATGAAATATCTTTTCTGGTCACAATGGAATAAAACTAGAAATTAGTAACAAGAGAAACTTTGGAAACTATACAAACACATGGATATTAAACAATATGCTCCTGAATGACTGGTGGGTTAATGGATAAATTAAAGAAATTGAAAATTTTTTGAGGCAAATGAAAATGGAAACACAACATACCAAAACCTGTGGGATATATCAAAAGCAGTATTAAGAGAAACATTTACAGCAATAAATGCCTACATCAAAAAAGTGGAAAAACTTGAAATAAACAAACTAATGATGCATCTTAAAGAACTATAAAAGCAAGAGCAAACCAAACCCAGAATTAGTAGAAGAAGTAATACATATCAGAGCAGAAATAAATGAAATTGAAACAAATACAAAAGATCAATGAAGTGAAAAGTTGGTTTTCAGAAAAGATAAATAAAATCAACAAACTGTAAGCCAGACTAATAATAAAAAAGACCTAAATAAATTCAGAGATGAAAAAAGAGATATTACAACTGATACTACAGAAATTCAAAGGTTCATTGAAAATACTATTAGCAATTACATGTCAATAAATTAGAAAACCTAAAAGGACACGCAACCTACAAAGACTGAACCATGAAGAAATCCAAAACCTGAATAGACCAATAGCAAGTAATGATATCAAAACGATAATAAAAAGTCTCCCATCAGGAAAATTCAGGGCACAATGGCTTTACTGCTGAATTTTACCAAACATTTAAAGAAAAACCAGTACCAAATTTCCTCAAATTATTCTATAAAATAGAGGAGGAAAGAATACTTCCAAACCCATTCTTTGAGGCCAGTATTACCCTAATACCAAAACCAGACAAAGACCCAACAAAAAAAGAAAATTAAAGGCCAGTGTTTCCGATGAATATTGATGCAAAAATATTCAGCAAAATACTAGCAGACTGAATTCAACAGCATATTAAAAAAGACCATTCATCAAGACCAAGTGGGGTTTATCCCAGGGATGCAAGGATGGTTCAACATATGCAAATCAAATTATACATCATGTCAACAGGATGAAGGACAAAAACCATATGATCATTTCAATTGATGCTGAAAAAGCATTTAGAAAATTCAGCATTCCTTCATGATAAAAACCTTCAAAAAAGTGGGTGTAGGAGGAACATAACACGACACAATAAAAGCTATATACATACTGAATGGGAAAAATCTGAAAGCCTTTTACTATTGTTATTCAACTTAGTTTTGGAAATCCTAGCTAGAGCAATCAGACAGGAGAAAGGGATAAACGGCATCCAAGTTGGAACAAAAGAAATCAAATTATCCTTGTTTGCAGAGGATATGATCTTATATTTAGGAAAACCTAAAGACTCTACCAAAAAAAATAGAACTGATAAATTCAGTAAAGTCACAGAATGCAAAATCAACATACAAAAATAAGCAGCATTTCTATATGCCAACAGTGAACAATCTGAAAAGGAAATCAAGGCTTGATGCGGTGGCTCACGTCTGTAATCTCAGCACTTTGGGAGGGTGAGGTGGGTGGATCACTAGCGGTCAGGAGTTCAAGACCAGCCTGGCCAACATGGCAAAAAGCCGTCTCTACTAAAAATACAAAAATTAGCCGGGTGTGGTGGCGCATGCCTGTGGTCCCAGCTACTTTGGTGGTTGAGGCATGAGAATCGCTTGAACCTGGGAGGCGGAGGTTGCAGTGAGCCCAGATTGTGCCACTACACTCCAGCCTGGGTGACAGAGTGAAACTGTGTCTCAAAATAAAAAAGAAAGAAAAGAAAAGAAATCAAGAATGTAGTCCCATTAATAACAGCTACAAATAAAATAAAATACTTGGGAATAAACTTAACCAAAGAAGTGAAAGAGTCTATAATGAAAACTATAAAACATTGATGAAACTGAAGAGGACACAAAATGGAAAGATCTTCCATGTTCAAGGATTGAAAGAATCAGTATTGTTAAAATGTCTGTACTACCCAAAACAATCTACACATTCAGTGCAATCCCCATCAAAATACCAATGACATTCTTCACAGAAATAGAAATAATAGTCCTGAAATTTATATGGAACCACAAAAGACCCAGAGTAGCCAAAAGTCATCTTGTGAAAAAAATGGAGAAATCACAGAGTACTTGTGTGCTTGACTATTCAATGCCTGCAATAAGTTTTCCGACAATGAAAACTACTTTACTTCATTTTCTATTTTATTTTAATTACTGATATTTAATATTTTATTTTTGTTATTTATTTCTATCACTAATTTTAATAGGTAATAAGAATTTTCTGACTAAAATAAGTTAAATGTGTGATTTTAATGAAATATCAATTAGATTCATGGACATAGATACAGGGATGCGAAGATGTGTAATAAATTTCCTCAAAAGTTTCTTCTTACCTCAGTTACTGCTGAGTGATCATGACATGCTTCCCCTCTGAGGTCAGCTAAAGGTTTCAACTCTGCACCCCAGGGAGGGGTGAGAGTTAAAACCCATTTACCATTCTTATACTAAATGAACCAGATCCCATCTATTCTCATATAATCAAAATACCTGGAGTACAACAACAAAAGTATTTTTTATGCAAGATAACATTTAATCTGAGATTACATAATGTGAAATATCCTGCTTTTCTTATTCCTTGCAAATATAATAAATAGTGCTCATGGATAAGTATCAGGACATAAGAAATAAGAACTATTATATGCTCTATGAATACGGTATTTTATTTACACTGGACTTATAATAGTATAATAAAGACTAACTTGGTGATGGCATGATGACAAAGTACTTTTACTAATTCAAGTTTTATTTTACTCTTAAAAAAACACCAAAAACAATTTCTTAAGTGATTTTGTTTAGCTGCTTCCCCACAAGGAATTGGATAGTAATCCCATTTTACTTAGATACATTTCCTTAGATCTTTTCCAAGTTTCAGGAATATATGCCTTCAGTTCATGTGAACTGTCACTAGGTGACCAACTTTCATAGCCCTGCATGTGCCAATTCACTCAACATACATTTTGTATCTTCTATACAAAGATGATTAAGGCTTGGTCTTTTGGGGAACTCACAATTTATATCTACACAAATAATCACTATCTAATACCTACAAATATAGATATGAAGGAGCACAGACAAGAGATTTGAGGATTTGAGAAAGTCTTCAAAAGAAAGAGACATTTAATTTGAGTCTTGAAAAACTTGCAAGAGCTCACTACTCACAGGAAAAGGTGAAAGTGGCAGCCTGGGCAAAACATTTAAAAGCTTCCAGGCAAAAAGCCTTGAAAACATAGAAGGACAACATATATTTCGGAAATACATTGAAAGCAGAGAACAGTAAGTAAACTATTGCATTAGTTTGTACAGGACACAGTGAAGGGTTTCATTAAAAGTAGTGGCATTAGTAATGAAGATAAGGGCCTTCTGAATAGACTTTTTCAAAGTAATTTGATAAGACTTGGCAATTAAATGTGGTAGTAGGAGGAGATGAGGTTGATGGAATAATCAAAGATGATTTGATATTTTCATCTCAGGTTACTATCTAGAATATAATGATAGTCATTGAAATGGAGAATGTAAGAGAAAGAATATTTGGGGTGGTAGAAAGGAAAACCTTACTTGAAAGAGATACATTAGGTTTTAAATATGTTAATATTGAGATTATCAGGTAAAGGGCTGAGAGATCTAGATTCAGCAGGTAGCTCGAAATGGAGTTTAGGAGCTTGGTGTGGCCTGTAGGTTGTGTTATGGGAGACACACTGGAATCACTGAAGCAGAGACAAGGTTGGTAGAGTTGTTGGGCCAGTACTAGGTAAAAGTTCAAAGTAGGGTAAAAAAAGCTGATGGCAGGACTTAGATAAAGAATTGCAACTCAAAATACGATAAGCCAGAGACAACAATGAAGAGAGGACAAATCCAGAGGATAGGATAAGGCAGGCGATTAAAAACCTGAGCAGATAGGCAGGAACAAGGGGCTTTGTGGAAACTAGAAGAGCAGGGCAGAATAGCCAAGGTAACAGATTCAAGGAAGTCATCGAAATGTTAACAAATTAAGCAAGAGATTTTGCCAGTCCTGGAGCTTGTTGCAGAAGCAAGAACCTATTCCGAAGCATTATGACTTGAGGCTTCACTCAGATATTATTGAAAATACTTCTAAAGAGTAAGGAATCACAGTAGAGATAAGGCTGTTCTCAAGTAGCTGCAGTGATAATTATATTTCATACTTGTGTATCTTCCTATGCCAGAACAAAAGCTATCTTACTTTTTGGATATTGAAGAATGAAACACTCAAATTACAAACATTGTAATTTCCCCCCTCCCCTACCCTCCTTCCTTCGTTTCCTTTGTTGCTTAATACCCTTTTCATTATTTTACTCATTTTCTCTTTTTCTCTTCCCTTCCTTCTTTCCTCGCTTCCTACCATCCATCCTTCAGCCCTTTGTCCTTCCTTCATTTTGTCTCTGTTGAAGAAAAGATCGCTTAGAACCTGTTGTATGTTGAGTTAAGCATCTAAACATTACAGAGGATATTTTGAAGTCCAAATATTCTCCAGTGTAGGAAGAAATATCTTACTCATCATGGCTAGTAAATATTTCCTTCTAAAAATGAGTAAAACTAAAATTAAATTACATTCATGTGGTTTTGACTCTGTTGAACGTATTAGCACTGTATTAAATGGTGTCTTTAAACTTTTTGACGGGTTAGGTGGTTAGCAATTAACTTAAATGTAAAATGATTTAACTGTCAACTATGGGGCTGGAAGCAAACAGAAATATAGGATTGGTTTTGTCATTGTATACCTTTTAACTTAGAAAGCTTCAGTTCCTGAGGTTGAAAATGTAAATCATTTTCTGCTGCCCATTTTGTGATTTTTATGGATACCTTATTTTTAACTTGGTAACTTTTAGAAATCATTGACCTGTTTCTTATAAAAGTTAAATCTAAGATTGTTTTTTAAGAATGTAAACAGAAAGGTTAATAAAATATTTGATAATAGCATTCTCTGGTACTATCCAACATTATTGTCGATTTCTTTCTTATTTTCTTATTTACTTGTAAAAAATTAAAATTGTTTCAGCTGAAATATTTGTGCAGTTCTAGCCTTTTGTACTGAACATCATTTCACAAGGGAGATTTTGGTAAATCTTGTTTGGTTGAAACACATTGTTGTTACTTTAGGTGCTGACTATTCTGATGCCGAGTTTCCAATTGCCTTGATTAAAGTAGAAACATTCTATGGCTTGGATGACTTACATTTCAAATTGGTTTGAGCAAGATGATTGGTATGAAGGACTACAAAGAGTAAGATACATTTACTTGTAATTACGATTTCCTGCGATTTTTTTTCTGCTTTGCTTCTCATATAGTTTTATATCTGTGTCATTTATATCGTGGACATTTTCGCATTGCAAAGTTCTGAGCGTGAATAAGACACTTATTTGCTAGTTTTAAAGCAAAAGTAAGAATATAATAAGGGTAATTATATAGTGAAGAAGAAAGGGCATTTTTTTCTATCCTAATTTCAGATGAGTTCTTAATGTTTTCAAATTCTCTTAGGCTTTAAATATAAAATAATATTTTATATATTGAGATTAATATATGAAAATAGCAACAATTTCAAGCAAGTCTTTCCCATAAAGAAAATCATTTCATGAAACAGAAGATAAATGTATGCTGATACTACTTATTAAACAAATACTTTAAAAGGAAATGAAAACAATTCTGAAGAAGAGTGCCATGTTGCATCTGATAAATTTTTAGGCGGTTAATTAATTATGTTTGAAAACAAACTGCATTGTTAGTGTGGCAACATTTGCATAGTGTTTTGAAAATAGTATTCTAACCTATTATTACAATAATAGAAAAAAATGCTATTTAAAATGTACCTTGTCAAATGGATTTAGTCTAGAATAATATATGATTTCTCTTCGATTATTTTCACTTTTTAAATTTCTTGATTATTTAAATGAAGACAATTTGTATATTTTTATTTTATTAATTAGTGGGACAAAAAAACCAGACTATGTGCAGTTTTACTAGATTTTTCACCACTGTTGTTCAAGGGCATAGGCTGCCAATGATATACAGTACTTTATTTTTCTTTCTTTTTCTTGAGATTCCCATCCTAAGCACATTAATTACAGATATTTTCTCAGTATTACTTCTTTTTAATTATAAATCCTCAACAGTTTAAAGCCTTTTGGACTTTTTTTTCAGATACTTTTTTTGTAAGCTGTGAAAAAATCCAGTAAACATCTCTGGAGCCAGTAAATATCTAACTCTGAAGAATAATACTCATATTGTAAATCCTAAAGCATTCTTCAGAAAAGGAGTTGAGAGTTAATGAGCAGTTTTCCATCCTGAGTTTCAATTTCAGGTATAAATGATGGAAATATTTCAGCTTATGAGTTTAATAGTAATACTTCAAGCCCCACTTACACACACACACACACACACATACACACACACACACACACACACACACACAATGCCAATATCCTTGTTTGTATTGTGTGCAGGAATGGGAACTGATTTTAAGAAAAATGCTTTTTAATGAAATGTGTTTCCTTTAAAATGACTTTGGAGAAGCTCATGGAGATTATGAGAATTCAAAATCTTCCTCTTCTTGCCCTTTATACTACTATGGGCCTTTATAAATGAATGCCTGGTTTTGAAACATACTAAAAGTGTAGCTGTTGTTAAAATATAGAAATAGATTGACCCTAAAATTACTATATTACTGTGAGTTTGAGCTCCTTCCGGCTTAAGTATTGACCAGCTCTCATACATGTGTAGATGAAAATGAAAGATCCTATTCTGAATGAAAAAAAATTGGCACATGAATATTGACCTTAATTTCTTTCAAAAATCCAACTTATGCCCTCCTGGTGCTTACCACAGGCTGTGTTCTTACACTGACTGTATAGAATGAGAAGGTAGAATAAATCTACCCCATATGCACTTCAGCCCAACTGAAGTGTGTTGTTCCTGGGCCAAAAAGACTGTATTTTCTGAAGCAACAAATCTTTGAAGTAGACATGAAAATTCTTGAGTGGTTCACATATTAATGAAACATTCTAAAGTAAGGATAATAAAGGCTTTGTAAAACATTTATCTGCAGTATATTACCTGTCATAATTAAATATGTTTCTTTACCTTTATATGTGACATATTTTGTAGGATTTATATTTAAAATATAGATATATATTTTGAAATGGACCTTCAGTGGACTGTTTTCTGTTTTTAGTAATGCAGAATCATGAATTGAGTAACAATTCATGCTGACTACAAAGATAACAAAAGGTTCTGGACATTTTGTTTCATCTCCTTGGCAACTGTAGATACAATTTAATGAAGACTGAATAATTATTACATATCTTTTTTAGTCCTTTTGCAAAAATAATTTAGAAATTCACATATTAGACTTTGTTTGAATATGTAATTCAGATTTTAAATGTAATAATATATATTCAATAATGTATGATATGCTTTTTATCTTTTATTTAGAATCATAGATTTTAAAAAATATCTATTTTTTTTGAAATAGCTATTTTATTTTGTCCTAATTATTATTTTAATATCTGGTTTAGCAAGTTATTTGACTCTGAATTTTAAAAGGATTTAAGTGTTGGTTTGTAAGACCTGTAAAAGCTATTTAAGAACAAAGGTACACCAAATTTTATGTCAACATAGAAATGCTTATATTATCTAATTTTGGAAACTAAAAAATAATAAATCAAGATATACTCTGAGTTAAAGTCAAAATGTATTGGCATAAATTTAGAAGTTTATTTTTGTTTTTAATAAATAAGCAGAGAAACTGCTGGTTTCTAGTTCAGTATGTAAGCAGCTTAGAAGTTGCTACTCCATTTTAGCCAATAAAAAATTGAACGCATTGAAAACTCAACAACTCTTCCTAGATCCACCTGAGAAGTAAGGGCACAAGGCAAATCACTGCCCTCAAAATTATTGAGATAGAAATGCAGTTACAGAGAATTGCAACTTACCAGAGCAGAAATGAATTAGCAGAAACTAACCTGGGCATCACTGCCAGAGTAAGAAAATCTGAACTGTAACTGATAAATTGATGGAAGCACAATATGGTCAGGTCTGAGGGTTAAAAACTTCACGGGAACCCAGTAATGGGGGTGGCGGGGGAGCTTTTGTAAGTTTTACTTCCAGGAGCTCTAAACTGGTGCTCACAGTGCATATTAGAGAAGAATATCCTCTTGCTTCCAGCAGGGGGAGGGGAAAAGAAACCACTTAAATTACACTAGAGCATTCTGTTCTTTATTTTTAACCAACTTTTAAAATAATTTATATAAAATTATGGAGTACAAGTACAATTTTGTTACATGCATAGATTGCACAGTGATCAAATCAGGGCTTTTAGGGTATCCATCACCTGAATAATGTACATTGTACCATTCAGTAATTTCTCATCATCCACCCCCTCCCACTCCTTCACACTTTGGAGTCTCCCTTGTCTAACATTCCACTTTTGTGTCCATGTGTACACATTTTTTTTACTACCCAGTTATGAATGGGAACATGTGATATGTGACTCTCTGTGCATGGCTTGTTTCACTTAAGATAATGACCTCCAGCTGCATGCATGTTGCTGCAAAATACATGATTTTTAATGGCTGAATAGTATTCCACTGTGTATATATACCACATTTTCATTATCTGATCATCTGTTGATAGACACTTAAGTTGATTCTATAGCTTTGCTATTGCAAATAGTGCTGCAATAAACATATGAGTGCAGGTATCTTTTTGCTATAATGATCTATTTCCTTTTGGGTAGATACACAGTAGTAGGATTACTGGATCATATAATAGCTCTAATTTTAGTTATTTGTGAAATCTCCATACTGTTTTCCATAAAAGGTGTATTAATTTTCATTCCCACCAACAGTGTATGAATTCTCTTTTCCCCATATCCTCACCAACATCTATTATTTCTGTCTTTTTAGTAATAGGCACTCTGAGTGGTGGAAGATTATATCTCATTGTAGTTTTAATTTGCATTTCTCTGATGATCAGTGATGTTGAGCATTTTTTCATATACCTCTTGGCCATTTGTATGTCTTCTTTAGAAAAATGTCTACTCATGTCCTTTGCCCACTTTTTAATGGGATTATTTGTATTTTTGTTGTCATTGAGTTGTTTGGTTTCTTTGTATATTCTGGATATTAGTCCCCTGTTGGATGAATAGTTTGCAGATATTTCTCCTATTCTGCAGGTTGTGTGTTCTCTCTGTTGATTATTTCTTTGGTTGTGCAGGAGCTCTTTAGTTTAATTAAGTCCCATTTATCTATTTTTGTTTTTGCTGCCTGTGCTTTTGAGGTCATAGTATACATACCTTGCCTAGATGAATGTCCATAAGAGTTTCCCCTAGGTTTTCTTCTAGTATTTTTATAGTTTCTGATCTTGCATTTAAGTGTTTAGTACATCTTGAATTGTTTTTTTTAATATGGTGATAGCTATGGGTCTAGTTTTATTCTCCTGTATATGGATGTCTAATTTTTCCAGCACTATTTATTGAAAAGGGTATCCTTTCCTCACTCTGTGTTCTTGTTGGCCTTGTTAAAGATCAATTCACTGTAGATATGTGGCTTTATTTCTGGGATCTCTATTCTCTTCCATTGATCTATATGTCTATTTTTTATACCAGTACCATGCTATTTTGGTTACCATAGTCTTGTAATATAATTTGAAGTCAAGTAATGCATTGCCTCCAGTTTTATTCCTTTGGTTTTGGATTGCATTGGCTATTTGTGCTCTTGTTTGGTTCTATATGAATTTTAGGATCGTGGCATTCTGTTCTTAAAACCTACCCTCAAGAGAACCTATTTGTCCAGAGCGTAACTCTGGGGTTTTAGAAGAGCCTTACCTACCTGGGAGAAGGAAAATACCCAACATCAGCCCCCTTCAGCCATCCTGTCCCACCTAAGCAGGGCTGGGGGTACTGAGAAGCACTGGTCATGGGCACGTGACTGAGACCTAATCATAGGACTTTAGAATGCTCACTCTACCCCCATATCTTACCACTACATTACTAAAGGCCTATTTACAGCACTTTCTTTTATGTAGTTCATCATGTGCACCTCACAAACATTTACATGATAAACAAAAGGCAAAAAAATACAGTTTGAAGAGACAGATAAAGCATCAGAACCAGAGTCAGATACGACAGAAATGTTGGTATTATCAGACAAGGAATTTAAAAAACTACAATTAATTTGCTAATAGCTTTAATGGTAAAAGTAGACAACATGCAGGAATGGATTGAAGGAGAACAAAGTGGGATAACTAACACTACCCAACTTAAAGACTTACTATATAGCTCCAATAAAAAAGACAGCCATGGTATCTGCAAAAGGATAGACAGATAGATCAATGGAACAGAATAGAGGGCTTAGAAATAGATCCACATAAATATACTCAACTGATATTTGATAAAGGAGCAAAGGCGATACAGTGAAACAAAGATAGTCTTTTCAACAAATGAGGCTGGAATAACTGGATATACAATGTTAAAAAAAAAGAATCTAGACACAGGCCTTATATATTTTACAAAAATTAACCCAAAATGCGGCATAGAACTACATGTAAAATGCAAAACTGTAAAACTCATAGAAGGTAACATAAGAGAAAACCTGGATGACTGTGGGTTTGGCTAGCACTTTTTAGATACAAAAGGTATGTTTTATGAAAAATAATTGATAAGCTGGACTTTATTAAAATGAAAATCTTCAATTTTTACAATATCAAACAGAATAAGAAGGCAAGCCACAGAATGGAAGAAAATATTTGCACATCTGCTAAAGATCTGTTATCCAAAATATACAAATAATTTATATAACTCAGTAACTAGAAGATTGAACAACCTGGTTTTAAAGTGGGCAAAAGAGCTGAACAGATACCTCACCAAAGAATGTATATTCATGACAAGTGAGCATGTGAAAAAATGTTCAACATCATTTGTCTTTGGGAATTGCAAATTAAATCAATTAGATACCACTACACATCTATTAGAATGGCTAATATCCAAACACCAGATGCTGGCAAGGATGTGGAGCAACAGGAACTCTCATTTCTGATGGGAATACAAAATGACACAGATCTTATGGAAGACAGTTTGATGGGTTCTTACAAAGCTAAACATATTCTTACTATATTATCCAGCAGTTGTGTTCCTTGGTATTTATCTAAATGAATTAAACAGCTGTGTCCACACAAAAAGCAGCACATGGATGTTTATAGCAGCTTTAAGCATAATTGCTAAAACACAGAAGCAACAAGTATGTCCTTCAGTAGACTGGTGGATAAATAAACTGTGCTACATCTAGATAAATAGTATTATTCTGCACTAAAAAGCAATGAGCCATTAAGCCATGAAAGGCACTAGAAATCTCTCTCCCCACCTAGACAACAATTGCACTGGTACAGTCTGTCTGATGTAATTATTTTGTAATACCAGAATCTATGAAGGCTTGCAACTTCCAGGGGAAGGCTTGGATGATAAGTTGAAGTTAGTAAGCTTTAGTTCTCAGCACAGTGGCAGCTACTCATCCCTCACCTCAAGCCCCAGGGCAGACAAGTGAGCATGTATCCCAGAAGTATCTTGCAAGCAGCTTATGTGAACCAGGGTAGAAAAAAAAGCACTCTGTCCTTTATATATCAGTGATCTACTGCTTCTGATCACAGAAGTGCAGACAAAGAGGCAGGCAGCCATTGTTATTGCACCTACCTCCATGTTACAAGCTCCTCCCCCTCCAGCTGAAGCAATTTCAAGGGGACTTAAAGGGCTGAATCCCTTAATTTTTTTCTTTTTACCCTTTTGGGAGCCATCCATTAAAGCCTATGCAATTCAAAAGCAACTGCCTATACAAAGAAAATTAGGAAGTTACTATGCATGAACAGAGGACACAGGTTCAGAATAACCCTGAGTAGTCCTTATGTTTATACCTGAGGATGATCCTTGACACAGACAGCCCACAACAATTGAAAACAAAAACAATAAATAAAAACAAAAACAGCAAACTCTGATTTCCAGAGTTACCATATTACTAGATTCAAGTGTCCAGGGTTCAACAAAAAGCCACAAGGCCTAAAAAGAAACAGAAAATTATGTTTCTTTCAGTGGAAAAAAAAATAAACAGATGCTTTCTGAAAAAGACCTGATGAAAGATCTACTAGACAAAGACTTTAAAACAACTGTCTTGGGATGCTTAAAAACTAAAGGAGATATGGAGAAAGTCAAGAAAACAATGTATGAACAAAATAGAAATAATAGAGATAGAAAACCAAAAAAAGAATTGTAGGGCTGAAAAATATAATAACAAGTAAAATAGAAGAATTCAAAGACATATTTAAGAAGAAAATATTAGCAAATATGAAGATAAGACAATAGAAAATATTGAGTCTGAGGAACAGAAAGAAATTGAAGAGAAGTAAGCAAAACCGAAGGGACATAAGGGACACTATGAAGCCCACCAATATGCACTCATGTGGGAGTACCAGAAGAGAAGAGAGAGAGATGGAAGAGAAGAGAGAATATTTGAAGGAATAATGGCAGAAAACTCCTCAAATTTGATGAAAAACATGAAGTAAATTTCCAAGAGTTTCAGCAAGCTCCAAGAATTTGAACTGAAATAGACACACATGGAGACACATCATAATCAAATCTTGAAAAGCAGAGTGAATCTTGAAATTAGTAAGAAAGAAGTGATTAACACATACATACAGGGATCCTCAATAGTATAAACAGCAGATTTCTGATATGAAACTTTAGAGACTGGAAGGAAATGGGCCAATATATTTAAAGTGCTAAAAGAAAAAAAGAATGTCAACCAAATATCTTTTATCCTGCAAAACTGTCTTTCAGAAGTGAGGGAGAAATTAATACATTTCCCAGTAAACAAAAACTGAGGGAGTTCATTATCTTTAAACCTGCTTTGGAAGAAATGCTCAAGGAAGTTCTGCAGGGTGAAATGAAATGACACTAGACAGTAACTCAAAGCCATATGAAAAAATAAAGATCTTGATAAAGGTAAATACATGGACAATTATAAGTGCTAGTATTTGGAAACAATGCTATTGTTTGTTTTCATCATCATTTAAGAGAATAAAATATTTTAAAAATTCTTAGTATACAAGTAGTATTATTGTAACTTTGGTTGGTGATTCCACATTTTATTTTCTCTTAATTTAAAAAACTAATGTATTTAAAATAATTAATTAGTTTGTGTTTCAGGCCACACAATATATAAAGATGTAATTTTTTGACATCAACAACTTAAAGGTGTGGGGTTGGAGTTTTAAAGAAGCTGAGGTTTTGTATGTAATTGAAGCTAATTTGGAATAAAGTTAAATTAGAGTCTTGTAACTTTAGCATGTTAAGTTTAATCCCCATGGTAGCCACAAATAAAATAGCTATAGGATATACACAGAAGAAAATGAGAAAGGAATTCAAAGTTTCACTGCAAAAATTAACTAAACACAAAAGACAAAAGCGTTGCAGGAAATGAGGACAAAAAAACTATGAAGCATATTGGAAATGAATAGCAAAATGACAGAAGTAAGTCCTTTATCAGGAATTATTGTAAATGTAAATGGATATTAAGCTCTTCAAACAAAAGAGATTGGCAGAATTAATTTAAAAAAAGATCCATCTGTATGCCGTCTACAGTTGATTCACTTGAGATCCAAAGACACAAATAGATTGAAAGTAAAAGGATGAAAAAAATTTTTTCCATGCACAGAGTAGCAAAAAGAAAGCAGGCATGCCCTATATTAATATTAGATGAAATTGATTTTTAGTCAAAAAAGTTCAGAAAAGTCAAAGAAGGACACTATATATTAATAAAGTTTCAATGCAGCAAAATATAAGTTATAACATTTATACACCTAAAAAACACCATCAAAATATATGAAGCAAAAACTAACTGAATTGAAGGGATAGATAGTTCTACAATAATAGTTGGATAATTCAATACCCCATTCTCAATAATGAATACATCAGACAGAAAATAAGTAAGGAAACTGAGGACTCAAACAATATATTAATCCAATTAGATCTAACAGACATATACAGAACACCCTACTCAGTAACTGCATACACATTCTTCTTAAGTGCACATGGGATGTTTTCTAGGATAGACAATATGTTTGGCCAAGTATTAAGCCTCAATAGATTTTAAAAAGTAGTTATCATACATTATGTCTTCTCTGAACACTGTGGGATAAAGTTAGAAATCAATAACAGAAAGAAAACTGAAAAATTCGCAAATTTGTGGAACTTAACACACTCTCCAACAACCAATGGATGAAAGAAGAAATCACAAGGGAAAGTAGAAAACTCTTAGAGATGAGTGAAAACAAAAGCACAACATACCAAAACTTATGGGATGCAGTGGAATCAATGCCAGGGGGCAAATTTGTAGCTATAAATGCTTTCATTAAAGCATTTATAGGATCTCAAATTAGCAACCTATTTTTACAACTTAAGGAACTAACAAAAGAATAAACTAAACCCAAAACTAGAATGAAGGATATAATATCTAAGCAGAGATAAATGAAGTAGAGAATAGAAAAAAAAATAGAGAAAAAGATCAACGAAATTGTCAAACCTGTAGCTGGATAAACTAAGAAAAAGAGAGAAGACTCAAATTATTAAAATCACAAATAAAAGTTGGAACATCTCTACAGATTATAAAGAAATTAAAAACGTTATAAGATAGTAGTAGGAACAATTGTACACCAACTAATTCAATAACCTAGATGAAATGGGCAAATGCAACAATTTTAAAAAGCCATGCTAAAATTGATATAGAAACTCAAGAGACCCTGAATAACAAAACTGGGGGACTCGCATTTTCTGATTTCAAAACTTGTTGCAATACTACAGTAATCAAAACAGTGTCATACCAGCATAAAGGCAGTTATATAGACCAGTGGAATATAATATTTTATCCTGCAAATATATATAAATTTATATATAAATATAAAATAGAGACTTCAGAACTAACCCCTTACATATATGGCCAAATATCTTTTGCCAAGAGTGGCAATACCATTCAATGCAGAAAGGCCAGTCTTAACATATGGTGCTGGGAAAACGAAATATCCACATGCAAAAGAATGAAATTGGACTCTTACCTAACACCATATAAAAAAATTAAAATGGATCAAAGACACTTAATGTTAAGACCAATATCTTTAAAGCTTTTAGAAGAAAACAGAGGACAAAGCTTCACAACATTGGATTTGACAGCAATATCTGGGATATGATAACAAAGGCACAGGCATCAAAAGCAAAAAACATGCAAATTGGATTTCATGAAAATTAAAAATTTTGTGCATCAAAAGAAAAACACTGGCCAGGCATGGTGGCTCACATCTGTGATCTGGGCACTTTGGGAGGCTGAGGCAGGATGATCACTTGAGGCCAGGAGTTCGAGACCAACCTGTGCAGCGTGGTGAGACTCTGTTTCAACAACAACAGAAAATAGCCAGGCATGATGGCGCATGCCTATAGGCCTAGCTACTTGGGAGTCTGAGGCAGCAGGATCACGTGAGCCTAGGAGTTTGAGGTTGCAGTGAACTATGATCATGCCACTACACTCCGGAAGGAAACCTGTCTGTAGAAAAAGAAAAAGAGGAAGAAGGAAAGAAAAACCCTATCAACAGTAAAATGGACAGCAACCCACAGAATGAAGAAAATATTTGTAAATCACATATCTGATATGGGATTAATACCGCAAATATAGGGAAAACTCCTAAAACTCAACAATTACAAAGAAACGTGATTTACCTGATTGAAAAATGGACAAGATACTTTAATAGATGTTTCACCAAAGAAGTTACGGAAATGGCTGATAAGCACATGAAAAGTTGCTCAACATTATTAATCTTTAGGGAAATGCAAATCAAAAGAACAATAAGACACCATTTCACACCAATTAGAATGGCTATTATCAAATAACAGAAAATAGCACGTGTTGGTGAGGATGAGTTAGCCAAACACTTGTGCCCTGTTGTAATGTAAAATGGAATTGCTGCTGTGGAAAACAGTATGGTAGTTTTGCAAAAAAGTAAAAATAGAATTATTATTTGATCTAGTATCCCACTTCTGCATATAAACCCTCCAAAATTGAAAGCAGGGTGTGGAAGAGATATTTGTACATCCGTTTTCATAGCAACATTTTTTGTAATAGCTAAAACATGGAAGCAATCCAGGCGACAAATCACAGACACGTGGATAAGGAAATATGGCATATATGCACAATGGAATATTATTCAGCTTTAAATCAGAAGGAAATTCTGACATACACTACAACATGGATGAAACTTAAGGACATTATGTATTCAAGTCTTTTGCCCATTTTTGAATCAGATAAATCATGTTTCTTTGTCACTCTTGAGTTTTAGGAATTCTCCCTATATTTGGGATGTTAATCCCTTAACAGATATGTGGTTTACAAATATTTTTTCCCATTCTTTGGGTACTATTGATAGTGTTTTTCCCTTCCTTCCTTCCTTTCCTTCCTTCCTTCCTTTTTTTCTTCCTTCCTTCCTTTTCCTTCTTTCCTTCCTTTTTTCCTTCCCTCCTTCCTTCCTTTTTTCTTCCTTTTTTCCTTCCTTCCTTCCTTATTTTTTTCCCTTTTGTCCCTTCCTTCCTTCCTTCTTTCTTTCCTTCCTCCCTTCCACCCTTCTTCCCTTCCTCCTGCCCTCCCCACTTGCCTCCCTCTCCCCTATCCCCCAAGACAGGGTCTCTTTCTATCACCCAGGCTGGAGTGCAGTAGCATGGTCATAGCGCACTGCAACCTTACACTCCTGGTTGCACATTATGAATGTATTTAATACCTTTGAATTGTACACTTAAAAATGGTTAAGAAGTTAGATTTTATGTTATGTGTATTTTACCACGATAAGAAAAGGAGAAAAGGAAAAGAAATTAGCTATCGAGCCATGAAAAGACATGAAGCCAAACTAAATGTATATTACTAACTGAAAGAAGGCAGTCTGTAAAGGCTACATAATGTACAGTTCCAACTATAAGACATTGTGGGAAGGCAAAACTATGGAAACATTAAAAGATTAGTTGTTGCCAGGAATTGGGGAGGGGGAGGGATGAATAGGCAGAGCACAAAGGACTTTTTAGAGCCGTGAAGCTGCTCTTGCCCATACTGTAATGGTGGATACCTATCATTACACATTTGTCAAAACCTGTATGATGGAGAACATCAAGAATGAGCTCTAATGTAAACTGTGGACTTTGAGTGATAATGATGTGTCACATAGGCTCATCAGTTTTAACATGTGCCATCCGGTGCTGAGTGTTAATAGTGGGGAAACTTGTGTTATGGGGTGGGGGAGGCTATGAGGGGTATATGGGAAATCTCTGTACTTATTGCTCAATTTTGCTGTTTTTCTAGGAATTGTTAATTATTAAAAATGTGTAAAAAACATTACCAGAAAGTGAAAATTTTAAAATGACTTTTGTTTATTTATTTATTTGAGACTTGCTGTGTCTCCCAGGCTAGAGTGCAGTGGCATGATCACAGTTCACTGCAACATGCACCTCCCAGGCTCAAGCAATCTTCCCACCTCAGCTTCCCAAGTAGCTGGGGCTACAGGCACGCGCCACCACCCCTGGTTAATTTTTGTAATTTTTGTAGAGATAGGGTCTCCCTACGTTGCCCAGACTCATCTTGAACTCCTGGGTTCAAGCGATCCACCCATCTTGGCCTCCCAAAGTGCTGGGATTACAGGCATAAGCCCCTGTGCTTGGCCAAATAACTTCATTTTAAATGTGTGTTTAAAGATTTTTCTTTAATTATGTTTCTTTTCCAAATATAAACTCAATATTTGGTTAAACAGAAATCAAAAGACATTTTTACTTAGATGCAAATGTTATAAATAGTAATTTAATAGATCCCCACATAATCTCCAAAAGTCAATGTAACTCACATTGTGGCTGAAATAATGTACATTTTCAGCGAAAGATACTGTAACATTACTAAGTGTAAAAAAAAAAAGAAGTGTATATCTTTTTTATTTACCCTGAATGCTAATGTTTGAGGAAATACAGGTGTCATTAGACGAGGAGGAAAGTTTCTGAATACATAAAAGCACTCAAGATTGGTAGCCCTGTTTGTTTGTCATGCCAGCTTGTACTTCAAGTAATTTATTTACTTTTTTTCCTAAATCTATCACTAATTCTGCTCAGATAAGGGGATTTAATGAGATGAAGACAGAAAGAATTGGAGAAGAGAAGAGGAGATGAGAAGAAAGTAGATCCTTTTCAGAAGTGGAAATATGAAATAGAAAAGATAAAATGAAGAACGTAGTTTCGTAAATAAATATGAGTTAGTGATCTATGGGAGAAAATGTAACCATTTAAAATTTACTAATTGCTGAGCATTAAAAGAATTAGATTAAGAGTTGGAAGGTTCAGGGTGTACACTGAACAAGCTTCTATAAGACTTGAGATGTAGATCAGATGTGTATAAATTTATGTGTGTAGGTTTTGTATGTGTGATATTTTACATGTTGTGGTTTTGACATTAACATTATGCAAAGCTTTTGAGCAGCATAAACTAAATATTGACTACCCAATATATTAGTCACGTAAAACCAAATTTATTATAGCTCTCAGTTTTCTACTTAATTTTCCAAGCTAAAATATTTAAGATTATAATCACTACTTACATTTTTTCCTTATTTAAAAATCAGATATGAAATTGACAATAGTGAAAAATTGAATTTACCTGGTGTAACTTTGTAGTAGTGTAAATGGAAGATTGTCTCTCATATTAGGAGCTCCTCTCTTTATTTTTTATTTATTTATTTTTATTTTTTTTGAGACAGAGTCTCGCTCTGTTGCCCAGGCTGGAGTGCAGTGGTGCCATCTCTGCTCACTGCAAGCTCTGCCTCCCAGGTTCACTCCATTCTCCTGCCTCAGCCTCCTGAGTAGCTGGGACCACAGGTGCCCGTCACCACGCCCGGCTAATTTTTTGTACTTTTAGTAGAGACGGGGTTTCACCATGTTAGCCTCCTGACGTCGTGATCCGCCCTCTTCGGCCTCCCAAAGAGCTGGGATTACAGGCGTGAGCCACCGCGCCCAGCCTATCTTTATTCCTAGACCAGTATTTTAGGCCATAATGGAAAGATAGCTAATAATGGCTTGGATTCTACCTTTAAAAGGCATTTTTTGTCAATAATTTCTTTTTGAATGTCATTTATTAGATAACCACATAGTTTAATACTCTGCACAAATGTGTTTTTTAAGTATGATTTTGTTATGATGAGTTTTCATTATGATCATAGACTTACAGCCTCACCATTTACTGTCTGTTCTCCAGTATCTTAGAGGAATTTAGAGTTTACATATAGATTCATAGCATTTTTTTGATCTGAGAGGAATCTGGTAGAAAATATAGTTCAGAAGCTGTATTTTAGATACGAGAAATAGAGACGTAAGGTTTAATGCTTGACTCCAAGTCACACTCTATGTGTGGTGCAAAGCTTGGTCTAATTCCTTATTTCCTGAAGTCTCAGCCCAGGCCTGCTTCTGCACTACGTTGTCTGCATCTCTGGGGTTGTCTATTCCAACATCCTCTGTCCTGCCACATAGACAATTTTTGTTCAGATACTTTTCAGCTTCTTTCTGCCCGATCCTAACAGTGAACAGTATTGTTAACCTAGCTTATATACCTGTCTTATGCACCTCAAATAGATTTTGTGAGGATGAAGAGTTGATGTAAAAACTGAAGTTCTATGACACAGGTCACAACCCTTCCATTACTGGTCCACAGTGTTTTAAATTTAAACGTGATGCCTTGAATGAATTGCCAGTATTGAAAAATGGATACATTTCACATAAAAATCTGGGTATTTCCGTTTTTCTAGGAAGTTCCATAAATCTTGCAACATGGGATGGCCTTCTTCAGTGATACTATTAATATAGCATGTGCAATTTCTATTTCACTGGAGTTCCTGTCACTGGGTATGTGTTTCCCAGTCCTTGGCCAAATGTCAGCTGTCGTTCCTTCATTATCATATTTCCTGCTTTCCTCATTTAAATTAGTTGCCTTGATGTCTGCAGACATTTAGGGAGTTCAACTGCTGTTCTCTGAAAATAAAAGTCAAAATTAATAGTACTAGTAAAATGTTTTTCAGGGCACACAGGTAAGGGTTGGGGAAGATAGATGTAAAACAATGAGGAAGTTTATCAATAATGGAAATCACTGACATTTCTTCAAATTTGTTTTTCAAGGCAAACATGTCCCAGGTAAGGCAAGTGGGATTGCTGGCTGCTGGATGTCAGCCATGGAACAAGGATGTATGTGCTGCCAGTGGAGACAGGTTTGCATATTGTGCGACCCTGGCTATCTATATTTATCAGGTAAAATAATAATTCTTTTCCATTTTTAATTATATCCGGTAAAATTAATATTTAATTAATACATATTTTAAGTCCTTGTTACATGAAAAACATAATGCTATAATTCCATTTATATTTATATTTTTAAAGTTTTGTGATTTATACCGTATAGGTTTTAAAAGTTAAACCTTTAGAAAACACTTACATTATTAAATGATTAGTAAATTTGATATAAGAAAATTCTTTTTTCAGTTGAAGAATTTGGGTAGTCCATTAGAGATCATTATAGTAAAATTAGGACAGACATATATTGTGAGATATTATTGGGAGAAAAACTTGTATAACTATGTTTTTCGTGTCCTAGCTCCATTCAGATATCCCTTATCAGTTCACAATTTATAGAGCCAAAAACCGCCTGAATTTCTTCATATAGAAGTGCCATAAGCATGTTAAAATCAAAGTCCAGTGATTCTCTTAAATTCAAAGTCAGTATCTCAGTGTCACCAGCTAACCATGCATCTAAACCAGAAATGTGATAGTTATCTTTGACTCCCTCTTCCACTCACATCCCGTGCCCTTGGTAGCCAAGAGTGATTCTAATATGTTCCTCATATCTTTCTCACCTAAACTATTATAATAATCTCTTAATAGTCTCTACTTTTAGTTTGGCTCCTACTAATTTATTGTTCAGTGTAATCAGTTATCTGTAGTGCAAATCTAAATTTTAAAGCTTTCAGTTGCTACTCATTCCCTAATAGTAACATCTAAACTTCATAAAATGGCATTCAAATGCTTTTGTGATCTTCCTGCCTCTCTCTTACTCTGTGTTCCAGTTATACCAAACCAATTACATTTTTCTAAGACATCTCAGTCTTTCATATCTTGCCTTTGCTTACACTAATTTTTCAGTTTGCTTACATTGCCTGTCTAGAGAACACTTTCTCATCTTTCGAATCTCAGCTCCTGTATGAACTCTTTTCCATATTCTATTTTCCCCTCTTTCTTAGCAGTAAAGGACCTCATAAAATGGACTGCCTCTCTGCATGCTTTCATTTATTAGGAGTCTTTCCCATCTTTTAATTCTCACATTTTTGCACTTTCTGGCACTTAGAAGACATTCATTAAATGTCTTAAATGAATGAATTAAGGAAAGAATCTTCAAACTCCAACTTATTTTAGTTAAGACTATCTTGTTTTATTCTAGAGTAAAAATTCTTTTCATTACTACATATTCGTACATTACTAATTGCATTATGCTTTATTCAAAATTTAAGAAATATAGCATTAATGTATAAAACAATCCATTTTCCACGATATAGAGTAAGATTTTATGTAGTCCATTTCTTAAGACTGTAGAAATATCTAGCTACCAAAATGGAACTTCAATATAACTCACACTTCTTCATTTTCACCCCCTTCATACACAACACAGCAGCAAGACTTCTAAATGCCTGTTTTTTTCTCCCATCTACCTCCTTTACACTCTTTATATACTCCCAAGCTTGTCACTCCCAAATCCCACCTACACAATTTCTCTCCTAACCCTAAGTCCTTATCTTGTCTTTTATTTCCTCCTAAAGAAGAGAAAGTTATCAAGCAAGTCAAACTATTCTTCTGAGGTAAGGATGGTAAAGAAACTCAGTGGATGAAGCCATAACTTAATTTTTTCAAGTTTCTATGTCTTAAATTTTGTGATGACATTTTATGATGAATATTTTAAAATATTGAGGTAAAATTAGTAATATAAACAATGTACATGAAAGTTGTCATGTCATTAAGGACTGAAACAAACTAAAAATTATCCTAATTTAGAAGCTGATGCAAATAAACTTAGGGGACAGTTCATTACAATGTCCACTATAAAACCTTGTTTCAAAGTATGCCAATAGAAAATTACATAATTAAATGGTGACATTAATATGAAATTTATGTTAATAAGTAGTGTTTTAAATATTATCATCTCAATTACAGTGCTTTGAAAATTATGCTACATAAATGTAACATGATACAATTATTTTCAGAGGAAATATTTATTAAATAACACTTAGTGCCAATGTGTAGTCAAAGTCTGATAATCGGTCACACTCTGGATAATGATACTCTTGTATTATATTTTTCTGAATGATTAAATGATAATGGGAAATGGTATTAGAATTTTTCTTTAACTGTTGTTTTGTAATGCACTGATATGTTAATGTACCCTAAAAGTAGAGTAATTTATGGTCAATCTCAATGTAATTGTACAGTTCAATATTACTGAATTGTAAACATCATAGGAATGCATCAGTAGATTAATTCCTGCAAATAGTTCAGTGTTCTCTAGTGTGCTTACAGTTACTATGTAGATAATTTGTATGGTAATGTCAGTGGTCACTGATATGCAGCATAGCTTCTTCACACATTTACTATATTAATAGATTCTTTTACTGAATTTCTAAATAATGTAGGTTTTTTTCTTTTGGATACATTAGATACACTCACTGTATCTACCATAGGTGACTTAAATTGCTGAATAATTTAAAACTTAAAAACCTATTTATTCCTAAATGTATAGAAAACACAATTATGTATTTAAATAAGTCAACTTAAAATTGCTATTGCTGCAGTGCTAATCAAATGAAAACTTCATTGGTTTTGGGTTATGTTTACTAATGTTTTAATCCAAAGTTGTCCAAGAATAGTTGAAGTTATAGGAAGAGAGAGAAATTATAGAAGAAAAAGCCTTAGGAAATACTTATGTGATTAGTCAAAAATTTTACATACAATGTTCACTGCAGCATTATCTGCGATGGCAAAAATTAAGTTACTTAAATATTAAACAGATCTTAAGTGTTTATTCTTTCAATATTAACTGAATCTCTTCAATTGACCAAGCCTTACTCTGTACCAGGATTGCAACTGTGAAGAAACAGGCAGAGTCTTCTTGTGGAACTTATATTCCTGTAAGGTGTAAGGAAAGGTGATAAGATAAATAAGTAAACAAATAGGTAAAATTTTCAGAAAGAAGTGTGCTCTACAGAGGCTGAAAAAACAGGTATAATAAGATAGAGTCATGGGATAGGTTCTGGGGCGAGTTATGAATTAAGATAGCATGGTCCGAAAACATCTCTCAGAAGAGGTGCATTTAAACTCAGACCTCAGTAGGAGAATGAATAACCATGAGCAAATCAGTGGATAGAGTATTTAGAAGCCAAGGAAGCAGCAAGCAGAAGGCCATCAAGTGGAGGTGATCGGCTGTAATAGAGAAACAAGAAGTTCAGAGTGAACAGGGAGGAACATGATTTCAAATTACTTTGGCAAGATAGCAGAGATTCAATCGTGTAGAGATTTGAAGGCTGTTTATCAGTTAGGATTTTATTGCAAGCATATAGCTTTAAAAAGTTTGATGTAATAAATATTTAATATCATAATGATTTTTAAAACTTAGAATAGCACTGTGAAAGGCTCATTATATGCTAAAGGGGAAGAAACTACAACAAAAGGACATAAATAACATATTCCAAAACATGCTAAAAATGATAGAGATTAATTCACTAATTAATGGAGGCACACTTACAAAAGAAATAAGAAAAATTAGGCTGTTTATTTTTTCTATTTATGTATAAAAACACAATATAATGTCCCATCCAAAAAAAACAATAAAATAAAAAGAGTGAATGACATCATTGCTCTGGAAGCTTTGGACATCTTAATAGTGTAATAATGAGCAGTTGGTGTATTTAACCCAAATTTTCTTGATTCAAGTATAAGTGAAAAATTGCAGAAAAAAATATTCCAAAACCAAGGGTTTTTTCTTCTCATAAAAAGATATAGCTATGGAAAATATAATAAAGCTCTAAATTATTATGCATATTTAAATGTGAAACATTTATTTTTACTTGTTTTTAAAATGGATATGTTTTTATTCTCTCAGTTTTTAATGTTTTTTTTTAGCTGGTTCAATATTCATGAATACACTTGAATGTAGACCAAGGCTTGAAATATGTTCATATCTTTATTATTAGGTGAAATAATTTTCCTGTATGTAGCTTTAGTTTTGTGTAATGTGAATATTAACAGTGTATTATCTTAAAAAGGAGCACTAAAATATTTTATTTATATATTTTGTTTTAGTTGGATCACCGTTATAATGAATTCAAACTTCACGCAATTATGTCTGAACATAAAAAAACAATCACAGCAATTTCTTGGTGTCCACATAATCCTGATCTGTTTGCAAGTGGCAGTACTGATAATTTAGTGATCATTTGGAATGTTGCAGAACAAAAAGTCATTGCTAAACTCGACAGTACAAAAGGTATAATTACAACTGGGATTTATTTTATGGAATAAAATATTTTTATTTCAACAAGCACTATCAATATTATTAGTTCAGCTTTTAAAATGTTGTTTTCAAACTTCTTAATGGTAATCTGTATAAGAAATAAATTTCACATAATGACTCATGCCCATAGGTACAAAGCTGAAACAAAATTTCATGAAATAATTATACGTAGAACATATGATCGACTAAAAACATAGCCAATACCAAATAATTTTATTAATGTTTAAATATAATGTAAGAATTTCCAAAATAAATATAAAAATAATAATCAGAAAGATTTTGTTATTGAGACAAGTAACAAGCCTTGGCTGTTCATTACTCTATTCCAACCTTTAAATTACAAAGAAAGTATTATGCATATATTTGATGCATTGTTAAGCTGGTTTCATGCCTTTATTTTTAATTTGGTCAAGGTAGAACATCCTCATTCACATAAATTGGACTTTATGAATTGGAATAATAGCATTATACTCTTTCTACTTAGAATTGGGAACTCGCATTTAATCTTATCCCATCATAATGGTAAAGTTAAGTAATAATTATTCTGTGTTCAGTGTCACAATAATTAACTCTCTTTTTGAGCACCATATTTAGCTCAATTGATTATGGTTTTGAAAGCTACTGCTAGATATGTTTTTCAATTCAGCTTCTTCTCTAAAAATAATTGTTATAAATTTGAGATATAAAACTGGACATGACAATCTCACTAACCTTATTTTGTTCAAATTTCTTTGTAATAGTCTAAGGCAAAAATACTGGGAATTTATAGGCAATTATCTTTAAATTTTGTTTCCATAATAATAGTAAAATAATATCTTTTGTAACTTTTAGACATATTTGATATTTTTAGTATTTTGGTTTGTCTTTTCAAATTTAGGTCATTAAGAATGCTTAAAATATCAGTGTAATACATAAATTTTATTACTCAACTGTTAAAGATATTTGTCAAATGAAGTTAATTTTCAACTAGAAGTATATGGATCTCATTCCCAAGTTTATGTACCCTGTTTTTTATTTTTACTTAGAACAACCAATGTATTAGACAGTGAGTAATGTTTGCCCCAATCTCTGAACAAAATATTGTAAAAAGTCAGCTATTCGGTGAGCTTCCATTAATGTAATTAGCAATTTTTCTTAAGGCTTTCCATGAGAAAAAAACAAATTATTTTGGCACAATGCTTTGTGATATATAAATTGTGATTGATGGCCTCAATTAAGACTTTTCATATCTCCCCATGTTTTCTGGTCATATCTGTTTGTCCAGCAATCACAAATTCTATAGGTTACTCCATTACTGTTTATATTGATTGATAATGCATTTCCAAGTACTTTAAATCCAGCTTTGTGTGAGATTAATTTTAAATAACACAACAAATTTTTCTTGAAATTCTTTCCATATTGTATGTGCCATAAACTAAAATGTTGCACGATATTATTGTTCTCGTAAAGATGTAACACAAAGTCAACGTTAGGTTATAACTGCATATAATAAACATAAATTCTAAATGTTTTGCAGAAGTAATGATTAATTTTATTATCACCTAGTGTATCCATGGATTTATCATCAGACACTATATACATCACATCCATTCATGGGGGAAGATTTTATTTATTCATCAGCTATATGCACCATAGTTTCTTTTGTCACTGGATATACAACTAAATAATACTTTCTAATTAACAGTCCCAGAATGATGAGATAATTGTGGAAAGCTTTTGGCAAATTTTTCATGTTTTTCCTTTCTTTGAAAATTTTCAGCTATCAATATCTCCCTCATCCAAATGTCTTCTTAATTTGAAGATTGAAAGCTTTGCTATTTTATTTGCAAAAAAATTATGACTATTTTTGGTGATTTCCATCTTAAGTAACACTTTTGAAATGTTTTAGGCTTATTTTTCTTTTTAGAATCCAGCTTAAGCAAAGTAGAAATTTGCATTAAGTGAACTTTTTTTTTCAACTTCCAAATACAGTTGTTGAATTTGATCTTGCCTCTGTATTTTTACTTCTTCTTCCTTTTGTTTCTAATAATCTAACAATCCATTTAAATGAAAATGCATATTAGTTTTTCCAAATGTAAAATGTAAAAATTGTCACCAACTTGAAAAAGTCACTTTATGTCACAGTGGATAATAATACTACCTACCTATCTCAGAATAGTGTTGGGAGAATTAAATTGCAACACTCCTTGAAAGTGCTTGTACATAAGTCACTATAAAAGTGTTTTCTATTATTATTATATGACACTGTTTCTGGTCCTTTCGCTTTCCTTGCTGTCTTTCTCTAAATATACAGTCGGAGAACCAGTATTCTATTGTCTTTCCTCTACTGTGCTGTGGTGGTTTGATCCATACAGAGTACCTCATCTCTTTTTTGGGTAAATTCTACTTCTGTTAATGTATCCTAAAACCATATCAACTATTTTACTGGCGTTTTTCATGTATACATTCATTCATTCAGCAAATATTTATGGAGTCCTCATTATGGGTCAGGCCCTGAAGTAGGCATTAGGCTTTGTTTTTGCCTCTTGGAGCACATAGACTGTTAACACAAACTAAACTTACTGTCAATCAGCGAATTTCCACTCTGTGTCTTTGTTCATATCATTTTCTCTTCCTGGGAAATACTGCTTATTCCATGTATTTAAACTCTACCCCTCCTTCTAGGTATAATTCAAATCTAATTTCTTTCCAGGACAGTAGCACAGTGGTTTCTAAACCTTTCTGCATATCAAAATCATTTGATGAAGCTTGTTAAAAATAAATTCCTGTGAAACCTCGTCTCTACTAAAAATACAAAAAAAAAAATTAACCGGGCATGGTGGCGGGCGCCTGTAGTCCCAGCTACTCGGGAGGCTGAGGCAGGAGAATGGCATGAACCCGGGAGGCGGAGCTTGCAGTGAGCCGAGATTGCATCACTGCACTCCAGCCTGGGCAACAGAGCAAGACTCCGTCTCAAAAAATAATAATTATTATAAAATAAATAAATAAATAAATTCCTTGGCTCAAACTCCACATGATCTGATATGTTATATTCCATTTCATGATTTTGATGCAGCCAGCTAATATATCAGTGTTGGAAGATGTGCAATCTCTCTCTCATAAATTTCTCATAATACTTATTTTATATATGATTTATTTGATCACAATAGCAGGTATATTAACAATTAACTTTTATATTCCATCTTATTGATGGAATGTAAATGTACCTTTACATAAATGATTTTATTTCCTTGACTTTCATGTGAAATAAGTGGTCAGCTATTTTTATTGTTATCTCCATTTTATAGATGAGGAAACAGAAATTTAGAGAAATAAAATGACTTGTTTTTCTGAGGCAAGGCTTAGATTTGAATCTAAATTCCTGATAAGACATAGATTATAACATTAAGTCCATTGTTTTTAAATCCTTATAGTAGCATTTATATTTTTATTCACTAATCCCTGTCTCCCTAACACACATTTAAAATTCTCTAAAGCAGGAATCTTATCCCACACTACCTTGTATACCTAGAATGCCTAGAGGTCTTATATACAAATACACAGTAAGAATGTATTGCTCTAATCTTTAATATATAGTCTACTAAAATAAAAAAGTCTATAAATGTATTTGACTATATGAAGCAAATGATCATGTAAGTAGTATTTAAACCTAACTAGATACATTTTCTTTCATCATGGACTTTCCCTGCCTATGTTCCCTGCAGTCTTTGGGATTTCTTTATAAATCCAATTCCCAAATAAGAAAGTAATGTATCTTAAAAATAATAATTTGTTTTAGAAATGTAAACAGGGCAAGTAATATTTAATGGTGTAATCTTATGCTGTATCTTTATTATGTATCTGTATTTAATGTATTCCAGGGATCCCTGCTTCTCTTAGTTGGTGCTGGAATGCAGAGGATGTGGTGGCATTTGTTTCCCACAGAGGCCCACTGTTCATTTGGACCATCTCAGGACCAGATAGTGGAGTGATTGTACACAAAGATGCTCATAGCTTCTTGTCTGATATCTGTATGTTCAGATGGCATACACACCAAAAGGGGAAAGTTGTGTTTGGTCATATTGATGGAAGTCTATCAATTTTTCATCCAGGTAAGAATTTAATTAGCAAGGTATCTTAAATAGTATATTTTTCTTATATATAATTTTGTACTTGCTTGGTCTTTCTAGTGACCAGTCCCCATTGTGAATAAAACCAAAAGTGACAAAATTTTAATTTTGATATTATTATTGTTAAAATGTTACCCAGTATTGTACTGAGTCTAAATATTCATTTGAAGTTTTATATATATATATATATATATATATATATATAATACATTCAACACAGCTGTGAATATTTTACTTGGAATTAACCTAAATCAGTCATTTTTCCCTTATTTGTATTTTTAATCAATTCTTTATTTCTGTACATTTACTAAAAAACAACCTGAATGAACAAGGACATACAGCTAGAGGATGTGATGGTTTACTAATACTAAATATTTTCCCATCTGCTTGTAAAAATACCATTCTGATGCCACGGCTCCTTGGCAAAGGCTTTGAAACTGGCATAAAAGAAAAATGATAACCCTTTGAACCCCTGTTAGTTAATTGATTTGGCTGAATGAAAGGGTCTGAGAAATTAATGTTCACTTACAAAAGTATGATTAAAAAATCAAAAATTACCTGAATTGCTTGCTTTCCCCTCAAAAATAAGTATTTTAACATTTGGGAAACATACTTTTAGCTATCTAGTATCTCTGTTGATGTATGTGACTTCTGGCTGGCTAGATGGATGAATGAAAGTGCTTTCTCAGGAACACGATAACTACTTTCACAAAACAAATTACATTTAATTTATCTGAAATTAATAGAAAAAAGAAATTGAAATTGAACAAATGAAATTGTGAAAATTTAAATAAATCTTTCTTCAGGAAATAATGTTTCTAAAGTTAAAAAGGATTGTGTAAAACATTGAAACATTGGGGCCATTATATTCTAAATACATTTTAAATGGGATCTATTATTTACCTTTCAAAGAAAGATAAAAATAAATGTTCATATGCTTCTTCCCCAGCTTCTCTCTCAGCTCTTTGTACACGTCCTCTGTTGTTCCTTCTGGTTGTACCAGGTTTACGTGGGGACAGTTTCATTGATTTGTCAAAGATTAGCATGAGGAGGGATCAATGACTGGTGCTTCTTCTGGATTTGTTGTACCAAGCACCTGCACTGCAACTTATCTGTTCTGTCCTTGCACTGGAAACAGATCCTGTTTTATAGTTGGTCATTAAGGCTGATAGTTAGGCAATAGAATTCATAGCTTTCTTTGTTTTGATCTGGTGAATACAACTTCTTTCTCTGTAACCTTTGTCTCCGGCAGTCTTCCTTAGTCTCAGGAATGCAATCTATAATAAATATGGCTGTATGCTGTGTGGTTCCTCCTCTTACCTCTCTGCATTATGTAACCAAATGTCATTAGTGATATTCCTCCACTTCTTCCCTGGCCTGCACCCAAAGATTTCATCAGGATTGTGACACTTTCTTTTCAAACTAGATCTGAAGAAGATATGAGGAGTGTGTTTTTATTTTATTCTAAATTGCACTCTAGATATTTTATACATTTTGTGATTTGTCATTTTTACCCTCTCCTTTATCATTGACTGAGGTTATCTTTTTTCTTGCTTTATTATTATTAGTCATCTTTGAAAGTTTCAAGCCATAAGACATTGAGACTTTTTATTGTGTATCTAAAATATAAAACATTGAGACAGTGCATGCTTATTTTGACATAGAAATAACAGAAAAGAAAAAAGACTACCTTTGTTTTCCCTCTCTTAGGTTTAGAGGATAGAATGTTTAATATTTGAACAGTCTGAGATATGTGCCTTCCAGAAGAGACCATTGTTTTTCAATAACCCAATCTTCCAGTTGTTAAACCAAGTGAAACCATCTATACCCAAGTCAGCATGTGTTATTTTTCTGTTCCACCCATATATTAGTTTATTAGGGCTGATGTAAGAAGACTATCACAAACAGGACAGCTTAGAACAGCATAAATTTTATTATCTCACAGTTCTTGAGGGCAGAAGTATAAAATAAGGTGTCAAGAGGGCCATGCTCCCCCTGAAGGCCCAAAGAAAGGATCTGTTCCAGGCCTGTCTCCTGGCTTCCTGTTCCTTGGCTTGTGGCAGTATAACTGCAGTCTTCACATGGCACGTGGCATCCCTGCTGTGTGTATGCATGTCTCTGTGACAAAATTTTCCCTTTTATAAAGACATAGTCATATTGGATTAAGCTCTACCCTAAGGGCCTCATCTTAGTTTGATCATCTGCGAAGGCCCTAATTCCAAATAAGATCACATTTGCAGGTACTGGGGCTTAGGACTTTAACACCTTTTTTGAGAGAGCACAGTTCAACCCATAACAACCCAATACAGACTTGTTAACCTCATTTATTCTGTAGGATTTATTTAGCAATTAATGTGCACAAAACATTATAAAAGATACAGTCCTGATAAGTATTTTCCTTTTGCATATACATGAGGGAATGGATCATGAAGGAATCACTACCTTTTAATTCTAACACTACATTCTGGATTGTGAGTTTGAAACTGTTAGCATTAATACCAGTATAGCTAGGCTTCTTACTTTTCATGAGTTGTTAACCTTATCTTCTTGATGACTTACTGGCACCACAGATGGTTCTATACCTACGTTACAACATAGGATTTCTCTCCTCCAGGTTCTTGCAGGAACCTATGACCTCAATATCTCTGTTGTCTAGTCCTTCTCAGAAGAAAAAATAAATATTCATGAGAACTAGCCACGATAATGTAGTTCATCATTTTAAATCAGTAATTTTTAAACTGTGCTTTCTATGTTTGTATACTTATGTGTGTGTATTGAGGGTAGGAGGGCTTCATAGATGATCCAGCTGAGCTTTAAGCCTTCTTCTCCCTTTCAGCCTGAAAAGCACCATGTTATCCTGTATTATTTACTGGATTTTCTTGTAAACATTCTCATATGAACAGAAGATTCCAGGGCAAAAAAATTGGAAAACTGCTTTAGCTATCTCAAATTGTATTCTCAGGCCAAGTTCATCGGAGAACCTTTTTAAAAATCTTTATTACAATCATGTTTAAATTGAATTGATTTTGGTATTACTCCATGAATGTGCCTTAATAAAATTTGCCTTGTTTTATTTTAGGAATGTTGTTGATGACACTCTCTATATAACTGTTACTTAGTGGAAAAAACAGACTCAGTTTCTCCTACTGTACTCTCACAGCACAGTTCTGACACTAGATGTGTGAGAGGCTTTCTCCACACATGAAGCAAGCGGTCACCTCTACAGCAGACACTCGCTGAGCGTCCTCCAATTCAATTCTGACACTACCTGGAGATAGAGTCACAACACACACACTGAGGGATCAGGCCCCATTACTGTCCTCTCTTCTGATGACAGTTGTTAAGCCCCAGCTTATTTTGCCTGTGTTTCTGAATGACTGGCTATAAATCGAGGTTCCCGTGGCCCCCTCCTTGCATTTGATTAGTTTGCTAGAGTAGCTCACAAAACTCAGGGAAACACTTTCTTACCTTATTATAAAGAATATTACAAGGATACAAATGAAAAGATGAAAAGGGCAAGGCATATGGGAAAGGACATGGGGCTTCCGTGCTGTCTCCAGGCATGCCGCCCTCCAGGAGCCTCCGTGTGCTCAGCTCTCTGGAAACTCCCAAATTCTGCTTCTTTTGGGTTTTTATAGAAGCTTTATTATATAGGCATATTGATTAAAACATTGGCCCTTGGCGATCAGCCTAACCTTCAGTCCCTCTTCCCTCCCTGGACATTGGGGGATGAGGCTGAAGGTCCCAACTCTCTAATCAAGCCTTGGTCTTTCAGTGACCAGTCCCCATTGTGAAGCCACCTAGTGGCCACCAGCTACCTAGTCAACTCATTAGCATACAAAAAGACACTGTAGAGATTCCAAGGATTTTAGGAGTTGTAATGCCAGGAAACAGGGATGAAAACCAAACATATATTTTACGATATCATAGTCTCCCCTTTAAAAACACACAGGAGACATTTATTTCTGGTCTCAATTCTGTAATTATGGGATTGCAGCAAGAGTTGTATTATCTTTCAATTGTGCTTTTTAAAGAAGAAACACACTTCCTTTACGATACTTATGACTAATTGGTACTTTCTGTTAAGGCCGCAGTCTCTCTAACTAGATGCTTCACTGCCTCTCTTGAGAATGAGAGGACTTGCCCAGTGGAGTTCCCATGTGGTATCTCAGCAGAATTTTTTTTTCCATATTTCCAGTTGTGTACATAAATTACAAAGAACAAGAAGTTTGTTTGATGATCCTTTGCTTTATTTAATTAGTCTTGTTTTAACTCCCTATCTTTCTGGCTTCCCTATTTATACTACTGGTTGGGTGTGAATTATAATTATGGCAAATGGTAAGACGAATGAGAAAGGAATAATAGTAAATACTAAGATGCTGTTTAAAATGTGCACCACTATTCTAAACATTTTAATCAAATTCATTTAATCGGTTTTAAAACTCTGTGAGATAAGTATTGTTATCTTCTCCATTATTAAAAAAAGAAAAAAACCACAAGACTGAGGCACAGGGAGATTAAGTATCTTGTCTGAGGCAGCAAAGCTAGTAAGAAGCAGAACAGGATCGGAACCAGGCAGTCAGCCAGCTCTAACATTTATCCTTTTAAATCACTATATGATATTCTTCATTTCAATAAGCACTTTCCCTATTTCTATGCTGCTGTAACCCAGTGAAATTTGTAATTATTGACAAGATCAGAGTATGTTATTTATCTGTATATTTTCTTACTGCTTTTCGGTAACAAATGGGAGACACATTCAAGGCACTGGAAATTGCCAAAACAGAGCATTGAGCCTGACCTTCATCATTAGGACAAACAGATCTTTCTGCATTCACATGTCAGTTACGCCTTCTGCATATAAGCACCACATTTGTATTTTCAATACCCTCAGAGATAGATATTGTACAAGGAAAAAGTTAGCATCATCTAAATTATTGATCTTTTCTGCAAGTTTTTTGGAAATAATTATCTCTGTATTTTAACAGGTAATAAAAATCAGAAACATGTTTTGAGACCAGAATCTCTTGAAGGGACAGATGAAGAGGATCCAGTTACGGCCTTGGAATGGGACCCACTATCTACTGATTATCTTCTAGTGGTTAATTTGCATTATGGAATTCGCCTGGTAGATTCTGAATCACTTTCTTGCATAACAACATTTAATCTTCCCAGTGCAGCAGCTTCTGTACAGTGCTTAGCCTGGGTTCCCAGTGCTCCTGGGATGTTTATAACTGGAGGTAAGCTAATCCCCATAACCCAGAGTTTTAAATACGTGTATATATTCTTTCGTTGAATTTAGGAAATTGTCCTTTATAGGTTGATTTTGTGTAAAATGTATTAATAGCTCAATTATTATTTATTGTAGTAAATTACTAGTGTACTTTTATTTATATTGTATGTCATTAATGATAAAATGAAATGACAAATAAAAATGAAAAATAAGGTCCACTCTGCCAGGTTTCTGGAAATACCTTGGAATATATTATATATGTGCACACATGTGAGCATGTCTGTGTATGTGCAAAAGACAAAGACAGTTCCATTTCAGGCATAGTAGGATGACAGTGAAGGTACTGAGCATAAAAACAATTACCTGATGGGAGCTTTATTAGCCTCACTGTCTTAGTCCATTTTGTGTTGCTGTAACTGAATACCACAGAATATTCTGCTATAACAGAATACCACAAGCTGAGTAATCTATAAACCATAAAAGGTTTATAGTTTATAGTAATCTAAACTATAAACTAGTTTAGATTAGTTTAAGGCTAATGTAAAGAGGCTGGGATGCCCAGGAGCATGGCACAGGCATCTGGTGAGGAACTTTGTGCTGCTGAAAGCAGGAGAGGACAAGAGCATGAAAGCAAGGGGAGACCTAGCTGGCTTTTATAACAAAGCCACTCTCACAATAAATAACCCACTCCTACACTGTCTATATTAATCCATTCATAAGAGTAGAGCCTACATGACCTAACTGCCTCTGATTAGACCCTATCTCCTAACAATGTTGCATTGGGGATAAAGTTTATAACACAAGAATTTTGTGGGAGGCATTCAAACTATAGCACTCACTGATCCGTGGGTTGAATGGATACTCCTTCATGCTTTCCTAGTCAAGAGGTCATGAGAGAATTAGCAAAGCTAAGTAGTGATAGGGGATGGGAAGATGGGGGAATTGAGGAATAATTAGAAACTAAATGACTCTCTACTTTTACCATTTGATTGTGTTCAGAGAGAGAGACCTCTGAAAGAACAGAATGTTTTTGGCTACTGTATAAATTCTTCCCATATTTGCTTAGCGTAAAATAATAGGCAAAGACTCTTTATCCTCTCAAAATTTTAAAATAAATTATTCACTTCTTTAATACTTAACATAATAGTGACGCCACCCTGTATCTGTGGGTTCTGCATCAGTGGATTGAACCAACTATGAATGATAAATGTTAGGGGAAAAAAATTCCACAAAATTTCAAGAAGCAAAACCTGACTTTGCAGTGTGACAAGTACTATGTTGAACCCATGTGAATAATGTGATGTGTAGGCTTTGGATTAGGTATAATAAGTGATGTGGCTTGACCGTGTCTCCACCAAAAATCTCATCTTGAATTGTCATTGCCATGATCCCCAACTGTCAAGGCCGGACCCAGCTGGAGCTAATGGGATCATGGGGGCCACAGTTTACCCTATGCTGTTCTCATGATAATGAGTGAGATCTCACGAGATCTGATGGTTTTATAAGTGTCTGGCATTTCTCCTGTTTGCCCTCACTCCATTCCACTGCCCTGTGAAGAAGGTGCCTGCTTCTACTTTGCCTTCCACCATGATTGTAAGTTTCCTGAGGCCTCCTCAGCCATGCAGAACTGTGAGTCAATTAAACCTCTTTTCTTTATAAATTACCCAGTCTTGGGTATGTCTTTATAGCAGTGTGAGAACAGACTAATACAATAATCTGGAAATGATTTAAAGTATACGAGAAAATATGCATAGGTTATATGCAAATAATATGCCACTTTATGTAAGAGACTTGAGCATTCCTGGATTTTGTTATCCGTGGGAGGTCCTGGAACCAATCTCCCATGGATAACAAGGGGCAACTGCACATGAAAGTAGATGGATTCTTAATTTATATATCTTAATTGCCTTTAACTTTTCAGGATATAATTAATAATAGGCATGGAATTTTTTTTTTTTTTTTGAGACAGTGTCTCGCTCTGTCACCCAGGCTGGAGTGCAGTGGTGCAATCTTGGCTCACTGCAACCTCCACCTCTGGGTTCAAGTGATTATCCTGCCTCAGCCTCCCGAGTAGCTGAGATTGCACTGTGGTGCATGCCACCATACCTGGCTAATTTTTCTATTTTTAGTAGAGACGGTGTTTTACCATGTTGGCCAGGCTGGTCTCAAACTCCTAACCTCAAGTGATCCACCTGCCTCAGCCTCCCAAAGTGCTGGGAATACAGGCATGAGCCATCATGCCCAGCCCAATAGGCACGGAAATTGTTTTGTATTTTATTACTATTACTGAAATATGCTTCACATATAAAATTCACCATTTTTAAAGCATGCAGTTCAGTGGTTTCTAGTATATTCACAAAGCTCTACAATTATTACCACTATCTAATTAACATATCATTATTCCCCCAACAAACCCTGTACTCATCAGCAGTTACTCTCCATTACTGCCTCCCTACAGTCCCGGATACACACATGTGCAAGCATAAACTGCTAATTACTTTCTATCTCTGTGGACTTGCTTCTTCTGGACATTTCATATAAATGGAACCATTCAGTCTGTTGCCTTTTGTTTCTGGCTTCTTTCACTTAACATAGAGTTTTCAAGGTTCATCCATGTTATAGCATGTATCAGTACTTCATTCCTTTTTATGGCTGAATAATATGTCATTATATGGATATGGCAGGTTTTGTTTATCCATTCCTCTGTTGATAGACAGACGCATTGTTTCCACCTTTTTGCTGATATAGATAATGCTGCTATGAACATGTATGTACAGGTTTTGGTATGGACCTTTGCTTATAATTCTGTTGAGTATTTCTCAAGGAGAGGAATTGCTAAGTCATATGGTAATTCTATATTTAATCGTTTGTGTAACTGCCAGACTTTTCTCCATAGCAGTAATTAAGATGGGAATTTTGGAAGAAAGGAGACTGTAATTGGTCTTCAGGTATATTTGACAATCCTTAATGGCTAAAAGTGGACAGTGGAGCAGTTTATAAACATTTCAAAGGTGGAAAGATTGATTATTTAAGGTTAGAAATGGAGAGTTTTCTGTGGCTGGCCTTTCCTAGAACAAGCATATGTCAATAGGGTCTTTTTTTGTGGTTGAGTTATTATAATGGTCTTTATTGGAGGAAGCTGCCAAAACAGGCCGTTTCTAAACCTATAAAAGGTTTTGGAGCAAAAAAATAGTAAAACATGCCAAAAATTTAAAGGTTAAATAGTATTTCGGTTGTTAGGTTGTATTACTGTATGGTATTGTTGTTAAAAGGATGTCAGTAATTAGTCCTAAAATATTTCCAGTTGAAATTTTGTTATACTTTTATGTCTAGGCATTTTAGTTTCATACAAAACTTGTTAAAATGTGCTTTTTCCCTGATCTGACTAGATTCTCAAGTGGGTGTTTTACGCATTTGGAATGTTTCAAGAACAACACCTATTGATAATCTTAAATTAAAGAAAACAGGATTTCACTGCTTACATGTACTTAATTCTCCTCCAAGAAAAAAGTGTAAGTAAAAATGTTATCAAAATTTTAATTTTTAAAAAATATTGTGTTTTCTATCAAATAAAATGGTATAGTGAGATATCAAATACTATATGCCACTGAAAAGCAATTTTTAAAAAAGGCTTTGACAATATATGTGCTCAAGGATCCATCAAAGCTACACAAGATCTACTGTTACTAAATTGAAAATATTTAGAGTCAAGTTACATTTTTTAATGCTACTAAGTAAGAATATTTAGATAATTTCAGATTATCTACATGGAAAAGATGAATCAATGATACTGATGAAAATAAGTTAGAAATATTAAGAGTGATAGGATTAAATAAGATTATCTGAACTGGGAGAATTTATGTTTTAAACATGGCTCATTTAAAATCTGTACAGTTTACAACGAAGTTAAAACAACCTAAATATTCAAATTATAGGATCTAGAATACATATTACATATTTGAATACCAGTTGTCACTAAGTTAGTAGTTAGTATTATGGATCTTCTGTGTCTTCTTTATTTCTGTGTATATTTTCTGTATCATTCGTTGCCTCTGTAATTAAGAAAAAATAAAATACACTTAATTTATAAAAAGGAAAAATCTGGAAATTTGGGGGAGGTTTAGAATTAGAATTTTTTTCAAATATAAGGGAAAAATAATAGACTTCCAGTTAAGTCTATCATGATTACTCTGCATGGTTGGTAGTGTTCCCATTCTGTATAACACATCATTAAAAGCATGGGGAAGGGATTTCAGTGATGAAAAGTTTAGAGTGATTGTTTCCTTCTTACTCTATCTTTATAATATACCAAGTAATTAGCAATGGCTATTCAAAGTAATGTTATTTTGGTGTCTAATTGGTAGGCAATGGCAAGTAGTAGAAAATCTCTATATTTGAACCTATACCCCTTGTACAAAATTGTGAAGTCCCTAATAAATGTAGAACCTGGAAACTGGAGGGTCTAGAAATATTAGGACTAGAGAAGTAATATGCTGGATGCTGGCTTACTGTTTAGGGATGTTGGAATTTTTTTGTCATTGTTAGTTCCTTTATTTGTTTAGAAGCTTTGAACTGCCATGTCATGGAATGTCTGAAATACCAGATTCTTTTCTTTCATTTTTTTTCTTACTATAAAAGTAGCCCATGTCCATTAGACAAAGTCAGAAAATACAAAGAATAACATACCAGTCTTGTCATTTTCGAGCAATTCCTTTCAGATTACCTCTTCTTTGACTTCTAGGTTTTCCCTTCAATTTAATATAACAGAAAGTATGGAAAAAGAACAATTGTGAAAATGAAATTTTAAAAAATAAACGTACTCGCTGAATTCTGAAAAGCATGATTTACAAATAGATTGGTGCATAAAAGTTGTCTAACCCACCTATAATGTCAATTAAAGTGTTAGAAAAACCAATGATGGATTATATTAATTTTTAAACAAAATATCAACGAAATTTAGTGAACCAAATTCATTGCTACCAAATGCCTCTTTTGTCATTTGTAGTTCATTCTAGTTTGGACTTTCTGTAATTCTCAGATTCTGAGAAATGAATATTATCCATAATAAATGAACTAAGAAAAATTGTATTTTAATATTAAAAATACTGAGAAATGGCCGGGCGCGGTGGCTCATGCCTGTAATCCCAGCACTTCGGGAGGCCAAGGCGGGCAGATCACAAGGTCAGGAGATCGAGACCATCCTGGCTAACACAGTGAAACCCTGTCTCTACTAAAAATACAAAAAAATTAGCCGGGCGTGGTGGCAGGAGCCTGTAGTCCCAGCTACTGGGGAGGCTGAGGCAAGAGAATGGCGTCAACCTGGGAGGCGGAGCTTGCAGTGAGCCGAGATCATGCCACAGCACTCCAGCCCGGGCAACAGAGCGAGACTCCGTCTCAAAAAAAAAAAAAAAAAAACTGAGAAATATTTTCCATATTCCAGTGTACAATTAATAATCGATTGGTCTTATAATTTACTGTAGTGTCATTATTTTGGATTATGTTTGCAAGAAAATATTTGGATTCACATTCTAAGGAAGAGCTTTTTGGAAGAAGACAAAATATGGGATAAATAATATATAAAAATAATCACAGTGATATTTATGTAATTGAAAGTAGGAGAAATCCAAGTCTATAAACAGTAAAAAGAAAAAACAAACAAAAAAACATCTAGGAAGAAAGAAAATTGAGATGCCAGTGCAGGTCAGATAGTGTTGTGATTCTTAATTTATGATAAATTAAAATGAATTATGCATAATCTCAAAAAAATTATTTTCACTGGCTTGGAAATTGTTGGCAGAGAGTTATTTATATTAAAAGAAAAAATTATATGCATATATGTTTGTGTGTGTGGAAGGAGGGAATAAGCTATTATGTCAGTATTTTGAAGGAAGTTTATAATTCAGAAATAATCATGCTGAGCTTTAATTTATAGGGTGATAAGAAACCACATATTCACAACAGATTGTGATTCCTCAACACACTAATTTTCATCTATTTGCTCCATCTGTACTTTAAAATAATATCCAATTTTGTGCTTATATTACATTTTTTGGCAATCCCAAAGAACTGCTTATGTGGGAGAATATATGATCATTGCCTAAATGGTTTACTGGTACAGATTCTGGATTTTTTTTTTAATGAAGAATCTTTCTAAATTAAGCTCTGTGGTTTCATTCCAATAGGATTTTTTTTCTTCTATTTTTAGTTTCAGTCCAATCTCCAACCAAAAATCATTATACATCCTCAACAAGCGAAGCAGTTCCACCCCCAACTTTAACACAGAATCAAGCATTTTCTCTTCCTCCTGGTCATGCAGTGTGTTGTTTCTTGGATGGTGGAGTTGGACTTTATGATATGGGAGCTAAGAAGTGGGATTTTCTTAGAGACTTGGTATGTATGTAGTCATTCCTTTATTATACATAATAGTTTTTTGTGTAAACCCATGATCTTTACTTTTACCTGTCTGAATATTATTTGAAATTATTTTTGTAAGTAATAATATACTAGAAATTTATTGTAGCTGGTTGAAACATTTTAGAAAATGCATAGAATGATGATAAAACTACTAAAATAACTTTTAACCACTATACTTCAAAAGTCTTAATGTCTACTTATATTTTATGTACAATGGAAAATTACATAGCTGTAGTATATTTTGGAAGCAAAATGAGAATAGAATGTCCTTTCAAGAGAAAGGACAAGTTGATCTCTGCCAGTTGCTCAAAGCCTTATTGTTCCCATTTGTTAATTGAGTAACGTTGGATTATGTTTTCTAAGATTTGTTTCTATTGTTGAATCGCTATGATACTTAAGTGATTCTATGAATTCTGTTTTTATGATAATTAAGCCCCTATATAAGATAGAATACAACCTCCTTGAGATCCCACATTTTTGTCTGGTTGTGTTCTGTGGTACAGCCCCACTACCTAATATAGTATCTGCCACATAGCAAGACTATTAAATTTTGTTGAATGAATGAATGAAGACATGCAATAATACATACTGCGTTGTAATTAATATTTGTCAAAAACAATCCTCTTTAATTTTCCCTACTTTAGAGTTTCTAAAAATGTCCCTGTCTTTTTCCACTGGTTTGAATTAGACTAATCTGGACATTTAAGAAACCTTTAAATGCTAATTATTTTCCTTTGATCTTAGAAAAAGAATCTAGAGATGTAATTGTCCTTGTAACTGAAGGGAGAGAAAGAATCAATAATATTGTATCTTTTCAAGACTGCTCGTTTAATTTTATCCTCAAATGAAAAAATGATTTATAGCAAAAATATTTTTAAAATAATCTGTAGCTTAATTATTTTTGAATTTTCCTTTTGTAGATATTCATTTGAAGATGATTTAATTTTCTTTTCACTTTAACTTTTCTTTTTATATAAACTCTTTCCTAGTGTGGTAAACTTTTTGTATACTTCAAATTACCATTTGTTTTCAAACAAATTTATGAAAGGGAAGGGAGAAAAACATAAGAATACACTTAAATCTATAAAAAAAAACTAGTAAGAACAGCAGGATATACTGTTTCCTACACTTGTTTCACTAGACCAACCAGAATGACTTCTGTAGAATTTTGCTGATATGTCCTGAGTTGCTTTACATCAGCACTGGGTTGAGTCACTAAATCTGGCAGTGGGTCTTCAACAAGACAATTCTTCATTTCTGAATAAAACTGTGCTTAGCTCACCAATTCCTAAAATCAGTTCAGGAGACAATTACATTGCAGCAACTCAAAAGAAAAAAGAAAAAATATACTAACATGAATCACACATGCCCCAAGTGCCATATATACCATTCGAAGAAAAAAAAAACAATTTTTTATTTTTATTTTTTTTTTTTTACCACTTCACTATTTAATTACAAGCAAAGTCCTCTGTGGTTCTCCTTGGTCTCCTCTCTCTAAAAAAAAAAAAAAAAGAAGAAGAAGAAGAAAAGAGAAAGGAAAATCACTTCCACCATTAACTCCTAATCTAAAAAGTAAATTCTGCCTTAAATAAAAATCTGGGTCTTTCTACTAAGCTAAAAAAAAAAAAAAAAAAAAAAAAAAGTTGTGTTAGTAGAAGAGAAGTCATGCAATCTAAATTCAATAAATTTTCTATGACACTTCGTATTAAAGTATGTTTTACTTAAAATCTATGTTAATTTATAATTCTAATAAATGCCGAATACTAAATACTAAAAGCCGCTTGATTATAAATTATTTCAGTTGCTTTTCTCACTTTAAAATGTCTGCCAGTCAGAGGGAGGCAGTCATTTTTTCCTTATAGTTTCAATTTTCTTAACACAGATCCAAATTTGAAATTTCTCGAAGTGTTACCAGAAGAAACAACTCTGAACTGCTGTATGTATGAAGCATCTGCAAAGATTCCAGATTACATAGGATGAGAAAAATATTATTAATATTTTTTAAAATCTTACATAATTTTAAAAATCTTATTAATAAACATTCTAAAAGGTGTACTTCCATATGAATATTTGCTCCATTAAAATTAAGAAAAATGCCACAAAATTTTCCTCGTCTTACTCACCTTCCTTTTGGTAAGAAGAAAACACAGAAGAAACATTTACAATTTTGTTCTTGCTATGTGAATTTTCTTATTTCAAAAAATAAAATTTTAAGGCATAGCAGTGAAATAACATTTAAAACTGCATGTAAGTCCCTGCCTGGATTATGTTCCTAACATTGGAAATGACCACATAGGACAGCTTCAGCCAGGTGAACCAGTGGTTCTAACAACATTTTTACTTCTTGCTAACCCTTGAGATTTTTCTTTCCTTTACCTCCACCTAAAGGAGAAACTTTACGAGTACTTTTGTAGTTTCCTAAGGGTTGTGATTTCTGGTATTAATGGAAGTACACAGAGTTTTAAGGACTTTCTTCTCTACCCTTATTCTATTTGTTGAGGACTAGAAAACCCTGTCTTTGTACTTCAACTCCGTCTCTAGATCCCAAATGTTAGTTTCGTTTGCTTAAAGTAGAAATTTCGATTCCCATTCCCCAGCATTTAGAATAGTTGTAATTCCGGCTATTTATGTTGGACTCTTAACGGATTTTCCCAAAGGCCCACAGTAGTTAAGCACTACTTTACTGGTGTATGTTTACATGTATCTGCATATACCACTTTATAGTCTTGTGGGTGTTTGGGATCCAAATCATTGTGTAATGGGAACAAGTATTCAGGTTCCAAAGAATAGACTTGCTAGAAAATTTTGGAACAAGGCTCATTAACAATTGGGGTTATGCCTGATTCTTCTGTTTCTGCCAAAATTATGAGGTGCTTTTGGAGTACGTTATTAGTATAAAAAAGGAATATTTGCATTAAATGACTTTTAGTTTGAGTTTCATCTTGGTCTTCTATTGTAGTGCCAGATGACATATGGTAACTATTAAGAGTTAATTGCTTTATAGATTTCTAGCATAGTATCCTGTAAGTTTAATAAAAATAGAAAATATCTTTTGCACTGAATTGAAACTGAAAAGTGAGACTTCTGAACATCTTTGAGTTTAGTTGCTGATTTGAGGAACCGTGGTTGACTAAAATCTAGGTCTGTACAAAATAATACAGTAATGGCACAGAGAACATTCAATCACTGTAGTGATTCCAGTTTTCTGTTTTTCTTGCCTATATATTTTTGCATTAATATTTGGAAAACCGTATACATGTGTCAATTTGAGTAAACATTGTGGTTCATCTATTAATAATGTGAATTTTCCTCAATAATTATGACTTTTTTATGCCATATTCCTAGGGACATGTGGAAACTATCTTTGACTGCAAATTCAAACCTGACGATCCTAATCTTTTAGCAACAGCTTCATTTGATGGCACTATAAAAGTCTGGGATATAAACACATTAACAGCAGTGTACACATCCCCGGGTAATGAAGGTGTTATTTATTCCCTTTCTTGGGCTCCAGGTAAGAGATATTTTATTGAAATTAGGAATACAATGAAATGGCTTTTTAAAGTTTTATTTTCATTTGAGTTACTTTCTTCCTCTTGATCTCATCTTGTTCTAAATGAATGTAGAGCAAATTAGTGTGAACATATTTGTTGATTCTCTTTTTGCGAGGTTTAAGAAGAGTCTATCTGCAGAGGCACTTTGATTCCTGGTTTCCTCTATATAACAAGTCATGTAGAAAAACCACAGTAAATCAGGATTATCTTTACCTGTCTAATATAAGTTGTATTTCTATAGCTATGCCTTTAGAAGTATAATACAATTTACATGATAGAGGTTTTCTGGAAAGTTTTAATGTAAATCCTGTTTATGGTTATATATCAAGTAACAGTTCACTTGTAACCATGTAATTCTGTATTAACTCCACCTTTGAAGTATTGAAGAACTTTTATGCCATCATAAGATCTTATCTCTGATCTTAGATGCCACCTTATACCTTGCTGTACATATAAAGGAGAGATGTCCTATGAAACCTCTGACATTTTCTCCCAAAACATTATTTCCCCATAACAAATAATTTCACACACCTAAATGAATTTTTCACTTTTAAAGTATATGTAATGGTTTACTTATTTGGCTTAATAGTAATATATTAATTCAATAACTACATGTAATGTGGATGTAGCTCATCCTTATTTTTAAAATTATTTCTTCATACACAGGGATTCTTAACTTTGAATATTTGGGCCTCCAAGGGTTTTATATTTCATCAGAGAGTTTGGGAATCTCTGAGAAATTTATGAATAATTTTTAGTGTGTGTGTATATACGCCTATATCTGTCAAAGAGTATCTTAGTACTCAGATTTTCAGAGTTTCATGATACGAAAAAGGTTAAGGACCACTGCTTTATGTATCCTTCATCTCCTACAATGAGGAGAATTACAGAAAAAGGTTTTACTTACAACTCTTAATGACAATGTTTGTCCTTTAAGCAGAACATAACTGAGCCTATTCTGTTGATTATTGCAGTATGCACCTCCACTGTAGGTTACCTTGGCTAGCAATATAGGAATTGGACCAGCCAGTGCAGTCACCTTGCACTAGAGCTCATATTAGTTGAATACTCTTCATCCTACAAAAGTATTTGTCTGAAACATAAAACATAAATAAAACTTATGACTGTAAAAACTATTGTTTCAAATCATAACACAGAAGATCTAATCTGACTTATAGCATTCTTTCACTCTCTACATTGAGAATTTGCATCAAGAAAGTAAAAATGTTAGAAAATGGAAATTCTGTCATTTTCTGTTATGTGATTACTGGTGCATCATGACTTTGAGGTAAGTGGGGATGATATTTAAAAGATAAATGAGGGTTGACAAGGATGGAAGTAGAGTAGGATATAGATAATTACATAATTTCCTCTGTATCTTAGTGTAGATACCAGACGAAAAGAAAAAAAATGCAAATAAATTTTGAAACATATCCCCAATAATTTAAGAACCCCAAAAGGAGAGCAGTTTAAAAATGTTAGAAATATGATGAGAACATTTTTAGTGTGTATAATCATTTATCATTAAGTAGTTTCTTCATATTTTTATTCCTAGATAGCAGATGACAGCTGCTCCTTTGTTCTGATGGAGAAAACCTCTTCTATCACTGTCTTACAAAAGGCACTTATTTAAATCCTTGGCCATCTACTACTCACTTAGCAGTAGTTTTATTTTCACAAATTTTTTTATTTCTTAAAACAGAAAGCATTGTTTATGTTTTTATGGAGAAACTGTATTTTTCCTGTGATCTGTTCATAGAAATACTTTCATAACCATTAAAATACTACTAGATAATCATGGAAGTATGAATGCTGACTGAATATATGATAATATTGAAGAATTATTGTTAATATTCATGATAGTTTGGCCTTGATCAATAAAGAAGTCCCTGTCTTTTAGAGATGCATACTGAAGTTTTTATGGATGAAATAATATGCTGTCAGAGATTTACTCCAAATAAATTCAGCAGATGCTATAGACAGAACAAGATTGGCCCTATTTTGATAATTGTTGAAGCTGTGTAATGGATACATTAACTTTATTATTTTATCTATAATTTTATACAGTTAATAATTTCAATTATAAAAAATTAAAGAACTAGTCTGCAAATCACAGTTCTTACATTTTCACAAGTTACATTTTTTAAAAGAATTACATTTGTGGGAAACATTTAGTATAATGTCTAACAAATTGTTTCCTAAGGTGGTTTAAATTGTATTGCTGGGGGAACTTCCCGAAATGGTGCTTTTATTTGGAATGTTCAAAAGGGCAAAATTATACAACGATTTAATGAGGTAAGATTTATTTATTGCTACTGAATAATATAATGTTTTATACTATTTTGTATTTATTTTGTAAATATTTTTATTTCTTAATATAATATCACTTAATAATCAGGTGGTATGTGTGTTCTCTCAATTAGAAGAAAATCCTAGAGAATACTCACATACTAAAATGAATTCTGAAAATTGTAGCTGAGTCACCTGAAGTTGCAGTAGAGAGTCAAAGGAATTTTTGAGTCATCCTCCACAAAATCTGGGCAAATACAAAATAATAGGAAGAAGACTAAACTCAGAGCAAGTCCCAAATTATAGTCCTGGTTCTGTTATTAATTAGCTCTTGACATAAGGAGAATCACTTTATTGCCCTAAACCTGTTTCTTCACCTAAAAAATGTTGAAGGTGGATTATATAGTTTCTTAGATTTTCTTCCAGTTTTCAAATTCAATTATTCCGTGCAGAGCCTTAGAACCTGCTCTCTTGTATTTGTAGCATCACAGATTTTATTTCTCCTTTGTCTTGGAGTTATATTGTCATCCCATATTTTACTGAGTTCCATTAATATTTGAAAAATACATATGATCTGAGTACAAAATATTAGGTATGAATCAGGGGAAAATGATCTAAGATTGTCTGTGTCTTGAAATTTCTTTTATTTTAGATGATTACTATTGAAGCTTATTAAGTATATAATTTCTTTGAAAATTGCCTATATATTTGGGGTTTTAAAAACATTTATACAGAGAGTATTATCCCTTTGAAGATGCTCCTTAGTAGTCCTGCTCCCCCACTACTTGTAGTAGCGTAGCAAATGCAGAGCTTTTAGGAAAACTTTAGAGACCACTGTGAGCAATTTTGCACTCAAAAAAGGAAACTTTGACAAAGGATTATAAAAGTTACATCCTTTCCTTTCTCTACATATAACACAATACCCTTTCAGTTTAGCAATGCCCCAACCTGCCATCTTCCCTCCCATCACCAAAACAACAATTTATTCCATAATAAATAGTGGATTATAAGAAGAGATGAGCCTAAAAATGAAACTTATGGCCCAGATTCAAAAATTGTATATCTTTACTCATTAGATCAGTTGATTTCTTCTTATGGCATCTTGGCAACTTGGAATCTCACATATCTGCCCACTAGTACCTAAACACTTCCAGCCTGATTGTGGAAACCCAGCATTTTAGTATCAAGGACATGTCTTGTATTTCTTTATGTCTTTCCCAACATTCACTAGCGAAATTGCTTAAATCCTATGTCATAAATAAGGGAAAAATTAACAATGCCAGCATTAATTAACTAAGCTACGTGTGTTCCACAAAAAGAATTATGGGATAGTAGAGAGTCATAAATGCAATTTTCATGGGAATAAATGAAGCTGACAGAAGGCCTCCACCCTATAAACTGAATGAATAAAAGGACTAGTCCCATTTTTAAATCTGCCTGCATAAACCTACCCTCTTTGATCCCCAAAGAGGTAAAACAGCAAACTGGAGATTGCTTTAAGAAGTTAAAACTATATTTACACAGCAACCTTAAGCTACAAGATAAAAAGTCACTTTAGTTTCCTCTTAATGGAATTTAAGTACTATATAAAGTAGAACTGTTTTTAATTAAAATTTAGAAATGGGTTGATTACAACTTTTATTTACTGATCACACCGTTGATGAATGACATTCTCATGTGTAATATATTCCTTCTAGTTTTAAAAATTCTTATAATTCCATCTATTAACTATATCCCCTGGCCCTTCCTCAGTCCTAGAAAGCAGAAAATCAAGCAAATATAAAGTGATTTATTATAGGAATAACATGAAATCTATTCTGATTTCTTTATAAAATAGAACTTTGAAACTTAGAGAAACAACCAATAATAACTGCTTGCAACATTTCTTATACTGTGGTTGAAGTAGCACTGTGTTTGGAAGCAGATAGATAACTGTTTTCATCACCATACTGGTACTCATGGGAAAAGGCATTAAGCAGAGCTTAATTCTACAGATGACTTAAGAAGGACATTTTGACTCTTTACCTTGTATCCAACAAAAAGAAATGGAGCCACCTGATTTATGTCTTAAAACAACAGATTGGTATCTTAAAACACTTTTAAATTGTGACAGCTTTAGACATTTTTAAAGTGTATAATCAGGTTTCTGCTCTTGACAGTAATGCCTCTGTTAGTGTCATCTAAAGCACATTCCTAACAGAAAAGTAATACTTAGAAGAAGTAAATATATAAGAGAAAAAAGGGGTGAATTATTTCTTATTGATAGGTATTTTACATTTTTTGAAGCATGGAACAAATGGAATATTCTGCATTGCCTGGAGTCATAAAGATTCTAAAAGAATAGCAACCTGCAGCAGTGATGGTTTCTGGTAAGTACTATGTATGATACATGATATGAAATTACACTGTTTATAAAGCACTCATTTGATCATTCCAACTGTGTATCCATGAGATTTCATTTGTACAGCTCTACCAACTCTCAGAGGCGTTATTTTTAAGCCCATATAGGCACATACTATATTGCTATGATGTATCATTAATAAATAACAATGCAAGGGTATTTAAAATTTGTTTAATGAGGCATTCAATTGCTTTCTCAATGAAAATACTACTTGAATTATTATGAAAAGACTCATTTCTTTGCCTCAAAGAAACTTTAAGGACTTTTCACAGTCTTAATAATTATCATCACATTGTTTGGAGAGTAGTATTTTGGTTTCACAGGTGATTCAGCATATATTAAGTGCCGTAAAAACTTGTTTATAGTTGTGTAGATGCTTTTATTTATAAAGGGATAAAAAGCCTTTGCAAGGAGAAATAAAGTCATGCATGTGGGAAATGCCTTTTGTTAGGAAATAACTTCACTGACCCTGTGTTTTAGAAATATGTGCTTTCTTAATTCTGTTAAGTTCCAGAAATAAGTAAGTTTTCAAATAAAAATATGTAAGGAAAAAATGCCTGGTTTAAAAAACTTTTTAAAATCAGATGCTCCTCCCCTGTAGCTGTCTATGGGTATAGCCATCTTCGATAGGTGGATAGGTGGTATAGACACTCATAGTTCTTGAGAATACAGAAGTTGTTAGGTTTTGCTAAAGCCACTCCAGTCTTCTCATCCTCACTTTTTAATTTCAGTAGAAAAGACAGTAGTTATGGAAACCAAAGATCCTTACCGGGAAGTTAAAATTTTCAGAAACAACAATATTAGTGATTTTTTTTTCCTTGAAAGGAACTATGTGCTAATTGATAGATACCAAAATACAAAAGTGCCTAAGAGTTTTTTGATTAAGTGATACAAAATTAGTTTGACCATGTATTTCAAGGCATTATATATTTGACAGATATCACTTTCAGTGACTAAACACCTGTAAGCATAAGTCACCATCAATCCCCAGTAACCTCAAAAGTGTTGGTGGGCCTAATAACATTTAAGACAGTCTTTTCCATACACTTCTAAAACTTCATAATACATTAATTAGTACACGCTTTTTTTCTGATGGAATCAATAGCTTTTGCACTGTGGTAATAATAGACTAGGATAGTAGAGCTTTTATTTTTGCAGTTAAATTATATAGAATCCTTTTCTTATGGCAGGGGATGGGGGATCATCTCTGAATTTTAGTTATATTGCTGAGAATATACAATGAAAAGTTATAACTTAATGTCTTGGTTTTGGTGCAATGGTACATAAAACCAACTTCATAAATAGTTGTTTTAAACACTATAAATTTTGAACTACCTCATTTTGAAGCTAAAAATCTAATGTATATGTTAATTATATGATTATGTTTTAAAATGTATTACACTATGTTTTCCTCAATTTAAAAAAATTCTATAAGAAAAAGCGTTTTTGTTGTTTTTCCATCGCTCAGGCTGGAGTGCAGTGGTGCAATCCCAGCTCACTGCAACCTTCACCTCCTGGGTTCAAGTGATCCTCCTGCCTCAGCCTCCTGAGTAGCTGAGACCACAGGTGTGCACCACCACGCCTGGCTACTTTTTTTGTATTTTTTGGTAGAGATGGGGTTTCACCATGTTGGCCAGGCTGGTCTTGAACCCCTGACCTCAAGTGATCCACCCGCCTCGACCTCCCCAAGTGCTGGGATTATAGGCATGAGCCACCGTGCCCGGCCAAGAAAATAGTTTTTAAATCAAAATTTATTACCTTATATTAATTGTAGGTTACCATAATTAATATTAAGAGTTGCAAATATACTTATAATTGGTAACATTTATACAGTACTTTCAAATGTTCTTTTTGCTTTGTAGACAAAATCTCTATCCTGGAATATTTCTATTTGAAATTTACAATTCTGACTTTGTTTCCTTGAATAATGTATTTAGAGTATTGTTTTTCTATTAACATATTATAATTAATTCTAGTATTATTCGAACAATTGATGGTAAAGTGCTACACAAATATAAACATCCAGCTGCAGTGTTTGGTTGTGATTGGAGCCAAAACAATAAGTAAGTGGTTTTTTTTCCTGAAATAAATAATAACTACATTTTGGAAATTTTAAATAACCATAAAGTTTAGTGCTATTTCCAAAGGTAATATCTATCACTCTATTTATACAATATCCCCTTTGCCTAGCAAATGAGAAACAGCCTTGTAATTGCTCATTTATTTTAGTTATTTTTATTCCATGAAGTTTTTACATGATTTACAAATATTGATTTCCTACTCTCAAAAAAACTTTCTAATACTTAGGAAAAAAAATAATGCTAACTAATGAAAAATGGAAATGAGTCCATTGCATGTATGGCTTCTATCATAGAAATGTGGCCCTTTTTTTAATCTCACTTAGGAATCTGTGCAATGCCAGTGTTCCACTGTGACTTTGCATTGTCCCCCACCCGATGCTAATGCCTCTGGCACTGGGTAATTTTCCACGATGTGGAACTTAAGTGCCTGGTTTTAAAAGGTCAATCTTGTTTGACAGCCAAGTATTTATCATGTAAAAATCAGCTTAGATTTAAAATTACATCCAAGTCAAATCTCCACTAAAATCAGACCTTTAACTCATTGCATTTCCTAGAATATTGTGTTTCAAGCCTCTTTTAATGGGATATAAATTATATCTAAAAATTCAAAGTTATTTAAGATATTGTCAAAAACAATGTGAATTATGTTATTTTGTATGAAATGTGGGAAATATAGAGTAAGGTACTAAAGCCTAATTATACTTGTGTTCAGAGTCAAATCACACGTTTTACAAAATGATAGACCTATGTATTTCCTCCATCAAGTGCAGAAGAATGTGTAAAAAACACTGTTTTTTGTGGGTTTTTTGAGGACGGAGTTTCACTCTTGCTGCCCAGGCTAGAGTGCAATGGCATGATCTCGGCTCACGGCAACCTCCGCCTCCCGGGTTCAAGCGATTCTCCAGCCTCAGCCTCCTGAGTAGCTGGGATTATGGGCATGCGCCACCACGCCCAGCTAATTTTGTATTTTTAGTAGAGACGGGGTTTCTCCATGCTGGTCAGGCTGGTCTCGAATTCCCGACCTCAGGTGATCCACTCGCCTTGGCCTCCCAAAGTGCTGGGATTACAGGCGTGAGCCACCACGCCCGGCCTTACACGCTGTTAAGGTTATATGCAAAATAAGCTCACTATCAGCTCATCCCCAGTATTTCCCATCTCAGTGGCCAATATTGCTAACAAGGAAAACTGCTAAAGCCAGAATCCTTAGCCTTTTCTTTTACACCTTTTTATATCTCACTTTCTGTTTTCAATCAGCCACCAATTCCTGTAATTTTCTCTGTCTAAATATTCATCTTGGCCAGGTATGGTGGCTCATGCCTCTAATTCAAGCACTTCGGAAGCTGAGGCCAGAGGGTCACTTGAGCTCAGGAGTTCAATACCAGCCTGGGCAACATAGTGAGACTTCGTCTCTTAAAAAAAAAAAAAAAATGAAAAATGAAAAAATTAGTCAAACTGGTGGGGCACACTTGTAGTCACAGCTCCTCGGGAGGCTGAGGTGGGAGGATGGGTTGAGCCCAGGAGGTCGAGGCTGCAGTAAGCCATGATTGTGCCACTGCACTGCAGCCTGGGTGATAGAGCCAGACCCTGTTTCAAATTTAAAAGAAAAAAATTATAAATACTCTTTTTTTTCCTAACCATCAACTTGCCACTAAACCAATAACATTTGGGTTTTTTTAGAGTCCTGCAGAAACCTTCTAAGTCAGTTCTACAGTTTACACCCTTTATCATCACCTCCTCTCTCTCTACCCCACCTCTCCATGTTGCAGTCAGAATGAACATTTAAGACACAGAGCTGAGCACACCATTCTACTGCTTAAATCTTTCAATACTTTCCCATTAACTGCAGGATAAAATGAAAACTTTTAGCAAGCACTACAAGAAGGTCCCTGAATAATCTTTTTCCTATTTTATTAATCTCATTCCCAGGCTTGCTTTCCCTTACTCCTTGCATCCAGCCACACTCACTTTCAGTTTATGGAACTAGCCATCTGATTTTCACCCCAAGGTTCACTTATACTGGCCCCCTTACCTAGGATTCTGTTTCCCACCTTACACCACACACCCTACCTGGGTGGGAGATAGATAACTGCTATCCATCCTTCAGCTTTCAGCTCAAAAACCACAGAAAAGTATTCCTTGACCCCCATATGAAGTAAGTTTCCCATATAATATGCCTTTGGAGCACTTAATATAATAAAATTAAATTTTATTTGTTGGCTGGTTGCATATTGGCTGTCTCACCCTCTGAAATGTAAGCCCTATGAGATCGCCAACTACGTTATCTGTGTTAAACAGCATATTCTTAGCAAAACACTCAGTTGCTGACCCTCACTGTGCCTTGAAAAAAGGAGATGTTCAATAAATATTTGTTAAATATGCAAATGAATAGAATTACCTTGTATCTGACTAATTAGAACAGTTCCATATTCCTATTTCTCTGTTTTATAGAGTTAATAACCCATTTGGCCAGTTGAAATAAAAGCTAGATATTAATATAATATGTTTAGTTAGTTAAGAAAGCTATATTTTCAAATGACACTGGAAGTCCTTTATATTTAACTATTATGCTTACTACCAAGCATATCTAATAAACTTCATTTTTAATTTTAGAAACCTTTTAAAATGTTTTAATTGCCGTATTCATATTCCACTTAGTGTCTTAGTAGGTAAGTGAACCTTGAACATACCAAAGTTTATTTATAAGGTATCTCTGACTGTATAATTTAGATATCTTTATGTGCATTCTTTAAATCTTTATGATATCATTTCTGACTTTATGTATCTGTATATACATATATATAAAAATATACTCATATATGCATGTAAATATATATATGCAAATTATATTTTCCCAAATGTAGAAACTGTCTTGTTTATCAGTGGATCTTGAGAAGATGTAATCTGCACATTTGCAGATTGGCATGCCAGTTTGCAAACTGCCGTATTTCTACATGTGGGCTTAAATAAATATAAGTATTATAACCCATGTGACAAAGTCAACAGTTTGAAGTTTTGAAAGGGTTTTGATGACAGTTGTGATCCACAGTGTGTAACTGCCTTTCTTTATGTTTAGCATGTGGAGACTGTTTATAATGATGGTTAGAGTAGATGTTCCTCAAATAGACTATTCTGGCAGGTCCGTGATTTCCACAGGTCTTCCTACTACTCATAATTCCTTTCCTAGCAGTATTCCAAGTTTGATCATGAAGGTACAAGTAGTTGCTTAGCTTATTCTCACTATTGTGAGAATACTGAGCAAAGAACATTAAAAGATCAAATTCTATTTCCAGGGGCTTCATAGTTGTATCAAACAGTTAAAGCATCTTAAAGAAGGGAAGCCATCAAAAAGGAATGGAAAACTGGACTGTGACTTCCTGTCCAATCAGACAACCCTGGTCTGCAGGGAGCTTTTCCAGAAAACTTTCAGTGAGAATACTGTTGTTTGTACCCATGCCACAAAAACAATCTAACAAATGGGCTAAGGCATGTAATAATAATTTGCCCACCAGCAAGTAAGCAAATGTCATCACTCACCATTTGGGATGCTTCTTAAGACCTAAGTGTTGCAGAATGTAAAGTTTGAGAAAAATTCAGAAAATTATGAGTCTGGTCATCTTGAAAAAGAACTTATAGAAATAGAAATACCATTACCTCTGACCTAAAATAAATAAAATAAAAATTCAACCAGTTAAAAGAAAACACAGAAAGAAACACACCATACTGGTGCAGTTTCTGTAAATGAGCAGTAGCGTGATTATACACGATTTTTTACATATGTAAGTTTTTAGTCTAACTTCACTAAGGAAGCAAAAATTCTACTTTTAGAAATTAGAACTATGGTATACCTTTAATTATTAGTTATATATCATATTTATCCTATGTCAATATTCCATTGATGATATTTCAGAGACATGATAGCCACTGGCTGTGAAGACACAAATGTTCGTGTTTATTATGTAGCCACCAGCTCAGATCAACCATTGAAAGTATTTAGTGGGCATACAGCAAAAGTGTTTCATGTTAAATGGTCTCCTCTGAGAGAGGGAATTCTTTGCAGTGGTTCTGATGATGGGTATGTATTTTTGGATTCTAATTTTCTAGTCCTTAAAATCATAAGCTTATATTTTCCTAGAAATGTACATATTTATAGGAGATATATAGATATATACAGAGTCTCCCTCTGTCACCCAGGCTGGAATGCAGTGGCGTGATCGTGGTTTACTGCAATCTCCACCTCCCAGGTTCAAGTGATTCTCCTGCCTCAGCCTCCCGAGTAGCTGGGAACCACAGATTTAGTATTGAATGATTAAGCATTTTCGTTGAATTTTTGGCATAAATCCAAATTTAATAAGATAAATAATTAGGAGATTTCTGTAGGTTATGACTTGAAATAAGTCAGAATGGTAGGGAAATCAGTTATACTGCCGTACTCATGGCAGAACTCACAGATGCTGCGCTGCAGCCTGGAGAGCCTCAGACACTCATTTGCAGTGGGGCCTATAAAAGCCTTTCTTGGGTTTGACCAAAAAACATGCATTGGGACTTCAAAGCCTAACTACCTAACATGTCATGAAAGGAAAGACACCTGTTCTAGTGGCCCCTACAATAACAGTAAGTTATTTTGATACAAATCCCTTTAATGTATTCTTATTTATGAAAGTATATCAAATGTAAAATATTTAAATGTTAGCATATATAAGAAATTAGCAACAAAATTTTTAGATTGTAATATACTTTGATATATTGTCGTGTGCAAGCTTAAGAGGACAAAGAAGAAATGAAAAAAAAAATTTTTTTTTTGAGACAGTCTCACTGTGTCGCCAGGCTGGAGTGCAGTGGCATGATCTCAGCTCACTGCAATCTCTGCCTCCCGGGTTCAAGCTATTCTCCTGCTTCAGCCTCCCTAGTAGCTGGGACTACAGGTGTGCGCCACCACGCCCAGCTAATTTTTGTATTTTTGGTACAGACAGGGTTTCACCATGTTGGCCAGGATGGTCTCGATCTCTTGACCTCATGATCCGCCCGTCTCAGCCTCCCAAAGTGCTGGGATTACAGACATGAGCCCCTGCGCCTGGCCGAAATGAAACTTTATATAAAGCAGAAAGGGATATGCCTTAAGAAATAAGAATACATCATTTATCTCCTATATAGTGCAAAATAGTAATACTTTTGAAGTACTACTATTTTGTTGTCAGTTTGGCATATATCTGTGACTAAAAAATTATTGTGAATTGTCTAAGCAAAATTAGCAGTTGGAGGTCTTAAATTGATTGTAAGTTAAATTTTAATTTCAGTAACATTTGTACAATCAATAGATACAAGTAATTTCACGAATCCAGTTATATTTAAATTTTTTAACTTGATCTAAGATTTATTCTACACTGACCAAGCAACTTATATCACTGACAAAAACATGAAGGAATTATTTGCTGTATTGATTAAAGCATAAATATCCAGTGACATTTCAGATAATACCCATCATCATACATGTTATACTTTTATAATTTACAAATCATCTTAATATATTAAATTACTGTATCTGTATTATTAGTCATATTTTCCACTTTGGTTATAGCTGTTTTTGGTATTTCGTTTTAACAAAGCAATTTTATTCACATGTAACTAACCGGCACATTGTGCACATGTACCCTAAAACTTAAAGTATAATAATAATTTAAAAAACTGTGAAATAATATGTTTACTACCAGTAATGAGTAAAAGTCAAGAAGGAAAATATGTTTAAATAAGCTAGCACTAGCCTAGTTAAATATTCATTTCCATCTACTATAAAGAAAAGTATGTGAGGGGATGAATTTGTTAATTAGCTTGATTTAATTATTCCACATTGTAAGCATACATCAAAATATCACATAAATATATACAATTATTATTTTTTAAATTAAAATGAAGAGAACCTTATATCTTGAGACATAAAATGCTTCTAGATAAGCTAACAAATAATTATTATACTCTATTAAGAATATGTTAATACTCTAGATACATTATAACTTGAATGTTATCACACCCATAATATTCTGTTTTCAGTACCGTTCGAATCTGGGATTATACTCAGGATGCTTGCATCAATATTCTTAATGGACACACTGCACCTGTGAGAGGATTAATGTGGAATACTGAGATTCCATATCTGCTCATATCTGGCAGCTGGGACTATACTATAAAAGTATGGGACACTCGAGAAGGAACTTGTGTGGATACTGTGTATGATCACGGTGCAGATGTATATGGTAGAGTGTCTTTCATTCTTTCATGTATTTGTTATATTGACATACTAATGATGCTTATAACTTCTGAGGAATACAGTATTTTTGAAGAAGTTATACAGTGTTTTATTTTACAATAACATTTTTCACATTAGAAAATATACACGTTTATTATTATAATACCAGAATGTGCAGAAGAAAAAGTCAACAAAAATTATCAGAAGATGACTATTGTTAGCACTGTGTTGTCTTTCTCCCCACTGTCTGCAGGTGTGTCTGTGTTTCTGTGTACACACAAACACACACACAATGCACACATATTGCGATGGGCATATATACATGTATGGCTTTTGTTTTTCTCCCTTCCATTGACATCACTCCAGAGGTAAGTTGTTTAACAGGAAATCAGTAATAGAGTAGATACCACTTATTTAACCATTCCTCTATTCTTGGATGTTTAGTACAATGTTTTGTTTTTTAATATAATCCCGTTTTTTTAATATAATTAATTGGTTATGGAAAATCAGATTACTTACCATTTGCACATCTCTTCACTCTCATTCTTGTTTGTATTTATTCTCATCCTTAAACTTTGATGGGAGTAAATGGGCAGATTAAGAATCCAAAAATGATTTCTTAGAAAAAGTAACCTCAATCTAGATCAGGTTCAGATCCATATGCTTGATCACAATGGCCTTTTAGCCAAGGCAATGCGGGACTGAGTGTGGGAGAGAATCATATTTGTTGATATTCGAATTGAAAGGTCCCCAACTCTTCATCTTTTAACTAGAACGTCATCTGCCCATCCACTAACTCACAGATACTATGTATGCTATTGGTTTTATAGTATACTTGTTGCTGCTTAACCACACGAAATATACTTTTAACATTTTCATCCATGACCATTTGCTTTCTAATAATTTTTTTCTTTTTTCTTTCTTTCTTTTTTTTATTATTATTTTGTTTTTTTGAAACAGAGTCTCACTCTGGCTCTGTTGCCCAGGATGGTGTACAGTGGCGCAAACACAGCTCACGTCAACCTTCACCTCCCAGGTTCAAGAGATCCTCCCACCTTAGCCTTCCAAGTAGCTGGGACTACAATCACATGCCACCACACCCAGCTAATTTCTGTATTTTTGGTAGAGATGGTATTTCATCATGTTGCCCAGGCCGATCTCAAACTCCTGGGCTCAAGGGATCCACCCGCCTCAGACTCCCAGGAAAGTGCTGGGATTACAGGCGTGAGCCACCATTTCCAGCCTCTAATGGTTATTCAATTTTATATTCATATTTATAGAATATATAAAATAATTTATTGCATTCTTATATTATTTTCAGCCAGTATATTAAATGCAGATAGGTTGACTGAGAACCTTTCAGTTACTCACAATATTTCTTCATAGCTTCAATTCTGTAGAAGTTTTATGAAGCACATATAAATAAAAAATATTTTTCAATGTTCACTTTACTTAAAATAGGTTTTTATTTTCATCAGGTTTAACCTGCCATCCCAGTCGCCCCTTCACTATGGCCTCTTGCTCCCGTGACTCTACAGTGAGACTCTGGTCATTAACAGCCTTAGTCACTCCTGTACAAATAAATATTCTGGCAGACAGATCTTGGGAAGAAATTATTGGGAACACTGGTATGGAACATATACATGTATTAGAGTTTATTTCTAAATAAGTTTTATGAGAAATCTTTTCTCACTGAATTATGTCTGTTCTTCAGATTATGCTATAGAACCAGGCACTCCTCCTCTACTGTGTGGTAAAGTGTCAAGAGATATTAGACAGGAAATAGAAAAACTAACTGCTAATTCTCAAGTGAAAAAACTAAGATGGTTCTCAGAATGTTTATCTGTAAGTATTACAGGAATTAAATGCGAATATTTTCCCTTTAGCCAACATGAATCATTACAACTATTTTTATTCACATATTTACATGTACCATTCTAATTCATTGGGTAACTCTTACCATAATCTGTGCACTATAAGAAAGCAAATGTAAAACTAGAAACAATACATGAGATAACATGTAGTTATTTTGTTAATTTTTAAATTTAGATATGCCTGCATTATAATATTTTTGAAGATGCAAAATATTATGAGGTTTTTAATTCACTATTCCATATTTATTTTTTGTCAACTCTTTAGCCTCCAGGTGGCAGTGACAATTTATGGAACTTGGTTGCTGTGATAAAAGGACAGGATGATAGCTTACTTCCTCAGAACTACTGCAAAGGAATAATGCACTTGAAACATCTGATTAAATTTAGAACAGTGAGTAAAATATGCAAATATGATGTACTCAAGCAAATTTTTTGCCTTTTCACTATTAAAATGTAAAAATGATTTTAAAAATATATATGATTAGATCGGTAGATTTAAATAAATGAACACTGAGGAGATCCATCTTGGGTAAAATGAATCATAAAAGTGAATTACTTGAGAACAGATTAAGTCAATCATGGTTATCATAGGTTGAGTCTCATGAAATTCCTTCAAGGTCACTCGGAACTCCTTGAAATGCTTTATCTTTCCCCTATTAGCAGATGACTGTGACATGTGGACTATTCTAATTTTAGTCTCAGAGGGCCTAATAGGCTGTTCTGGGATATGTTTTATAATAAATGATCATATTATAGCTCTTAATGAATTTCAGTAAAAACTACTAGTTACCTCATCCCTGGGGCAATCTACAGCACTAACAACAAAACCCATTCTGGCACCAGAAAGAAAAAATTGCTTGTATATTTTCTGAAATATGTATAGTTAATCGTTAGAGCATGGAGACAGTTGTGCCAGAGATGTGGATCTAATGCTCATAAAGAGCAGTTTTTTCCATGAAGAGGAAGTTACTTTCTTTAATCGCAAACTAAACACCTAATGACTGTAACCACAAAATCTATTTGACAGGAGAAGAGCTAATTAAAGTAAGCCAGTAACTTTTTGTTTTTACTAGAGGCCTGTCTGTACTGTTGTATATTACTTTATCATTACCTTTTATCTGTTCTGTGTAACTACAACACCTGGAGAGGGTTAAGAACAATGGGGTTCAATCTCTCCCCTCCCGTGTCCCACCCCCACACACACCCCAAAATATTATGTTTAGAAACGTATCACATTTTATAGAGAAAAATATTTTTAAATATTTACTTCCCAGAGCTATATGCTTTTGAAGTATGTATTCATGTAAAGTTTATATGATCATCTGTTATCATGAACTCTTGTAAAACAATTTTTTTAAATTTTTAATTATTATGGATGCATAATAGTTTATGGGGTATATGTGATATTTTCACACAAGCATACAATGAGTATTGATGAAATCAGGGTAATTGGGGTATCCATCACCTCAAGCATTTATCTTTTTTTGTGTGTTAGGAACATTTCAATTCCGCTCTATTAGTTATTTCAAAATATGCAACAAATTATTGTGACACATACAAAACAAAATATGTCAAATTTTTTTAAATTCTATTTTCTTTTTAAAACCAGTCTGAAGCTCAAGAACTAACAACAGTCAAGATGTCTAAATTTGGTGGTGGTATTGGTGTACCTGCTAAAGAGGAAAGACTGAAGGAAGCTGCTGAAATCCACTTGAGATTAGGACAAATTCAGAGATACTGTGAACTTATGGTTGAACTTGGAGAGGTAATGTGCTATGAAAGTAAAACTAATGAGTTTAACATAGTAGTCTAAACGTTAAGAATATACTCAATTTTAAGTATTAAAAATAAAAAGCTCAGCACTTTGGAGGCCAAGGTGGGTGGATCACTTGAGCCCAGGAGTTCGATACTAGCCTGAGCAACACGGTAAAACCCCACCTCTACAAAAATCACAAAAAATTAGACAGGCATGGTGGTGTGCACTTGGGAAGCTAAGATGAGAGGATCAGTTGAGCCCAGGAGGCAGAGGTTGCAGTGAGCTGTGATCGTACCACTGCACTCCAGCCTGGGCTACAGAAAGAGACCCTATCTCAAAAAAAAAAAAAAAAAAAAGCCTGAGCGTGGTGGCTCACGCCTGTAATCCCAACACTTTGGGAGGCCAAGTCGGGTGGATCACGAGGTCAGGAGATTAAGATCATCCTGGCCAACATGGGGAAACCTTGTCTCTGCTAAAATACAGAAAAACAAAAACAAAACTAGCCAGGCGTGTGGCACGCACCTCTAGTCCCAGCTACTTGGGAGGCTGAGGCAGGGGAATTGCCTGAACCTGGGAGGCAGAGGTTGCAGTGAGCCGAGATCGTGCCACTGTACTCCAGCCTGGGTAACTCCATCTCAAAAAAAAAAAAAAAAAAAAAAAAAAAGGGAAAGAAATGTAAATACCCTGCGTGCTGGCTCACACTTTCACACCTGTACCTGTAACCCTACCACTTTAGGAGGCCAAGGCGGAAGGATCACTTGAGGACAGGAGTTCAAGATCAGCCTAGCCAACATGGAGAAACCCCGCCTCTTCTAAAAATATAAAAATTAGCCCAGCATGGTGGCGTATTCCTGTAATCCCAGCTACTTGGGAGGCTGAGGCAGGAGAACTGCTTGAACCTGGGAGGCGGAGGTTGCACGGAGCCGAGATCGCACCATTGCACTCCAGCCTGGCGACAGAGCAAGACTCCATCTCAAAAAAAAAAAAAGGAAGCTTATTTTTTTACAGATCTAATTGATTCTCTACCAATATGATATTAAGTGTAGATGTTAGGAGAGTAGTTATCAAAGTGTTCCAGGACAGCAGCATTGGCATCACTGGGATCCCTATGCATGTCTCACCTCAGACCTACAGAATCAGAAACTGCGGGGTTGGAGCCCAGCCATCTTGTGTTTTCATAAGCCCTCCATGTTATTCTCTTGCATGCTGAAGTTTGAGAACTACCGCCCTAGGCTGGAATCTTAACTTCTTACAAACAAACAAAAAACGATGTTGGCTAATTTGTTCACAGTAGAATCCGCTTGCTAATACTACTTGTCATAACTAAATCCCACACTGGCCAGAAGAAGGGTTTCTGCTGAATATCATCTGATAAAGGATGATGATTGTTTAATGGAGGGCTAAATCAACAAAACTGATCTTTACAAAAAGGTTAGGATGAATTTATGCTTTTGCTACCCTTTAGTAGATGGGTAGTGACTGCAATGGAACACGGGAGAATGGGGCTTCTGTTTCTTGATCCTGAGTGTTGATTACATGGGCATACTCAGTTTGTGTAAACTTATTGGACCTTTCCCTTTTCTGTATATGCATTTTAGTTCAGTGAAAATTCTTCCTTTCCCTGCCTCACCAAAACAACCGTTAGAATGGCATGGACTTATCTCATAGCTTATCATCTTTTAAAAAGTTTAAGTTAGTTAATTGTGTAGCTACAAAGCATGATATTTAGAGTACTTGTAAATAATATAAAGTAAAACTAAGCAATATGGTTACATTAAAATAAATCAAAACTAAATTTAGCTCACCTTTTTACTTTCCATATACTTCAAGAAAAACAATGAATTACTGCTTGACCCCAAATAATAACATGTGCCATTTTAAAATGTTATCAAAAAGGCATTATAAATTTAAAAGTATTTAATTTAGGAGCAATGTAAAAATTTTCCTTGTAAAGTAGTAAATATTTAACTAAAAGTTGCTTTTTTAAACAGCATTACTGCAGAGAAGATCTATCAAAAGTCAAGGAGAAAAGGAATTAATAAATTTTGGTACAACAGTGTAATTCTTTAGCTTTCTGGGTTTTATATTTGATTAAATATAATTTAAACTGCCTTTAACTCAAAGCCTATTTCAATCAGGTATCTGTTTGGGAAGCTTAATAATTTTATTGTTGTGCAGGTTCATCGATGTACTTAATGATCCATGAAACTGTACAAGTTGTTAGAAATATGGGTGTCCTAAGGCGGGCACGGTGGCTTATGCCTGTAATCCCAGCACTTTGGGAGGCTGAGGCAGGTGGATCACCTGAGGTCGAGAGTTTGAGAACAGCCCTGCCAACATGGTGAAACCCTGTCTCTACCAAAAATACAAAAATTAGCTGGGCGTGGTGGCGGGTTCCTGTAGTCCCAGCTACTCAGGAGGCTGAGGCAGGAGAATCACTTGAATCCGGCAGGCGGAGGTTGCAGTGAGCCAAGATCATACCATTGCACTCCAGCCTGGGTGACAAGAGTGAAACTCCATCTCAAAAGAAAAAAAGAAAAAAGAAATATGGGTGTCCATAGAATCGTTTGTAATCATTTCTTAGGAATGTTGTTTATTTTTTTAAGCTTATCTATTAGACATGTTTCTATTGAAAGAGCTTGGTGAATTCAAAGTTAATTTAATCTACATTGCAACTTCTTTCTTCTGTTAGAGAGAGATTTCCCCTGAAAACATATTTTAAGATACCTTTTAGGTAACATGATTTTAAATACGTAGTATTAAAAATTGCCTGTTTAAAATTTAACGTATTATTTTCTGGTTAATTACCAATTTTCTAGTGATAATTGCAATAGAACCCTAGTGTTTTGAAAACCCTTAATTAAAATAAAATTTTGATTCATGTAGTGATATTTCAGAAAATTTTCCTCTCAGTTCCACTCTAGACTGGAATCCAATGAAATCTGTATTTTCATATAACAGTAACAATCAGCCTTTATTAAACAATGAGCTTCTTCAATAGAAGTCCAATTTTTAAATATGAAGACAAGTATTATATTATCAGTTAAATGAAGAAATGACAATAAGTAAAATTTATTAAAATGAGTAGGAAAGGATAAAATAGAAATAGATGGTATATTTGTTCATGTAAGTAGCAGTGAAATAAAAATGTTAATATTTTGAACACCATGGAACAAATTACTCTGGAGTTGTATTAGAATATGAGTCAACATATTTTTCAAAGTACATATTTTAGTTACTATTTCTTTTCTTCCCTTCCTTTCTCTCCCTCAGTCTCTCCTTCCGTTTTTCTCTTTCTTTCTCTCAGGTTTAGGACTGGATTTTCCCTAAATAATAGAATTTTACATATTTTATTTTAAAATATTTTAATATGTAGAGACTTCAAAAATTTGTGGAAAATGGAATTAAAAGATAGCAATAAAAAATAAATATTTTTCTCAACTTCTTCAAACTCCATCAAGTTCAAGATACTTTTGTAAGTGATGAGAGCAGCCATTTAATCCTTCCCTAAGGAACCGAGGGGTACTTGGAATTTAACCATGTCAATACAATCTTTTTTACTTTGTTTTTTTGTTTATTTGTTTGTGTTTTTTTTTTTTTTTTGGAGACGAAGTCTTGCTCTGTGGCCCAGACTGGAGTGCAGTGATGTGATCACAACTCACTGCAGCCTTGAACCCCTGGGCTCAAACGATCCTGTCCACTCAGCCTCCCAAGTAGCTAGAACTACAAGTGTGCACCACCACATCTGACTAATTAAAATATATATATATATATATATGTTTTGGTAGACATGAGGGTCTTGCTGTGTTGCCCAGGCTAGTCTCAAACTCCTAGCCTCAAGCAATCCTCCCACCTCAGCCTCCCAAAGCACTGGCTTTACAGACATCAGCCACCATGCCCAGCTTCTTTTATATTATTGACAGAGGTAAAATTAGTGCTCTTTAAAGATTTTTTTTAAGACTACGGAACAAAAAGAAGTCAGAAAGTACCAAATCAGGACTCAAGAACTCAAATATAAAAATACTATATTATAAATACCAATCTATTTTTTAAGTGTCTTAAGAATTACACAGAGCAACCAAAATTAATATGCTCCTGCCCTTTTTGCCTTCTATTGTAGTGGGACAAAGCCCTGTCAATTGCACCAGGAGTCTCTGTGAAATACTGGAAGAAGTTAATGCAGAGGTAAGGCAGAGAGAGTCCGTGTTAAAACAGATGTTTTAAAATCATGTTAGAATAGAAGCAGTATATAAATATGGCAGTAGCTCTTGAAATTTCTTATTCTTATGTTGTCTTAAATAACAATTAAATTTTGTATCTACTGATACAGTAAATGAAATGAATCAGTTACAAGTAATTTTGGTGTTCTTGGATTTGACTTGACCTCTGATGAAGATAGCAGAAGGCAAATTTCCCCATGTCAGTGGAGAGAAGGACAGATCAGCAAACATACTCACTGATTAATAAATTGCTATTGAAATATAAGTGGCAAGATTTTCTGAAGGTTAGCATAGGTTCGTAAAATACTATTCTATTAATTATCTCAAAAATTTTCTCTGTAGGCACTAATTCCTGCCATTTCTTCCCATGGATATGAGGGAGGCACTGATGATAAAGAAGGGTCTGACCACTGAGGAAATTAACTAAACATTCTTGTTTCAGAATGCAATAACCCGACAAGATTTTTTCTCAAGTGGGCTAGTTTCCTGGGGTTGCCGTAAAAAAAAAAAAAAAAATTACCATAAAATGGGTGGCCTAAAACAACAGAAATTTATTTTCTCACAGTTCTGGAGGCCAGAAGTCTAAATCATGTTGTCAGCAAAGTTGGTTTCTACTGGAGGCTCTGAGAAAGAATTAGTTCCATGCTTCTCTCTTGGTGTCTGGTTGCGTGCAGTCCTTGGCATCTTGTGGCTTTTTGACACGTCACTCCAGTCTCTCCTTTATCTGCACATGGCATTATTCCCTGTGTGTCTCTGTGCCCAGATTTCCTCTTCTTATAAGTCATGAGTCATATTGGATTGAGGTCCTACCCTAATCCAGTATGACCGCATATTACTTCAACTAATTACATCGGCTAAGACCCTATTTCCATATATGGTTACATTCACAGGTATCGTGGGTTAGGACTTCAACATATTGTTTTGAGGGACACATTTCAACCTACAATGTATCATTATTCTCTGTTCTATTTTATTCTACTCTCTTCTATGCTATTCATTCATTTAACAAATATTTATTAATGCCTACTATATGCCAATCACTGTGCTAATCTTATAGAGTACTATATATTATTATGTAATTACCTTTCTTCTGACATTAAAAACAGAAATTTGGATTTTTCTTTTATGCAACAAGGTTTAGTGGCAAAAAATCAACTGCTTCTTATAGACACAAGTAAAAATCAATCAAAGGCTAAACATAAAATTCAGAAGGATTAACACATTTGCCATGGGAAAGTAGACTGTTCCCTAGCACCTGCTCCCAACAGTAAGTTAAGCAACAGGCTGATTGTAGCCCTCAGATTTTAGGCTCCCTCTCCTGAGCTTTAAGAATCCCCAGTGCTGTAAGTCCCTGTACCCTCACAGCACAATTGTGAATGTTATTGCTCTCACCGAATCCTTAAGAAAGTCAAGTTAGCAGAGGATATTTATTTCACAAAATATTATTTCAATCTCAGCAAAAACTTAATGGATTTCCATTTAAGACCAAAGTGGAGTCACTCCGTGTTAATATTGCAGAATAAAAGTAAACATATTTTGTATTCTATGTGATTATTGACATATTTTATTAGCATCTAGTCATATTAATATGCTACTACGTTGCTTTCTATGTTAGGTATCTGTGAGTTTAAAATGTGGTGTATCCTCAGATAAATTGGAACAAAGGAAACCTGACCAAGATTGGTGTATATGAACTGAGCTATAAAGAATACATAGGACATAACCAAGTGAAGAGGCTAGAGGAAGCATCCCAGGCTTAGGAAGCAGAGTACAGGAACTCTGTGAAAGGAGGCTGCTGTAGCTGGAGTGCAGGAGCCAGGGGGAAGTGATGCCAAGGGAAAGTGAAAAGGTAGGCCCAAGCTGGACATTTTAGGGCCTTGTAAACGTAGTAAGCTTTTTTATTGTTTCTTTTTCCTAAGAGGAACACAAGACATTAAAGGGTTTTAATTTTAAATAGGGTAGAAAGTGATGTGATCAATTCTTCATTTAGAATATCCGCACAAGCTAAAATATCAAGAACAGATTAGAGAAGGTCAATAGCAGACATGAGGAGGCCAGTTAGAAGGCAATTAGAATAGCTGAGTCAAGAGACAGCAGTAGCGTGGACGCCATATGTAGTGATGTGGGGACTGAGAAAAGTAGACAAATTTGATATATCTAGGAGTTAAAAGTAACTGGATTTGGTAATAGAGATGAGGAAGGTATAACATAATTTTTAGGTTTTAGGTTTGAAAAACTGGATAGAAGCTGTTGCTAATCACTGGGATTTAAAAACAAACAACTAAAACAACAACAACAGCAAAACCATTAGAAGAGGATTTGAATCAAATGGCACGAAGATCATTAGTTCTCTTTGGACATGTTGAGCTTGAAGTTCCTTGTGATTTTAGTGGCATTGTTCAATAGCCAGTCTTGATTTTGTAGCCCAAAGAAGAAATCTGGATCACATGGAGGTTATTGTTGATCTTAGTAAGAGCTGTTTTGGTAGAAAGAAGGAGACTGAAGCAAGATTAGAATAGATTTAGTGGGGAAGGAAAAGGAGGAGGCAAATGGGAATACACAAAACTCTTCCAAGTCTATTTCATTTATCTTTGAAAGCCAACTCCTGATTTTCTCTGCCTCTTAGCCATGTAGCTGCCAGAAAGTGGTCTCTCCACAACTCCTGCATTTATGCTTTATAGATCCAGCCATTCATCCAGATTGGCAGTCTCTCAATCATAGTTTCAAATGCCCAGGGAAGTAGATTATTATTTCTAACCAGCTTCTTTCTAAACAGCTATAACAAGAAAATCAAAGTCACATAGTAAAAACATAGCTGTTGAGGAATACTTCGATGACTCTATGAAATTGGAGACTGTTAACAGTGAGCTGGCAAATATCATGAAAAATACTTTCCATTTTCAGCATGAAAAATATCTGCTACCCCTACCCAAAGATTAAAAATTGAATTCTGGTTTAATGTAAATGCTAGCATAAATTAAATAGACCAGGTTATTTTTAAACAAAACTGAGGTTAAACATTGAGGGCAGAATTAGCTAGGGGGTTAGTCATTGAGAAAATACCTGAGACGTAGATGGGAAGATACACACACACATGCACACACACACACACACACACATACACACACACAGATGGAGAGAGAGAGAGAGAGAGAGAAAGGGAGAGAGAGAGAAATGGGTGCAGAGAGACAGAGACAGATTACAGAAACAGACACATGTACACCCTTCACAATCTCTAAGATTACCATCCCCTTTCTCCCTTCACATGTCTGGAACATTATTTTCCTTTAATCTTCCTCACTTAAGGCACTTAAGACATTCTACATTTTATTGTTAATATTTATGTTTCTATATTCTCCATCTTAGTGATTTTTAAGCTACTTGAGTTTCAAGCCTCTCTATTCATTGTTATGCTTCCTAAAACAATTAAAATTATCTGTCTTTAACAATGTAGATACCCACATATTTGCTTAATCCACCTGATATCCTATCACACGTACCTTGTATAAAACATATTTTTGAATAAATTAATTGCCCATTTTAATAAACTACATTGATTTTAAGATCTAAAATGTTCAGGCATATTTTATGTCATGTTCTAAAGACAAACAAGTACCTATAGTATTTATTATTTCATACAACTTTTATCTGCCTTCCACATGTAATTTGATTATAAAATGTCTTTTTTAAAAGTGGTATGCCAAAGGGCTTTATGAAATCTGCTACAAATTTTAGCCATACTTTCAGAAAATCTCAATTCACCTAAAAACCTTCAAAATAATATATTGTTTAAAAAACTGTCCTTATTTTATTAGGAGAGCTGACCAATTAATCCAGGAAGATAAGGATGATGTCATTCCATACTGCATAGCCATTGGTGATGTGAAAAAGCTAGTCCATTTTTTCATGTCAAGAGGTCAGCTTAAAGAAGCTCTGCTTGTTGCACAGGTAAAACCACAGAACTACCCCAGTCACATACATGAATGCTTGAGCATGTAGAAGGGAGAAGGTTGTGTTGACTGGCTCACCCTTACATAATTGACAAAGTCATAAAGGGCTTGGCTTCTGCCCTCCTCCCTGGCCTTCTTTCTCAACATTTGAGAACATACTATTTTCTGGTCACAGCGCACTTATTTTATTTTATTATTTATTTATTTTTTTGAGATGGAGTCTTGCTCTGTCACCCAGGCTGGAGTGCAATGGCACGATCTCAGCTCACCACAACCTCCACCTCCCAGGTTTAAGTGATTCTCCTGCCTCAGCCTCCCGAGTAGCTGGGATTACAGGCACCCGCCACCATGCCCAGCTAATATTTGTATTTGTAGTGGAGATGGGGTTTCACCATGTTGGCCAGGCTGGTCTCAAACTCCTGACCTCAGGTGATCCTCCCGCCTCAACCTCCCAAAGTTCTGGGATTACAGGCATGAGCCACCACACACAGCCGAACTTATTTTAGATCTTTAAACATACAAGCATCTCTGAACTCTAAACTTTACACATGCTGCTGAATGTTATACACCATGCATTTGAACAACTTAGTAATAATTCACTTGAAGCTTTTTTTGCTACACACAATTAACATCTCATTTCTCCTCAAATTCTAAGATTATCTCCAAATTATAGTATAAATTTCAAACATTATTTAAGTATACTTTGCTCAAAATCATATTCTGAAATGTGTCAATTATCAACAATTAGCTAAAGAATAATTCAACATTTAATTAAATTCTAGGCTGCTTGTGAAGGAAATATGCAGCCCTTACATGTTTCCGTGCCTAAAGGAGCTTCATATTCTGATGATATCTACAAGGAAGACTTTAATGAGTGAGTGATTTATTTGCTCTGGGTCCATATGTTTTATGGTTGTCTTCCCTTTAGGAATTTTTGAAGTCTCTATAATTCATCCTTCTTTGTATACTGATGACTTGACTGCCTCAACCGCATTCCTCACCATGATCCAGTTCCATACAGCATTTACTCCTAGATGAACAGGGAAATTTCAGGCATGGAGACTCTGTTTATACACATTTTATATAGCTTTCAGAAAAGCAAAATGCATTTTACTAGAGAGATTGAAAGTAAGGCACCTAAACACTTAGAAACTAATCAAACCTATTGGAGAGGACCAATGATGAAAATAAGATAGACTGCTTATTAATGTTTTACTCTAAAGTTAGTGTATGTAAGTTCACAGTAACGTAGTTTATAATCCCATGACCCCAGTATTGGTATCTAGAATAATGTTTGGTCCTCTTTTAAAGAAGAAATCCTGATAGTTATTTTAAAAAAGAAATGGAAATGAGAATTTTTCAGCCTTCTAACCTTTTTTTAATCCAGTAGTCTGCCTTCCCCCATCCTTTCTATTTGCTCCTATTATTAAGCTAGAAAATAGGATATTTAAACTTTTAAGACACTCATCAAGTAGAAGAGGATCATGAAATGTTAAGCAAATAATGTGTTGGGAATAATGTATTCTTGCCTGGATCTTTACTGCCATTCTCTGCCATTTCTAAATTTGACATTTTAAAAAGCTAACACATGCTAGCTGTATTTTGGATACCACATAAATTTCTCAAAATTTCAATTTGACCTGTAATTCTTCTACGCTTAACTTCCCCTGTGGCTGAATCATAAATTGTCCAATGCAGAATGGTAAGCTTTTAAAATCAGGCTTCTTTTCTGACAGTTGTGGGGATAGAGGGAGATAGAGGCTTATCAGACCGTATACTTGTAAAGACCACTTTCCTGATTTATTTTTTCCAAAAACAAGTCTTTAAAGCAAGCATGTCAAATTAAATTTTATTTGGTCTTTTTATCATACCTTTTAAAAAGTATTAGTTTGCTTTTATAATGGAATACTTGTGTTTATATAGAATACACATTTTTTTCTTTCTAGACTCCTGCACAAAGTCAGTAAAGAACTGGCAGAATGGTATTTTCAAGATGGTCGAGCAGTACTAGCCGCATGTTGCCATCTTGCCATAGATAATATTGAGGTACGACATTTAAAACTGGTTTATGTGAATGAAAAGTTTTTTAGATATGTCATGGTGTTTGAGAGGAAAAGATATGGTGACTTTCTATGTGAGATCTGGTTTTGCATGTCTTCGAAGCCTGAGTAATTAAGTAATTACATTCCTAATTAGCACACATAAACTATGAGCTCTTGTTTTAAGCACACATAGACTATGAGCTCTTGTTTTCTTTTATTTCTACCACAAGACACATATTTATAACAACCTTGTTTTAAACATTTCAACATAGATGAGAAGCGCCAGTGTAGTAAAGGGAAGAATCACTGGACGTAGACACAAAATATCTGAGTCTTTTCTCACACATACTGACTTTGGGCACGTCATTTAACCCTCAGAATCTCAAATGTCTTCAATTCTAAAATGAAAATATGAATACCTCCCTTACCTATTTCACATATATTTGTTAGGATTATAAGAAAAAATACAAATGAAAGCACTTATTTTTCAGTATATTATTCACAAGTTATATTTTTAAGGTACTTTCCACTTGAGTCATTAATTTAATAAGGAAAATGTTAATTAAAGATACAGATTCTATTGTGCATTTATCTTTAGATATATTTGCTTTAGGAAATGATAGATAACTATATAATCTTAAAGAAGCTCTTAAAAATTTACATTTTTTTCTGATATGGAGATTGAAGGACATATTGAGAATATCATAGAGTGTTATTAATTAATTACAAAAATAGAACCAAGGGTTCTAAACTCTTCAATTCTGACCTAAAAAAAATTTCTGTATGTCTCATTAATAACTTTTCCCTCTGAAAATTGCAATTACGCTTACATAGCTACTTTATAGGAATATTACAGTCAATATTTTATAAGAATAATTGATTTATAGGTTAATACTGCTTTATCTGCTTTATGAGCTTGGAGGGGAATGATGATCCTACCCAGCTTCTATGCAACTGAAGAAATTATTTTCTTATTGAGCAAGCTTGCTATGGCATACCTGATTCGCGGAAATGAACTGGAGTTGGCAGTCTGTGTGGGCACAGTACTAGGAGAGTCTGCAGCACCAGCAACCCACTATGCCTTAGAATTACTGGCGAGAAAGTGCATGATGATTTCAGTATGGTAAGAATTTTGAAATTCAAAGAATAATTTCATAGTGATGGAATACATTTTTAAAACATTATAAATTCCATTTGATAAGATATGCATTGGGAGAATATAGGATCACCTTGTTTATAAAGGATAAGATTGTGGAAGGAAATAATGATATAACAATGTCATAATGATGAGAACTATCATGGTTGTATAATGAAATTTGCCATGATCCATTCTGAAGTAGCCCAGTTGTAATTCCGTAGTGTTTCAAGCACTTAAAGTATCATGAGACAACAAATGTGCTCTTCTTAAGATGATCAGAACACATATTCCCACATGTTAAAATTCCGCATATCTACACTTTTTTCTTGTCAGATCTTGTGTCCTATTTTAAATTTGTACAATAAAGTCACTTATATAAAGCAACAACAAAAAATGGTTTTGCTGGACACTTGAAACAGGACACCTCCCCCAGACTCTGGCAATACCCAAAGAAAGAGACCCTGGGAATTACCTGGGGTAGCCCGGAAATCCAGGGCAAAGCAATTCCAGCTCATATCTGCAGAGCCCTGGCCTTAAGTCAAACAATCCATTATTATGGAGGCTCTATTAGGAAATATGGGATTCCGTCATTCCTTAGATGTTTATTGAATAAAGATTATTTTAGATTTTTATCTTTTCTTTCTCTCAAATACTTAGGATCTCAAGAAGTTTCTAAATGAATTTGTTTATCAGGACTATGACCTTTCCCCATTGCAAGTCCCATGCACACACACACCACCCTGGAGGTGGAGCTATACAGATGACTATAACTATTGAACACCACAGGTGGTAATGATAATAATAAATACTAATTAACACTTCTATACTGTTTACTCTGTGCCAAGCACGATTTTAAGTACTTTATATGTAAAAATTCACTAGGTTCTATGTGGTAGGTTTTAATTTTCCTGAGGTCGCAGTAAGTGGTAGAGCCAAGATTCAAAGCTACATAAATCAGCTCTGAAGTTTGCATTCTTAGCTGTCAGACTACTTGGGGTGAGCATCCCTAATCCAAAAATCCAAAATCCAAAATGCTCCAATATCCAAAACCTTTCAGGTGTTGACCTGACAATCATAAGTGGAAAATTCCACATGAAAGTACTTAACACAAAAATTTGTTTAATGCACAAATTATTAAAAATATTCTATAAATTACCTTCAGGCTGTGTGGATAAGGTGTATATGAAACATAAATACATTTTGTATTTAGACTTGGGTCCCATCCCTTAGATATCTTATTATGTATATGCAAATATTCTAAAATCCAAAAAAGTCTGAAATCTGAAACACCTTTGGTCCCAAGCGTTTCAGATGAGGGATACCCAACCTGTACCACTTTCTTATCTGCAGCCAACTCGGGAAAAGAACAACACTTACATTCTTCTTTTTTGTCTGAATCTGAAGGTTTTATAGTGAATCAGGAATTTCAAAGTTGTTTTAATTTTTACATATATCTTACAGTAATGTAAGAGCTCCCTTCCCCCACTAAAATGTAGTAGTACCCTACCATCAGTTTCAGACTTCAGTGTACTTAATGGTGACTCTCCTCTGAGAGTATCTAGTTATCTCTCTATCAAGAGCTATAATAGTCAATTACCTAGGGACTTGCCTTCGTCTCAAAGCATGAAGCCTAATTGAAATTATTTATTCATGAAGGTGGCTGATTTCATGCTAAAAGTCATCATCAGATGAAAGGGGATTTGTTTTTAAAAAGTGAAGGTAAAAAGCAGTAAAAGGGCCAAGCACAGTGGCTCACGCCTGTAATCCCAGCACTTTGTGAGGCCAAGGTGGGTGGATCACCTGAGGTCAGGAGTTCAAGACCAGCCTGGCCAACATGGTGAAACCCCATCTCTAAAATACAAAAAAAAAAAAAACCCATTACTAAAAATACAAAAATAAAAAATAAAAAAATTAGCCAGGCATGGTGGCAGGCACCTGTAATACCATCTACTTGGGAGTCTGAGGCAGGAGAATCACTTGAACTCAGGCGATGGAGGTTGCAGTCAGCCAAGATCATGCCACTGCACTCCAGCCTGGGCAACAAGAGTGAAACTTCGTCTCAAGGAAAAAAAAAATTTGGCAGCAAAAGAGAAATACAGTATACAGTTGACCCTTGAACAATATGAGGGTTAGGGGTGCCAACCCCCCAAGCAGTCCAAAATCCATCTATATCTTCTAACTCCCTCAAAACTTAACTACTAATAGCCTACTCTTGACTGGAAGCCTTACTGATAACATTAACAGTCAATTAACAGATATTTTGTATCCTTTATGTATTATATACTGTATTCTTACAATAAAGTAAACTGGAGAATAGAAAATGTTATTAAGAAAATCGTAAGGAAGAGAAATCAATTTACTATGCATTAAGTGGAAGTGGGTCATCATAAAGGTCTTTATCTACATCTGCTTCCTACTGAGCAGTTCAAACTCATAACATAGTATGTTACATAATATGATTAAACATTTTTCAGTTAACTATATGTCTTAATTACTTTTAAGAAAAAACAAACTTCTTCCTTGTAACGCCCCCATCCCAACAATTCTTTTTTAATATATCCATAGATATGTGTAACAGAAACTAGGAAACAGTTTAAATGTGGTGCTGATTAGCTTTACTTTCAGGAGAAAGCTGTAATCCTCCTGGCTATTAGTAGAGCTGCACAGATTTTTTAAAAGATAGCTACATCATTTATAAAGATGTGCATAATTTTTAAGCTATAAACAGCGCTTTTTTTACATTTACTGTAAAAGTCTGTTTCTTTGTGGTATTCATCGTATAATCATGGTATTCATATTTAATATTTTCCTTTAGCTTTCCATGTGTTGGATACAGGTATTATCTACTTTTATTTAAGAACACATTCCTTTAAAATGTATATACTCCTTTATTTTATTATTTGAATACTATCTCTGTATTAAGAAATATTTATCAACTATTTTCACATTATTTTATGGTATGCCAATTCACGTGTAATTTATAGCACATGAAACCTGACTACAAAGTAATGAGAAAAGTTCCTATAATCACTCATGATTTTATACTTAAAAGTTGTACAATAAATGAACTGTGATTTCCTGCAATACCAAATAATAGCTAACTCAGCTAAGCAGAATGAAATATCTCTTCTGATAGTGAAATTTTATATTTTAGATCATTCAATTGGTCTATATCATTTTTATATGTACATTTTTCCCCATTTGTGTACTGAACTCTCAAAAAAGAGTGAATTTGATTAACATTGAAGGAAATTAGCTGGCCTTGCTAAAATTTCACTGTATGAAGATGTAATTCTACATTAAGAAAGTCAAATTTTGTCTATAGTTCAATGAAGTTTGAATAGAATTTTAGCACAGCTATTTTATACACAGTAAAAACAAATGATAATTTCTATATTTTCATGGACGTTATTTAAAACTATGAAATTTTGATAAGAGGAAACACATGACATCATTCATGCATTTTAGCATGAACAGCTAAACTACTCTAACTTGGAACCTGCCCAATGTAATAGAAAATGTGGCAGTTTGGAAAGATATTATGTGTAATTTTTAATGGCTAGAGGAAAATAATATGAAAAATTATTGTAATCTTTTATCAATTCTCTTTTGACATTATCTAGAAAACTATTTATTAGTAAAATGATGAGTTATCAAAATATTTTATGTAAAAAACTTCACTAAAGTTTTTCTTATTCTAAAAACATTAAAGTAAGCCTAATTGAAAATGTTACTGTCCTGATAGTTTGTGACGTGTGTGTATTTTTTACTTTTAGTAAAACTTTGGATTTCACACCAGAGCTTGCCAATTGTCTTTATTCCTATTCTATATTCATTATATTCTTAATTAAGCACCTCTTAAGTTTTAAAAAAGAATTGATTTACTTAAATGACTAATGTAGATTTTACTGACGTTTTCACAAAGAAGATGAAGTGTAGGGTTTTACTCCCAGAGGCCCCAGCACACAGCTTTATAAATTCTTATGTGAAATATCTCCTATTCTAATGTCACCTCTTCTGTATGGCTATATATCAATTTTTTAAAAACAATATCTTGGCCGGGCGCGGTGGCTCACGCCTGTAATCCCAGCACTTTGGGAGGCCGAGGCGGGCGGATCACGAGGTCAGGAGATCGAGACCATCCTGGCTAACACGGTGAAACCCCGTCTCTACTAAAAATACAAAAAATTAGCCGGGCGAGGTGGCGGGCGCCTGTAGTCCCAGCTACTCGGGAGGCTGAGGCAGGAGAATGGCGTGAACCCCAGGGGGCGGAGCCTGCAGTGAGCCGAGATTGCGCCACTGCACTCCAGCCTGGGCGACAGCGAGACTCCGTCTCAAAAAAAAAAAAAAAAAAAAAAAAAAAACAATATCTTGAATTATTGAAAGTTAAGTGTTTTCTCAGTTATGATGTATGCATCCATTTACTCCTCACCTAGTGATTTGAAGAGGATTTTACAGAAAATATTTTAATATAAATCTTCTAAGTACATACCATTTTATATTTTTAAAACCCTCAGTTGCTTTAGTCCACTGATTGGATCTTTAATAAGTAAATAGGCCGGTCTCGGTGGCTCATGCCTGTAATCCCAACACTTCGGGAGGCCAAGGTGGGTGGATCACTTGAAGCCAGGAGTTTGAGATCAGCCTGGCCAACATGGTGAAACCCTGTCTCTACTAAAAATACAAAAATTGCCCGGGCATGGTGGCACGTGCCTGTAATCCCAGCTACTCAGGAGGCTGAGGCACAAAAATTGCTTGAACCCAGGAGGCAAAGGTTGCAGTGAGCTGAGATTGCACCACTGCACTCCAGCCTGGGCGACAGAGGGAATGAGACTATGCCTCAAAAGAAAAAAAAAGGGAAATAAGAAAACTATCTTTAATTTCCACTTATCATGTAAGAAATATGTGGGATACCCAAAATTATGAACTTAACTCAATATTCTACTGGTTTCACTGATCTGGCTGATACAATTTATCAATTTTGACAAGCATAACAAAAGTTGACGAGAGTTAACTTTCACAATGTTTGCTTTATAATTCACTCCAAAGAACATATTCAAAACTACTTAGATTAGAGAATTGTTCTGTAATGATAAAATTAATTATAAGTATGTTAAGACTCATGTATGTAAAGTTTAGTTTTTAATATTTAGGAATTTATAAATACATTTGTTGTTCATGACCTTTGGTTTGGGTAATCTGCATTTACAGTAGTTTCATAATTAAGTAGGCTATTAATACTGTTTGTGTAAATTAAAAAGCAAGAGTGGTATATTATATGAATTGCCCTTCTTTGAGATAGTTATGAATGTTATTTTTAAATCTTCTCCTCAATGAAGTGTCCCCTTTTGTTACGTTAACAGGAATTTGGCAGCTGATCTTCTTCTGATGATTCCTGATAATGAACTACATTTAATAAAACTCTGTGCTTTCTACCCAGGATGTACTGAAGAGATAAATGACCTTCATGATAAGGTATGCTGATGATGTTAAATATTCTGGTTTGGAATGCAGTGCTATGATTTAATTAATTGTAGGTTCAAGCAAATAGAGATGCATGCAGAGAAACAAATGTGTGGTCCCTTTGGGGTACCTACAAGTACAACAAAAGTGTTGTACAATAGGAAGTAACATTTACTGAACTGCTATGTGCTTGGCACTCTTCTAAATCTTTACATGTATTTGTATCTTCATTCTCATAAAACTTTGAAAAGCATGGGATAATTATACAAAGAAAACTCAGAGAAGGTAAGGAATTTGCCCAAATTAGTTAGCGGTGGAGTGAGAATTTCAACTTCAGCAAGTCTAACTCCAAATCCCAAGTGTTTTCCACTGTACACTTTGCATACTGAAGTATGTTGTAGGATAAATTTTTAAAATAGACAACTTAGAATCCTTAAAAGAATTAATGAAATATAATGAAATTTACATGCATTTTTCCAAAGTGCTTTAAAAATACTCATCTGCAGAATATAGGAATCTATGCATCAATATTATATACAAAAACAACCAAAATGTTCAATAGGAAGATTATTTATATTAAATTACAGTACTTTTCTATATTTCAGTGCTATTAATCCATTAAAAATCATGAAGCTCTATTTTTATTGGCATGATACATGGCTATGAAACAGTTAAATAGAAAGCAGATCACAAAACTATGCATATGCCATATGATTTTGGTTTGAAAATAAATGTGAATGTATGTATTTATTTATGTTTATAGCATATTTAGGAAGATACAGTTTCTTTTAAGAAAATGATAAGATATAAGTACAATATTTTCTCATCTTGAACTTCTAAAATAATGAAGTTTTTCACTTATTTGAACCGTGATTTTTTTATCCCTAGTGGGTGAGTATCCCTATTCATTAAGCAACAGATATTTTCTGAGTATTGTATTAATACAGATTGGCCAAAAGTGTGTGTGAATGACAACGTGTGGGTGGATATGTGTATGTGAATGTGTTTGTGTTGAGACGCGGAAAATACTTGTGAAAGGATAAATGTCCGAAATTACCAGTGGGTTGTGAGATGATGGGATATTTTAACTACTTTATACACCTTGTAGTCTGTGAATTATTTTTTTTAAAAGCTGTGCTTTGTTTTTTTAACATGACAACTAAAAGCTATTTTACATTGAAATTAAAATGCATATGAAAGAAAGTAGGAGTTTTTTAATTATACATTAACTGGTAGTGTTTGAATGTACACTAACAGCTATCCTCTGAGGCAGAAGGTGCAGATGTTAATATCAAGACTCAGAGAGGCTAAATGGCTTGTCTAAGCTTTAAGACTTAAACTAATGACCTCACTTATTATTTTCAGATTTTAAAGATATTTCCATAAATATATGCTCTTAATTCAAATAATTTTATTTATATCATTTAGGACAACTTTAATAAGAAAACCACACTAGTAATAGGAAAAATTTAGTATATGTACTATTTTTTTATTCCTATAAACTTTACTAACATTGTTGTCAAATCAATTATTTTTTCTTTTTTCTTTTTTTTTTTTTTTTGACATGGAATTTCACTCTTGTTGCCCAGGCTGGAGTGCAATGGCACGAGCTCAGATCAGTGCAACCTCTGCCTGCTGGGTTCAAGCGATTCTCCTGCCCCACCCTCCCAAGTAGCTGGGATTACAGGCATGCACCATCACACCCAGCTAATTTTGTATTCTTAGTAGAGACAGGGTTTCACCATGTTGGTCAGCCTAGTCTCAAACTCCTGACCTCAGGTGATCCACCCGCCTCAGCCTCCCAAAGTGTTGGCATTACAGGCATGAGCCACCACGCCTGGCCAAATCAATTATTTTCTAGTGCAAGCTACACACAGTAGAAGAATATAGGCAGTTAGCTAAGACCGCTTTTAATGATAGGGCTAGAATATTATTCACCTCGTCTTTTCATCACACATTCTAAAAGGATATAATTAGACTTTCTGTTCAGACTTCATTAATATCTTTTTAGAAAGACTAGTGAGTATGTGTAAAAGTGTTAATAACTGAACAATTTCACAAGTACAGATGCTCCTCGACTTACCATGGGGTTACAATGGGTAAATCTATCATAAGTCAAAAATATTCTACGTCAAAAATACGTTTAACACACCTGACCTACCAAACATCATAGCTTAACCTAGCCTTCCTTAAACGTGCTCAGAACACTTACATTAGGCTACAGTTGGACAAAGTCATCTAACACAAAGCCTATTTCATAATAATATCTCATGTAATTTAATGAATACTGTACAAAAAGTGAAAAACAGAATGGTGGTGTGGGTACTCACAGTACAGTTTCTACTGAATGCATGTTGCTTTTACACTACCATAAAGTCAAAACATAAGTTGGGGACTGTCTGTAACACTAAAAACTATATATTCACATATGAGGTACTTATATAACTTTTAGAATTTTAAAATAGGATAAAAATTACAAGGATGATCATCTTTTTCTTCTTCTTATAGTCTATTTAAAAACGATATTTAAATGGGAGTGATTTCTTATTTCCTCTATGCCATGAGCATATATCAAGGTGAAGAACCTATGTCTCTATCTAGCCAAGCACAGTACCTACCCTATAGTAGTTGCTTTGTAAATAACTGGCATTTCATGAATAAGGATGGGGAAACAATATCAAACGTTATATATATGAGAGCCCCGTTAATTCAGTTTGTTGTAATTTGTTTGAGAGAGAGATTGAGATGTAAAATGTTCATTTTACCTAATTTTTAAATAAGAAATTTGAAATGATTAAATGAATGTATTAATAAATAAATTGAAACAAACCATGAAACTATTTTATCCACATTGTTTAGCAACAAACTTGAACGTTTAAGCTTCAACAATTATAAACACATCAGAATTTGATATAAAAGGTAACTTAATGCTTAATACATTATAAGGAAGCAGACCAACTTACTTGAGAGAGGATCAGACTCTCAGTTTTAACAGAAAAAGATTTTTTTTTAATGAGGAATGTGGCTTTTTATTTTATAGTAATGAAATTTCATGGATGAAAAAATCTCCATTTCATGGCATTTCAAAATGTCAAAGCTAAAAACTTTTAGAGCTTCTACATTTTTTGTGTCTCTGAAATAAGGTTGCTTTGTTTCAAAAGCCAAGTGACGTTAAATTACAGCGTAGAGGACATGGAATAATGCACACCCTTTATGTTTGGTGCATTTAATGTCGTTTTTGCGCCGTTATGGTCAGTATATTTTTTCTAACATAATTAATTTCATCATTTGGGTGCTAAATGGCATTTTTGGGTACTAACTCCAGTATCACAATCAGGACAATTTACTTCTATTTCTTTTATTAGGTATTTGTGTGATGGAAAACTACTAACTCATTAACTAATATCCCCTCTTACTGTTTTTAGATCTTAAAGGTATTTCCATAAATATATTCTCTTAATTCAAATAATTTCATTTACATCTATTTTAGATAACTTTAATAAGAAAACCATACTAGGAAAGCTGAAAGTATTTTGTACTTACACTATTGCTTTTATCCGTTTGAATTTTAGTAACATTGTTTTCAAATCAATTATTTTCTAGTGTAAGCTACCCACAGTGGAAGAATGTATGCAGTTAGCTGAGACAGCCCGTGCAGATGACAATATATTTGAAACTGTAAAATATTACTTGTTAAGTCAAGAACCTGAAAAAGCCCTTCCTATTGGTATTAGCTTTGTTAAAGGTAAGTAATTAGTTGGTAGTAGAATTTTAAATATACTCATTTATTTGATCGTTGTTTTCATACTGATGATTGTTTTAATTCATTTTTGCATTGCTATAAAGAAATACCTGAGGCTGGGTAATTTATAAAGAAAGTAGATTTATTGGCTCATGGTTCTGCAGGCTGTACCGGAAGCATGGCACTGGTATCTGCTCAGCTTCAGGTGAGGCCTCAGGAAACTTTTAGTCATGGCAGAAGGTGGTGCAGGAGCAGGCATATCACTTGGTGAGAGCAGGGGCAGAGAGAAGGGATGAAGAGAGAGAGGAAGGGAGGTGCCACGCTCTTAAACACTCAGATCTCGTGTGGACTCAGAACAAGAATTCACTCATCACCAAGGGGATTGCACTAAGCCATTCATGAGGAATCCACCTCCATAATCCAAACACCTCCCTACTCCAACATTGGGGATTACATTTCAACATGAGCTCTAGAGAGAACGAACATCCAAACTATATCAATGATCAACTTAAAATCAAGAACTAGTCATCCTAAATTTAAAAAGGAGAGTGATGCTGATGTGAAATATGGCATCTCTTCTGATTTTATGGTATGGGGACCTGAGAGAGGATAAATAGGAAAATACTTGTGATCTAGAAAATAAAGAGGTAAGTAGGACTGACTGACAGAAAATTAATTATATAAGTTAAAAATGGATGAATAAATTTTGAGACTGTTATTTAATGAATCTTCCATCTGGTTTAATTTTTCCAGAATACATCAGTAGCTCAGACTGGACTTTGGATACCATATACCCTGTTCTTGACCTACTGAGCTATATTCGTACTGAAAAATTACTCTTGCATACGTGTACTGAGTGAGTATTTTTTCTGCAAAATATATAAGTGAATCTATTTGATAATTTTAAAGTGGCTCCATTGTTTTTGGTATTCAGATCGGGAAATAGGATTATCTTGGACAGGTAGCTACACTTGTAGAAATATTATATTTTTGTTTGTTATATATTTTTTTTCTTTGTTTTGAGATGAGGTCTTGCTCTGTCGCCCAGGCTGGAGTGCAGTGGCGTGATCTCAGCTCACTGCAAGCTCCGCCTCCTGGGTTCACACCATTCTCCTGCCTCAGCCTCCCGCGTAGCTGGTACTACAGGCGCCCGCCACCATGCCTGGCTAATTTTTGTATTTTTAGTAGAGACGGGGTTTTACCATGTTGGCCAGGATGGTCTCGATCTCCTGACCTCGTGATCCACCCACCTCGGCCTCCCAAAGTGCTGGGATTACAGGCATGAGCCACTGCGCCTGGCCGTTTGTTATGTTTTTAAGAAAAAAAATGTAGAGGTCAACTTGAAACAGAGTATTAAATATTAGTGGTCCCACTTAATAATATCTAGTATGTGTATGTTTATATATGTACACACACATGCACACCTGGTTTAAAGAAAGCAAGTTCAAAGCTTTTGGATCTCAAGTCCTTAAGAAACTCATGGTCATATTTGTTAATTATCCATTGTATGCAAAGCACCATACTGAGCTTGTGGGAAAGAAGTAAAATTGCTGGAAAGTACAAAATAGACATCATCCCTGGATTCAGGTACTATTAAAAGACATTATTATCTATATAACTAAAGCCCTCAGAGACTCTTGTATAATTTACAAGAGAGGCTTTGGGCTCTTTTTGTTTTAAAGCCTAAATGGAAAAAATGATGCAGCAGCCTGGGAGACTGGCTAACTCCCTCAGCAAGAATGCAGAAGACGTTCTTTACTGTGAGTCTACACGGTATTCCAGGACTCCCTCCACCTGACCAAAGGAGCTATTTAGGGATAAATTACATGAAGAAACAGCCAGGAAATACAGAACAACAAGCAGGCAACAGTGAAATACTATTTAAATATGCTTATTTTATAGTCTAATTGATGGTATAGCATAAATATCTGAATAGGAATTAAGAACTGGTGAATAATTTTCCTTAAGTTTAGAAAATTTTCTAAACATATATTGCTATAAATGTCACCTTTCAGAATATATAAAGTACATGAACTGTGTATCAGAGTAATGTTCTATGCCTCAAATTGTGGAATTTATAAAAATAAATATATTCTCTTTTAGAGCTCGAAATGAGTTGCTGATATTATGTGGTTACATTGGTGCATTACTGGCTATCAGAAGACAGTACCAAAGCATTGTTCCAGCACTTTATGAGTACACAAGGTAAAAAAGGTTTTTTCCTCCATCATGACATTAGAGCAATTTCTCTTGCTAAGATGGATAGTCTCTAAGTGGATTATACAAAGTATCAAATATATTATTACAAGTATCCATCTATTTACTCAGCGTGTGCTTTATAATAAAGCAGCACATAAATTAGGGATGCATTGGGCTGTAAATAATAATAATTTGAATACTAGCTTAAACTCCTAGGATTTATTGATCTTTCATGTCAAGACACTTGAGACAGGCTTTCTAAGGCTTTTACTGCCGTGCAGTGATTTCTTCAAGGACCTGATACTCCCTTCTTTCCACTATGACATTTTTTGGATTATTTCCTCTTGCTTGAGTATCCCATGGTTAGAAGATAGATGCTAGCCCTCCATGAATTACGACTACATTCTGAGTAGGAAAGAGGTAAGAGTGAAAGAGACCACAAAGGACTTTCTCCTGGCAAGACCATTTTATTCAGGAAGGAAAGTCCTCCTTAGGGTTTTATGCCCACATCTCACTAAAAGAAAATAGGAAACTGAATATTTTAGCTTTTCAATCTCTACAGCAGAAAAGGCAGAGTAAAGGGAGTTTGTAAGTAGCAGGTTACTATTTTAATATTTTATATTCAGGCATAACCTGTTAGCCATACTCCTACATTTTATAACAACTTGTTTAACTTCAGCCCTTGTACTTAAAACTTCTTATACTATAAAATAAAATTCACGGTGCCTTCCATAAAAACCTTCTTCCAAGTCTAGTAGTTAGCTAAATGGCTTAGTAGGTAACCATTTTAACAAATGCAGAGGGTCCGTGGTTAAGCAGTCTTTTATTTGTTTGTTTGTTTGTTTGTTTGTTTGTTTGTTTTTGAGATGGAGTCTCTCTCTGTCTCCCAGGCTGGAGTGCAGTGGCACAATCTCAGCCCACTGCAACCTCCGCCTCCCAAGTTCACACCATTCTCCTGCCTCAGCCTCCCGAGTAGCTGGGACTACAGGTGCCCGCCACCACGCCCGGCTAATTTTTTGTATTTTTCTAGTAGAGACGGGGTTTCACCATGTTAGCCAGGATGGTCTCGATCTCCTGACCTCGTGATCTGCCTGCCTCGGCCTCCCAAAGTGCTGGGATTACAGGCGTGAGCCACCATGCCCGGCCGGTTAAGCAGTTTTTCTGAGTTCATATGTGGCAGAGGATTCTAAGAGAAACAGGTTTTCTCATTCCTAACTTCTCCCTATTGCGTAGGTGAAGCACTAGCTGTCACCTAGTACAAATAAGGAATAATATGGAATTAATACTATCAGCATGCTCAGGGAAAAATCTCTTTCTACATAGGTAGCATAACCAAAATTGGAAAGCAACATTTAACAGTATTAAAAGATATTATAGGAGCAGTAGGATATATCACATAGATGTAAAATAATGTTTAATATGTTCAGCTATATATAATGATAAAAGTAAAGAGAAAAATTCTTAATTAAGCATTAAATTAATATCAAAAAGAAAAAGAACGGTTTTTATTTGCAAGGGCAGGAGAGACTTGAGAGAATGTGACTAAGTTTAGGGAATGTGTTAGCTTAGAAAGAGAAATTGATAATTTCCTAATATTAAAGAATGTATCGTCTCTGACAGTTCCATCTTTGTTGTCTTGCTGCTTATAATTATTTTCTTGACCCACTAAATATGTGAGTCCCCAAAGTTTCATTCTCTCGTCCTCTGCTTCCCTTTTTCCTCCTCTCCATCCCACTCTCCTCCCACGGCTCCACTCCCTCCCGTCTCCTTTCTATACGGTGTCCTTCAGAAACCTCACCACTTTTCAGCTTCACCTATCACCTCTATGGAGGTAACTCAGTGTCTTATATTCAGGCATAGCGTACTCTTCAAACTCCTATGTGTATATTCAGCAGCTTGCTAAACTCCAGCCTAAAGTCAGTATGCTCAGAATTCAAATCATCTTTCTTCTCAAATCTCCTTCTCCCGTGTTCTCTTTCTGTCATTCAAGATTAAATGATCAGGGTCATGGTTAAGTGTTCTCTCTCACTGTGGCTATTATTTAACATCACTTAACTTGTCCAACCATTCTTCATACATTATGCAGTTCATTTATTTATCCACTCACTCATTTACTCATCCACCCAATGTTTATTGAATAACTTTGACTTGCCAGGGACTGTGCTAAATATACAGGTGAGCATATATACGCATATACTAGAAAATATTCTATATGTATATTATATATAACGTATAATGTCTGTATACAGAAATATATAAATCTAAAATCACATTTAAAGTTTGTTTGCTTTTTCTGATATCTTAGTTTTTGGTATCAGATGTTAATTTCCTTTTCACACGTTCAGTCAGCTATTAAAACGTCGGGAGGTGTCAGTACCTTTAAAAATTGAATATCTTTCTGAGGAATTGGATGCATGGAGAGCTTGCACACAGTCCACCAACAGGTGAGCAAATATGATATAAAAATTGGAATGCAGAAGGTATTTGATGTTATAGACAAACTTGTTGGAAGTATGTGTGGTCTCATTAATTTTAGCAGAATAATGAATCTTGATTTGTTTGGCATATATGCAGTAATAATTTACAATACCGTACTTTTCTGCCATGTAGTCCTTTGTTTTACTATAAATTAAGTCTAAAGGGATTTGTCTCCATCAATAAAGGGGAACTAAATAATCATCAGGGATAATTTCTAATCTAAACATCAAAAATTCTGTGATTCGACAAAATGAAATTTTGATATCTGTTGAAAATATAGATCATTAGAAGACTCTCCGTATACACCCCCTTCTGATTCACAAAGAATGATTTATGCAACTTTATTAAAGAGACTAAAAGAAGAGTCACTGAAAGGAATTATTGGACCAGATTATGTGACTGGATCAAATCTTCCAAGTCATTCTGATATTCACATTTCTTGTCTTACGGGATTAAAAATCCAGGTAAAGCCTAACATCAGACATAACATGTGTATTTCACCATTTTACATGTTTACTTTTTGAAATATCTTAAAATAAGCCTAATTTGGATAAAAGTAGGTAATTTAGGACTGGGGTCCAGTAAGGAAATATTACCTCTAGTGCTTCCATAGTTAGTACAAGTGGCCTCTTTCTGCCTAAAATAAATTCAAATACAAGCATTGTACTGACTCTTACCACAGAAGCAATTCATGTAATATGTATACCTGCATGAAAGTTTAAACCAGGAGGTTTTGGTGAGCCGAGATCGAGCCATTGCACTCCAGCCTGGGCAACAAGAGTGAAACTCCGTCTCAAAAAAAAAAAAAAAAAAAAAAAAAAAAAAAAAAAAAAAAAAAAAAGATCCCACCTCCCAATAATATACACAGCTTATTGAGCAGATTCTTATGTATTTCTAATGTAATGTGAAAAGTCACATTTCTAATGCTTCCATGCTAGCCCAATGAAGAAGGCAGGTTTTGTCATAGCCACCCAAAATAAATGAAGTAGCTGGATACTGATGTAAACCTTAACTGTAGCTTAGCTTGCCACTGCAAGCTAGTTTAGTCTCAAAACATAACCAGTATCTTCCAAAAGACAGGACATATAGTTGTATACACCTTTATTATCCATTTATGCTCACAAATAGAGAACCAAGTCAGGAAATTAAATAACTTTTAGTAAAGAGCAAGAAACATTATGAAATATTTGGAGTATGTCATCATTGCCATTCTCTGCCCTTTGTATACCATTTCTAGTACGTGGTACCTTCAGGTTTCTTTCCTCCTTTTCTTAAGGTTTCTTTTCTCCATCTGACCTTGACCTAAAAGACACTATCTAACCTCTCTGTAGCCAAACCTGCATCCAGGAAAAGAGCTACTAATTATCTCATATACACTGAGGCCCACGTGACTGGTATAGATGGAGTACTGTTCTGCCAGGATATTTCTGTTTCAACAGAAAGTTGACGTGTTTGGGTTATAATTGTGAAATTTCTAGTGCCTACTAATAGGAGCTGTCTACTTTACATACTCCTATGATGAGCTTTCCATTATCTAGAAATAATTTGCTAACAACAAGTTGTATCATTTGAAATCAGACCCCAAACTCAACAGCTTTAGAACCTAATTAAGAAAACATAATTTGTATTGCATCTTGTGTTTTTGAAATTATGCTTTTCCTTATCAGAGCTAGGTAATATAGACTGAAAACATTTCACATTTAGTTCTTTATAACTACCCTGGCATATATCATAACTGATGCAACTAAATTATAAATAAGCAAGAAAATCACATGGCTAAACATATTTTAAACGATATATACAATATAGAACAATATTCATCATCTTCTGGAGAGCACATATAAAGTTTCTGGCTTAAATAATTTCCCCAGCTGTATCGACATAGGCTACATGAGTAAAATAGTGAAATATATTTAAGCCTATTACTAGACATATATGCTTTTATAGAATAGGTAAACTTTGTGGCAGTTACCAGATTAACAAAACATATTTGTCATTGGCATTACTATTGTATTTAAAGAATTTAAATTGTAAACAATTCTATTTTAACAGATATTAGGGTATAATGACATAATGTTAAGACATTTGAAAATGTTTCTATATTTGGGTCCAGCTCAAAAAAACTAATTTTCTCATAGTCTTCATTTTTTTATTAGCTTTGCCTAAATATTATGTTTTTTTTTATTGCAGTGATTCTCTTTCTGAAAGTTTAAAAATACTTTGCAAATTTATAATCTCATCTTCTCTTTCCTCAACTCTCACTGTGCAGGGCCCTGTGTTTTTCCTTGAAGACGGGAAATCTGCTATCTCCTTGAATGATGCTTTGATGTGGGCAAAGGTGAATCCATTCTCACCTTTAGGGACTGGAATACGACTCAATCCATTCTGATAGAAGATTTTTGTCCATGCTTGATTTTTTTTTTTAAAGAAAAACTTTCATGGGTTAGCATTACCTTAATCTTTGTTGCTCAAGTGCCAGAGGTTGGGAGAAGGATTGCAGGTTGGGAGAGGTGGGAAATAGCAGTGAATTTTAGTCATTAACTTCAAAATATATATATATATATAATTTAAAGGAAAAATAGGTGCCTCCTTTATAAACAGTAATAGCTACGTTTGGGAAGGAGGAAACATTTAAATTATAAAGGACTGAATAATCTAAAAAGCATATAAAAGTTTCACACAGCATAAAAGATACCAAAATATCATATGGTTGAAATATTGAAACATATTAAATTGTGCAACACCTAGAATAGTGCTAGACATACAGTAAGTACTTAATGGATATTTGAATGATTGAATATCTTGAAATGTTGAAATGTAAGGTGTGCACAGTGATCTTCAACTTAACAAACACTTACGTTCTCCTTTATAAAATGCATAGTAAACCACTAACGTTAGCTGTTTTAATAAAAGTTTTCAGTTATAAGTTTAGTAAATATTAATAAATGGATACACATTCAAAATACTTTTAAAAAAAAGAAAATGTTACCAGTTTTTTTATCTGAAGTTTAACTGTCCCATTGTAAAGGTGTAAGTTATATAGGCTTGAAAAAAATTGGCGGGTAAAAATCACAAAATGCAGTCGAATATATATATGAAAACTTGCATTAGGTGATAAAGTGACTATTTTAAGAGATTCAGCATGCATGGATATTAGTTTTGATTAATGTGTACAATAATTTACACAGTATACTCTAGTCAATTTATGTTAACTTTATTTAAAACACAATTTATTTGGCCGGGCACGGTGGCTCACACCTGTAATCTCAGCACTTTGGCAGGCCAAGGCAGGTGGATCACCTGAGGTCAGGAGTTCATGACCAGCCTGGCCAGCATGGTAAAACCCTGTCTCCACTAAAAATACAAAAATTAGCCAGGCATGGTGGCGGGCACCTGTAATCCCAGTTACTTGGGAAGCTGAGGCAGGAGAATCCCTTGAACCTGGGAGGCAGAGGTTCCAGTGAGCCAAGATCGCACCACTGCACTCCAGCCTGGGCAACAAAGAGCGAAACTCTGTCTCAAAAAACAAACCAACAAAAACCACAATTGATTTGATGAAAATTAGTTTTAAGTAAATGTTTGTAAATAGATATTGGTTGAATTTTTGGATATATTATGTTGATTTAACTTTTAAAATGTTGTTTAAAAGTGTGAAGCTATGAAAAGCCTGATAATGTGACTACAGATATTTCAGTTGGACTAGAATTCTGACTTTGAAACTTATTAAATTAATGCATACTGGAAGTACTTTGATACTCAAGTTGTTTCACAAGATTTATAATATAGATGGTTTTGTTTGACTAAAGAATAATCTCATATAACTAGAATACTTGTGGCTTTTATTATCTTTAAACTTGTTGCATTTAAAATATTTTTAAAACCTTCTTAACAAAACTTCTTAAAACTGGAAAAAATATATATTATGTATCTATGTATCATATTTATCACATGACCACTTTTGATTCCTTAAAAAGACATTACAGGCTTAAATTCCATTTTATTAAAAAAAAAAAATTGCCTGTAATCCCAGCACTTCAGGAGGCCGAGATGGGCAGATCTTGAGGTCGGTAGATGGAGACCATCCTGGCCAACATGGTGAAACCCTGTCTCTACTAAAAATACAAAAATTAGCTGGGTGTGGTGGTGTGTACCTGTAGTCCCAGCTACCCAGGAAGCTAAGGCAGGAGAATCGCTTGAATCCAGGAGGCGGAGGTTGCAGTGAGCTGAGATCGCACTACTGCACTCCAGCCTGGGCGACAGAGCAAGACCACCATCTCCAAAAATTATATATATAAAAATAATTAATATTATAGAAGAGAATATACACAACTCAGAGATGCAATGGATAATATAAAAAGAGTACCTGAGATGTATTTTTTTAAACTCTTAGAGATATCTGTAACTCAAATTTTTCTTAGGTGAGGAGGATTATTAACTGGCACATATGTACTAAAAACCCCTCACTTAAAAATGGCAGTCTCAATCCTACTGTCATTCTTTTTATTTTAAAATAAATAAATAAGCCTATCTTTTTGTGCTTACATACTTAAAAGGATATCATTAAGTATATAAACAATCATTACTTCTGTATTTTTAATGAATGCAGGAAAATAATATTTTTATGTATAAAAGATGAAGAAAAAATTTTGCAAGTCTTTAAGCACATAAATACAACAGAATAGCCACCCAATTTCTGTCTGAAATCTAAATTGGATGGATTTGACCATCATTCTATTATCTTTGATTTCTACAATGTCTATATCTTATTACCTATAACTATTAATTTTTCATAGAATTATAAATGTCATTTGACTATGTCAATCTGTATATATTGTACCTTAATATGAAAAACAAATTTTTTAATTCATAAAAGTATTTTTATTAGATTTCATATGCATGAAACCCAAGCAAATTATATGAATTTATTTTACTATTTGAAAATGTTCATATTACCAATAATGTGGACAAATTACTTTGCAGGTTTAAATATGCCTCTGTAAAGGAAGAGTCTCATTAGACAATGATTTTTAAAGCATTGGAAAAATATTTTGCCTGTAAAAGTTAGTAACTAGGTGGTTCACAAAATTACAACATCAAAATAGTTACATCTTGTGAAAATATATGATTTTTATGTCAATCAAGACAAATGAAATATATATGTATGTGTATATATATACATGTATGTATGAAATATATATATGTGCGTGTGTGTGTGTATATATATATATATATATATATATTTCTATGAAATTGTCCAGATGTGTTCAGGAACATGATTGCATTAGAGCAATGACTGTATTTTGTTGTCCTTATAACATTTATATTATTTCAGTTTTAAGTCAAAAGGTATTCTGAATATAATAAAAGCCTCACAAATTATTTGTAAAATTTAGTAGTTCATATTTAGTATATCAGTAATATAGAAGACATCTTTATAGTCAACTCTTAATTAATGCTTATTGTACCAAATCTTTGAGATATTTGTACATAAATGAAATATGTACTTTCATGCTAAAATTATATATCATGACTGTGCTATAATTTGGCATGTCATTATCTAGATTTATATGTATGTACGTATTTCAGGTCCTTGAAATTTTAATAAATATTACAGTTAAATCCTGATATGACATAGTTACCGGCTAAGATGAGTAGTTGTTTCTTTCCCGAGACACCATTGAAAGACAAGTGTTTCTCCATAAATGCTTGGATCAGAGTCATCAGAGGTGTGAAAGGGCTAAGCTGTCCAACTGAGTTGTTACCCTACTCAGTAACCTAGGAAAATCACTTCATTGAATTGTTCCAGAGGCTGATTCTTCACTATAGAAACACTGACTACAGTATACCCCAAAATTACTATAAAAATGGAGAAAGTGCTTACTCATTAATACAAATGCTATGTCATAGTAGCTTCTATTCCCATAAGCTACTCGGGAGGCTGAGGCAGGAGAATAGCGTGAACCCGGGAGGCGGAGCTTGCAGTGAGCTGAGATTGCGCCACTGCACTCCAGCCTGGGCAACAGAGCAAGACTAGGTCTCAAAAACCAAAAATAAAAACAAAACAAAACAAAAAAGAAAATGTTTTATTCCTATAGCAGCTGCTATAGCTCCTAGAAAATTTCATTGCTTCCTTCTGTCAAAGATTCTTTTTGAAGTAAATGGTCTAAGATATGCCTGTAGTGTTGGCTTCTGTTGCACAATTCATCCTCAAGAAACTCTTGAGGTTACCCACTTTGACCATCCTGTATCTTCATTTACATAATCACTATGTAATGAAGCCTACAGACTATTTCCTATTTTCCAGTCTCTATAGGTCCCTCAGGATTCTTGGGAACTTACCATAGTCGGGCCATGAGTGATGAGCTCTTTCAGGAGATTGAACACAGCACCAGGAGGACAAAGAAACTTATTATTTGACTCTACCCAAAATTAATCCTCTTCTCTGGATCTTTTTCATGGCTGAGCTTCAGAGACTTGTTTCTCAAACCTTTTCCAAAGGAACTATATAGGTTAAAAGTTATTCTCATAATTTTGTACTTTAGATTGTCCCATGAGAGTGCAAGACAACAGATACATTACTTATAGCTGATTAAGATATGCATTTGACCTAGATCTCTTACCTCAGATAAAACTGGATTTTGAACACATTCCCAGTAAGTTATCTGTATCATCCGGGCTTTCTTAGTCTTCTTCAATATTATCTCTCTAAAAATGCAAAATTTAACAAGGAAGTCTCTGGAGGTAGAATTGCTAATAAAACAGTCTGAACTTTCAAAAATGCAGAAAATCTGGTAAGTTTAACTGAAAATTGACATTAGTAATATTCATCTTGGGAGTCAAATGAGACTATTAATGAGCCAGTATCAAACATAAATAATACCAGTTGAAAATTTTCCACATATAAAACATAAAATTACCATGTATATATAAAAGATTATTAATTTTTCAGGACATCAGTCTGCTTTTGTTTCCCTTCAGTTAAAATATGGGGCATAGCAGCAACCAGTGGGAACTTTTAAATTGAACTAAATGTATTGCTAAACACCGAATCAAATTCCAAGAAAAGGATGATTTTCTTTCCCCACAACTTGTTTTCAATAGAAGGGACACCTGTTTTTTTTTAATGGTTTAAGTTCAGGCTGTTCTTAGAGATGATCAAGATGTTCTATGGGCCAAAGTATAATAATCATTCAGAATACGATTTAATTAATGAATGTGATGTGTAACTATATAATAGGCAAAGCAGTAACCTTTAATTTCTAATAAGGAAAGCATATGAAAAAGTAGATTCACCATTCCTACAAAATTATGAGAAAGAACTCTTTATTCATCATGGTGAATTATGTTTATACCTTTAAAATTATTTTTGCTCATTCTGTACTAATTTATTTAATTTTGTATTTTCAACAATGCCTGGCATAGGAGTTTAATAAACAAATTGAATGGAAAAGAAATGTTCTTTAACACAATTATGGAAAAGACACCACTCTATTTATTATTGAAATACATCCAATACTAGGTGATTCTGTTTCTTTATTATGGCTAGAGATGGTGGCATCACTTCTTCAAAGCCATTTGACAGGTGCTTTTCAAGGTTTCTTGTCCATGTTTCTGATAGGTTTCATAGCAGAGTAATAAGAATGTTGTCCAGCTTGCTTCACATGTATTTCTCTATGTGAACTGCCACCACTACCTATATTTGCTGGGACATTTAAATAAGCAAAATTAAAATCAATTCATGGTTACTAAATATTCATACAAGCATCAACATGTCTAATGTATCAAATATATGCAGAATGATTGGCAAGAGGTCAAGCACAGTTAATCTAAATGCCTGGTAAACAAGAATATTTAAATCACGCATTATAGTACTCATGGATTAAAAAAAGTCTGAATGTCAGCCACTTCCAAAAGTCATCAGCCTAAAAATCTCCAGGGCTTATTTTGGTGCATCTGATACTGAATATGACCCAACTATTCTTAGATATTGCTTCAGAAAGCAGCTGAGGCAACAGTAGCACAATTTTATACTTAGATTTGACAAACGTCCATGATTCATAATACAGTTTATGGAGCTCTGATTACACTGAGGCATTCCAGCTAGCCACCCAGACTCTGTAGGTCACTCAGTTCTAATGGGAGGGGCCAGTGGCAACTAAGACATCTATATTCCATTGGCCCATAATTTTGCTAGATAACTAAATTTTGGTGAACAAGTAGAGGAACTTGAGTGTTATAAAAAGAAAAAAGCAAAGGTAACAACCTAACTTACAATTAATTTTGGCCCCCCTGTTTGATAATTAGAAGATTTTCAGGTGAACAGCCTGTGATTTCAGTGCCATTATATGAAATCTTAGATGGTAAAACAGAGTTACGTTCCTACAGTCTAGTGTTTTTGCTTCTCCTCCTTCCATTAACTATCAAACTATGGTAGCAGACCTGAACTATTTACTCTACTCTCTTATCAGAAACTGAAATGAAGTCCTTTGAACAAATTTAGAAAAAATTATTTAACACTTAATAGTTCTCATCCATATAATTACCAAAGCTGAATCCACATCATTCATTAATTTACTATGTGCCTAGATTAAGAGAATCCAAGTATATTATCTGGAACAGGATTGAGACAAGTAAAAAAAATAAATGTATGTTCACCTTCCCATCCTGATCTACCTTGTCCAATGAAGGCTTCCATAAACCCATCTCTTTTTCCAAAGAGAGCAAGACTATTGAGATGAAAGTGAATCATAAAAGAGCAACCAGAGAATCATAAAAAAGAGCAGTAGAGAATAAAATGGGAGGAGTTATTTATGGCCACTTATACATTATTAAAATTGTAAAAGCAAAAATTCATTTTACTTGGAATCCTGATCTGAAGTAATGATAGCATGTAGTTTTTCTAAAAACTCATATGTGAACCTTGAAGATTTTCAAAAAAGATAACAAAAATGAGAAATACTCTTTAGCAATTCAAATATCAGCAGGCATCAGTTTTTGTCTCTGGCCTATTTGCATCTCTTTCTTATACTGGAAGGAAGCCGTGCTGTGACTCATTACTACTCTTTTCTACCTTTTCACTGCATGTCCAAAGCAGGTGACCCTGCTCTTTCCCTTTCCCAGTGAAATTCAGTTAATCATAAGGGGAACGAGGCAAGCAAGTTAAACACAAAAACAAAACTTACCTGCAGTTTCCTTTCCATACCTCCTGATCCCCTCCTCCTATGCTCACCCTACCACTGTGGCTTCACCTCCCTCCCTGCTGGAACTTTCACCACAAATGTCACCAACAGAAGAAGGTTGAGGCAGGCTGAAGGAGAGGATATATTCCTAGAATCTAAAGGTGAAACTATGGATGCATTTTATTCATGGAAACATTGTTATCCACTTCCGTTGGATTCTATTATGTTTACTATGCCTCAGGTGGTTGAAGAGTTAAAGGGATTTTGATGGGCTGGCCTGATGTTTGGACATTAAAAAGTGTGCTATGAGGAACACTAGTTCTACAAGGCCACCAAACAAAGCAAAACCAAATAGTGATGTGTGATCAAATAGAGTTTGGAAAACACTTCATTCTGCTTCTCTCCCCTTTAATATTTACAATGCATATTAGCATATTAAAGGTTCTGAGAAATCATGGTTTTTTTTTGTTTTTTTAAAAAAAGGAACATTGGCACTGCTCTCAAAGACTCTATGTAAACAAATAACTTTTATCCCCGGCGAAATCCCTCAACACGTCAGGAAACATAATCTGTAGCAGAAGTCCACACACATTTTCTGTAAAGGGCTGGAGAGTACATATTTTAGGCTTTGTGGTAGGGTTGCCAGATAAAATATAGGACACCTAGTTAAATTTGAATTTCAGATAAATAATGAATAATTTTTAGTAAAAGTGTGTCCTAAATATGTCCTCAGAGGTATTTGTTGCATTGCCCTGTGTTTTTATTTGCTAAATCTGGCAACTCAACTTTCTAGACTAGACAGTCACCTTGGCAACTACTCAACCCAACTGTTGAAGGGTCAAAGCAGCCGTAAGCAAGGCATAAAATGAGCAGGAGTGGCTCTGTTCCCTGTTATTTATGAGCACGGGAACTTGAATTTCATAGCATTTTTATGTGTCAGGAATTACTATTTTTCTTTTGATTTTTTTTTTAACCATGAAATCCTAGCAGTTTGGGAGGCCGAGGAGGGTGGACTGCCTGAGCTCAGGAGTTCAGGACCAGCCTGGGCAACACGGTGAAACCCCATCTCTACTAAAATACAAAAAATTAGCCAGGCGTGGCACCGTGCGTTGTAGTCCCAGCTACTCAGGAGGCTGAGTCAGGAGAATCGCTTGAACCCAGGAGGTGGAAGTTGCAGTGAGCCGAGATCACACCACTGCACTCCAGCCTGGGTGACAGAGTGAGACTCCGTCTCCAAAAAAGAAAAAAAGTAAAAACTATTTTTAACTTGTGAACTATACAAAAACAGGCAACAGGCTGAATTTGGACCATGGGCTACAGTTTCCTGTAGTATAAATGCTTTCTGAATTAACAGGGTTTAATCAAGTGACTTCTTGTAATACAACTGATTGAGAATTCTTAGTATGCAAGTATCTATATCTGTCTCAGGACTGACTGACTCATCCTCTGACTACTGAAGAACTGAGCTTTGAACTCTAATGAGCCTGACGTGTTTCCAACTCACCTATTTAAGCATAAATCAGAACTCAGTGGATCTGATTGTAGCAGGCTGGGGAGGGGGCAGCGACTTAGCAGACCACATGTTCCCTTCACTTATCATAAAGAACTGCATACCAGTGTAATTGGCAGTGTAGGACTGAATGTTGACCTATACCAACATTTTAACTATTTAACCGTTTTTTAAAACTTTAATTGAAGAAAGTCAAGCAAAAAAAAATCAATTTTAAGAAGCAAAGAGTTAAAACTTACGTAAAACAGGGACAACTCTTCCTCTTTTAACTTTTAAATTATATCTGCGCCCAGAGGCTTGGGCAGGAAGGTGATTGAGAGTAACTTCTCCCACTGTTGGTTTCACATCAAACCATTCTATAAAATATGAACACAAAAGTTATTTCTTAAAAAGCCATAATGGCCATTGTCAAAATAAGATGCCATAATTTAAAAATTAAGTAAATTATTTAAATTTCTGTTTATCATATTCCTGAGTAGTGTGAATACCTAGGTTAATAGTCCCTCCCCACATTGCTCACAATATATTTAATACACAAAATAGTTACTTTAAAGGTAATATATTTATGTTCCTGTTAGTCTTTGGTAAGTTTTTATTCAATTATAATGTATATACAAAAAGGTAAACAAACAGTAAGTATAATTCACTCCAATGAATGTGTGAGTGAATACACTTAGGGTACCATCATCCAGATCAAGAAATGATGTGTTACCAGTACCCCAAAGCCCCCTCATGTCTTTCCAAGACAGTATTCTAAAAGGAAAATGCTATCCTGACTTCTATCATTATAGGTTAGTTTTATGTATTTTTATATTTGATAAAATCATACAGTATCTTTCATTTTGCACATATTTGTGAATTAAAATTATTTCCATGTTTCCCATATTTCTTTTTAACTAATCCTGTAAACTGAAATACTTGAGCAATTTCCTTGTGCTTCTAAAGATCACTTCCTCCTCTGCAACTCATCCTTCACTGAGGCTTGAAGAAGTTGCTAAGTTAATTCCTACTCACCAGTCATGCTCTGTCAACACTAAACACAACTCTGGCCAGTAACACTGCCAGAACTATAGTTATCACAATTAATTACTTTGGCCACAAATGAGAAATGTTTAAAATCAGCAGTCTCAGGAATCAAGACTGGAAAAAGAGCACTGCTCAAGAATTGGAAGGGTTTAGATGATCTGTAGTTAAAGAAAAAATGTGTTCAAAAGACAACAGAGATACAGGTTAGTTTTCTACAAAGATAGACTTTTAAACAGAAAAGTCAATGATGCCTGATTTGTGGTGTTAAAATATAACTGGACAGAACTGAAATGCTAGACAACGAACTGAAAGGAGGTGAAGGGGTGGCAGCGAGGGATCAGTGTCATAGTGTTCTAAGGTCCTTGCAGTTTCAGGAAGAGAGTAAAGATTAATTTTAGACTAAGATAAATATGCATGCTAAAATGTATAGATTAGCACTAAAAAGAGTAGAGATTTAAAATGTTCAAAATTAGTGGGAAAAAAAATCTTTGGAAAAAAACTTAGTCCAAAAGAAGAAAAGATAGGTAAGATGAAAAGAAGAAACAGAAAAAGAGAAAAAAAAAACTCAAAATAGTATGTTAGATATGAATACATATAACAACGGGCAGTATTAATAAATTCATAACAATAAATCACTGTAAATGAAATAGAAACAATACTTCATAGAAGAACAAATTTTAGGACTTTACAAAGTATCAACACTAATTATAAAGCAATAATAATTAAGATGCTGAAGTGACACACATGTAGACAAACTGGAATAGAAGGTTCAGAAACAGACCCATACATACATGCAAACTGAAACATGAGAGGGCATTACAAATAAGTGGGAAAAGAACAGACTACTCAAAACATGCAGCTGAGGCAATTGGTTCTTCATATGGATTGCAGATGAAGTAACAGTGTAGCAGGACAAGCCGCAGACAAAACCCCTCAGACACCAAGTTAAAGAAGGAAGCAGTTTATTCATCCGGGAACTTCAGCAAGACCCCTGTCTCAAGAGCTGAGCTCTCTGAGTGAGCAATTCCTGTCCCTTTTAAGGGCTCACAACTCTAAGGGGGTGCACGTGAGAGGGTCCTGATTGATTGAGCAAGCAGCGGGTACGTGACTGGGGGCTGCGTGCACCGGTAATTAGAATGGAACAGAACAGGACAGGGATCTTCACAGTGCTTTTCTTTACAATGTCTATAATCTATAGATAACACAACCGATTAGGTCAGGTGTCGATCTTTAACTACCAGGCCCAGGTCGCGGCACTGGGCTGTCTGCCTGTGGATTTCATTTCTGCCTTTTAGTTTTTACTTCTTCTTTCTTTGGAGGCAAAATTGGGCATAAGACGATAGGGGGGTGGTCTCCTCCCTTAACAGATTACAGGTTTTCACTTTAATCAATTTAAACTTTAAAAGGTTTCACTTTAATCAATTTAAATATAGGAGGATATATTTATAATCTCATTATGGGAACAGTGTTAACTATGAAGCTTGTATTTGATTTTCATTCCTGCCATAACAAATTACCACAAATATCATGACTTAAAACAGCCATTTTTATCTCATGGTACAGAAGTCTGTGTCCTCTATTTAGAGTCTCACGAGGCTGAAAGCAAGGTATTGGCAGGGCTGCATTCCTTTCTGGAAGTTCTGGGGATGAATCTTCTCCCAGGCTCACTCAGCTCTTTGGCAGAATGCAGTTTCTTATGTTTGCAGGACTCAGGCCCCTGTTTATTGCCTGGCTGTCAGCCCAAGGTAATTCTTTGCTCCTGGAAGCTGCACCACATACCTTCTCATGCTTTCCATGTTGTCCCTTGTAGCAATAGCAGGTTGAGACCCTATCACACTCCAGATCTCTTACTTCTCCTTCTCCTACATGTGTCTTGATTCCAGCTGAAGAAAGATCTCTGCTTCTAAGGGTTTGTGTGATTAGATCAGGTCTGCCTGAATAAGCCAGCAAACACACCCTATCTTGGGGTCCATAACTTTACATCTGCAAAGTCTCTTTGCAGATGTAAAGTATCATATTCACAGGTTTCAGGGATTAGGACATGGATAGCAGGGGGGCTCATTCTGCCTACTACAGAGTTTCATAAAATCAACTAAACTTAAAAATATATATGAATGAAGTAAAAAATAATATTTAAATAGTATGTATAGGTAAATGAAATAAAGAATAATATATAAATAGTATGTATAGATTTTTTTTTTTTTTTTTGAGACAGAGTCTCACTTTATCACCCAGGCTGGAGTGCAGTGGCACAATCTCGGCTCACTGCAACCTAAGCCTCCTGGGTTCAAGCCATTCTCCTGCTTCAGCCTCCCCAGTAGCTGGGATTACAGGCACACGCCACCATGCCCAGCTAATTTTTGTGTTTTTAGTAGAGACGGGATTTCACCATGTTGGTCAGGCTGGTCTCAAACTTTTGACCTCGTGATCCGCCTGCCTTGGCCTCCCAAAGTGCTGGGATTACAGGCGTGAGCCACCGCACCCGGCCTAGATTTCTAAGTTAAGGAAATTATAAACAAAGGCAGCAGGATGATAGTTACTCTTGGAAGGGAATGTGGAGAATGCAGTCCGAGGACACAAAGGGGAAGGTAAAGGCATTAGTAATGTTCTATTTCTTAACCTGTGTAGGGATATACAAATGTGTTTTCATCGTTAGTCATCTTCTTTAAATTGTACATATACATTATATACGTGCATGTGTGATAAATATCACAGCAAAATTTTAATGTTTAAAAACATGCAAAATGTTTCAAGATAAAACTCTTCTCATTAATAACCTGAATCACGTCTTTATTCATGAATTTATGAGTAAAGCCAGAGATGAGAAAAATCAAGGAAGAGAAAACAAAATATAAGAGATGGAAGAATGGACAAGAGTAAGGAAGGACAAAACCTAAAATATCCATCTCACAATTTTAGGAGATGTTAAAATTGGTGCTTTCCTCTCTGGCTAGAAACCAGAGAGAAAATGGTTTTCTTCAGAAAAAGTTCACAGGGGAGAGAAATCCTAATGACCTACATCTGCCTCTTTTCCCGAATGTTTGGGTGCCACAGAAATGATGCGGTCTCTAGATGTCTGGAATCAAGTGAAATAAAATTTCAATACATGAGTGGTATCCTGAGTAAACTGCCAGAAAAACAAACAAAAACATGTAGAGTGAAAGTTCAATTACTCTGCCACCTGCCAGTGACTCTGGCAAATGCAGATGGCAAATGCTTTGTTTGGGTACTTAGAGAATGATTTCAGTGATACGTCTGGAAAGTTGCCATGATTGCCCCAATCTGCTCTACCATCTACATCCAAACAAGCCTACTATGGAAAGGATAACATTGTCCACACTGTAGAAAGCATCCACAGTGAATCATAGTAATCCAGGCTTTTCCCAAGGGATGAGTGTCCTGCTTAACTCTTAAACTCCTTAGTTACTTGATATATGAACTTGTTTCTTGTGAAAGGTTACAAGAATTTTTCATACACATATACGTTTCTAAAAAGAAGTGTCTGTATACTGTGTTAACTTATGCCTTCACCAAAAAGATTGATTTATAAACCACTCCAATGCTAATAAATCATTTCACTGCTAGCATTAAAGAAGTAATTTCCCTTTAAACCAGTTACAGAAGATAGCAAAATGGGCCAGTGCCGACATTTCTTTCATCTGTGCTCAAGAATAGCCTGATAGAGCTTGGAAGAACTCAGCTGTTTCAAAGGAAAACTTACCTGGATTCAATTTTCTGCCTAATTTTCTTTGCAACATATGTAAAAGGATGAGGAACTCCGCTTTAAGTTCATTGGTCAGCATGTTGGGATTGCTTAGTAATTCTGATAACCTAATGTTATCTTTAATAGACTTCGAAACTGTAGACCTGGAAACCAGGGGTAAACGCATCTGGTAGCTATAGTCCGTGAAATTCACAAAGTCATCCTGGATACTTTTAATTCTGGAAATAAAAAATAAAATACTGTTGACAAGCAACATTTTAGCAATGAGTTTTATATTATCAAAAGTTTCACATTAAATTGTGTTACTAGGAAATTACAAAGAACTTACTCTCGATGTGTTAATAAAGTGTAAACCTCTTCTATCAATATTTCAGGCACTCCAGCTTTACAATGAATTGTTCCATGGATTAGTTCTTTAGGTAATTTAAATTTTTTTCTTGCCAGGAACTTTAATAGTAGAAAGAAAATGTTTTTATCATAAGAACTTTTATAAAAATCTCCAAGTACTATGAATTCACTTTAATCTCCCTTTTATTTACCTATGAAGTAATTTTTGTGTTTAACACGTTAGTTATTAAAAGATAATATTCAGCAGGAAAACCAATCAGTATATATCATGCTAATGGAAATAATTATGCTCAGTTTCATAGGTGACTCATGACATAAACAGTTGGAATTTAATAAACTTTGTAATACACAGGAACAAGCTGCCAACTCAGTATCACACAGTCACACACATACACGTAGAGATCCAGGAAATTAGCATGGCACACTTTAAAACAAACATCTTAACAGTTAAAAGTGTAAATGACTGCTAACGTACCTTCTCCAACTGTGCCCAGTTATCCAACTTGACTTTTAAAGAGGTCCCGTTTTCAAAGGATGATAATTCAAGTTCCCAGGGGTAATATATACAGAATATTTCTGCAATTAGGAAGCCATTTGAAAAATCTCTGATCCGTGGCAATTAGGAAATGAAATAAAGTGTAGTTAATTATGCAGTTTGTATTATTTTATAATTAATACTAGTCTAATATTCCATACTAAAAGTATCTTGTAAAGTGAGTGTTGTTGGATCGTTGCTCTAAGGAGAACCTACTGTGGAATTTTGCTAAGATTATCTACGTTTCAAAGGCTTTGGTGTTCTTTTGATGAACCCAAACTGTTAATTTGTATTGAATCCGCATTTCAAGAAGATCCCCAGGTGATTCATATGCACTTTAAAATTTCAGAGGCATGGTTGTAAGTAATACTGAAGACAAATTAGTAAACTAGTCCCCCGCTTATCTGCAGTTTTGCTTTCTGCAGTTTCAGTTACCTTGGGTCAATCACAGTCGGAAAATATTAAATGGAAAATTCAAGAAATAATTTGTAACTTTTAAATTGTACTCTGTTCTGGGCAGTCTGATGAAACCTCCCTGCCTGCTCTGTGTTGCCTAGGATGTGAGTCCTCCCTTTGTCCAGAGTCTCCACGTTGTAGACATCAGTCACCTTTTAGTCATCAGATCAACTGTACAGTGTGGTGCGCTTGTGTGCAAAGTGCAAGAGCAGTGATGCTGGTGATTCAGATATGCCAGAGAGAAACCATAAAATTATTCCTTTAGGTGAAAAGATGAAAGTTCTTGACTTAATAGAAAGTTGTAAGAATGGTTACAATGGTAGGAATGAATCATATTCCTGAAATATGAAGAAAAAGAAATTCTTGATAGTTTCGGCATCACACCTCAAACTGAAAAACTTTCAGCCACAGTGTGTGATAAGTGCTTAGTTAAGATTTTTAAAAAGGCATTAAATTTGTGGATGGAAGACATAAACAGAAATGTGTTCTGACAGAGGGTTCTGTAGTATCCACAGTTGCCATCCACTGGGGATCTTGGAACCTATGCCTCTCTGATAAGGAGAGACTACTTTAAACCAGAGTTCTGCAAAAGATTCATTGCCTTTTTATAGAATTTAGTTTGCATTCCCAGAGCAAATATTAGCTGCCAGTTACATACAAAGTGCCTACAATTAAGCAGCAACTTTAAAAACTTGTTGGTAACTCTCAAACTAGATGCCATCTCCGACAAAGGGTAAACTGATCCTTACCAGTATTTTTTTTTTTTTTTTTTTTTTTTTTTTTTGAGACAGAGTCTTACCCTGCCACCTAGGCTGGAGTGCAGCGGCATAATCTCGACTCACAGCAACCTCCGCCTCCCGGGTTCAAGCATTCTCCTGCCTGCAGCCTCCCCAGTAGCTGGGATTACAGGCACCCGCCACCACACTGGGCTAATTTTTTGTATTTTTTAGTAGAGACGGGGTTTCACCGTGTTGGTCAGGCTGTTACTCAACTCCTGACCTCAGGTGATCCGCCTGCCTCGGCTCCCAAAATGCTGGGATTACAGGCATGAGCAACTGTGCCCGGCCGTCCTTACCAGTATTAATGCCCAATATCACTAAAGAAAAAGCTTTGACTATTTTAATATTTTTGTAGTCACCAAAGCATTCTATATTGTCCACAATTTAATGATTGGTTGATTAATTGAATAAACAAGATGTATCGTGGTATTTTGTTAAAGCCTTGTTCCCTAATAGTGTTTTCGTGTGTGTACGTGGGTGGGGGGGTCTTGATTTGAAACATAAGCCAGGCCAGGGTAGGCAATCTGAGGCCTGGCAGGCGGCGGAAAGCAGGCGGGGCGCCCACCGGGGGGGCCTAGGACTGGCTTACTCAAGCACCTGTTGATGTTCCTGGGGAAGAAGCTGAGATCCAGACCCTGAAGCCAACGCAGAACGGAACGAGACAAGCGGGAGCTCTTCGGCGCATGCGGATAGACCAGACACTTCTTAGGCCTCCCTCGGATGGGAGCTGCTAGCTGTGGCGAAAGTGACGGTGACTTGTCTAGGGCTGCCGCAGTCTGTGTCAAATACCCTTTTTCCTGGCCGGCGGCAGCCATGACGCTTTCTGGGTTGCTGCGGCAACAGCAGAAGGCGGGGCTGGGCCTTATTGCTGGCGGCGCGGTCTCGTGGGGCGGGGCGGAGTCTTATGGGGCGAGACCTCAGCGCCTGCGCAAGCGCCGCAGCAGCCGCCCGTACTTCCGCTTTACTCAGATTTTGGACCGCGGGGCCGGGTATCGAGGGAGGCAAAGCTGGGGTCCCAGTGGTGTGGCTGCGGTCTGGGGAGCGCTTTCAGTCTCAGATTTAGTTGGCCTCACTGTTAACCTATTTAGAGCTTTTTTTTTCTTATGTCATCGTTCATAAGTTTTGTATTTTAAATATTGTTGGTTTCTGCCCAGCCAAAGGCCTATTTTCAGTCGTCTAGTTTGAGGAGTGGTGTGAGAAGACTCCAGAGGCCAAGGACAGTTTTTGTTTGGGAATTGGAAGAGATGGGGGAAAAAAATCTTTGAAATGGAAATGAATGTCCACAAAATTTAACATAACTATTTCCTTAATTATTGCATTAAGTATTTGTAAACATTAATATTTGAAAACGATGTGTAGGTTAGATTTTCACACTTAATTAAAATCTCCTAGTAGGCATAATTCCTTCATTAATTCAACAAATATGTATTGAGTCCATATTATGTGCCACGCATTCATCTAGTCACTTGGGATCTATCTGAACACAATGAAAACAACTGCAAAGTTGGCATAGGCAATTATAAATATGTAAGCTTAATTATTAAAATCCATTAAAAATTTTTACAGCCACAGTTTTTTGTTTTTTGTTTTTTGTTTTTTGTTTTTTTTTGCTTGGCAGGGCACAGTGGGTCATGCCTGTAATCCCAGCACTTTGGGTGGTGGAGGCGGGAGGATCGTTTGAGCTCAGGAGTTCAAGACCAGCCTGGGCAACACAAGGTGGAGAGACTTTCGCTACAAAACAAACAAACAAACAAAATAGCTGGGTGTGGTGGTGCACACCTGTACTCTCAAGTACTCCAGATGCTGAGGTGGGAGGATTGCTTGAGCTCAGGAACTTGAGGCTGCAGAGAGCCAGGTGACAGGCCCTGTGGATACATACACATGGTAAAATATGGGATAGATCTTGATAATGATACTATGTAATATTTTTAATGTTTATTCATATACATGCTTATTAATAAAGTAAACCAGTGTATTCTGTATGTGGTTAAAAAAGAAAACCAAAACTGAAGCTATGTAAGTGTTTTCTGTTAGGCTAAAAAAGTTTTAATGAATGATTCATTCATTCTGTAAACCTTTTCTGAGGAACTATCCTGGAGTATGTGCTAGATCTTTACCATCCAATATGGTAGCCACTAGCCACATGTGGCTATTTAAACTTAAATTTAAATAAACTCAGTTCCACTGGCTACATTTTACCTGCTCAATAGCCATATGTAGCTAGTGGCTGCCATGTTGGGTAGGACAGACACAGCACTGTTCCATCACTACAGGAATTTCGATTGGACAGCTCTGTGCGGCAGATCATTTATAAGAGATTCAGAGATAGAAATATCAGTGAAAAGATTACATACACTGAAAAGCTCTGCCATGGTAAAAATATGTTAGCACCAGAAAGGAAGCAAATACTTTGGCCTGGGAGAGTGTAAGAAGTCCTCTCAAAAGAGATGACCATTAATTTGGATCTTAGAAGGTGGTATTTTAAGCTGATTTTTAAGATGAAAGCTTTGAATAGCCATTTCTACTGTGAAAGGAAATTAAATCTTGGGACCCCCCCCACCTCCCCCAAATCACTAAGCTAAAGGGAAAAGTCAAAGTGGGAACTGCTTAGGGCAAACCTGCCTCCTATTCTATTCAAAGTCACCGCTTAGCTCACTGAGCTAAATGCATACCTGATTGCCTACTCTGGAAAGGCTCATCAGAAACTCAACAGAATGCAACCATTTGTCTCCCATCTACCTATGACCTGGAAGCCCCCTCCCTGCTTGAGTTGTCCTGCCTTTGCTTCTAGTTGTCCCACCTTTTCCAGACCAAATCAATGTTCATCTTCCACATGTCGACTGAAGTCTCATGTCTCCCTAAAATGTATAAAACCAAACTGCCCTGACCACCTTGGGCACATGTCAGGACCTCCTAAGGCTGTGTCACGGGTGCTCATCCTCAACCTTGGCAAAATAAACTTTCTAAATTAACTGAGACCTGTCTCAGAGTTTCTGGGTTCACACTACCTTTTATTAGCTATATGACTTTGGGCAAGTTATTTAACATTTGTATTTGTAAAATATGGAAATAAATAGGATACACCACAGAGCTGTAGAGATTAAATAAGTGAAATCTATAAAGAGCCTAAAACAATGTGCAGCACGTAGTGCTCAGTAAGCATAGATGATTGCTTCAAAGGTGATCTTGGAAATTTATTTGGATGATGAAGGGGCAATCTCACACAGAGTGACTAATGGGAGCAATTGCATAGAAATATGAGGGGTTTTTTAAATGAGTTTTAGGAAAGAACAGAACCCATTAGGGTTAGAGAAAGTGTTTAGGCATTATCAACCAAAGAGACATTGTCAACCAAAGGTTTAGATGATAATGGCTAGAGAGGTAGGTTAGATCTATAGGTTAGGGTTTATTTGTTTTTGTTTTTGAGACAGAGTCATGCTGTTGCGCAGGCTGGAGTGCGGTGGCGTGCTCAGGGCTCACTGCAGCCTTGACCTCCTGGACTCAAGTGAACCTCCCACCCCAGCCTCTCATCTCAGCCTCCCAAGTAGCTGGGACTACAGGTGCAAACCACAATGATTGGTCAGTTTTTAAATTTTTTATAAAGACGGGTCTTGAACTTGTGGGCTTGAGGAATCAATCCTCCAGCCTTGGCCTTCCAAAGTGCAGCAATTACAGGCATGAGCCACCACGCCCAGCTAGATTGGGGCTTAATTGTAAACAGTTTTGCTAAAGAGTTGGAAATCTTCCTGTAATCAGTGTGCCAATTGTTAAGCAAATACATCCCTGTTAGAAACACTCCCTTCTCTGTTCTCAGTTCTGTGATGCCGGAGTTGGAACGCTGCGGCATTTTCTCCTTTGCTGGGTGGATGGTAAATTCTGCCAATATGGGGAGTGAGAGAGTGGCCAGGAGGTGGGGAGCAGGGATTTGCTATTTCTCTGCTTGCTGTTCAAGCCCCTGTGTAACCATGGCAACAAAGCTTCACCTGGCCGGGGCAATTGGTTCCAGTCTCCAGTATGGTTGGTTGGTTGGTTTGTTTGTTTAGCACTCCTGGTGCAAGTTTCATCATATTCTCTCCGAGGTTTTAGCAACCACCAAGAAGTGGCCCTCCTTGGAAGTCTGAGACCCAATTTTACTCTCGGACAGCTCATGTGAGCTCCTGAAGTATTAGCACCAGCTGTGTACGCCCCATCCTCAAGTCTAAGTCTTGAGGCTCTTAAGCCTCCAACTCTTACGTTCTTATAACTTCAACTTCTTCCCTGGGGGTGGTAATTGCTTCCTGAAGTGTCTAGCTCTGTGTTAATTTGATGGTCCCATTTTAGTTTTTCGGTTCTTCAACACCACCAGTTCCTTATAAAGCCGATGCAGGTTTGAACCACAGGATTTGGAACTGCACGGGCCCACTAATATGTGGATTTTCTTCCACCTCTGCCAACCCCAAGACAGCAGGACCAATCCCTCCTCTTCCTCCGTCTCCTCAGCCTACTCAGTGTGAAGACAAGGATGAAGACCTTTCTGACGATCCACTTCCACTTAATGAATAGTTAATATATTTTCGCTTCTTTATGATTTTCTTAATAACATTTTCTTTTCTCTAGCTTACTTTATTGTAAGAATACAGTACATAATATATATCACACAAAATATGTGTTAATTGATGTTTATGTTATTGGTAAGACTTCCAACAGTAGGCTATTAATAGTTATGTCTTTGGGGAGTCTACAGTTGGGTTTTCTACCATGCAGGACGTCGGTCCCCCTAATCTTAATGTTGTTCAAGGATCAGCTGTTAAAATTCTTGCTGTTGAATACCTGGAATTAGTTCTGTTTTCCTGATTGGATGCTGAATGACATATTGCTTGGTACCTGGAGTGAGGTTTTTCTCTACCACTAGCTCACCTGCATCTTTCTAAAGTATCTAAGGAACTTGCTTCTTCCTGTTCATGAGGTCGACTCAGCAGGATATCATCAATATAGTGGACTAGTGTGATGTTCTATGACATGTTAAGACACTCAAAAATCTCTGCCAATCTTGTGGCAAAGAGCAAGAAAATTGATCTGAACCTAAGGCAATAGCTTGAATGTGTGCTATAGATCCTGATAGATAAAAGCAAACTGCTTTTGGTGGTTTTCGCAGACTGTTATGGAGAGGAAAAAGTACATTCCAGATTAACAGCAGAATAACATTTGCTGGGGACTGTAGAAATTCATTCCAGTAAAGACACTTCAGGCCAGGTGAGGTGGCTCACACCTATAATTTAGCCCTTTGGGAGGCCGAGGCGGGTGGATCATTTGAGGTCAGGAGTTTGAGACCAGCCTGGCCAACATGGTGAAACCCCCTTCTCTACTAAAAATACAAAAATTATCCAAGTGTGGTGGCATGCACCTGTGGTCCCAGCTACTCGGAAGGCTGAGGCAGGAGAATTGCTTGAACCTGGAAGGTGGAGGTTGCAGTGAGCCAAGATCATGCCACTGCACTCCAGTCTGGGTGATAGAGTGAGACTCCATCTAAAAAATAAAAATAAAAAATAAAAAATAAAAAAAAAGACACTTCCAATGGAAAAGCAGCTGTAATTGGAGTTAATTAAGTCTACAGTAATCCACACTCATTCATTAGGATTCCTCTAACCTGCATAAGCCAAACAGACTTTACAGCTCACAGCATAGGAAGCAGCGTGAGCTCTGTTCATGCTAGTACTTCTTGCCCACAGGTGTCTCGGGATGACGTGAAGAGGCTGAGGTGGAAGCCTCACACACCATGGGTTTACATCACAGCTGAGGAATCCCAACCTTAGGGAAGCCCAGTCTTTTATAATGGGCTGCAAGGAAAACTGCCAAATCTTTGCCCTGGAGGGAAACATTGTTCTTACGATACTGGTCAGTAAACAAACCTGCAGTCTCCTCTGAAGGAAGATACTATATTTTTTAACACTGTTCACTATATGAACATCTTTAAAAAGATGTTCTGAAACAAAAGCTGCCAGGGCATCTGCTTGCAAGATGCACAGAAATGCAAACAACTCAAAATGGATGGGTATACCAAAAAGCATTACAAATCCATTTCCATTTCCTGATCTTTACTCCCCGTTTTGGTTGCAGCATTGAACTGCTTCTGTCTTCATCTGTATTTAAGCTTAACTTCTTGAGGAGTCTCATCATAGAGCAAAATAGTATTTCATAATTATCATCAGACTGTGGTTTTTCAGAAGTGGCTATACTGAGAGGCTCTGGCCCAGATTCTAAGGCACTCCTGATGGAGGAAATAATTTTAACACTCATACCAACTCTGAACAGTTTTTCTAAGTTGAAAGGCGTAGCAATAAGAATGCAGTACACTAAACATATGAATTGAAAATATGGTCGATATTTAGGCAATCATAACTATAAACTTAAATAAGACTACATCTACTTAAATTACTATTTAAATATTTTATACTCAATATTGGTATCAAATTCTTAAAAAGCGACTACAAGGCCAAGTGCGATGGCTCACACCTTTAATCCCAGCATGTTGGGAGGCCGAGGCAGGAGGACCACTTGAACCCAGGAGTTTGAGGCTAACCTAAGCAACATAGTGAGACCTCCATCTCTACAAAAAATTGAAAAAAAGTTAACCAGGCATGGTGGTGCACACCTGTAGTCTCCGCTACTTGGGAGACTAAGGAAGGAGGATCGCTATAGCCTGGGAAGTTGAGACTGCAGTGAACCATAATTGTGCCACTAAATTCCAGCTGGGGCAACATAGTGAGACCCTGTCTCAAAAAAAAAATGACTACAAGATTCAATCATTTACTTAAATGTCTTGATATCTCAGATATTAAACTTCATTTTTATTTTTGTTTTTTAGAGACAGGGTCTCGTTCTGTCACCCAGGCTGGAGTACAGTGGCACAATCATATCATAGTTCATTGTAACCTTGAACTCCTGAGTTCAAACAATCCTCCTGCCTCAGCCTCCTGAGTAGCTGGGACTACAGGTGCATACCACCATGCCTGGTAAATTTTGAAAATTTTCTGTAAAGACAGGGTCTCACTATGTTGCCCAGGATGGTCTTATACTCCTAGCCTCAAGCCATCCTCCTGCCTTGGCCTCCCAAAGCACTGGGATTAAAGGTGTGAGCCATGGCGCCCAGCCCTTAAACTCTGATTTGACTGATTTTGAAGCTAAGTAATGTAGAGTCTTGGTTGTTTATCTCCACTTAATGTAATTTACTCTATCAGATTCAAGCCAGGTGCATATTAGAAGCATTTTCCTCAATAATGTATTAAAAATGTATTTGGCAACTTCATGTCTCTATCTGTATAGATGAAACTGTTGATAATGTTCACTAATATAATTGTAACTTCAGCTAAAGATCAAGTCGGTTACAATTGATAATAACTATAGTGAGCTATAATGTCACTTTACAAATGAAAACTGATAGGAACAGATATCTTTCTCTCTCTACAAATACACAGAGATAAAATTAAACCTTTCTGATTATACTGTGAGTTTGTATAGGGATGAATCTAAGAGCTACAAAGAGACGAAGTGATGGGCAATATGTGAGGCCACTGGATCTTGTATAATGACCATAGAAAATTAAAACATAGGCCGGGCGCGGTGGCTCATGCCTGAAATCCCAGCACTTTGGGAGGCCAAGGGGAGCAGATCACCTGAGGTCAGGAGTTCGAGACCAGCCTGGCCAACATAGTGAAACCCTGTTTCTACTAAAAATACAAAAATCAGCTGGGCGTGGTTCGGGCATCTGTAATCTCAGCTACTCAGGGGGCTGAGGCAGGAGAATTGCTTGAACTAGGGAGGCAGAGGTTACAGTAAGCCGAGATCGTGCCATTGCACTCCAGCCTGGGTGACAAGAGTAAGACTCAGTCTCAAAAAAAAAAAAAAAAAAACGCAAAAAAGTTAAAACATAAAAAAATTAATATATTAGTCAAGGCAAGTAATCATAACTAAAACAAACAAACTCAGAAATCTCAGTGGCTTAACACGCCATGGGTTTATCTCTTCCTGACATTGCCCGCCTACTCTGGGGCAGTGAGGAGGGGAATTTTCCGCCTGCAGGAATCTAGGCTGGTGCAGACAGCACTGCCCAGAACATGTGGCCTCTGCAGTTGCTGTTTTGAAGGGAGATGGAGGATATACACTGGCTCTTAAGTCTCCTAGGCTGCAGGGGACACATGTCACTTCCACTCTTGTCCGTCATGAAGTCTCATCCTACCTGTGTGAGAGTCCCAGGAAAGCAGAGGGCACGTGGGATATTTAGAAAGTGTGGGTGTGAGTCATCTCAGCTGTGATTAGAAACCTCTTTTTAAAAGGGGGGGGGCTCATCCTTTTGGATGTGCAGCGTGTGAGGAGATAAGAAAAACTTCCTTTAGCTTTTCCTTGAAAATTCAACCATACACTCAACTTGGGGGATTCTAGGTAGGAAATATTTTATCTTCAGTAACTGCATTTATTTATACTTTTGCTCTTTTCTCGCCTGGTTTGTTAACTCAGAATTTTGATCGTATGTAACTGGAAGAATAAAGGGGTTACATTAAAAACACTTCTTGCTAATGGGAAGGCTGTCCTCCTACCTTCAGTCAATATAGCCGCCAATCACAGATGTTGAATATCCCACACAGAAACGTAGGGGGTCCCTTTCACTTCCTTACAAGACCAGGAAATGCAGGAACTGTGGAGTGAAAAGAAGAAATAAGATGGAAAAATATTCATAACACCGCAGTAGAAAGTATCTGTTTCTTATTGGTTATCCATTGTTGAATCATTCAAAAACATAGTGGCATCAATCAATCAGCAACAAATTTTGTTTCTCACAATGATGTGGGACAGCATTTGGGCTGAACTCAGGCAGTTCTGCTGGTTGTGCTTGAGGTCCCTCATGAGGCTTCACTTCTCTGTGACTCAACCTGGGCTGCGCCGTCTAGGAGGGTCTCACTCATATCCTTGGCAGATGGTGCTGGCTGTTGGTGGGCTTCTCACTCCACATGGTTTCTCATCCCTTTTTCACATGGTGGTCTCAGGCTTCCACAAGGATGAAATCAGAAGCTGCAAGGTCTCTTGAGGGCTAGCCTCGAAATTAACCCAACATCACGCTACTCCATGTCTTAGTCACAGAAAGAGACAGGACCCATCCAAATGCAAGACATGGGTAACATGTCCACTCCTCTTGTTGGGAGGAGAAGGCAAGTGACATTGCAAAAGACTGCACAGGAGGAATTATTGTCAATATTTTGCAAGCAATCTACTCCTGTTCCTCTGTTTCCTTCAAGTCTTAATGGAATATGATTTGGTTTGATGCAGGTAATTTTCCCACAAAGGATTCAAGAGAGTAGAGGGAGAAGTTACATTCTCAAGGAGAAAAGTTAGCTTTTTTCTTGCTGCTTTTTGCCTTCCAAGTGTGACCTTTTCCCTCTAGCTGTGTTAAGTCCCAGGATAGGGTAAAGGAATTACCTAAGTCATTTCCATCTGATTTAACAAAAGAGGACAACTTCCCTCCAGATGGATGTCACGTACCAGTGTATGAGCTGGTGCATGCACAACAGAATAAGACTAGCTATGTAATTTGTAAGGCAAAGTGCAAAATACAAATGTGGGCTTCTTGACCAAAAATTAAGAATTTCAAGGTGATAGCAGATCCGTAAAAGCAAGCATGGGGCTCCTCTTAGTGTGGGGCCTTGCAGCTGAGTCCCCAGCTGAAGTGTTAATAAAGAGGCATGGAAAAAAAGCATGTTGATCATATAATTTGTCCTATACAACTCAAGAAGAAAGTTTGTGAGATTTAAAAAAATAATCCTTTTTTTTTTTTTTTTTTGTTTTTTTGTTTTTTCAGAGAGAATGTGACTCAAAGGGTAAAATTACTGTCTTTCATTTCCTTAGACAGGGACCATTTGGCTGACAATTAAATTGAGTTCTTCCTTACAAGGAGTAATGTTTTACCTTAGCCAATGTGTCATTATGTACATAATGAATATGGTTCTACAGAATAATTTGAAACATAATGATGAGAAGTACTGACTTCACTTTGAGAGAGATACCTCAAAAATTATAAGGTAGTTAGGAAAATATTTCTTATTGTCACACTGGCAGGGAGGTCACAAGCCCCAACAGCTTCTGAATGTCTAAGTCCAACCCAGGCTTGCAGGCCTGGTCTCTGAGGTGTGCAAGCTGTGCAACCTGGGAGGCTCGTTGCCTAGAGGGGGTCCATGCTTGGAACCAGTTATATAGTTGGCCCCATTCTTCAGTGATACTGTAAATCCACACTTCCTTTAATACCTGTCTGCACACAGCAAATATGTCCTCAGTTGTTTGCATATCAAAGGAATTAAGTCTGTTCTAATGAAGTCACTGAAAGATTACTCTACATTTGTGGCTCTCAGTGGGGTAAATTTGGCCCCAAGGGACATTTGACAATGTCTAGGGACACCTTGTTTGTCACGACTGGAGGGAGAGGGGACAGGGTGGGGTGCTGACAACTTGGGGGAGGGAGCAGATTGCTGATACCTGGTGGGTGAAGGCCAGGGCCGCTGCTGGACATGCGACAGTGCACTGGACAGTCTCACACAATGAGAAGTATCTGGTTCCAAATGTCCATAATGTGGAGGTTGAGATATTCTGTTTTAGATTAACTCAAACTTGCAAAAGTGTACTGCTGAGTGGGAGATGGGGACTCCAAGGTGAGGATGGGGCTGTGAGCAGATGGTGTGGATTCCTGTGAAGTCTCCAAGGAGAACACAATGAAAGGAAGAGGGCGGCCCTCACATACCTAAGGATGGAAGGCGGGGGATGGGCAGGCAACGTTAGAACTGAGCTCCACAGACACTTATCCCACCTCGGGAGGTGGAGAAAGGAGAACAGCATGTGCATTTATGGACAGTGTGAACTGTGATAAGCAAAGGTTGAAATTATACACATAGTTGCAGACCTTATGAATATTTTACTTCCTGCTATTACTAACCATCACTGCAGCTAGATGACAGAGTTAATGCAAAGCTGGCCCCGCTTATCATGAACAGGTCTTAGGAGTAAGCTACTCTGTTGAACTATAAAGAGTCTCAAAAACATGCTCCCTTCCCTCCTGAGATCTGAAACAATTCTCAGTAAGACAAAAGATCAAAGCAGTTGGGAAAAAAAAAAACCCTCAAATCTGTCACTGATGGAGTTGTTATTTGAGAAGGTGCTTATGTCCATGGGCAAGCATCTTCCTAGTATTCAACTCCAGGTGTAGAATGAAGCCTCTCCTAGTCACAGGCTTGTGGGACCTGGATGCAGGCAGAATCAGCTGCTGTCAAATACATGGTTATAGAGAAGCAGAACAGAGCATTTGTTCCCTGTGGCAGCTCAGACCAGGTAGGGAGAGGAAGGGGCTATGCACGCTCAGTTCTCCTTCCAGTTAACCAATCCCATTCAGTGGCTCCCTCTCTTGTAGGGTTGGGGACTGCTGCAGGTGGCAGTTATGGAGGATGGGGCTGGGGGAGTGAGGACAGAGCCCTGGAGTAATGTGCTAGTGGGGGTCCCTACACATGGGAGAGTAAAATAGGAACGGGAGAAAGATGCCATCCTGCCCGCCTTGCAGACAGGATCAGTGTGCAGTCAGCTACTGCCTTTGGAGATAGGGGACCCAGCATGATGAAGCTCCTCCTTATTATCATGAGAACAGAGGAGAATGGGGTTGAGGGAGGAGCAACTAGAAGAAGAAGAAATCTTTGCCATATATGGAACTGCTAAGGTGCACTGACTTCATTTTCAAAACTCCTCTTTAATGACCAACTGAAGTTAGGGGCCCAAAAGATGACGAATGATGTCCAGAAGGCTAGCTTCATCCATTTAGGGGAAAGAAGTGACTAAGAATCCAGCCTAAGCACAAGTATGGGAGAGGGAGAGATGGAGTCCCTGCTTCCTTCCACAGTATCCCCCAGCACCTCCATAAAACCCAATTCTTTCTTTTTAAAAGCCTGGTGTGGTTAATTCCATCTTGTATATCGGTAAAGGGAGCTTGGAAAACACTATTTTCTCCAAGTCTTTATTCCCTTTGTTCTATCAGGTATGCTTACGCCATGATAAAGCAAGTTTGAAGGTCTTTCCTGCCGTATGATATACCCTGGGCTACTCCTGCAGGGAAGCAGCCTTGTTCCTCATTCCTCTCATTTCACATATTCTCTCCCTACACTACTCATGTTGAATATTTTTACAGGGTCCTCCCTGTAGAAACCTGTCCTGATATCGAATATCCTGACTGACTACTTCTTCTACTCTGGATCAATAAGGGATCTCTTTTCTGATCCTCTCGATCTTCTCCTGTTTGATGTCAAGTCTTATGCCCACCAAAACCCCCATCCTTTTCTTCCTTGAGTCTTTGGGAATCTTCATTGGTTAGTTCTCTAGCGTGCTGTTAGTGTTCTGGCACAAAAACACTAATACCTCTGGTTTTTAGGAACTGGACTGCATCAGTTTTACTTGCCCCCTGTGGGTAGCTCAGATCAGGTAGGGAGAAGAAGGGGCTATGCATGCTCCCTTCTTCCAGTTAACCAATTCCATTCATCCCTCCCCTCTGTTGTGAGGTGAGGGGTGCTGCAGGTGGCAGGGATGGAGGACAAGGACTGGGGGAGTGAGGACAGAGCCTGGGGATGCTGTGCTTGTGGAGCTCCCTCCATATGGAAGAAGAAAAATGGAAGAAAGTTGCTATCCCACCCACCTTGTGATTGGAACGAATGTGCAGCCAGTCACAGCCCTTCATCATGCAGCCTGCATGAATCCACTTAGGACAGCAATTCCACTGGATGTTTTCTTCTGTATGTGTAGGGCATTTATATTCTCTAAAGTTCTCTCTTGAGCAATTCCTTTGAGAGGATATCAAAAGTAAAGATCCTGATATATTGGCTTTAAAAAGTTACACTACTGGGCTGGGCATGGTGGCTCACACCGGTAATCCCAGCACTTTGTGAGGCCAAGGTGGGTGGATCACCTAAGAGCAAGAGATCTAGACCAGCCTGGCCAACATGGCAAAAGCCCATCTCTTCTAAAAAATACAAAAATTAGCTGTACATCGTGGCAGGCACTTGTAATCCCAGCTACTCAGGAGGCTGAGTCAGGAGAATCACTTGAACCCGGGAGGTGGAGGTTGCAGTGAGCAGAGATTGCACCTTTGCACTCCAGCCTGGGAGACAGATCAAGACCCGGTCTTAAAAAAAAAAAAAGTTACATCACTGGCCTGCAAGAGACAGAGATTTTAGAGCTCTGACCTCACCAGATTCAAGCTTTTAATTGCCTTATCTCTGGAGCTATAAAGATAATGAGTGTTGGCAGTAAGAGTCACCCTTATTTGCATCAACTGCAGAGGCATAGCTGCCAGCTCCCTTCCTAGGGCACGCGATTCACCTCAGTGCTTACATTCCCCATCAAGACGCACTTTGGCTGCTTGGACTTATGAAATTCCTTTTAAATATTTTAATTAGTTACTGTAAATTGTTCTATATAACCCATAAAAGGAACCTCCATGACAGAGCTCGTGAAGCAGGTAATGAATCCCAAAATAGTGTTTGCACAATGGGAGCATGTCTTCCCTCTGGGCTATTCCTTTAGATATCCATGAATTTGCCTTTATAGGAGGGACCATGTGGGATTAGCACAGGAGAAAAGCATTAATTTCCTTCCCAAGATAAATATTTCTGTAATAGGTTATATCATGTTTTTATTCCTGCTTTCTCCCATCTTTAGTACAGATATTTTGGACATGCTAAAAATGACCATCTACCCAGGCGTGGTGGCTCACTCTGTTCTTAGACCTGGTTGTCTAGGGTCCAGTCTCACAAGGACAATGACAATAGAGAGATTGAGCCTTTCTATCTCTGTTGATAATTTTTTGCTGGCTTAAGACCAGTTAAGCAGGTGTATCTTAGCAGATGTATCTCAGTCTTCCACGAGGATAAAATTAGAAGCTTCAAGGTCTCTTGAGGCCTAGGCTTGAAATTAACCCAACATCACGCTACTCCATGTCTTAGTCACAGAAAGAGACAGGACCCATCCAAATGCAAGACATGGGTAACGTGCCCGCTCCTCTTGTTGGGAGGAGAAGGCAAGTGACATTGCAAAAGACTGCACGGGAGGAATTATTGTCAATATGTTGCAAGCTATCTACTCCTGTTCCTCTGTTTCCTTCAGGCCTTAAGGGAATATGATTTGGTTTGATGCCACTCACTGCAACCTCCACCTCCTGAATTCAAGCAGTTCTTCTGCCTCAGCCTCCTGAGTAGCTGGGACTACAGGTGCGTGCCACCACGCCTGGCTAATTTTTGTATTTGTACTAGAGATGGGGTTTCACCATGTTGGCCAGGATGGTCTTGATCTCTTGACCTCGTGATCTGCCCGCCTCGGCTTCTCAAAGTGCTGGGATTACAAGCATAAGCCACCATGCCTGGCCAATTACTTGTATATTTTAGTTATCTCTTTTTGTTTCGTCCAGTAGAAACTCGCTGATATTCTTTATCATAATTGGAGGGAATTGGGTGTTATCTGAATGAAGTGCCAAAGAGTTCATGTTTAGTGCTCATCTCTTCGGATATCCTGCCAGCTCTGAAAGTTCCATGATTCTCCATGATTCTGAAAGTTCTGTGATCCTCCTACTTCTGCTGCTGTGGCAATTGGCCTCAGGTTGGGCTGCTTCAGACGGGTGGAGGGTCAGGCAGGTGAACAAGGAAAGTCTTTGAAAAATCTGTCCTTAGAGACAGCAGTTCCACTTTCTATGCCTTTGGCATACATCTGTGGCTCTCTGGGTCTCTTTCTTTCTCATGCCTCCACAATCTTATTGTTATGGCATTTCCATTTCATATCATTTGTTATGTCTCATATCTCTCTGGTAAGTGCTTTATGGGATGTTTAATTTTTCAGCACTTTACATCAGAGCACCTCCTTGTCCCAGCTTGTCTTTCAAACCCCTGCCACACACCACAAGCCACCTGCCTGCCTGTCGTCTGCTCTTGGGGGAGATGCCCAAGCATCTATGAAGCGGGTGGTACATGATTCACATTGCACGTGCTGGACTTGGCAGTGGCTGTAGGTGTGACAGATTTTTAAGACATATTTTGTTCAGTAAAGATGAGTAACTTTTGGGTGGATTTCTTTTTATTAGTGTGTTTGAGAAAGCCGGTCTTGTCTGATTGTAGAATTTGGGTTGCATTCTAACCCTAAGTCCCAGATTCCACCCATTGTGGAAGGGATTGTCATCTAACATTGCCCAGTGGAGGGGGATTGAGGGAGAGCTCAGTGGTAACTGTCCCAAAGGACCTGGATCCGGGTTCCTAACTCCACAGATGTCTCCACGCCAAATAATAGAGCCACTCTCTTTACCCACGAAGACTTAACTTCAATCTTTGCAGTAGGGAGACTGATCAAGGAAGCCAAAGCCGCTGAATTAGTTTAACATCTCCTTTCTCTTGTTCCCACTCTAGGAGAAAGGGTGCTATCTTTCCGCATACAATCACACACATCCCTTGTGGGCAGAGAAGAAAATAACTTTTGTGTTTCAAGCTAATTGAAGAAGCATGTGATGGCCTTTAAGGGGAAGGAAATGTAGATGAATCTTTGACTGATGAGGAGGGAGTTGTGAACATGACACAGTTCCACCTACAGTAAACTCACAGCCTACGCAGGAGGCAGACAAGCAAATAAAAATTTGTTCTGTAGTACTAGGGATGTGATTAGAAGAGGCCTGCACAGGGTTCCAAAGAGAATAGATGGATATGCAACCCAGACTGGGGGATGGTGAGGAAGGTTTGGCTGGGAGGAGGGTGAGGAAGGTTTCTTGGAAGAGTGATTTTTTAGCTAATTGTTGGTGGTAATGCAGCAGTTATTAAGACAGACCATGGAGAAGGATGTGTTCCAGGCAGAGGGAACAGCATTTGCAGTGGCAAGGAGGGAAAATGAGCTCTGGGAGGATCTAGTCTGTGTTTTGACTTTCACATTAGGAACTTTCCTTCTTTCTTTCTTTCTTCCTTTCTTCCCTTACCTTCCCTTTCTTTCTTTCTCTTCTTTCTTTTTCTTCTTTTTCTCCTGCTTCTTTCCTTTCTCTTTCGTTTCTTTCTTCTTTCTTTCCTCTTTCTTTTCTTTCTCTCTTATTTATTTATTCATTCGTTCTTTCTTCTTTCTTGTTCTTTCTTTCTTTCTATTTGAGACAGGGTCTTACGCTGAAGTGCAGTGATGTGGTCATAGCTCACTGCAGCCTCAACTCCTGGGCTCAAGTGATCCTCCTGCCTCATTCCTCCTGTGTAGCTGGGACTACAGGTGCACACCACGCCCAGCAGGAGCTTTCTTAAATCAGTGCAAAAGCCCTCTGTGATCTGTCACCTAATCACTGCCCCATATCACCCGCCTAACTCTCCTGACACACTCGAGTCTCCCAGAGGACAAGAGCATATGCATGCTCCCACCAGAAATTGGATTTCACAGACGTCTTCTGGAATTTAGATGTCATTCCAGGAAGAAATGGCACAGGAGTTGGGGGGGGTGGGGGGTGGGGTGGGCAGAGCTTTGAATTGACTGAAAAGTTTACTTGAAGAGACTGAGAAAACACTGAATTGACTGAGTTTATCCAGGAATTTCCTGATTTCACTTGGTGAAAAGGAAGCTTGGAGTAAAAATTAAATTCTGTTCAGAATAATGAAACAAACTTTTTTGCAAACCTGAACATGTAATTTATAAAATTTGTACATGCAATATGTTTTTCATAAACCAAAAAATAATTTTTAAAATGTATTTGAACTCCCTCACCCTTATTAAAAGACTCAATGAAATTGAACACAGAACTGAAAATGGGAAGGAAACCTATATTTAAAAAATGTGAAAACTGGCTGGATGCGGTGGCTCATGCCTGCCATCCCAGCATTTTGGGAGGCCAAGGCAGGTGGATTACTTGAGGTCAGGAGTCCAAGACCAGCCTGGCCAACATAGTGAAACCCTGTCTCTACAAAACATACAAAAAGTAGCCAAGTGTGGTGACACACACCTGTAATCCCAGCTACTCAGGAGGTTGAGGCAGGACAATCGCTTGAACCCAAGAGGCAGAGGTTGCAGTGAGCTGAGATTTGAGACTCTGTCTCAAAAAAAAAAAAAAGAGAAAACTGAGACGCGTTGTGGGAAGTCAGGGACCCCAAATGGAGGGACTGACTGGAGCCGCAGCAGAGGAACATAAATTGTGAAGATTTCATGGACATTTATCAGTTCCCAAATAATACTTTTATAATTTCTTTTGCCTGTCTTTACTTTAATCTCTTAATCCTGTTATCTTCATAAGCTGAGGGTGTACGTCACCTCAGGACCACTGTGATAATTGTGTTAACTGTACAAATTGATTGTAAAACATGTGTTTGAACAAAATGAGATCAGTACCCCTTGAAAAAGAACAGAATAACAACGATTTTTAGGGAACAAGGGAAGACAACTATAAGGTCTGACTGCCTGCGGGGTCGGGCAAAAAGAGCCATATTTTTCTTCTTGCAGAGAGCCTATAAACAGATGAGCAAGTAGGGAAGATATCGCTAAATTCTTTTCCTAGCAAGGAGTATTAATATTAATACCCTGGGAAAGGAATGCATTCCTGGGAGGAGGTCTATAAATGGCCGCTCTGGGAATGTCTGTCTTATGCAGTTGAGATAAGGACTGAAATACACCCTGGTCTCCTGCAGTACCCTCAAGCTTACTAGGGTGGGGAAAACCTCTGCCATGGTAAATTTGTGGTCAGACTGGTTCTCTGCTCTCGAACTCTGTTTTCTGTTGTTTAAGATGTTTATCATGACAATATGTGCACCACTGAACACAGACCCTAATCAGTAGTTCTGCTTTTGCCCTTTGCCTTGTGATCTTTGTTAGACCCTTATCAGTAGTTCTCCTTTTTGCCCTTTGAAACATGTGATCTACTCCCTGTTCTTACACCCCCTCCCCTCTTGAAACCCTTAATAAAAACTTGCTGGTCTGAGACTCAGGCGAGCATCACAGTCCTACCAATATGTGATGTCACCCCTGGAGGCCCAGCTGTAAAATTCCTCTCTTTGTAGTGTCTCTCTTTATTCCTCAGCTGGCCGATACTTATGGAAAATAGAAAGAACCTACATTGAAATATTGGGGCAGATTCCCCCAATAGAGACCTACACAGCTGAAATGAAATGATTTGCTTAAGGTCATGGGGCAGATGAAGAGCTAGTAATGCACTGAATTTTCTTAATAAATTTTCTTCCATCAATCTTGAAACTGTGAGAAAGTTCAGTTAGGTTTTTAAGAGAAAGGGCTAACCTTAAAATAAAGTAAATTCTAAATGATAATAAGAATAACAGAGAAACTGAAGTAAAAAAGTGGGAATAATCCAAGGGAAAGGATAATTTTTAAGTTATTTTGTAGCTGGATCACTAGTCAGTTGAGCTCAGTGCTATGATGGAACAAAGAAAACCTTCTACTCTGAAGAGGCCTTTCTTTTCTACTACATATCTATTTACTTTCTCAGAAACACCAAATATATGCTGTGGTTATTAAAACAATAGAATTTAATTACTTTTTTAATCCAAAAAAATTGTTTCAACAGTGTCTATCTACAGTTATTGTTTTACTAAATTTCTTAAATCTTATGTCACATAGTAACTATTTTGTTTCTTTTACTTTGTGAAATTTTGTCCTTGAACTTTAATGTGTGTGTATACATATATGTATATATGTATATTATATGTATTAAATATCACATATATTATATGTATTATATGTCACATATATATAAAATATGTCTTGGATTAGAAGGTCTTTGAGGTATCTATTTTTTATTCTGTGCTACTCTATCTTAATGCTCATGATTCAGTGATTTGGAAACTGGTGGTGAAAAAAATTAGTGCAACTGAGTCACTCCATGACTTTTCATTATAAAATAAAATAATGAGACAAACACAAAGTGTTTTATTCCAATGAATAATAATCACACTTTAATATAATAACAAACATACAATACATTAAAGTTAGAACACTACTTTGATAAGACAATCATACTCAAGCTAAGATACAAGGTACAGACATACTGAAATTGTAAAGTGACCATTTTAATGTTTGATATTTACTTCTCTTATTGGCACAAGACTAATAAGATAGATGGGTTGTATTACTCTTAAAATCTAAGACTTCTCCTCTAGCTCAGGGAAAATACTGGTGGAAACCTGTTTTACCCAAAAGCAGCTTTAATATCTGTTTAACCAGGTTATTCTATAATAAGAACTCCATTTTAATGCACGTTATCCATTACAAATGTGTGAGATATTCTATAAAACACATATTTAAAGGTCCCTATCCTCATATAAAACATTGTTTAGTGAATATGCTACAGCTTTATTTCTATGTTTGAAAATCTCAACAAACGTTTTAAATCACAACTGATTTTTTTTCTTTCTGCCAAAATGCAAGCTTAGTGATCTGGGGGTCACATACAATCATAATTTATTTTCCCATAGTCTGGAAGTTAGCCAAGAAGTCAGAAGAAAATAAGCCCTGGGTTGTTGAAAATAGTGGTCAAAATATTTACTTTATCAAAATTTAATAAATCTATAAAACTCACCCAAAGTTGCTTTTGTTTTACAAAGAGTTGTACGTTGATTATCTTATTTCTAAAATCATAATAGGCCCTGAATTACAAAACAGGCATAAAATTTTATTAAGTTTTTTATTGCACTCAAGTATAGTTAAAGCTGAAGAGAATAAACGTAGTATTTACCCTTGCAGAGGACTAGCTTAGTAATATCTTCTTTTATACAATACTCTCTTGCTATTACTTGCAAATACAGTATACTCTAAGCCCTTGTTTTGTGTAAAAAGAATTAGAAACAGTGCGATTAAGTTCTCTATATACATTTTTTAAGGTCTCCAATGTGTTAAGTGGCACCCACTCTTTAAAAACTCCACAATTTGAGTTTTTAATCTTCCATTTTTTTATATCCTTGGACTGATGTGATGATCCCCGGAATATGATCCAGGGCCTGTTTGTTAATTAGATATATAGTTCATTTTCTTAAGTCCAAGTATCACTAGCTATTGACAATTTCTGAAATGGAAGAAGGCTGGAGTAATATGCATATAACCGCCTTGATAAGAGATCATCAGGGGCTACTCCTGAGAAGGAGGCAGTCTTAACATAGCCTTAGAAGGTGTGTAATGTTCTAAATATCTCAGGGTGAGAGGGCAGTATTGACCTTTCATCCTATCACTTTTCTGTAACAAGTCCATGTACTATGGAGAAGAGAAGTGACTTGTGAGTCCTTTGCCAGGGGTAAGTGGGGGAGAGGGGGGCAATTTATCTTTATGAAGTGTTCATTCTAATGACCAGTGGACATTCAACATAGTGGATTTCCTGAATGAGCATCATCCTGGTTTCAGAAAACATATTAGTTGCTCTTTGCTAAGCCATATTCATATTTTATGTCAATATCAGTAACAAGTTAGCCAATTACAATAGCCAAAATTAAAAAGTTAACCCATTAGTTGAAGAACATAGACCTTTTTAAATATAATATGAATAACTTTACTAGGAGCTTTATTTCTTTCCAATCCAAAAGAAAACATAAGATAGTGACTTTATTATTTTTTCCTGAATAAACAGGAGGGTATATTGAAATAACAAAAAATAGATATTATAAATATGCTATAATCCAAAGACAGCATAAATGATAAAACAATAGTACTAATACACTTAAAATGAAAATTGATATTTTACTGCTTCCCTGGGTGATCTCACACTCACTTTTATCCTATCTTTAGCATATTTTTATATGAACTATTCCTTAAGCAAAAGAAATAGAAATTTTGATTTTCAAGGTATTTAGAATTACTTTACTGTTTTATCGATACTGTAAGAAATTCTTCAGTAACGTTGGCAGCTGGAGTTGTGGGATAAGGTGCAATCTTGGTTTTCCTATGTAGCTTCGGATACAGAGTCGGCAAAGTTGGTAAAGAGAGCTTGGGGTAGCTACAAGAAGACATGAATCTATTTGTTAATTAAAATAGAAATGAATTTTTTATGTTGTAAGGTACATAACATAAAACCATAAAAACTACAATGCTTTGTAGTAAACCTAGGATAGCATGACCACTATACTAGGGAAATTTATGTAAGCAGTTATATTGCTTTTATTTATAAGATCTTATTATAATTGAGATATATTCCATATACATTCCTTAAAATATTATAATCCTCAGGCTTAGGAAATAATTGTTGAATTTAAAGCCTCAGAAACAAAGTCTGCTTTTTGAAGGAGATATAAATCAAAAGTCCTGAGAAGTATTATGCACTAAAAGGGGAAATTTTAAAATTAAGTTTAATATTTACCCTAAAAGAAATATTATAGTCCCTGGACTAGGATTAAGAAATCCTATTTTAGAACAAAAGTCTCAAATGTAAAAATATTTACTAATTTTATTTCTATAATATGTTATAGAAGGTTCATGTCCTTATAAAATGGGGCATGCTCCAAATATAAATCAGCAGATATTATACCAGAAGTGCATATAATGCATTACTGAAACTAATTGAATATATTTAACCAAAAATATATGAGAGTTTAGGTAAGATGAAAGAGAAAATTAAAATTATCATTTTTTTTCTTTTTTTTAGATGGAGTCTCACTCTGTTGCCAGGTTGGAGTGCAGTGGCGTAATCCTGGCTCACTGCAACCTCCGCCTCCCGGGTTCAAGTGATTCTCCTTCCGCAGCCTCCTGAGTAGCTGAGATTACAGGCACGCACCACCATGCCCAGCTAATTTTTGTGTTTTTAGTAGAGACAGGGTTTCACCATGTTGGCCAGGATGGCCTTGATCTCTTGACCTTGTGATCCACCCGCCTTGGCCTCCCAAAGTGCTGGGATTACAGGTGTGAGCCACCACACTCGGCTGATATCTTCTTTATAGATAAAACCTAAGTTAAAAATCATCTACTTTCACAAATAATATTCCACATTTTATGCCATTGTTACTTTCCATGCCAACAAAAACTCTCTCACTTTCATCTATTTTAGGCAAATATATTTTGTTTTTGTAAGTTTCCACATGTATTTTTCTTACCTTCATGTTGAAGCAATATCCTTTCCACCATACTGCTAGACGTAGCTACATCTATAGGTCGCAGAAGCTCTGTATTTTTGGCATTGATATCTGCTCCAAATTCTAGCAGTAAGTTTACAATTTCTGTGCTGGATTGTTGAGCAGCAGCATGTAATGGAGTATCCCAATATTTGCCTTTCTGTACGTCAGCACCTACATGTAATACGGAGTGAAGATAAATATAAATAAAAGTTGTTAAATAAGCCAGCTGCCTCAGTGGGGATAGAAAAGGAAAGGCAATAGAGGAAGGTTATTAAGGGGACTTCAACTCTATTTGTTATGAGTTATTTCTTTATATACATATACAGTATCTACATACACATATATGCCTCATATGTACATATACATATATATAAACTGGGCACATCTGAATGGCAGAGGGTACATACATTTGTTATGTGACTCTCTGATACTTTTCTGTATGCTTGAACTATCATAATAAAATTCTTTTTAACTTTTAAATGATTCCAAAAGTAACCATACTAACTACTATTATAAAGAGTGCACAATTAAGTTCACTCATTTTTATTTTCATCATGGTTGATAGCTTTTAGAATTATTCAGGTGCTTATTTCTATTATTCTTTTCATTTATTTAAGGCAATGAAGCTCTTTGGTTTTCTTGGGAAACTCATGAATATGTGAGCTATTTAGGTAAAATGTATATAGATTTTCCTGCCATTTCTCACTTATGTAGTTTAAGTCAGTAAGTATATAAAGATATTGAGCCTTTTAAATCAAAAGGCACATTGATGATATCTGCATGAAAGGAAAGCTTTTAAAAATGCTTATGTTAAAATACAGCCTACATGCTACATTACCTATTGCACACTTACTTTATCCCAGTGCAAAGCCTGGCACATGCTGGTCATTCAATGCATTTGCAATAAATAAATGCTGTTTAGTACTGTTAAAAATAACCATCCCATTTTCTGGTACATAAACGGTTACAATACCAGAAATGTCTACCAATAAAAATGCATAAGTTCTTTTCAACTCTGTTTTCCGATACTATCTTTAAAACTAATGATGTCTTCATGAAGCAGTACAGTTAAAGTGTCCCTTTATGGCCCTTCTGCTCCTTTCAAATTTCAATAAATGTAATCATTTTCAATATTTTTAAAACAAATATAAAATGTTTCGTGAAAAAATTATATTCCATAACAAAATTTCCATAAAGAAAGCATAAACTTTGTTGGTTATGTCAATTTTATGGAAGAAAAGGGTCTGAAAATAACAATCAATCAACAATTACTAACAGTAATTTCTATATATATATATTTGTATGATATATAAATATATACATTTGTATGATATATAAATATATATATTTGTATGATATATAAATATATATATTTGTATGATATAAATATATATATATTTGTATGATATATAAATATATATATATTTGTATGATATATAAATATATATATATTTGTATGATATATAAATATATATATTTGTATGATATATATATTTGTATGATATATAAATATATATTTGTATGATATATAAATATATATGTATGATATATAAATATATATTTGTATGATATATAAATATATATATTTGTATGATATATAAATATATATATTTGTATGATATATAAATATATATATATTTGTATGATATATAAATATATATATTTGTATGATATATATATTTGTATGATATATAAATATATATATTTGTATGATATATATATTTGTATGATATATAAATATATATATTTGTATGATATATAAATATATATGTATGATATATAAATATATATTTGTATGATATATAAATATATATATTTGTATGATATATAAATATATATATATTTGTATGATATATAAATATATATATATTTGTATGATATATACATTTGTATGATATATAAATATATATATTTGTATGATATATAAATATATATATTTGTATGATATATAAATATATATATTTGTATGATATATAAATATATATGTATGATATATAAATATATATTTGTATGATATATAAATATATATATTTGTATGATATATAAATATATATATTTGTATGATATATAAATATATATATTTGTATGATATATAAATATATATGTATGATATATAAATATATATTTGTATGATATATAAATATATATATTTGTATGATATATAAATATATATGTATGATATATAAATATATATTTGTATGATATATAAATATATATATTTGTATGATATATAAATATATATATATTTGTATGATATATAAATATATATATATATTTGTATGATATATATATTTGTATGATATATAAATATATATTTGTATGACATATAAATATATATTTGTATGACATATAAATATATATATTTGTATGACAGATAAATATATATATTTGTATGATATATAAATATATATGTATGATATATAAATATATATTTGTATGATATATAAATATATATATTTGTATGATATATAAATATATATATTTGTATGATATATAAATATATATATTTGTATGATATATAAATATATATATTTGTATGATATATAAATATATATATTTGTATGATATATAAATATATATATGTATGATATATAAATATATATATTTGTATGATATATAAATATATATATTTGTATGATATATAAATATATATATTTGTATGATATATAAATATATATATTTGTATGATATATAAATATATATATGTATGATATATAAATATGTATATATTTGTATGATATATATATATATATATATATATATATATATATATATATATAGGCTGGAGTACAGTGGCACGATCTCGGCTCACTGTTACCTCCACCTCCCGGGTTCAAGTTGCCTCAGCCTCTCGAGCAGCTGGGACTACAGGCACATGCCACCATGCCTAGCTAATTTTTGTATTTTTAATAGAGACAGGGTTTCACTATGTTGGCCAGGCTGGTCTCAAACTCCTGACCTCAAGTGATCCACTTGCCTAGGCCTTCCAAAGTGCTGGGATTACAGGCCCATATATTTTAAAACCCAGTATAAAATGTTTGGTGGAAAGAATAATATTTCTAGCAAAGGAATGAAAGGCTCTAAAGCAGGGGTGTCCAATCGTTTGGTTTCCCTTGGCCACACTGGAAGAAGAAGAATTGTCTTGGGCCACACATATAATACACTAACACTAATGATAGCTGATGAGCTAAAACAAACAAACAAACCAAAAACTTATAATGTTTTAAGAAAGTTTATGAATTTTGATTGGGCTGCATTCAAAGCCATCCTGGGCCGCATGGGGCCCACAGGCCGCAGGTTGGACAAGCTTGCTAGAAAGCATAAACTCTATTGATCATACAAAATTCATGGGAGGGAGAACATAGCCAAAAAATAACAATCTGTCAATGACTATTAACAGAACTCATGTCTAAGACTGAGTAGGTGTAATGAGAATGAAATAGTAGATGTAGACCCTGCTTGCAAGAAGTTTCTCAGCTAGCTAAGATAATGTGAGTAGTGCATAAAAGGGCTACTAAAAATAAAGGTCAGCATTTATCAGGGATCGAATGATTCTCATAAACAATAAATAGCATAGAACTCCATTTACTCATTTTATTTATATTCTAAACATCTATCAGATGAGAGGATGAGAGAGAGGAACGACGCTAAAGAAAAGAGGGATGGGAAAAAAAGGTATGATCCAAATCGTAAGGGGACTCTGAGTCCTATGGTAAGTGGGACCACTATGGCCTCAGTGGGTTAGGAATGTTTTTCAGGGGACTAAAGCTGAATTTACTTGAAACAAACCTTGAGGAATTGATTTGTTTCAAGTAAGTGGAAAAGGGCAGTAAGTCTTTTCAAGTAAGCAGGACAGAAAGTACAAAGTCTAGAAAAGTGCATGAGTTTTTAAGGTTAGCAGAAGACGAGGTTGTCCAAGCAGTTACTATCCTGAAAATTTCTTTTGATGGATTTGTTCCAAGACATATACATACTTGGCAACATCATATTCAATCTTGAGGATCCTAATTTTATGATAAAAGTAGAGCTTTCAGAATCCATTACATACCCAAATGTCTGCTAATGCAGTGCATGCAAAATATAGAGATTATGTATCTATCTGTGAGCTAGGAAGCCGACTTATCAAGAACGAGGTTCTTTTTTATTGCTTATCAAGAATGAGGTTCTTTTTTATTGGTTCTCTATTCATGTGTGAAAATGCTTAAAATAAGAACATTTTTTAGCAATGAGATCTAATTTTTAAAGATGCTCATTTAGAGAAATAAATAACTGCTTGTGTGTATGGACAGAATGGAAGATGTTTTAAAGGAAAATACCAGCATAAAGAAGCTTCCAGATGCAATGGAATTGCTGTGACATACAAGCTACATAGAGAGGAGTTCCCAAATGAGGAATTTCTTGGTCAACATCTATGCCCCAGGATATCAGGATGTCAAGACATTCATGGTGACCTGCCAACACAAAGTAGAGGAGTTTAACTTAATGCCCATCCACCCCACACACCTCACCCCAGGCTTCCCTTGTGGTGTCATTCATTGAAAGATCAACAGAGCACTGCAGGTTGCTAAAGAAACTTTCTTCCCTTGTCACTTAATCCCAGAACTAAGTTACCTTTACTGGCGGCCTCATGCGTTGGGGATGGAAGACATGACTCCAGCTGGGCTTTGGCACCATACTCCAGAAGCAGCTCTGCACAGCTTGGACTGCCTTGGGAGCATGCGTTGAATAACGGAGTCACGCCATCTATCGTGATTGCATTTACCTAAACCAAACCAAAATATCCAAACATAAGATTCATAAGTCATACATGAGTAACCGACTTAGGCATTGTCAAAAGGTATGTGATTTGCTAACAGAAATACGTAGGAAAATGTGCACATTAAATATGACAAAGTATACTTTGCTCTTATGCATTAACAAGAAAAGCTGTAAAACAGACAGAAATATGATATGGCAGATAATTCATTGGAATGGGCATAAAACTAGTGGAAATCATGAAAAAATGCATGCTCAAATGGCAAATAAGATCTAATTCAATGATTAGATACTTTTCAGTAAGAGTAAAAATGAAGAAAAAAGTGTAATGATGATGAAGTTGTAATGAAGCCACATTGCTAGTTTAAAGTGGTAAAATTGGTAGTTCTATTTCTGAGACTTTATTTAAGGAAAATCATCCAAAAGATGGGCAAACGTTATAGACCTAAAGATGTTCATCGATTGCTATTTACAGTCATGAAAGCAGGAAATAACCTACAGAATAGTCTATATTATGATGCAGCATGCTACCCATTTATGCAATGATTGGAAATCCTTTTTAGAGTGCAATAAGAAGACTAAGGAATTCAAGAGCTTTATTTTTATTCTGCTATTTTTGAAAACTACCGAGAATGAAGGAAAGAAAAGTAAAATGAGAACTCTGTTGGATTCCCTCCGTCAGTAGATGTTAAATGATTAATGTTTTGAAAGGTACTTACATTAGCTCCTGCTTCCAGCAGAGTTCTGGCACATGCCACGTGATCTCCAAGGCAGGCTTCGTGCAATGGGGTGACATGGTCTAAGGTTACTGCATTTACATTATAACCCTAAATGTGGCATAATTTTGAAAGGTGAGCAAAGAGTTATATACTTAAAAAATCATCTATATGGATGTCACTAGAGAGTGATATATTTTAGACATCAAAGAATCTCAGGCAAACGAGTTTCCAGTTTAGCAGGATAGGCCAGTTCAAATGCCATAGGGTCAATCCGTTGTTCAGACTCCTTAGCCCTATTATTGTGGCACCCTCATGTCTGGACCCAATAATGCCTTAAGTATTTGGTTCAATAGATTCTGGCACATTTTCTTTAAATGTTGCTTTCTTAATATTTTTTTATCCTTATTTTGTACTTTGTTCTGTAGAACTAAACACTCGTTTTGTAGAACTAAAGACTTGTTGTTTTGTTTTTGTTTTTGTTTTGAGATGGAGCCTCACTCTGTCACCCAAGCTGGAGTGCAGTGGCGCAATCTCGGCTCACTGCAAGCTCCGCCTCCCGGGTTCATGCCATTCTCCTGCCTCAGCCTCCCGAGTAGCTGGGACTACAGGCGCCCACCACAAGGCCGGGCTAATTTTTTTGTATTTTTAGTAGACACGGGGTTGCACTGTGTTAGCCAGGATGGTCTTGATCTCCTGACCTCGTGATCCACCCACCTTGGCCTCCCAAAGTGCTGGAATTACAGGTGTGAGCCACCGCGCCCGGCCAACTTGTTTTGATTGAGGCTATAAAATTATAGGTCAGCCAAGAATGGGAGAAAAATACTCTAAACTATAGTAAACAGTTTTGTGAACTTTTGTCCCTAAATAGGTATGATGAAGTTGTGCACTAGTGGTTAAGAATTCTGACTATAAAATCAATTAGACTTGGGTTTGAAGTGTGGCTCCATCACGAATAGTTTTAATTTGGACAAATACCTTAACCTCTAAATTTGAAGATTATCATGACAATTAAATGAGATCATGCATGTAAAGCAATTATCATTATAATGCCCAGCATATGAAGACATCATTTTATTGTAATTATTCAATCAAAACTAAGTAAACACTTTTTCACTGTATTCCAATCAAACTCAAAATATCACACTAAAATAATTAAATACTATTAGGATGTGAGATTGTTTGCCTTCTTGATATCTTTGGTATTTCATTGTCTATTGACAATCATACTAAGCACTGTAACAGGAAGAACCTCAAAGCCAAATCTTCATAACATATTACAGATCACCAAAATCTGTAACACCAATATAGACATGAAGAATTTTTAAATGAAGGCAAGAAAACATAATCCTTTCAAAGATTTTGAGTTGGCTAGCCAGCAGTCAGACCTGGGAAGCTAATCCCACACTGCCACACACTAGAGGGACCAGATGTCAGAAGCACCTGAGAAGGCCAAGACTCCCTTTCACATCGGGCTCTGGGGACAGCCTCTCATGATTCTTGGCTGAACTGTCAGTGGATTAGAGACACACACTGAAAAATGTCCTAAGACTGCTCTTCTTCAAAGAACCACACGGCCCTTTCTGAGGAATTACCCTTTAGAATTTGTTGACCCCTTTTTAGTGTTTATTTTCCTCCCATCAAGTGATGAACAAAACAAAACAGTCACATGGTTATCACAGAACTGGAAGGCCCTAAGGAAGTGTCTCACTCTACAGATGAGAAAAGGAGGCTCAGGTAGGTTGTGATTCACCTCAAGTGCCAGCCTAGGATCCAGGTCTTGAGACCCAGGCAATGCTTTTTAAATTGGGCAACATGACCTTTCCTTTCTTCGTAGCCATCTGAGAATGTTCTTTCTCCTTGAGACTGGGAAACAGTAGCGCATGACTTCCAGATCTGGATGTGCATTTGATTTTTTTTTTTTTTTTTTTTTTTTTTTGAGAGGGAGTCTCACTTGCTCTGTCGCCTAGGCTGGAGTGCAATGGCGTGAACTTGGCTCACGGCAACCTCTGCCTCCCAGGTTCAATTGATTCTCCTGCCTCAGCCTCCCAAGTAGCTGGGACTACAGGTGCAAGCCACCATGCCCGGATCATTTTTGTAGTTTTAGTAGAGATGGGGTTTCACCACGTTGGCCAGGCTGGTCTCAAACTCCTGACCTCAGGTGATCCACATGCCTCCGCCTCCCAAAGTGTTGGAATTACAGGCGTGAGCCACTGTGCCCAGCTATTTTTTTTTTAATTTGTAGTAGAGATGGAGTTTCACCATGTTGGCCAGGCTGGTCTCGAACTCCTGACCTCAGGTGATCCACCTGCCTCCGCCTCCCAAAGTGCTGGAATCACAAGCGTGAGCCATTGTGCCAGCCTAGCTGTGCATTTGAATTACATCAGAAGCTTCAAAAAAAAAAATACCCAAGCCAAAGTGTTTTCTGTTTCAATAAGGATTTGTGTTTTTTATTTTTCCTCTGGTGAGTCTGATGAACAGGCAAATATAGAAATGATTGTCCTGTAGCTTTGTTAGGCAATTGCCCATAGCATATTACAGATCACCACAATGTTAAAAAAGATTGCTTTGGCATCTGAACTGGTGACTTCTTTTTGGATATGTTATTATTGAACTAAGTCTGTAATTAGCTGCACATATTGTGCAGAGTTAAGCATATTTAGAAAGCTCAATCAATAACACATAAATCCAATCATTACTTCTTTAAATGTCTATCGATGAACAAATATGCTGTCTGAGAAATCTGAAATACTAAGACATACAATTATATCAAAATATTTATAAAAGAAGTTTCAAAGATAAGTGAGAAACTATTGACTTCTCTGACATGAGTTAAAATAAAAGGGCAGAAGTAAAATGTAAGTGGTTTTATCATATTTGCATTGATTGGTTTTGACCATGTTCTGTGCACATGGAAAGGGGGTATATTTTAAACTATATGTAATATATTACCTGTGATAATAATGTTCTCAGAGCAAGAAGGCGACCTTGACTTGCTGCTTCATGTAGTGGTGATCGATCTGCCCAGGAACCTGTCAAAAAAGAAAAAAAGAAAGAAAAGAAAACAAAAATCCAAGAGTCAAAGTGAATCCCAGTAGACACAATCAATACCAAGATCACATAAATTATTCACACTCAGTGTTCAACAGGGTGAGCCAGATACTTATACTGTACATTAGGAAATTTGACTCTTATTGCAGGAACCAGATAGGCAGTTCCCAACATGAGCCATGATGCATGCTCTGGAATTGACCCACCCCAGACTTACTGTGCCTTTTTAAATTTTTTATTTTATTTAATAGATGGAGTCTCGCCCTGTTGCCCAGGCTGGAGTGCAGTGGCATGATCTCAGCTCAGTACAACCTCTGTCTCCCATGTCAAGAGATTATCCCGCCTCAGTTTCTCGAGTAGCAGGGACTACAGGCGCACACCACCACGCCCGGATCATTTTTGTATTTTTAGTAGAGACAGGGTTTCACCATGTTGGCCAGGCTGGTCTTGAAGTCCTGACCTCAAGTGATCCACCTGCCTTGGTCTCCCAAAGTGCTGGGATTACAGGCGTGAGCCACTGCCCCCGGCTTACTATGCCTTTTGAATTATCTGCACTCACTATTAACCCTAGTGACTCACTAGCAACATTTTTCTTCCAACCATTACCTTGTTGCTGCATTTATTTTGGAGATTAAGTATAGCTTAAGAAGATGCATATAGGTGCCACGTTGACAAGGGATGGATTAGTGATGGTAAATTTCAGGTGTCAACCTGACTGAATTAAAGAACACCTAGAGAATGGGTAAAGCATTGCTTATGAGTGTGTCTGTGAGGGTGTTTCCAGAGGAGATTGTCTTGTGAGTAGGTGGCTGAGTAGAGAGAGCTGCTTGCAGTATGGATGGGCACCATCATATGGCTGGGGGCCTGGAGAGAACAAAAAAACCTCTCCTGGTGTTGGAACACTCTCCTCGAGTTGGGACACTCTCCTCCTCCTGCCCTTGGACATCAGAACTCCAGGCTTTCTCTGACCTTGAGACTCTAGGACTTCAGTGGTCCCCTGGATTCTCAGGCCTTTGACCTCTGACTGAGAATTATATTGGCTTTCCTGGTTCTGAGGCTTTTGTACTTGGACTGAGCCACGCTACCTCATCCCAGGGTCTCCAGCTTGCAGACAGCCTGTTGAGGGACTTCTCAGCCTCCATAGTCATGTGAGCCAATTCCCCTAATCTCCTCTCATATAGCTGCGTCTTTCTCTGTCTATGTATCTAGGTATCTATCTATTTATCAGCTATTGGTTCTGTCTCTCTGGAGAACCCTGACTAATACACCTGACAGAGAAAAAGAGAATTAAGGCCACCAGATCAGCCACAAAAAAGTTCTGTTTCATGTTTTTTCACATTGAACCCCTCCTCTCAATTTTGTTTTGTCCCTTTAGCAGGAATAGCAGCTTGAATGCCCACCTCGCCACACTCCCAGCTCCTTCTGCTATTTCCTGTGGTCCCCCCACCCCAGCTTGCCTGGGCTCTGCGGTGTAGGGGCTGCAACATGTTGCCATGGAGGGCAAGTAGCTGAGCCCCGCGTCTGAAGTGAAGCATGAGCCCTGCTTCTGCACCCAAGCTCTCCTGAATGACTCAACAGTGTCCTAGTGCTTAAGCATTCTATTGCCTGTTGCTATAAAACGGGTATCACCATTGTGGTAAGGAAAGACTTCCAAGACAGCTAGTTATCTCCCCTGCAGTAAAATCACTCTGCATAAACCAAAAGGCAAAACAAAGAAGACAATGAGTGGTCATGGCAGTCAGGGCTAGGAGCATCAGCTCTGGAGTTAGACCATATGACTCTCTAAATCATTACATTTCATCTAGATTTCATTTCCTCTAGTTGAGGATGGAAATAATAATTGTATATACCTCAAGGAGATATGAGAAACTAAATCAGATAGTATACATTGTGCTTAGACTAGTGTACACACATAGTAAACACCATTCAACATTACCTGCTATTACCATTACTTGTAAGTCAACAGAGAGAAGAGAGACTCTGCCTGCTTTCCCTTAGGATTTGTATTTCTGAGAAAATTCTGTAATATTACCAGATACAAAGGGATTGATGACTGGTAAATGACTTCTGCCCTCTGCACCAGGCTGGAGTAACAACAATCTTAACATTGAGAAAAACCAACTTATTTAATGATAACCTGATTGCCTAAATAAAAGCAGAGAACGCTTACACAGTCCTCACCATATGCCCATGTCCTGCCCTGGTTGCTGGGCATAAATTTACTTGTTTTATCCTCACCCTGATCCTTTGAGGTTGGCGCTATTATTATCTCTGTTTTCCAGGTGAGGAAACTGAGACATGCAGAAGTTAAATAACTTGCCTAAGGTCACACAGCTAGAAAGGGGTGGATGTAAAATTCAAACTGCAGCCTCCTACCTGCAGTGACAACACTTTTCACTTGTTGAGAGATAGCAATCCTATCTCTCAATACACACACACTCTCTCTCATGCACAGAGTCTGTGAAACATTTTAGCCAGTGGTAACAGCATACATCTCTCTGGGACATTTTGTTCCTGTCATTGATTTCATTACTGTATTTTTCCTTCTAACACCCCCTCCAAAATAAAACCCTTCAGTCTAAAGAGAAGTTTTATTTCATTTTATTCTCGGCAAAAGTAGGCTGTTGCTTGACAAGATAAAGTTTACTGCAACAAGATACTATAGCAATAGTGCAGGAATGTTGTAATCCATGCTAAATTGTAAGTAAACAAATTAGGGAGGCAAAGGCTAACTATGATTCGAAGTTTTAGCAAGATCTTTTTAATTTAGTGGGATGAAAATTAAAAGTACTTTTCTCATATTGGGTTCTGTTTCTTAGATAGTCAGGGAATTTCTATTGTCTACACAGTCTTTATTAATCATCTCTTACTATTTTAATATATAGTCTGTTTCATTCTGATTCCCTTTCAGCAAATTTCTTCTGCTCCCTGATGTCGAGAGAAAAAAAGACAATGACAGTTAAGTCTTATCACATATTTATAAGAAGAAAAGCAATTCCTTGAATACGTCCCTGAAATGATAGAACTCCCAGCCAGTTTCTTGCATGGGTGTTTATCTTGAATTACAGAATAACGATAATTGAGGTTTACAATTAAAGACATTACAACTCCCAAAAGAAGACTAATGTATACTTTCTCTCTCAATAACAGATATAAGTTTCCATCTAGTGTTATTTCTTGCTTATCTAGAAAAATTAGTAAGCCAGACACATAATTCTTTTGAGTTTTCATTTGCAACAAGTTACTGTGATTAGCTTTTATGTATTACTTCTTTCTACTGTGTGACAGTTCTATTATATATTCAAGGCAGAATTGCAATAATGCACACCAGCAAATATTTTTTGGTAGGACAAAAATTGGTGGCAAGGTCATAACTTATAGGAAATTGGAACATTGTGTTATCATTAGGTAATATGCAAACGTTATCATCATAAATAATGTTCTTTTGGGGAAAGCATTTTGCCAGTTCCGGCTTCTAAGATGAAATCTGATGCTTTAAAAATCACAGGCATCTGTTTGTATGATCATTAAACAACATGATTGCAGAATGAAATTCTGCAGAACTTCACAACATATATCAATTTTTTGTGAACACTTAAATATTTAAGAAAATATGAAAATTATAATACTAACTTTGCAAACAGATTGCATATGTGAAGCCACTTTGTTCAGTTCAATCAGCAAAGCAATAATAAATTAATAAAAATTTTAGTAATCAATGCCTAAATGTGTTTAAATTTAAATAACCACTTATAATATTTATAATGATCAGTTTCCCTCTTGTATAATAGTATATTTCATTATCCTTAATTTATCTCTTAAACACAGGTGCTGAACTATATGATGCCGACCCATTATCCCTGCCTATTTTTCCATTGTCACTAGTTAACAGGAAAATTAACCAGATGTTGTTGGGAATGTAAAGGCCTAGAGACGTGGCCTTTGGGATTCATTCTGGACTCATTCCTTTCTAGTATACCATGATGACCTTTAAGGGGAAGTAAAGCTAACAATATTTGTAGCTGAAGGGTACTTGATATTCCTTCCAGCCAGCTCTTCTCCCTTGCATACTAATGTGTTTGTTCATCAAAATGATTGTATTAGTCTTCTGAACAATTTCAGCATTACTTGCTAGGGTTGAGAGAGAGAGAGAAGGACAGGATTATTTAGAAAGCAGGCCACATAAGGGACAAAATAAAGAAACATAAGTATCCAAATCGCATCCCCCTGTTTCCCCCCAGGCTGTCGCTTAGCTTTCTGTCCCCACTGCCATTTTCTTTATCATCCAAACTTAAGTCCATCAAGATGGGGACAGGAAAAAAAAAAACTGAAGCCAGATATTACGTATGTGCACTTGCTATTATTTCTATTAATAGGACCTCCTTTGGCATGAAAAAGTTTAATGTCATTGTCATTCTCAGAAACGAGTTTTGAATGTTGGATGAGGGAGCCCTTGGCCCATCTTGCAGGAACAAGGCACATGCTATCATTTCATGAACTGAGCTCTGCTCGCCTGCAAAGGGCCTTGCAATCTCTCACTATTCCTTGAAGAAGGGGGTGGGAGTGGAGAGCAGAAGGAGGAGAAGAAAATAGAGAGCAGGAGGAAGTGAGAAATGGGATCGGGTGTAGGAAAAAAGCTGAGGGGCTGGGCAGGCCTGGATTGGCACCCCAGCTCAGGACAGTGGCCTTTATAAAGTCATCTAACCTCCCTGAGGTTTTGTTTCCTCATCAAATGAGAAAAGCACAATCCATGAAGCAGGATTGAGGGAGGATTAGAAATGAGAATGTTAAGTGCCTGCTCTCTAAATGCACAATAAATAATAACTAGCATTATTGGCTAAACATAAGCTGGTAAATGGGGGAGATTTTAAGATGAGTTTTAGGGAACAATCTTTTCCCCCAAGATAGGGAAACTAAAGTAATAAACAACATCATTTATTGACTAAAATATTTTTGTGTGCTGTCACCTTAATTAAATGACATAAAACAATTGAGTGATTTATAAATATATATAAGCCAGCAACCAACAACTGCTGTTATATTTTTTCTTTCTGAAATAAGAAATGAAGCTCTATCAATCTATTAAAGAAGTAATTTCTAGAACATGTATACCACTCAATGAAAAAGAATCTTTTTATTTGTTTTGAACTCTGTATTTATGTCCCTGTTATTTATTTTCTTGTAATCCCTTAGAAGAATTTATGTAATTAATCTAATAACATATGAGAATCAAAGGATACTACAATGTATATCACATTCCAATTTCTGTATGAACTAAGTTTTCACACCTTGTTCTTCCCCTTCAAAATCCGAAATTTAGCAACTACGTATTTCTATTCAAACATATTTAATATTAAATATCTTATCTTTCAATATCAATATGCTTTATATCAGAGAGATTTACGAGCCATCTCAAGACCAAACAAGATATAAATATCTTTATGTGCAACTACTTAGTAATTTTATAATTGTGTTAGACTTTCATTGAGTGTCTAAGATAAAAGCAATGCAACCCTTACTTTAAAAAATGTGTAATTTAACTCTTTAGGATAAATTATTCAGTGTGAAATTGTTTTACAAAGTGTCTGTAACTTTCACCATGCTAATCAAATTCCTAGTTATTCTCTCTCTGTAGCTACACAGGAGGTGGCTCTGCCTATATTTAGAAGCAACTCTTGTTCCCAGACATCTGGTATATAATTTACAGGGAGAGAGCCTGCCCTGTTTTGTAAACACCACATTGCTAGAGAAAAACACTCACATTTTTATATCTATGCGATTTTGTAAGGTTTGATACCATACCTAAATCACCATCTCCCCACGGCACTTCACACCAGCCACTGTCGAGGTAAATCCGACTCATAATTTTTTTTTTTTTTTATCAGCAAGAAAAGAAAAAATCACTTGTCATTTGCCAGTTCTGTTCGGCCATTTTAAGGAGCTCCAAGCTCCTTGTAATATGACCGTCGGCCTCCAAAAAGAAAAACAGCTTTTGAAAAGGTGATTTATTTCCAAAATTGCTTTTTCTTATTGATCACTCCTCTTTATTTGAGAAACTGCTGGTCCTAACTTATTTTTTTCTCCTTACAGTATGTGCCCTGAATTGAAATAAAAGCACTACAATTAGACCTCTGTCCATGGCCATGGAAAAACCATATTATTGTTATAAATGTCTTTGTGGCCGGGGGTGGGTGGCTTATGCCTGTAACCCCAGCTGCTCTGGAGGCTGAGGCTGAAGGATCATTTGAGCCCAGGAGTTTGAGATCAGCCTGGGCAACATAGTGAGAACTTGTCTCTGCAAAAAAAAAAAAAAAAAAATGTAAATTAAAAAAAATTATCTGGGCATGGTGGCATGCCCCTGTAAATGCCAGCTACTAGGGAAGTCCTGAGATGAGAAGATCGCTAGAGCCCGAGTTTGAGGCTGCAGTGAGCTGTGTTCCCAATACTGCACTCCAGCTTGGGCAACAGAGTGAGACTCTGTCTCAAAACAAAACAAAACAAATAAACAAAAAAGTCTTTACCTGCTCCCAATCTTAGAACATCCCATCAGCAGAAGCAGGATGTGGACTCAATAGAGAGCTAGCTTAGCAATGGTGCAGAGTTTAGCCACACCTGCTCTTCCTCAGTGTTCTCAAAATAGGAAAATTAGGGAATTAATTATAAGGAGAGGGAATAAGCAATGACATTTCATATAACATGTTCATTTCAGTAAAAAATGGCAATACCTTTTTCAGATCTCTTACCTATTTTATATATATATATATATACTTTTTTTTTTTGAGTTGGAGTTTTGCTCTTGTCACCCAGGCTGTAGTGCAATGGTGCGATCTCGGCTCACTGCAACCTCCACCTCCCAGGTTCCAGTGATTCCCCTGCCTCAGCCACCCAAGTAGCTAGGATTACAGACATGTGCCAACACACCCATCTGATTTTTGTATTTTTAGTAAAGATGGGGGTTTCACCATGTTAGTCAGGCTGGTCTCCAACTCCTGACCTCAGATGATCCACCCGCCTCGGCCTCCCAAAGTGCTGGAATAGATGTGAGCCACCGAGCCTGGCCCCTGTAAAATATTAAACCAACAATCGTCTTCACAATGGAGGTGGATTTACCATGAAGCCAGTGAAACCCTTAACCTGCACAGACTCCCCTTCTAAGACTCTGTCCCTAATTTCATGTTACTTTTCTTAAAGGAGCCCCCAAAGTGTATACAGTATAAGCTTCAGACTTGACAACATGTAGCCCATCTCTACTCACAAGTTTATAAGCAAATTAAAAATCACCAGGCATTTACTAGCCTTTATTGTATACTTTCAGACAACCACAGAGCCACAGAAATCCTTGAAACATGGTTTCAAGGGAAATAATGTCTGGCATCTCAATGCATTTCTAAAAGCCAACATCTTTCTCTTAAGACTAGCTATTCCTTTTTCACTTCTCTATTGGTTTAAACAGTGTTACCATTTCCCTCCATCACCTGGTAATAATCATATGGTCTCAAATTTAAGCACAATAATTTTCAAGCTATCAGCTATCTCAATTAACTATTACTGATCACTGGTGCCATGGATAGAGCATGCTGGATTTAACTATAAGATAGACCTGAGTTCAAATTCCAGCATAGATATTTACTAGTTATGTGACCTTTGGCAGTTAACATCTTGAAACCCAGTTTTCTCAACTGTAAAAACAAGGATGAGTCTACCTGCCTCACTGAATTGTAATGAATGTAAAGTACTTAGCACAGTACTAAATGCATTTGAAACATCACAAATACAACCCAAATTTCATTTTAAACAATTACTTTCATATATCTTCCCCATCAGCTTTTAACTACATCTTCTAAACAGAAGGAAGGATAACTTATTTAAGATAAAGATGCTTTATCTCATCTTATTCCTCTTGGCTATATATCTGTAGGAGACAAAAATAGATATTGTCAAAATTTAGTAACAATTATTACATGCATATGGATTACTCTAATCTACATAGCTCCCACGCTGATCTCTCCCACAAATTTCAGCGCCACATGTTAAAATTTACTTCTGGGGATTCACCTAGATATTTTCCTGGCATCTCAATCCATTTCTAAAAGCCAGCATCTTTCTCTTAAGATTAGCTAGTCTTTTTTCATTTCTCTATTGGTTTAAACAGTGTTACCATTTCCCTCCATCACCTGGTAATGATAATATGGTCTCAAATTTAACCGCAATAATTGTCAAGGAAACTTTATATATTGAGTGTTTCGTGTGCTTCTTTGAAAGGAGTCAGTTGTTTTTGGCCCAGTGTTTTTTTCCATTGTTGCGGTAGTTTCTTTTCCCACCTTGAGTCCTCATCATCCAAGCTCAGTCTTTGCATCTATCTACATTAACTCTTGAGGAGCTCCCTTCTAGTGCCATGAACATAAATATTATCCACATATTGATTACCCCAATTTTAGGTTTGGCTGTTCAACTTCTCCACTTGAATATCTAAATAGGTAATACAACTTAACATGTCCCAAACCGAACCCTTGATTCCTTACTCCTAACTTCTCCCGATCCGCAAATGGCAACTGCACTCATCCAGGTGCTTCAAGGCCAAAACCCTCTGCATAATCCTTAGTTTCTGTTTCTCACACCCACCAGGCGCACACCAGGAAGTCATTTTGCCTCTATCATTTAAATGTATCCAAACTTTGTATCTCAGCCTCCACCACTATACCCTAGTCCAAGCCACCATTATTCTCATCTGATGTATTGCAAAAGTCTCCTAACTAGTCAGTGTGTTTCTGCCCATGCCCTTCCAGTAGTCTGTACTAAACATGGGAGCCAAAGCAATCCTTTGGAAGTTAGAAAGAATCCCATGGCTTCCCTTCACACCTGGAATAAAATCCGAAGTCTTTGTCATGACCTATGAACTCTCCAGGCTCTGATCTCGGGTTCTACCCACTTTTTCCTAGGCCCATCATCCTCATCCAGACATACTGGCCTCCTTGCTTTTCCTTACACAACCTTCTGTTTGCTCTTTCTGAAGTACTCCTTTCTGAGACCCACATCACTTGTTCTCTGACTTTAGTGCTCTCTGAAATATCACCTTATCAGAGAGGCCTTCTTGACAACCTTCTATTAAAAAATCCTCCCTGTCCCTTCCCCAACATTCATGCTTTGTCTCCTTTCCCTGCTCTACTTTTCTTCTCAGCACTTATTACTAGAATGCTAGACCTTAGAAAGCGAGACTCAGTTGATTTCATTCATTACCATATCCTCAATACCTAGCACATCAGTGAATGTTTGTTGCATGAATGAGTGCTCAAAGTCACATGATCACACCCAGCTTCATTAGAACCTTGTCTGAGCAGCCGTATGGAGCTTTGTAATGGGGTTAAAATCAAGGGCTGTGAAAGGAGGCATATCCGAATTGGACTCCTGACTCTATCACATATTGGCTCACTCTGTTTTTTACACTGCTAAGTTTCAGTTTCCTCACTATAAAATGGGGGCAATCATACTTACATATTCTAGTTGTTCTAAGGGTTACATGGACATGAGAAGTGTCTAACACAAAGTGTGTTCTTAAGAAAGTCAATGTTATGATTTCCATTGCATTAGGACTTAGGGGAATTAAATAACTTGCCTCAAGTTATAAACAATAACTGACAAAGCCAGGAAGCAAACTCCGTTCTTTTGAATGTCCAGTTGAAATTTTAGGGTACAATATTCTTTTCAACCCTAGAACTCATAGGGCACTTGGTGGACTGTTATTCCATAATGAGTCCATAATAAATGTAACTAACAGACTAGACAAATGAAGAGTTACTTCAATAAAAGGAAGAATTGTGGAATTGTGTTTTCTACATTTTCATATAATAATAGTATATTTGAAATAGTAGCAAAACACAGCAATACAGTACTATTAACTATAATACCTTATTGATTATAAAAGTTGTACATTAAATAAGTGAAATTTGACATACACAAGAAATCATAGTGCTTATTTCTAAGTACAACCATTATAAACATTTTAGGGTGTATCTTTCCAACTTTTTTCTAGAAACACACATTTTTTAATCAAGATACAATCATAGTGTTTGTAAGGTTTTTAACTGATTTGTTTTCATTTAAGATATCTCATGGTCATTGTTCTATGTGAAAAAATATAGTTCTACCACAAGTGATTATGATATATTGATATGTATTTAATCATATAGCTAGAGCATTATGTGTGTATTTATTTATTTAATTATCTATCAAATGATGTTTAGGTGGCTTTTAGTTTTGGGAAATCAAATATTATTACTTATCTTTGTGAATAATTATCTGCTTAGGGTAAATTCCTAAAATTTTGACACATACCATCAAATTACCTCCAGCAAGACTGATCCTATTTACATTCTCATTAACAGCACTGGGAAAATGTAAAGCTAAATCTAGTGAAAGTTTGCTAAGACTTGTCTTTTTTTTTTTTATTTTAAATCATAGCATGGGGGCATTTTTTTTATTATATATTTTTTCTTCTCCTTTTTTTCAGAGACAGAATCTTGCTCTGTCATCCAGACTGGAGGGCAGTGATGTTCTGAACATCGCTCACTGCAGCCTTCAAATCAGGCTCAAGCAATCCTCCTGCCTCAGCCTTCTGAGTCACTGGAATAACAGGTATGTGCCACTGGGCCTGGCTCTATATTTTCAGTATATTTAAGGCATGTCGAAAAAAAATTGTATAGAAAATTAGATTTTTGACATAAAACGATAGCTTATTTTCAACTTCCTTTAGAGTCTCTATCTGCATTGAAGATATGTGAGACTCATCCAGGTGAATTAGTTTACTTAATTTTTTTTTTTTAATTTTTGCCATTGACACAGTTCTATTATGTTGCTAATGCCTGCGGTTTAGTGCATAGTTAGGTAACTTACCCTTCATTTAAGAAATGACAGGATTGTCTTTATTTCTTTAATAATTGCATTCCTTCTGGACTTTAAGGACCATGAAATGATGAGACTACTTATTGCTGCTCCCCGCCTCTAGCACAGTGTCTAGCACGCAGTCAACACTGGATAGGCATTTGTTGAATTGTTGAATTGTCTTCTTTGTAGTCAACCACTTTTTTCCTTGCTGGTATATTTCTCAATTTTGTTGTTAATTATGTTGTTGAAAAGTAACAAAAAGGAAATGTGTATTGGGGTGGGGAGTAGGGATCCAGTTGCTTTCTCAAACTTTGAAAGAAATTATAGTGTTTTAGCCTATTTGAAAATATGCTTTGTATGTTTGAAAAACATAATCATTTATAATAACATTCTTCAAGCTCCAGCTATTACATAGTAAATATAACTCTTACAATCTTGGGGGGCAAGAGTCATTTTCTCTCTGAATCTGCATTTTCGACCCTTAAATTTATCATCTATCATACTGGTGTTCTACTAAAACTTATGCAAATGTATGGATATTCCTTTTTAAAAATAATTCCTCCTCTTTGGTACTGTGCTCATTCTCCTTTCTATCTTTCATAGTTTTCTATCATTATAATTAATGACTTCGTGTCAGAACACTTTTAGGAAGTTGCTCTACTCATTTTCTTGCCTAAATCATCCTCCTACTTGATGTCTAATTTACATGATTTAAAATTTCCATATTGCCTGTAAACAGTCTTTTCCTGCTTAATAGCATCTTTCCTTGTTTCCATACCAACTTAGAAACACCTGCTGAAACAGAAAGGTAAACAAACCAGAGTCTAAGAGTTTGCAGTCATGTTTAATATACAGTCACAAAAATGAGTCAGCCGATGCAGTTTCCATACACGAAAAGGCAAGAATACAGAGCAGTCCTTTGCCATGCCATACATGTGCATTTCAATCCGCATTCTGGAAAGCACCCGCAGTTTAAAGTTAGTATTTGCAAAAACAGGCCAATGTGGTTTATTTCAGGACACTGACAGATTTGAAATGGCTGCTATACTAACCTTGACTGGTCAGAATACCCCAGCTAGCTTTTCGTTTAGAAGAACATTCCTCTATACTCACTAGCCTTCTTTTCGTGAGGACCTGCTTAATGCAGTTCATTTCAACAGCAATATCTGCGGACATAGTTTGGTTGACGTTTTTTGTCTGTGACAACCAGGTGTCATAAGTGCAAATGCTCTAGCAAGAAGAAATATCAGCGTCTGGATTTCTAACTATTTTTTCCTTCCCTTCAGACTTTCACAAAGGTTCCTGTGTGCTAACTTGAGATGTCTTCAACATTGAACTCTATTCAGAAACACTTGGATCAGGGCTGGTAGGTGCAATGTGGAGGATGGGCCAGAAATGCTGGAGCATTTTCTATTTTTAAAGCAGAGACATGCTGCAGCCGGAAGTCTTTAACTATTTGTGTGATATAGAAAGTAAAAAGTGGGTATAATTGCTTTTCCTAGTCGAAACAGAATAGAAATGAGCTCTATCGTTAAAAGATAAAAGCCTATTTAAAGAACCTACAAATCAATCAAATGTAAAATTGCCTGTTGATAATGACTGCAGACAGAATATTGCAGCCAGAAAGCTCAGTAGTGATCAGTGACTAGGTTAGCCTTTCTCCTTCATCCTCAGGAGTAAGTATGAGATGTGCCTTAGGGCTGGGCGTGGTGGCTCACGCCTGTAATCCCAGCACCTTGGGAGGCCGAGGCAGGCAGATCACCTGAGGTCAGGGGTTAGAGACCAGCCTGGCCAACGTGGTGAAACCCCGTCTTTACTAAAAATACAAAAATTAGCTGGACATAGGGACGGGGCGCCTGTAGTCCCAGCTACTCAGAAGGCTGAGGCGGGAGAATCACTTGAACCCGGGAGGCAGAGATTGTACCACTGCACTCCAGCCTGGGCGACAGAAGGAGACTCCGTCTCAAAAAAAAAAAAAAAAAAAAAGTGCATTACGGTCAGCTGGTAGCCAGCTCATGTTTTCATTTTGCAAGGATCTAAGTTTAGAATTGGCTTCAATACAAAATCACAGTCCTCTTATTTATATAGGCACAGCTCACTATTGTGATTTTTCTAGAGGTCATCTCTAAATCAAAAGACGTCAGCAGTCAATTTAAGTACAGCTGAGATTTTTCACCCTAAAAGGCAGAGGAAAGGGTAGTTGGCAGGATGAGAGGAAAAACCAAACATGTGCCTGGTATTTTTTACTGGCCTATAAAGTTGAAAAAGGCACAGAGTCTATGATGGAATCAAGAGCAGCGACCGAACTATGATAGGACTCCAAGGATTAACTGAGCTGGTGATCACGTTACAGAGTATTAACATACTGAAATCTGTCTTGCTGAAATATGGTGACAGATTCTGTTATCTATCTTTTTTTCATCAGTATTTTTAAGGCTCTACCTTCTGCTAGTATATAAAAGGAAAAAAGTATTACTGGGGTTATTGTCTTCATGTAACAAGCCAAGTAAGAGAAAAAAAAATTATGACTATAATTCTGTCCTATGCACTACCCTATGGACATTTGCTGCCATATTACACTGCCAGTGTTTACCTCAAGTTATCGCTAATGAATACCACACATATCTTTTCCTTATCTTCAATTAAGTTCTAATCCTACCAGCTGTTTGTGTGACCTGGAGCGAGTAGCTTAATGACACCATAGTTTCCTTCTCTATAAAATGAGGAGCTTGGATAAGACCAGATTCTATGACTAACACACAAAAGGTAAGAGAGTGCGTGAGCTGTAGACATATTATATTACCACAGAAGAGGCTAGATATTCCCAATGAAACTGAAACTCAGAGCCAGCTTGGCCCAGGCTATTTGTATGGGTGGCACATTCCTAGGTGAAGTTAGAAAAGACTGAAGGGGCCTATTCAGTCCAGCATATTTACATGAAGCAATTGTCATTCACCACTGGCTCTTTGTCGCCTGGTTTGTACTTATAAGGGGAGTACGGTAATCTACACAAACCATACAGTAAAAGTAAATTTTAATTTTTGTTTAAAATTAAATTAATTAAAAGAAATTTCAATTTGAAGCTTATACTTATTATTCTGTAACAACAAAAGCTTTATGCTTTTGAATAATGCATATTCCTACAGAATGCATAATAATGCATAATAATATTCCTACAGAATAAATGTAGGAAGTTTTATCATAAGTATTGTGACAATTTTTGTTTTATCATAAGTACTGTGACAATTTTTGTTCTGAAAACAATTTTAGACACCGTATATTATAATGATCTATTTCTCTGTGTCTCCCCCACTTAGTTGTGCACTCTGATCACAGAGACTGAGTCTATACAGCTGTTATTGCACAGGTCTAAGTACTGGACCTCTTAAGCCGTGGGCACTAAAAGAGTTGTTAAAGAGTAATTTGAATATGGAATTTTCTAGAATGCTTTAAGAAGGCTTTCTGTAGTCCTCGATGGTAGTAAACAAATTTCCAGGGCAGTGGGGAAAAAAGAAGCCATTGGATTTGAGTATAACTCACACTTACTGAACTGGGAGATGTGCTGCACTGAAGGTGGACTAAGGAGAACCTATCAATACTTAATTCTTTTAAAAATTAAAAATGGATCAAAAGCAAAAGTAATTTTTAAAAATGACTCCATGGAATTGGAGGAAAATGATATGGTTAATTCACTAGAAAATAACAAAGAACAGAAGAGTGAATAGATTGAGTGTGCTCAGTGTACGTTCTGTGTGCTCAGCTGTATGGATTCATAAAAAGAAATGCACAGTGAGTGAACGCGTTAGGGACAGAATTGTTTAAATGCTAGATATCTGTGATTGTACCTGTAAGAGAGCACTGTGAAATCTCGAGATATCTAGAAGAACATTAAGCCATATGAGTGGACAGAAGTTTTAAAGAGAGCCAGTATCAGATAAAACACTAGGAAACTAATAAAAATTGTAATCTATAGAAGATAATGGACTCTGAATTATTATGGCTCAGAAAAAGCATCTAAGATATACCATAGATGAATGATGGTCTAACGTTACTACCGACAGGGACTAAAATAAAATGTTAAACCTTATAGGATATGAAACAAAGGCAATTCTATCTCCAGGAACTATTGTATTTCCATTTTAACCAGTGCTAATGTCCCTGAAAACATGGGGACCTGTGTCTGGTTTGGTCACTAATCCTCAGTGGGAAAGTGATGTTAAAGCTGGAAAGTTTCAAAGAAGGGCACTGGAAACCATCAAAGACATGAAGACACTTCTGCAGCAGGGAAATCTTAATACTTATAGATGTTTCAAACTGGAAGGTTGAAATCGAAGAGGCATTATGACAGAAAGCTACATAATTATGAAAGGCATAGTTAAGAGTGAGTAAACGTTTTCAAGAAATTCTGAAAAACAAGAAAGCAAGATCACCTTCTGACAATTTTTAAAGCTAAAAACTTGGGGACACAAATTTAGCTTTTTTGGCTTACACAACCAATTACAAACTTAAAGAGCTCACTGCTTCCAAGAAGTGGTATTTAGATAAATTAACAAATGAGTGATCCACAGATATGGATTTTTGAGGGTATATTCCTGAGTTTGGGGACTTAAAAGTAATTGTTCCTCCATTGTCAGAAAAAGAACATCAGGATAAATATATTCCTACTTGGATCTGGGTTGGCAGTTTTCCCCATTTTTTACTACAAAAATTTCAAACATATATGCGCGTCCATGCACAGTGTCAACAATTATCAACTTACGGTTAGTCTTGTTTCAACTATAACTCACCCACTTTCCCACAAAAACTCCTAGGATTATTTTGAAGCCAATCTCAGTATATAATTTCATCCATAAATATTTTAGTATTATCTCCAAACGATGAGTATTCTTTATAATTATAACCGCAATATCATAATCGCAAAAACAGCAATACTATAATATTAACAAACACAGGTTGATAATTTTTATTTTCTGAAAAGCAACTCAGTTCACAAACTGCCTTCAATAATGATACTTAAGTTGATATAACTTTTAAGTCCTTTATCTCAGGACAAAAGTCTGTGATAATCTTTTTATTTCTGAACGTCATTTTAAAAGTGTAAGTTTCCCATCCTTAGAAAAAAAATGAATGTTTACTCCAAAATTACTATTAAGGGCTCACTAAGTAAAAAAATAAAACCTCCTTAAATCATCACAGAGAAATCCTAAGGTTTTCTTTTACCTGTTACTGCCAAATTTCCACCATTGCAAAGAGGCATCTGGAAGGGGCCATTATTCAGTTCTCAGAGGCTGTGCTGCTTTGGGTTTCTTTACAAGGCCGTGCCCTCATACAACCTTTAGGAGTCATATCTGAGCCCAGTTCTTGCTCCATTTTATTTTTTATTCTACTTTACTTAAACATGAGTACCTAAATCTGTTGGCCTAGTGATAGTGAGTGAGGGCAGATGAGGTCTGAGAGTAAGCCTGACATAAGCATCTTGGAAAAAAAATTGAGCAGTTGTTATCCAACAGTTAACCTTTGTTCCAAAGGTCATTCATTTATTGTATAAAGGTTGCTGGGAAACTACAGATGTCAATCTTGTGGTGAGTGATATCTCCTCTCCTATAGGAGAGAATGGAGTGGTGATCTGGAAGCTATGGGGAAAAAAATCATGAACGTGTCTGTCTATCACCATCTTTGTCCTCAATGACGTAGATGACCTAAGGAGAAAAGGGTGGCCTTCACCACAAAACTGCACATACACCTGGGACGCGGAAGGGTCAAAGGGGAAGATCCGGTGACAGGAGGACAAGCTTTACCTCCGCATGTTGCTAAATGACCAGTGACGTGTGCAAACACCCACGGCACCTGGTACCCTACAGCAAAATTCAGAATCCCAGCTGCAGCTTCCTCACACTGCCATCCAACTCTTACATTATCTTTTCTTCCAATCTCACTTGGAACAACACAAAAAAGGGAAACAGATCCAACATAACCAAGCTGACACAACACGGAGCCACCACAGATGACAAGGTTACTTATGCTTGACTTCATGACAGGAGTTTGGGACTAGTCTCTTGTTTTCTCTATTATTGTGGTTCACATACTAGAAATATTTCCACCTGTAATGCTTGGTAGAAGTCACTAGTAAAATTATCTGCTCTTGGAGTTCTTCTGAGGAATTTTAAAAACTACTTATACATATACATATTTGAATTTACAACTATTTAAGTTCTCTCTTCTAAACTCAGCTTAGATCAGTTGTGTTATTTAGAAAATTGTCCATTTTGTCTTAATATTCAAAATTATTGGCATTATGTTGTTATATAATAACCACTTATGGTAAAAATGTCAGCGGTATCTGCTATTATAGTCTCTTCCTCAATCCAGCTGTTGTTTATTTGCACCTCTGTAACAACGACAAGTTTGGACAGAGGTTGTCTGTCCAAAGAACCAGCTTTTGGCTTTGTTGATTCTTCCTGTCTTCATTTTTCACTTTATTAATTTCTGCTTGCAGCTTTCTTATTTTCTTCATCAATTTGTGGAAAGTGAGTGTTTTATTCTTTACATAATTTTGATTTCTTGACCTATGAGTTACTTTAAAATATTTTTTCTTAACTTCCAAATAATTTTTTTTCTAATTACATTTTGTTAATGATTTCTACATTAAAATTACTGAGGCCAGTTATATGTTCCCTATCAGAGGTCAGCCAACTATGGCTCATAGGCCAAATTTAGCCTATCATCTGTTTTTGTAAATAAAGTTTTATTGTAACAGAACTAAACTCAATTGTTTATATATTATCTATATTTTCTTTTACATAACATCAAAGTTGAAACTGTACGCAACTAGTCCCACAAAGTTGACCCAGGAGACTAAAATATTTACTCTTTAATCTTTTACAGGAAAAGTGTGCCAACCTCTGGACTTTATAATATTAGTCATTTAAAATTTACTGAGACATACTTTACAGTCCTGTGTATACTTAACTCTTATAAATGTTCAAAGTGTCCATGAAAAGAATGTGGATGTGAAGTTCCATATATCAATTAGGTCTATCTTTTTAAATTCTTCTACATGTTTATATAATGAAGATGTCTGTCTGCATAACCAATCAATTACTAAGATAATTTGATTAAAATTTTTCTCCTTAAAAATTAGGTAAATTTTTGAATTTTATACTGTAAAGCAATTTTATTATGTGAATAAGAATTATTACAGCTTTTTAGTAAATTCAACCTCTTATTATATAGTGGCATCTAGTAGGTTTTTTCCTTTATTTTTATTTTTTATTTTTTTGGAGACAGGTCTTACTCTGTTGCCCAGGCTGGAGTGCGATGGCACAATCTCGGCTCACCGCAACCTCCGTCTCCCAGGTTCAAATGATCCTCCCACCTCAGCCTCCTGAGTAGCTGGTATTACAGGCATGCGCCACTATGCCTGGCTAATTTTTTGTATTTTTGGTAGAAACGGGGTTTCACCATGTTGCCCAGGCTGGTCTCGAACCGCTGAGCTCAAGCAATCTGCCTGCCTTGGCCTCCCAAAATGCTGGTATTACAGGCATGAGCCACTACGCAGGCAATTTTTTCCCTTAAAGTCTTATTTTTCTCATATTAATATAGCAACAGCGCTTTAAGTTAGTATTTCCCTTGGGCACATCTTTCTTGATCCTTTTATTTTCAACCTTTCTGAATCCTTATGTTTTAGACAGGACATTTCTAAAAATATATTGCTGGATATTACAAAAATTCAATCTGAACATTGTAATCTTTTAACTGGAAAAACCATTCAATTTATAGCTATTTAATCACCGATGTATTTGGATTTATTTTTCCCACATTAGTTTGGTGCTTTGTATTTGACTCACCATTTCTATGTTTCTTTGCTCACTTTCTTTTGTTCTTTTAAATTTTTTTATAATCCCATATTTCTCGCTTCTACTCTGAATGGTATATATTATATTTATGATTTTTAAAACACTGTGCCTAAAATTTTATTCAGACTCAAGCATTAAGGAGAGCTAGAATAAAATTATAGCCATAATCTTGTCTACAGAAGTGACATCTTTCAAGTATAAGTTTGGGGTGATACATGCTTCATACACCAAAGCACAAATTCATTGATGTACAGGGCATACCACATAAACCACATTTACATCCACAGCTACATACACCTATAGCACTTAATAAAAATACTGCTGTTTTTAATAGGCCAATTACTACTTCAATTGCTATGTATGATTTAAATCTGGAACAGCTGTTTAAAAACACGATCTCACATCTAGTACAGGGAGGCACTGACTCTTCCTCTAACAGTGGCTATCTCTTTGATAAATCTCAATTTTATCCTACGACCAAGTGAAAATAGCCAAACTGTAAACAGTCACTTGAGTTAAGATGACCCAGGGGTTGGGCCTGGTGGTTCACACCTATAATCCTAACACTTTTGAAGACCGAGGAGGTGGGAGAATTGCTTGGGGCCAGTAGTTTGAGATCAGCCTGGGCAACATAGCAAGACCCCCATCTCTACAAAAAAATAATTTAAAAATTAGCTGGGCATGGTGACATGTGCCTATAACACCAGATACTCAGGATGTCGGGGCTTATCCTGAGTAGCTGGGACTACAGGCACACTACAGGTTCAAGTGGGGAGGATCACTTGAGCCCAGGAGTTCAAGGCTGCAGTGAGCTATGATTGCACCACTGTGCTCTCACCTGGGCAACAGAGATCCTATCTCAACAACAACAGCAACAATAACAAAAAAGATGACCCAGGCCTCACCTCAGTCACCACCCTCTTTATAAGCTGTCCCCTAAAGCCAGCTCTTCAGGAGTTCCCAGATAAACTTAATTATTCATTACCAGGAAGTGATGAGATACGTTATGAAGCTATGCAAACATAATGAAACACAAAGAAATCCCCCATATTGACAAAGGGCTAATATCCAGAATCTACAAAGAACTTAAATAAATTTATGAGAAAAAATCAAACAACCCCATCAAAAAGTGGGGAGAGGATATGAACAGACACTTTTCAAAAGAAGACATTTATGCAGCCAACAGACACATGAAAAAATGCTCATCATCACTGGTCATCAGAGAAATGCAAGTCAAAACCACAATGAGGTATCATCTCACACCAGTTAGAATGGCGATCATTAAAAAGTCAGGAAACAACAGGTGCTGGAGAGGATGTGGAGAAATAGGAATGCTTTTACACTGTTGGTGGGAGTATAAACTAGTTCAACCATTGTGGAAGACAGTGTGGCGATTCCTCAAGGATCTAGAACTAGATATACCATTTGACGCAGCCATCTCATTACTGGGTATATACCCAAAGGATTACAAATCATGCTACTATAAAGACACATGCACACGTATGTTTATTGTGGCACTATTCACAATAGCAAAGACTTGGAACCAACCCAAATGTCCATCAATGACAGACTGGATTAAGAAAATGTGGCACATATACACCATGGAATACTATGCGGCCATAAAAAAGGATGAGTTCATGTCCTTTGCAGCGACATGGATGAAGCTGGAAACCATCATTCTGAGCAAACTATCGCAAGGACAGAAAAACCAAACACCGCATATTCTTATTCTTCGGTGGGAATTGAACAATGAGAACACTTGAATACAGGGTGAGGAACATCACACACTGGGGCCTGTCGTGGGGTGGGGACTGGGGGAGGGATAACATTAGGAGAAATACCTAATGTAAATGATGAGTTAACGGGTGCAGCAAACCAACATGGCACTTGTATACATATGTAACAAACCTGCACGTTGTGCACATGTACCCTAGAACTTAAAGTATATAAAAAAAAATTACACAGATAAAAAAAAAGAAATCCCCCATATTGATCTTGGTGTAAAATTAGTAATGGTTATTTAACTTAGGCTAATTAGAACTTGCTGTGTTGCTGTTAAAATATCAGAATTGGAAGAAGTGGGGGAAAATGTTTTACTGTATTTAATTTTAACCATAAGGGGAAAGGCTTTTACAGCTACTATAAGACTATTTATGGGTCAAGAGATAATAGGGAAAAAGGAAGAATGATGCTATTCGATGAGATTTTTCTGAGGCAATCTTCTATAAAGTCTTTTTAAAATCTTATCTTAAGAAAAAGAAGAACCTTTCAGACCACCTATCAGATACATGCAGTACATGTATTCAGGATGTAAGGAATGGACTCTGAAAGATAATTTCACTTAAACCAGTATCACAGCACTAGCCATGACCACAGAGTATGAGTGTAGACAGTCCACACCACAGTGCAGTTGCTTATTTAGTGAGTTCAGGTGCTGTGAACTGTTTCTCCAGATATTAAAGCTGAAACATGAACTACACCAATAATGATACGGGGAATGCTTTTTTAAAAATGCATTTGCAGAAGCAAACTCTCCTCAGTATACTGAATGTCTAGATGTGTACACAGCTCAAAGTGAGATACTTCCTTAAGAATGGTAAGGGGTAGCTACAAAAACAAAACAGAAAACCTTCAGAAGACGTGATGGTTAATGACAGAATGTCGAAGGCTTTCCCTCTCAATTGAAAAACAAAAATGAACACTCCCTACCACCAATCTATTCAACATCATACAAGAGGTTTAATCCATAGAATAAAGAAAGAAGAAGAAATAAAAATGGTACAACATTTAGAAAGGAAACAAAACTCTCATTATTCACAAATAATATAACTTTTCACATAAAAAATCCCTATAGAACCCATAGATTCCTATTAGAATTAATAAGAGAGCTTAGAAAAGTTCTTTGGTATGAAATTAATATACAAAAATTAATGTATTTCTCTCTGCCCTTGACAAACAGGTTGAAAATGTAAAAATTTATTAAGATATTATTTATGGTAGCATAAAACAATTTGTTACCTATGAATAAATTCAACAAATATATGTAAGATCTCCCCAGGAGACGATAATAAAACATTATTGGGAGATATTCAATAAAACCTATATAAATGAGAAACTATATTACATTTATGATTGAAAAGCCAAGTATTACAAAGTTGTAGATTCTCCTTCAAATAAATGATTTATAGGTTCAATGAATTCCAACAAAAATGCAACAAGTATTGTGCGAACCACAGAAATTACTTCTAAAATTGATACATAGAATTTCAAATTACCAAGAATAGCCAAAACTATGAAAAAATAGAAGAATGTGGGAGATCTTGTTCTGTCTATGAAGACCTATTCTAAAGCTACAGAAATCAGTTTAGTGTAGTATAGGTCCAGAGCAATGTAATTGATAAGAGCCCATAAGCAGACTCATGCATGAATAAACACTAGACTTACACAAACTGGGCACTGTAGTGACTATAGATTATGAAATATAGAACCCACTTTCCAATACATGGTGTGAATATAATTGACCATGCATTTGGTGAAAAATGGACTTACACCATACAAAAAATTAAATTCAAGTGGATGAATTTCAAAGGAATGCTTTAAGTATATGGAAGAAATACTTCCATTACCTTGAAGTGCCAAAAGATTTTTAAGATGAATTCCACAAAAAGTCTTAATCAAAGTGGAAAGGATTTGTAAATTTGACTATTTTTAAATTAAGAGTTTCTGTTCACCAGTAGAAACACCAATAAAAAGTGAAAAGTCAAGCCACAGAAGATATTTGTAAATAGTTCTTCTAAATGTTTTCATTTTCTTAACAATTTTAGGATACAAAATAACTTCTAAAACTCAATTTTAAAAAGGGGGAAGACAGATGGCCTGATAGAATAGAAGGCAAAATATTTGGCGAGCACATTGCAAAGGAAGAAGTACAAATGGTCAACAAAAATCAAAATGGCATTATTAGTCAGGGAAATGAAAATTAAACCATAATATACTCCCACATGCCCACCATATTGGCAATTTTTTATTTTTTATCTTTTCATTTTTTTGAGATTGAGTCACTCTGTCATGCAGGCTGGAGTGCAGCGGCACGATCATGGCTCACTGCAGCCTCACCCTCCCCAGGCTCTGGTGGGTCTCCCTCCTCAGCCTCTTAAGTAACTGGGTCTACAGGTGCACACTACCATGCCTGGCTAACTTTTGTATTTTTTGTACAGATGGGGTTTTGCCACGTTGCCCAAGCTGGTCTCCTGAGCTCAAGTGATCCACCCACCTCGACCTACCAAAGAGCTAGGATTACAGGTGTGAGCCACTGTACCCAGCCCACATTGGCAAATATTAAGAGTACTGACAATATGTGAATTCTCATAACCTGCTGGGGTTTCACCACAGATACAGCCACATTGGAAAACAGGGCAATACTGTCTTAGAAACTGGAGATACACAGGCCCTATGACCTGGAAATTTCACTTCTAGAGCTATAAAAACTTATTTATACTAGATGTTTATAGAAATATTGTTCATAATTGCCCCAAATTGGTAATGGAATTTACATTATTGAGAATGAATGAACCTAGATATATGTAGGCAATTATATCATACTGTTCATTGTAAAAGTAAATAACAAAAGAATATTTAGAGAATGATTCAATTAATATAGGGTTCAAAAATAGGTTAAACCATATCAATATGAGATGTATGCATAGGAGCTGAAACTAAAGAAAGGCAAGAAAATGATTACTATAAAAACTAGTCACTCGGTCTTGATGGGAGAAGGAGAAGGTATTGTGATTGAAAAGAGATACATGAAGGCTTCTGGGGTTCTATTTCGTGACTTGAATGGTTGTTATACAGGTTTACATTTTGTTTGTTTTGTTTTGCTTTTTTGAGACAGAGTCTTGTTCTGTCGCCCAGGCTAGAGTACAGTGGTGTGATCTTGGCTCCCTGAAACCTCTGCTTCCCGGGTCCCAACGATTCTCCTGCCTCAGCCTACCGAGTAGCTGGGATGACAGGCGTGGGCCACCACACCCGACTAATTTTTGTATTTTTAGTAGAGACAGGGTTTCGCCATCTTGGCCAGGCTGGTCTTGAACTTCTGACTTCAAGTAATCTGCCCGCCGCAGCCTCCCAAAGTGTTGGGATTACAGGCGTGAGCCACCGCATCTGCCCTATACAGTTTTGTGTTTCAAAATCTTGTATTAAACTCTGTAAACAAAGTTCTGACCATTTTTCCCAGTTGCGGCGTATTTTATGATCAAGAAAATACTAATTAACAAAAAGATCCCAGGTAAAAAGATTTTAAAATAGAGGCAGAGGTTAACAGAAAATGCGACACTCCCAATATGAGAAGAGAAGAGTAAACACTTGGCTCTTCTTACCCTGCTGTTCTTTATTCCAACCTGCAGTCTTAGTGGGACTCTCTGCTCTCCCTGATTGGGAGAGCAGATCTGCTGAATGTCTGCTCTACCACTGAGGGTAATAAGAGACTTCAGTTCTTCTCCCATTGGTGCTGAGAAGTAACAGGGCATCCGAGAAGACCTAGGAAATTTCTCCTCATATGAAACTGTGCTTGGTGGAGAGGATGAGAAAACATGGAGTTAGACGAGTGCTCCAGAGGGCTGGGGAAGCAAAATTTCCAACAGCATTCTTTAAGTGACCTTAGGCGATCCTTAAAAGAAAGTGAGTTGGCCGGGCGCGGTGGCTCACGCCTGTAATCCCCGCACTTTGGGAGGCCGAGGCGGGTGGATCACGAGGTCAGGAGATGGAGACCATCCTGGCTAACACAGTGAAACCCCGTCTCTACTAAAAACACAAAAAATTAGCCGGGCGTGGTGACGGGCGCCTGTAGTCCCAGCTACTCGGGAGGCTGAGGCAGGAGAATGACATTAACCCGGGAGGCGGAGCTTGCAGTGAGCCGAGATCACACCACTGCACTCCAGCCTGGGTGACAGAGTGAGACTCCATCTCAAAAAAAAAAAAAAAAAGAAAAAGAAAAAGAAAGTGAGTTAAGTGAAATATCACCTGCAAGGCCACAGGGAGTGTCCTAAAATAATGATGATTACACATTATTTGGTGACTCAGTGCAGCTGTTCTGAGTTCGGTCAAGTACATTTACGTTCTGGAATAGGGTGGCTGAGGTCACGGGCGTGATAAATTCACAAAAGGTAGCTTGGGTTCTTTGTGCTAAAAGTTTCTCTGGCCAGGAAACTGATTCACCAAAAGTCAAAATAAATGTGCATAGCATTATTTAGCATTCAGAGCTAAAAGTGGACGTAGAAATCATTTTCTTTAGCCATTTACAAATGGCTTCAAAGAGCCCGAGGAGTTCAATAAAGTACCTCAGAGTGTGCTGGCAAAGTGTGGGCTGTCTCCCATCAGGGTAGCTTCCACTCTCAGCTTTACAAAATGACCTTCCAGATCACAAAAGAAAGCCCCAATGGCTTTAGAAAAGATTCAAAAACCAGTGATCCCGTCTAACTCCTTCATTTTGCAGATAAAGAAACAGGTCGAGAGAGGGGAGGTGGCATTCTCAAAGCGGCTCATAGGGCTATCAGCAAAACAAGACAGGAACAGAGATTGTCTGCTTCTGACTTGGACTCTTTCCAATGTACTAGATTGCTAGTTAACGCCACGTGCGAACAAATCTAAACTAGTGAATATAAAACAAGGAAGACAGAAACAGATCTCTCATCACCAGCACCTACATCATAAGGTTTTCATAAAGATTAAACGTGTTTATAATGGTACTTGTTTAGAGCAGTTCCTGGCATGTACATAAGAACTGGGCATTTACCATTCTTATAAAATGACACTTTTCTGGTCCTTTCATTCTTTTTACCCACTTTGTCCACACACCGTTTTATCTACCAACTGCCAGCTTGAAATTTTCAAAGGGTCGCAAATCCATACAAGGAATAAAATCAACAATCTGTGTTCTCTAGTCTGAGGACAACAGCTGCCGAGGAGAAAATCTGATCTGCACCATGGACAAGGACTTCATGTAAGAACCATCTTACACATAAACCTTCTCCTCCCCATGGCTCTAGCCACAGATAGTTTTATCACCGCTTAACCATGTGCTCATGGGAGGTTTAGCTTCTGACAGCAGTTGGGACGTTTTATGTTGATACTTTTAATGAAAATCAAACGTATTTGCAGAAGTGTATCTTAAGAGCAGAAAGCAGGCCGGGCGCGGTGGCTCACGCCTGTAATCCCAGCACTTTGGGAGGCCGAGGCGGGCGGATCACGAGGTCAGGAGATCGAGACCATCCCGGCTAAAATGGTGAAACCCCGTCTCTACTAAAAATACAAAAAATTAGCCGGGCGTAGTGGCGGGCGCCTGTAGTCCCAGCTACTTGGGAGGCTGAGGCAGGAGAATGGCGTGAACCCGGGAGGCGGAGCTTGCAGTGAGCCGAGATCCCGCCACTGCACTCCAGCCTGGGCGACACAGTGAGACTCTGTCTCATTAAAAAAAAAAAAAAAAAAAAAAAAAAAATTGTTTGAAGATTGGCTCAGAAAGCTTAAAAGATTAAGAATAAAAATGTATTCAATTAAAAATGGAGAATCAAAAGGTGAACAAGCAGTGTTCTTTACTTAAAGGAAAACGATCTTCGAGTTAATAAGACATGAAAAAATACTTGAATACATTAGCAGCCATTAACTGATTCTAGTTAAAGAGAAACACATAGGACCAGCATGATTGCTCACGCCTATAATCCCAGCATTAGGCGGAGGCGGGAGGATCACTTAAGCCCAGGAGTTCGAGACCACCCTGGGCAAGCAACATGGCTAGATCCCATCTCCACAAAAAATACAAAAATTAGCCAGGCATGGTGGTACACACCTGTAGACCCAGCTACTCAGGAGGTTGAGGCAGGAGGATGGATTGAGTCCAGGACCTTGAGGCTGCAGTGAGCTATGATCACAGCACTGCACTCCAGTCTGGGTGACAGAGCAAGACCTTGTCTCAAAAAAAAAAAAAAAAAAGAAAAAAAAAAAAAGAAAAAGACACGCATATAAAATATTTTTATTTGGCGGAGTGTGCAGGGGTGCTGTTCTAATGCCACTTTTTGAGGTTAAAAGAAATCGGGAAAAGGGACAATATGTCTGATTAAGAAGAAGGAATGGAAGGCATTACTTATAGATTCAACTTCGGACAGTATTGATTTTCTGTCTTCACTTGTTGTTTGAAAATTAACTTCCAGAATCAATATCCATTAACACTTATTCAGTGCACATGCACCCGCAACATTCAGCTAGGGACAGTTAGAACAGGTACCATCCTGCATTGAAAAGGGTAACAAATTCCATTCACTTAAGTTTGAGTCCCCTCACTTTCTCCCTTCCTCTTTCCCTTTCTTCCTTCCATGAATATTCATTAAGAACCTGCCATGTGCTGGCATTTGTCTAAATTCCGAAGATGAAGTGAATCTGTCTTCATATGGCATACAAGCTGGTAATGATATTGACTTGATGAGATGGTCAGTATTGAGTTTGTTTAGGCTGTCATGAAGATGGGGAAAAAGCCACACGGAAAATATTAAGATAATCCATGTCTTGCTGGGGTTGGTACAAAGACTCTGAAAGACAGATTGCAATCCAATACAGATATTAGCTCTAGACAAAGGACACTGCCTGTTTTGTAATATAAAGAAACAAAATCTCACAAATGGTAAGAATGCATGATGTCAGAAGCAATGTCAGAAGACCAGGGCTCACATTTTTACTTTCCTCTAAGATCAATAACCTTGAGCAAATGCCTCTGCAGTTTAAAGCCTTTTTTCTTCTCTACAAAGGAAGCATAACATAATACCATTACCTTATGTAGGGCACAGTTATGAGGATTATGGCATGTGTGAAAGTTTGTGAATTATAACAAAAATATAATGTATTAGCATTACATTAAAGTGTGAGGTAGGGCATGTTCAGGTCAAAGCCTAGGAAAAGAAAACATCAAAAGAGACTGACTATACACATGTACTAAGTCCAATTACAAAACTTTGAGAAACATGAGACTTACTTTATGTTGAAGAGGATGTTTACTTTTTTCCATTTCTCATTGTCTCCTGTCTTCAAATATTAATCACATAATATATACTGGAAAAACAACTCACAGATATACCTCAATTTTTAAAAATGTAGTCTAAAAAATGTACATTTATAAAACAGATTTTTTATTTCCAAAGGACAAAATTCAGTGATTTACTAAAAGTTCTTTTATACACAATTTATAAAGCACAACAGTGCACACATTCTGGTAAACTTTTTGACTGGTATTTTACCAAGTTTCAAACATAGCTTTTAAAGAACCTAGGATTTAGCTATTTTGAAAAATAGTTCATACTAAACAGGCAAAAACTGGAAGCATTCCTGCTGAGAACTGGAACAAGACAATGATGCCCACTCTCATTACTCCTGTTCCTATAATATTGAAAGTCCTTGCCAGAGCAATCAGGCAAGAGAAAGAAATAAAAGGCATCCAAATAGAAATCATTGAACTATCTCTTTTTGCTGATGATGTGATTCTTTACTTAGAAAACTCTAAGAACTCTAGCAAAGGTCTCCTGGAACTGATAAACACCTTCAGTAAAGTTTCAGGATACAAAATTAATGTACAAAAATCAGCAGCATTTCTATACACCAATAACACTGAAGCTGAGAGCCCAATCAAGAACACAATCTTGATTTACAATAGCTTGCATTTTACATTTACAATAGCTGCAACAACAACAACAAAATACCTATGAATGTATCTAACCCAGAGGGTGAAAGATCTCTATGAGGAGAACCACAAAACAGTGTAAAAGTCATCATAGATGATCCAAACAAAAAAATTCCATGCTCGTGGATTTGAAAAATCAGTATCGTTAAAATGGCCATACTGCCCATAGAAGTTTACAGATTCAGTGTTACTTCTGCCAAACCAGGAACATCATTTTTCACAGAACTAGAAAAACCTATTATAAAAGTAAGATGGAACTATGGAACCAAAAAAGAGCCTGAAGAGCCACAACAATCCTAAGCAAACAGAACAAAGCCAGAGGCATCACATTACCAGAATCCAAACTATACTCTAAGGCTACAGTAACTGAAACAGCGTGGTAGTGGTGCAAAAACAAATACATAGACCAATGGAACAGAATAGAGAGTGCAGAAATGCTGCAGACCTACGGCCCTCTGATCTTCAACAAAGTTGACAAAAATAACAGTGGGGAAAGGACTCCCCATTCAATAAATGATTCTGGAATAGCTGGCTAGCTATATGCAGAAAATGAAACTGGACCCCTTCCTTACACCACATACAAAAATTAATTCAAAATTGATTAAATATTTAAATGTAGATCCTCAAACTATAAGAATCCTAGAATAAAACCTAGGAAACACCATTCTGGACATCAGCCTTATGAAAGACTTTATGACTAAGCCCTCAAAAGCAATTGCAAAAAAAAAAAAATGACAAATGGAACCTAATTAAAGTTTTGCACAGCAGAAGAAACTATTAACGGAGTAAACAAGTGACCTACAGAATGGAAGAAGATATTCACAAACTTTGCATCTAACAAAAAGGTCTAATGTCCAGAATCTATAAGGAACTTAATTCAACAAGCAAAAAACAAATAACCTCATTAGAAAATGGGCAAAAGACATGAAAAGACACTTCTCAAAAGAAGACATACAAGTGACCAACAAATATATGAAAAAATGCTCTACATCACTAATCACTGGAGAAATGCAAATCAAAACCACAATGAGGGCCAGGTGCGGTGGCTCATGCCTGTAATCCCAGCACTTTGGGAGGCCGAGGCGAGTGGATCACGAGGTCAGGCGTTTGAGACCAGCCTGACCAACATGGTGAAACCCCATCTCTACCAAAAATACAAAAATTAGCCAGGCATGGTGGCGCGTGCCTGTAATCCCAGCTACTCAGGAGGCTGAGGCAGGAGAATCACTTGAACCCGGAAGGTGGAGGTTGCAGTGAGCCAAGATCATGCCACTGCACTCCAGCCTGGGTGGCAGAGCAAGACTCCATCTTCAAAGAAACAAACAAACAAACAAAAAACCACAATGAGATACCATCTCACTTTGGTCAGAACAGTTGTTATTAAAAAGAAAAAACAACAGATGCTGGGGAAGCTGCGGAGAAATGGGAATGGTCATACAACATTGGTGGGAATGTAAATTAATTCAGCTGCTGTGGAAAGCAGTTTGGAGATTTCTCAAGGAACTAAGAGTTGAACTACCATTCAACCTAGCAATCCCATTACTGGGTATATACCTAAAAGAAACTGTTCTAACAAAAAGGCACATGCACTTGTATATTCATCACAGCACTATTCACAAGAGTAAATATGTGGATTCAACCTAGATGCTCATCAACAGTGGATTGGATAAAGAGTATATGGTATATACACACCATGGAATACTACACAGCCATAAAAGAACAAAATCATGTCCTTTGCAGCAACGTGGATGCAGCTGGAAGCCATTATCCTAAGCAACTTAATGTAGGAACAGAAAACTAAATGCTGCGTGTTGTCACTTATAAGTGGGAGCTAAACAATGTGTACTCATGGACATAAAGATGGCAGCAGTAGACACAGGGGACTACTAGAGAGGGAGGCAGAGATGTGGGTACGGGTTGAAAAACTAACTACTGGGTATTATGCTCAGTACCTGGGTGATGAGATCAATTGTAACCCAAACCTCAGCATCATACAACATACCCAGGTAACAAACCTGTATCCCCTGAATCTAAAATAAAGGTTGAAATTATTTTTAAAAAGAAAGAAAAATAGCAATTATGCTACAATACTCCTATTCTGGTATTATCACACAGAACTGGATTTCTATAATCTCAGAGAACAAAAGGTCATTATTGTATTATTAGCATTATTCTTTAAAAGTCTATTAGAGACTAGCAAGACTGAGCTATGTCCTGAAACTTTTAGGGGCTGTCATATATGGCTGTGTTATTCAAAAACGTTACTCTCAAGTTTGCAGTTCACCATAAGATATTCCATTTTGAGAGAGTTCTTTGTCCTTCATCATATTCCTGCCAAGCTTTGAGTAGTAAAAACTCATTTCTGACTTGAGGCTGAGATTCACACCTGCCTACATCACATAGGAGAAAGCTAGCATCTCAGATCTTGCAACTAAGAGCATTAATTTTCCCACTGTTTTTATTATAATTTTGTTCCCTATTGTTAACATTTATGGTATAATGGTCTCATAGCAAAGAAAGAATACAAAAATCATTCTTTGTGTTTTATTATTTTCTCATTGGAGGCTTAGCCACCTTCAGACAGGCTTTGCAGTGGCCTGGTAAAGGGGCAAGGGTTCCTGGAAAGCTCAGTTTTAGGATCGATACTTTCTAAACCTGTGCATAAGGCTCCAGATAATTCAAAATATGAATTCAAGTTTGAGGTCTTTCAATGATTCTATGAGATAATTCCATATCTTCATTTCCAAATATACTCTGCTTATTTTTAAATGGTTTGTTTTTCTTTTTTCTCATAAGGAAAAAAACTTTCTGTAAGATATGACAAGGAAAACTATGTTTTGCCAGGCGTGGTGGCTCATGCCTGTAATCCTAGCTCTTAGGGAGGCCGAAGCAGGTGGAAGGCTTGACCTCGGGAGTCTGAGACCAGCCTGGGCAACATGGTGAAACCCTGTCTCTACAAAAATTACAAAAATTAGCTGGGCATGGTTGCTTGCACCTGTAGTCCCAGCTACATGGGGGGCTGAGGCGGGAGGATTGCTTGAGCCTGAGGCAGAGGTTGCAGTGAGCCAATATCGCACCACTGCACTCCAAGAAAAAAAGAAAAGAAAAACTATGTTTTGGTCACTTCCTGAAGAGACCAGCTGGCAGAAAGGAGCAGAGAAAATAAAGGAAAAAAGACAAATCCCTGAGCTAGCTGACTCAGTTCTTTGTTGTGAATGTTGACATTAGATTTTGTCTTTCACTATCAGCTGCCAGAGATTATGAGAAAATAAAATAAAAGGACAAGAGGCTTTTAAGAAGGATGGTTTGGCAAAGGACGTTACTATCTGGTGCTTTGTTGTGTGCTGGAGGTTAAGCAGCTTTGACTCTTTCTGTGGCACTGACTATAATGGAGAGCCAAGAATTTGCCAAGACTTGCCATTGTTACATGCTGTTATGTAACTCATCAAAGAGTTCTTTCAGAGCAACCCAGGCTTTCCCACAGGACAACCATGACCAGGTATTTGACCAAATGCGCCCAGGAAAACATTTCTGTTTGAAGAATTTCTGTCAAGAAAAGTTTCTTGGACAGAATAAGATTGTAGAAGAAATTTCTGCAAGTAATTTTAAAACTCCCAACTCTGAACTAGCCTTCCCAACCTTAACATTCTGCCTAGGTCCTGGTCACACTAGCCAAACTCTGCATTACTTTGCTCCAATCCTATGGAACAGCTCAGAATGTCTTACTTTCCTTTGTATCAGAGGGAGTACCTGCAAAAACATACCTTGAGTCTTAAAGGCATAAAATAAATGGCTTATTTTTGGCAAGCATTGTATTTTCTGTCTTTTAAAATAGTTATAGTTCTCCAATATCTTTCCTTTTATATAGAAAGGGCCAGTCGACAAGGCGCATGGATGGCACAGAGACCTCATGCACACGAGGCTTTGATTTTGCCACTCACCCCGTGTTTATTCGGTGAGAAAGACCATGGAGTGGAAGAGGAATCTGGGTTGGAATTCTGCTTCTTCTAGTTACTACCCGAAAAAACTGACAACTTACTAAGCTCTTTAGAGCTTCAGTGAATTGTTACATTGGCAGATAAATCAAGCTGACCTCTGAAACGATCTAACCAAAGAGCTAATATGATCCTGGGGTAGAACACCTGCTTAGTAGACAGGTCCTGGTATTATATTATGTGCTTGTAGTAACCGTTTGGCAAACATAGTTAATTTATTACAATGTTAATGTTACTATCTTTTCCTACTGATGCTTTCCTGTGTTACTAAATTATAGGCAATTCTATCCTGTTTTTGAATTTTTTAAAAAAGTATGATATAGAAAGTTAACATCTATAGAGTGTTGACTTTACGCCAGACACTGTGGCAAGTGATTAAGGTAATAAATTATATTTCATATAAGATTTCTATGAATCCGCTCAAGTAGTATCAATACCTCCATTAAACTGAGATCTACAGACGTTAAGCAACTTTCCTGAGATCACACAGCTAGAAAATGCTACAACCATGACAGAACAATTTATGTCTGGGTCAAACATTGTGCAATATGCAAGGGGTTTTTAACCTCCATATTCTCTTTTTTTAAGGTCTTTTATTCATTCTACAACCATTTGCTGACTTTCTTCAATATCCAAAGCAGTGTTTTTCCTGCATGCCATTGAGAGTTATTTCAAGGACCAAGTGACTTTGGTCTAGGAAATTGAAATTTTCTTCTCCATAATAAAAGCAGTTTTGACTGATCTACTTTTCTTGTAGCCCGTTAAAATTCAGTCTCTAGTCAAGTATTTGGCAAGAATCACAGGTTTGTCTCATGAGCCTTAGGTTAATTATAAAGTACATAGTTTTTTTTCTTCTACTTAAAAACATTGTCTTTCAAAAGTAATGGAATATTCCTTATAATGCTATAGAACCAGGTTTGTAGTCATTTTGTACATGCTTTCTAAAATGGAGCTTTAAACCTACAAAATCTCGATCACTGAATTCAATTAAGTTTCATAAATAAAAATAAAAATGCTTTTTCAAAAAAATAGTATCATCAGTTTCAGTAGACTCCAAGTACTAAGCTTACTTAAACTGATTTCTTTTCACATTCTTGGAATGTCACACCAATTAGATATGCAACTATTGTTTTGGGACTTAATGTTCAGTAAAGGTTTTTTTTCTCCAGCCAGAGCCAGTCTTGTTTTGTTGGTTTATTTGAGTAATGGTAAGTAGCCAGAAAACTTAGCCCCTATACTAGATTCTACTTGAGCATTTTCATCATAACTATGGTGGGTGGGAGAGAGAGAGAAGGAGAGAGATGCTTACAGTTTCATTTCACTCCTTTTCTTTTAGTTCTTGGAGTTACAATGAAGTATTTATTCTTTCCTGGATGCAACAGATCTGCGACCTGTGTATTTGAGCTCTAAAGAATTAGCACTTTTTCCTTTTCCAAATTCATGATTCTAGATCACAGGTCAAGATGGAAGTAAGACACAAAACTTCCAAATTCAAGAATTCATTAGGTGCATCATTTCATTCTAAAAATGAACTATTACTTTTACTTGATGAATGACGGAAACACCATTTCTCTAGTGAATGAAGTAGAATTTGGAAAACATAAGTGCACATAAATCTCCTCAGTGGCTAATCAAAGATGTATTTGGTTGCTACTGAGGGGTTGAGTCACTACCAAAGTCACCGCTGTTTCCATGGTCATTATTTAACAGCTCTTGTAGTGCATTGAGTCTGCTTTAGAAGAAGTCTTGAGACTGCTTTAGAAGAAGGATTGCTTCCTTTCTCACTTTGACAGCCTTACCTGATTTAATTCACAAGGGACTTTGCGGCATTATGATGGTGAAGAGCAGATTTCCAATGGATGGGCCTTCACTTAAATTTTATCATTGTCAGCTTTCATTTAAATCACACTGCACACTTGACAGCTGAGGTGAGCCAGTGCTTCTATTTAAAAACATGAATGGCATTTTGGTGTTAAATTTCAGTTTGTTTGTACTCTACCCATAGTTTAAGACTATAAGCCTTCTGGAAAGAGTATGTGTATTTCTGAAGGTTTCTATTTTACTCAGTGGGTACCGGTGGCATGGAAATTTTAGCTGCCCTGATAGAGAGAGGATGCCTTCCTGACATTTCACATAGTTATGTACATGCCTGACAGGCCCCAAATGTTTGCTGCTCATCTAATCCCTAGGAAAGAATTTCGAAAGGATATTCAGCTATGACTCATATTATCAGATGGTTAGGTTCTGTAAAGATATGTGTAACAAATAATATTTTCCATAAACTGGGACAGTCTAGTTTTAAATATTATTTTATCCCTTTCTTTGAAGAAAAAATTATTACTATTTTAAAGCCCAACTTATGAAGATTTATGAAAGTAGAGTTGTTCTGTTCGAAAGGGGGAAGGGGACCCATGGGGACCTTGCCCCCTCACACCACCCTAGCTTCTGAGCCCCTGACGGCCTTCTAGAAAAATCTTAAATCTACCTTAAATATGGGATATTAATCTATCTTAAATCTATAAGACAGATTTTTAAAATCCTTTTCCATGGTAACCAATGAGGAATTGTAGAATGAGGATTGAGAAAAAAAATCATCTAATAAATGTTCACCTTTAACCTAAATTTCACAGAGTGGACTTGTTTAATCACAGACCACCTGGAAGATTCTTTCAGTATTCATTTAACAATTTATGATACTCCTTAAGCCTCTCCCTCCCTGACATGATATTCTTTGGGCATTTCCAGTCTAAAAAGCCAATGGTCTGCTTTGTAGCATTGCTGAGGGAAGGCTGGAAAGAATAAATGACTTGTTCCCTATGCAGCTGATAATGTTTTGTTTTGTTGTTGCTGTTGTTTGTTTTTGTTTGTTTGTTTTGTTTTTTTGAGACGGAGTCTAGCTCTGTTGCCAGGCTAGAGTTCAGTGGCGCAATCTCGGCTCACTGCAACTTCCGCCTCCCAGGTTCAAGGATTCTCCTTCCTCAGCCTCCCGAGTAGCTGGGATTACAGGCACGTGCTGCAACACCCAGCTAATTCTTGTATTTTTAGTAGAGATGGGGTTTCACCTTGCTGGCCAAGATGGTCTCAATCTCCTGACCTCGTGATCCACCTACCTCAGCCTCCCATAGTGCTGGGGTTACAGGCGTGAGCCACCACGTCGGCAAGAAATGCGAAAAGTTCTACATCACTAGTAAGCAAATGCTTTCTGTCTTTTTAATTTTTAAAAATTATTTGAGGGTGGCTTTGGAGGAAGAGGTGTTCCAAATACTTCACCTGCTTTTAATGGCATGGTTTATCTGTCACTGGGGATAATTGTTCTTCTCTCCTCTGCAGTTTAGAAAATGGGCTTAATTGCTAAAATTGTTGCCCAAGTCCACAGAATTACCATGGAACCACTCTGAGGATGCGCAGTGCTGAGTCAGTGTTGGGGAGGTATTCCATCTTCTCTGAGATGTACTTCATGAAACACACATAATGACATATTAAATCATTATACCAAGTATTTTGTAAAATATTTATGGTGGTAATTATTTCCGTCATTAGCTAGCGACCCTTTTTCATATGCTGAATCCTGTAAAGGTATTAGAAAGTTCTTAACAGAACTTCTGACTTTTAGATATATGCTTCGAAATGTGTGTTTATTTTTCCCATTAGCATCAACCACTCAACTTACGTTTCTTCATCCCTGACATTTATACTTCCACCTTTGCTCCAGATGAGACAGCCTTGTTTGGCTCCACATTCTAAACTTTTCCTCTTTTTTTCTTTATATTTAGCTTGGTTTCATCTCCACATCTACATAACCAAATATGTTCTGCCTTTGGATTTCTGCCTTAAGCTCTGCTTTATTTATGAAGTGCTTACAGTCTCAGATGACCTCAATCTCTTCCCTTTCTGACTTAGAGGAGAACATCAATTGCAAAACTTGACTGTTTTCCTTTTAGCGCCATATGGTTTTCTACCTCCTTGCTGTTTAGGTTGTCTTACTTCTGCAATGTTTGGCTCCGCTCATCCAAGCCTTCTGCTTTTACTCATATATCACACATGGCAAACATATACATATATATAATACAGAAATTATATACATGATATAGTATGCATTTTATATTATATATTAGTTATGTATTACATATTATAGTTATTAAATACTATATATATTACAGATATGTTGGTATATGTGCATGTAGTACACAACATTGTGCCAGGAAGAGAGTAGATATCCCAGTATTTATTCAACTAAGCTACATTCAAAGCTATAGCAGTTATGGCAATGAATAAGAAAAATAGCTTATTTTAATAATTCACTGTCTTCTAAAAGAGATAGTAAATTGAGAAGCAGAAAGTTAAGACCTAGTTTTCATTCCTTTTCTATCTTTACTATGTAAAAAATTTTAAAACGTTGACAATATCAACGTCCCCTATCAAAGTACACAAAATCCATTTTGAAATTTTTTCATCAAAATATTTTCCATTTTTCACAAAGCATACTTGTGTCCTTCCTAAAAATAAATTCTTTTAACAACAGAACTCTGAGCCTAAGATAAAGCTTTAGGTAAGAGATATATGAGTCAGAAATAACAAATTGAGAAGTGAAAAAGTTGGTAGGAAGTGAAGGTGGGGACTTGGCAAGTTTTTGAGCATTGTGAATAAGGATGCATGCTTAGTTGTGTGAGAGAATGTGTGTATTGTTAGTATGGCTTCTGTGTAACTGGCATATCCTAGGCAGAACCATTCTTAGCTCTACATACATTTCTCTGTATAGCACCTTCCCATAGCACCTTCTTTAATCTTGTAAAATAGCAATTTCCATGTTTTAAAATTACTTGCCTATCCATCTTTCTTCCACTAAACTGTGTACACTGTTGGGAAAGACAGTGGTTAGTTTCTATAGTTTATCCTTAGGGCCTAGCACAATGCCTTTGACCTGGTAGATACATAAATAAGTGTTGGGCAAGTACATTATGTTGTAAGTAATAAATGAGCAACTAACTGAATGATTAAAGGAAGGAAGAGATGAACAAAAGATATAAGAATATTCCTAGGAAAACTGATCCCTCCTAAACTATCACCACCTATGTCAATTTTTTAACTTAAAATATTTATGCATTTCTCCAAATCTAAAGTTATTAAGTGCTATGGTTTTGATATTTGTCCCCTCCAAACCTCATGTGGAAATTTGATCCTCAATGTTGGAGGTGTATAGTCTAATGGAAGATGTTTGGGTTATGGGGATGGATCTCTCATGGATAGATTAATGCTTGCCCTCCCTCCCTTGATGCTGAGTGAGTTCTCACTCTATTAGTTTCGGAGAGTTCTGGTTGTTGAAAAGCACACACACCTGCCCCCACTCTCTTGAGTCTTACCATGTGATCTCTGCACATGCTGGCTCCCCTTCCCTTTAGTCATGAGTGGAAACAGCCTGAGGCCCTCAGCAGGCACCAGAATCATGAGCTAAATAAACCTGTTTTCTTTCCCCAGCCTCAGCTTTTCCTTTATAGTAACACAAAATGAATAAGAAACAGAAGGAGAGGAAAAGCATTAATACATTAAAATTTGACAGAGTCTTTTCTAAACTTGTAAGTTTGTTCCCAGATTTCATTTTTGATTTGCAGGATTATAATGGTTTCTTCCACAAAAGTGTTTAGGCATTTCTGAAAAAGTAGAGCTTGGACAAAATTAAAACCTCCTTGAAAAAAAAATAGTAGCACTTTTGAGTATAATGTCATGTATTTTGTCATACAAGAGCAGTTCTATCGATTCCAGTTATTCTTCTGTGGAGTTGTTCCACCTACGTATAGAAAATGGTCCAAAAACTTCCACATATTGAGAATATTTACCTTTATATAATAAAGATATTATTAAGAAGTCATCCTACAGATTTGCTACAGATTCTTTGCTGAGATTCTCAGAACGTCCCTAAGATAACTAATCTCATGCAGAGGTAACCAGCAGCACCAAAAGTCACAGGAAACAAGTTGCTCCTCAGAAACAGGTATAGAGAATACTACTGCTTCTATTGCTAGCATTGGCTGTAAAGCTAAATTCCTAAAGTTGCTTTTAAACCTAGGATGGAGTTTATTAATGGAGAAAAAAAAGATATTACATCAAATTCTTACTGCTTTTCCTATCCAGGTTACAGTATTCTCCAAAATGCCAAGTTCACCTGCCATTCAGCTTAAGGTCACACATTTATAGTATGTCCTATTTCCAAGTGTCTACCACAGACTTGACAAAAAAAAAAAAAATTGCATGAGTAATGGCAACCCTAAAACAAAACTTATGAAATCACAAGCATAAATATTCTATATGATGATTCTACATACATTGTGTATTCTACATAAAATCTCAACCGTGAAAGGAGCGCCTGAAGAGCTTGAGTGTCACCAGATTGTTTCTCAAGCAGCCTCACAGAGACACGTTATCTTGATGAATTTTCCACAATCCAAAATTTGGTCCATGGCCTTGCAGGCTCAGAAATCTGTCAGCAAAGCTGGAGTAAATTTACATCTCAGAAGTGGACTTACAACTCAATGAACACAAAATACTGTTGATTGATATCAAGATGCAAATATATTAATTTGCAATAAGACCTATAAATGCCAGATGGACTAAAACAGTCCTGAGGGCAAGCTGGCACATTTTCTTTCTGTGGTCAGATCAAGATGGGAGCCAAGTCACAATCAGAAGCCTTGGTGTTTAAAAATATAAATTGGAATGAAAAGAATACATTAAATAAATCAAATGCAAGACTAGAATTCAGATTCTAACTCCATTACTTCCTGATTTACTTTGATATTTCCCAGTAGGGATAGGTATGTAACCTACCAGACTCACCAAGCTCTAAGGGTCCACTTTCAAGGGGTGGCCTTGGCTGGAGGCTGCCTGCAGACTTGACCTGTGTGGCTAATCAGTCTTCTGATTGACATGTTAATATCTAACTCTGGGAGAAAAAGCTATGTTAAAATGAAAAAAGTAATATGTGAAAATGTTACTCTAAGGTAACATTTTCTCTTTCTGCCAATTTAAAGGCTATTTGAATGCTATTTACAGGCATCATCAGATTCTTTCTTTCTTTCTTTTCTTTGCCTTTATTTTTTGTTGTCATTCTATGTTTTCTGTCCGTACCACTATTACCAAACTAGTCTAGGTCCTCATCTCCTCATGGCAAGGTCGTAACTGGTCAACTTATTTCAAATCTCTCTCGTCCAACTCCAAAGAATATTACTATATAAATCTACTTTAAATTATGGTTTAATACATACCCTTTTTTATTTTCCCACCTTCTTTCATACCAAAAACTTTCAATGACTCCTACTGCCTTCAAAGTTAAGTCTGAATTGTTTAGCATGGCATTCAAATTCCTTCACATCTGGGCCCAACTTATTGTTACTTTTCTACTGCATGAACTCTCCACTCCAGCCAAATCTACTGACTCCCAACAGTCCATGTGCACCCATAAATCCATGCCTTGCTCATTCCTGGAGTCACCTCAAGCTCTGCCTCCTCTTTGAAGGTATCTCTGAAAGTACAGATTAGAAAATGACCCATTCATTCTTTAGAGTCATTTGGCAGTGAGTGTTCTGGAAAGTGACTATTAGCTGTAGATAGCCTATCTCCTCAATTAGAATGTAAACTTAAGGATGAGAACAATACATTTTGCCTTTTATGTATACCGTATCCTCAGTGTCTTGATATCATGGGTGCTCAAAAAATCAATGCTTAGAACTTGTCTTGTCCATTTGTAGCAAAAACTGCTAAACTTCTTCAGAGTCTAAGACAGAACTTAAAAAGTATTGCCCTTAACAGAAGAGAAGAGCTGCCTCTTGAAGTATCTTTGGGAGTCAAGAAGTTTATGGCTTCTTCTAGGCCTTTGGTATGATTTCACCAAATTAACACATTTCTCCACATCCTCATTCTCTCTGTATACTGTGTAATATTTCAGTGTAGCCTTGAAAGCCTGGTAGTCTCCCTGTTGGTTTCAAAGTAAAGAGCTAGCTTCAAGAATAGACTAGGCCTCTGATACATAAAGATTGTAATCAGGACACTTAGCAGGAAGGATGATACAGGAGGTAGTTATACAAAAAAGCAAAGCAAAGAATAGGCCCCTGCAGTATGATGATGAGGGTGATAAAAGTCTTAAGAGATGAAAAGATAGATTTGTAAAGTTTAATGAAATAGCAAAAGGATCCAGAAGGAAATATCTTAAGCTATTTTTAGATACCATTTAGCTTTTCAGCATTCTCATGGGTAATCATACCTTGGTCTCAAGTCTGATAGGAAAGAGCTTTAAAAAAAACCACCAGATATTTGTCTAATACAATCAGCTGATTTGCAATAATATCTAAGAAAATTAACAGTTGCTTTTATTTCACACCAAAGTACTACTGCTCATGGGGAGGGCATCCAGCATGTTGTCAACAGGGTCTTCGGTGATTATGAAAGACATGAAAATAATACACGCCATCTCTTATTTCATGGAATTTGGCAACTCCACATCAGAAATGTTGGGGAGCAGTCTGGCTAAGCCTTGAAAGTAGGAATGAGAAACCCAATTCAAAGTGGAATGAAGGTGATAATCTCTCCCAGGAAGGAGGAAATTGCTGGATTAAACAGAGATAATTAAGCCTAATTAGTGACTTATAAAGACACAAACAAAATAAAAAATAGTTTACTTATAGTAAATAAAAGAAAAAGCTATGTTAAAATGTAGAAAGTAATAATTTTCCTGGGCAAGAAAGAATGAATGCTTAGAAGTAGAAGATTAAGAAAGAGTTTTATAAGGTACCTGATTTGCTCTCTTAATGTTAAAATAAAATTAGAAACAAATTATGCTTATATTGAATTAAAATTATAATACTATATTCTATTGTTTCATATACAGATTAATGCATGATATTAGAGGGGAAATTTTTGTTAAATACATCTAACATTAAAAATAACACAAAACAAAATTTGTAAAAACTTTGCTTCCATTTTATATTTCCAGGAAAAGTGTTTCCTATTGATATTGATTTCCTTTTTTCTTTCCTTCTTGAGACAAAAAATCCTAGAATTCTAATTTAATTTAAAACAGAATCCTAAAAGTATATGGGAATGTGGAAACCATTGCATATATTCCCATGATTTCCCAGCATAAGCACACTAAGATAAGTCTAATGAGGGGATGAGTGTTTCTTTTTATTTGAAAATATGTACAAAAAGGAGCTTCCATGGCCTCCTCTAAAACTCTTTTCAACCCACAAAAATGTTTCTTCTGTTTAGGCAATATTTCATGTGTTAATGTAGAGAAATTCTCATAATACATAGACAAGATCTGATTATGAAGTAATGTGCTACAGGCCGCCCATGAGGGTAAATTTTACCACTTTATGATCATGTAAGCTGTTTACTCGTGTATCTGCAAATATGGCTTTTGTTTTAAAATTTAGTTTTCTATGTTTGCTGTTTTGTACACAAATATTCCATTTGCCAACTAAATTTTTTATGTACAGATTAATCACATAGTGTATATGTCACATTTTGATATAGTTCAGGCCTGGCACGGAGGCTCACACCTGTAATTCCAGAGCTTTCAGAGGCTGAGGCAGGAGGATCCCTTGAGCCCAGGAGTTTGAGACCACCTTAGGCGGACAATGTTGAGACTCTGTCTCTACAAAGAATAAAATTAGCCAGGCATGGTTGTGTGTCCTAGCTACTTAGGAGGCTAAGGCAGGATGATCCCTTGAGCCTAGGAGTTCAAGGATGCAGTGAGAATTGAGCCACTCCACTTCACTACACTCCAGCCTGGGTGATAATGTTAGCCCCAGTCTCCATAAATGTATAAAATATAGTTCTCTCTGTTCTAAGGCAGAGGTGGTAGGTAAAGGGTTAAATACAGCCTATTTACTTGAGATTTTATCTTTCCCTAAAGAGATTCTTATGAACATTTAAATTTTCCTCATTTTGAATAAGAACATCAATTCCTCATGTTGCAAATTGCAGTCTTCCTCAGGAAACATGTACTCACTATCTACCTCACACACTAAAAAAGATTTTCCACCTTCACTCAACTTTCCATGTACTAATAGAGTAACCTAGATTTTAAAATGAGTCGCATCCCACATTGAAAAATGTAGGAACATGGATTTTAAGAAGGCAAGCTTTCTACTCTAAGAGACTTTTCTTTCAAGTTTACATGTTTAAATTGTGTGATAGTAAATTTCAATGCTGACAATTTAAGTTGTTTTGGAGGTATTTGGGCTATAAATATTCATGCATGCCTGTTGATTTTCAAATCAGAAATGAATCTGAAGACTATGAGAATTTAAAAATGGCACTTTAAAGCCTGCCATATGAGTCATTTTTATTTTTTAGAGTACCGACCCAATAGAACCTAAATGGTTTTACAACCTTCTGAAGTCTATGGGTAATATTGTTTCTCATTTGGTTTCATACTACAATTTCTTCTAAAGAACATGGATGCACTTGGCTGCACACATATAAAATGTATTAATTATGTTTCTATCCTTTTATAACCAATTTTTTACAAACTGAGCTGAGCAGTAACAATTCCATCAGAAAAACACATGTCGTCAATCTTCTTTGTGTGTGTGCTTTATTTTAGAGTCAAATGGTTATCTTATTAAAGTTGTGAGAAACCAAATCTTGAAATCCCCTCTTTTTAATAACAATTATTTTACACATAACTAAAGATTTAATTTAAAATTATACAATCCAGGTACACATTAGAGGACGACTGAAGTGCAATCAATTACTTCTAAAACTAATCTCTAATACTATGACTTGGCAGATCAAATGTTTAACTTTTTAAAATGTTTCTTAATAGGAATAGATATATTTCTATTACATATATATATTCCTATTATATATATAGTATGCCTTCCTTAATCTCTTTTGCAATGATACCTTGATTTTAACCCAAACATTTACATTAAAAAAGTAATTTTCCTTTTTATAAAGCCACGAAGTGAGTTACAAGTATTTCCCTTAACAAAAGTTTATAAAATATTTACCTTGAAGCAGTCTAAAAAGAAAACATGTAATTGTGGATCAGATGAAAGTTAAACTCCACTTGAAACAAGAGAGGATTATCATAAACATACCTTGTCCTTGGGTTACTCCATAAAATTCAGCTGCTATCCTTGCCGCTTCCTTGCGGTTGCCTTTCACTATGTAGAAATGACTGAGGATGGCAAGGCTGATTTTCACAAAAAGCTTAAAACAGAACAGCGAAAGTATTGTAAAGTAGACATTGGATAATTGTTGAGCAAACGGCCGATTTTCTTCTAACACCGACATTGCTGCAGAAGAATCTGCGGCGGTCTTTAGTTGGATCCAAGTCTCAAATGTGCCTGGCTCTCGTCCGGGATGCTCCTGAACAGCTGGTCCTGAGGAAAGAAAATATCAGCTGGTAGTGATGCCTACAGCTCAAAATATTTATACACTCCATAAAAGTTCTTCGCAAACTCCTATTGGTCTGAAAATATTCCATGGAAGCAATTGCATCACGTGTCACAAGTCTCCTGACTTTCCATTCTCAATATAAAATGACACTCCACCTCTGTGCTCCAAATTTCAAAATCCAGATATTGAAATATATATGCATATCCTTTCCATTTTATATATTTAGTTATCAAGAACAATTTGAAGACAGTGTATGGGGTTCCCATTGTTAATGTAAATGATATTCATATCGAGTAAAGTTGTCTATCATTTAAGGCTTTAAAATGGCACTGTACTATTTGTAGACCATGAGCTAAATCAGTACACAGTCCATGGCTTGTATTTTAATGACTACTCATCAAATTAACCAATTATGTTATTTTTACTGATTTAAAAAAACATTTTTCTTACAAGTCATTACACTGGAACATCACAGATTAATAACTTAACACGGTTCCTTCATCCAATGGACACTTTTTAAGAACTTGGTATGTGTCAAACCCTTTGCTAGATTTTGAAGTGACAAAGACAAGTAGAATGGTCCCTGCCACAAGGAACTTAGAGTCTAGTGGAGGAAATGGAAAAGAAATCAGGTAAATATAAAGAAGGTAAAAACAGGTATTAAGGGAGCACAAAGAGGAAGCATGTAAACCTGGGAGGGAGGTGTCAGAAAAGACATATCCAAAAGAATTATCAAGTAAACATACGCATTTCATCAAGACTGTCCAAAACCAAGGAAAACAATATACATTTTAGGCCTATAATCTTTGTTAACCCAAATATGTTTTATTCATTAATGAAATGCATCTGTATATAGGTATCCTTAGGCAACTTATATTTTAAAAGAGAAATAGAATAAATTATTAAGAAAATGACATACAGCAGCAATATTTTGGCATTTAAGCCAAAAATGATATGCCAAAATACAAAATATCATTTCTTACAGGGAGCTTAGTTACATATTTCTATGACTGGGTTTGGGGCCTGTTGATTGTGGTACTTGCTTCCTAATTCATTTGAGAAGTTCCAAAATAACAAAAAACAAACATAAGAAAATAGAAGTGGCCATTCTTGGAATAAGGAGCATACCCATGACTGGTCATACTAGTAAGTGTTGTGTGCTTCTCTCCCTCGGTGTATCCATTTTATGCTGAGTATCTTAACTGACTGGACAGATTTACCTGACACATTCCAACACAGGAGAAATGGCTGTAAAATAAATATGTCAAATAAAGCAGGCTGCTTCTTTCCCCAATGAATGAATGGCTCTCAGAAAATAATAATAATAATAATTAGATCTATATATTAGAAAGAAATTACCAAGCTTCTTATGAAAATGGCCCCTGGTATCATTTTCAGAGGCAGAATACTGGCTAGGCAGACATTAATTAGACCCAGTGTGCCATTTCATATGTGCTTTGGGAGTCAGTGAAAATTAACTTCAAATAGAAGATTAACAAAATGTTCCTCTCTTTCACTACTGGTAAGACTGTGTCAGTTGAGTCAATACATGCTGATTCTTCTATGGTGAGTCTTCCCTCTGGCATGATGATGCCTGACTCCACACTAGAGAGGTATGCCCGTGGACAGCTGGGCCATCACAGTGCTCTGAGTCACTGCAGACTTCCTCTTCAGTGCTTCGGGATCAGAAATAAAACCTGCCTTAGTCACGTCTAAGTGCCCATCTAAGGTTTCAGTCCTTTCTCTTTACCAGTAAGTGCTATCATAAATAATTGTCTTCGCATGAGCTAATCAGGAGCCTGGATTCTTTGGGGTTAAGAAACATTTTCATTTCACTAAGGCTGGAATCATCGGTGCATTAAGTTTAAATCCTTCTAGTTTTACTAATACAAAAAACTACAGTATAATATTTAGGATTTTATGTCAAGATATCAGGTTTTGTTTTTATGAATTACTTGATTCCCATTTGTATGTTCTGTTGGTATACTCTCCCTCAGCAAATTTCACCCTCTCTGAGTCTGCTAATTACTAAATAAAAATTAAGCCCAAATAAAATGACTCATAGCATACGAATTCTTCAAGTGGAAATTAGATGCTGTATTTTTCATATTATAAACGCTTCCAAATAACACTATGAACAACTCTGTTAATACTTAAAAGACACATAACCACATTAAAAGTATTGTGCATCTATTTTCCTGGCATTTTCATTTCGTCAGGAAAATAAAATATTGATTAGTCATTGAAGTGACTTACTGAGATAAATGTTTTTATAATATACCATGTTGAGAGACTGTGGTAGCAAGGTCTAGTTGATTAGCTCAGTATATCTCAACTTTCCTAATTTTGTTAGCTTCGATCAATCAGTCAAACTAAAGTGTTGAAACTGAACTCAACATTGTAGTACTAGAATGAATGATGTGAGAAAAGTTAAAACATAGGAAAAATCATTTATTGAGGGTACGTTGGATGCTACATGCATATATTTATTTATTTATGAATTTATTTCATCTTAGGGGGGTGAATATTATTATTCACATTTTAAAAATGAGAAAAGTTGGGCTCAGAGAGCTTTAGAGACCTATAAAAGTTAATTATAAAGAACAACACTATTTGAACATAGTTCTAACTAAAATACATGCTCAAGTTGCCTCTAAAATTTTCTATTTTTAAGCACTTACAATCTGATTGAGCAAATACGACTCATACATACAGAGATTGAGACAGAGTCACACAGATTCACAGACACATACACATACTGCCCCCACCCACGACACACACAGAAGAGATCATACAAGATTATATGTAATCAGGAACCTAAATTACTCCAGTAAGCTGCATACATGCTACAATGATTAAATAAGATGGAACTTTATGTGCGCTTACTAAGTGGGAATAAAGAAAGAGGGGCTAATACTGTTGGACTATTCAAAGCTAAGTGTTGGTGAGTGGTTTCCACTAAAACAACAGAAAGTCAAGTAAGGTAGTTGAGAGTTAGTACATTAAAAAACATTGAGCGTTCAAGGTAGGGTCCAGTGATTAAGAACTATTAGGTTGGTGTAAAAGTAATTGCGGTTTTTGCAACTGCTTTTAATGGCAAAAATCGCAGTTATTTTTTCACCAACCTAACAAAAGGATGAGGATAAAGGAAAGGATGTTGAGTCTGGCCAGAAGAAGTTCACTGATGACCTTCAACTCAGTATTTTAATAAAATAATGGAGTGGGAATCAGGACATCAGTGTTCAGGGGATGATCCTTACAGCAGCTCCTCAAGAAGAAACGCTCCCTGGCTTTCCTCCTGCTGTCACCTTTTTAGGAACTGCCTCTTTTTCTCACCTCCATGCAGGTATCAGAGGACAGACTGTACAGCCGACCCCTAGGACTCCCCACCTTCCTCCTTTCGAGTCTCTTGCTCACTCTTCTCCTTCAGTGTCCCAGAGTACTACACGAATTGTTGCTGTGTTTTAGGGACTTTGCTTCATGTCACTCAGAAGTTGAATATGAAAATGACTTTCAAATATAACCAGATTAGCCTTTAAATTCTCATAAAAGAGGGAATTTTGCATCTAGAGATTATGGGGCTAAACTGTTTTGACTTAGCTACAGTATTGATCCAAGCTATTAGATTGAAAATATCAATGGGTTATAATAAAAATTGCGTGTTTCTAGTGCTTTCCAGTTGCTAAATCTTAACAGGAGGGAAATATAGTGACCCACCTTCGATGACCTTTTTTTTTTTTTTTTTTTTTCTTGAGACAGGGTCTTGCTCTGTCACCCAGGCTGGAGAGTGCAGTGTCATGATGACAGCTCACTGCAGCCTCGACCTCCCAGGCTCAAGCAGTCCTCCCACCTCAGCCACTGTAGTAGCTGGGACTACAGGCATGAGCCACTGTGCCCAGCCCTTTAAAAAAATGTCTGGTAGACATCTAAAGGCTCTAATTGACTTTTTTTATTCCTAATATTCCAAAAAACAAAACCACAGGGATACATTCAAACAGCAAGGTTGCTAATGTTCAGCATAATGGCGACATGTTCCTAGCCCTAGAACAGGGTTGTTGAGGATTATTTGTATACAGTGAATACAAACTAAGAAAAGTCATATACCCATAAATTTGAAGGCCAATGATGGCTGATAAAGGGAAAGAGAAAAAAGTATGCAAGTTGTCACGGTAATATATTCACTATTGCATTTAAAACACTACTGAAAACATAATCCTCATTTTTTTTGTTTTGTGAAATCTCGTGAGAAAAAAAAATAAAGGCAAATGGAACCCTTAGATGTTCATTTGGTCTCTTGCCATACTACCAGTATGATGGAACAAAAGAGTAATTTCTGCTAGCATTGTGATAATCCATCAAAAAGATATTTAGCCACAAAAAGGGTCATTAACTTAGACTGCATCCAGGTTCTTTGGAGAAAATCACTAGCTTTCCCCAGAACACAGAACAGCCTTTCTCCTAAAAATTGAGTTACATCAAACATCACATATTGAGATCTGCCCTAACTAGAAATTGCTTTAGGTTAAATGAGCTCTATTCGTATATATATGTTGTCCAGAAAAACTTGGCTGAAAGCTGGTAGTTCTGCATATATAAGAGTTTAAAAAATAGATTTCTTAAAACCATTAAAATTCTTGCTATATGCCAAGAAATTTTCTACACAGTTTATTAGAATGAAATGTTAGGAATTTGGTTTTTTGTTTTCTTATAAACCCAGCATTTCTTTAATGGATCGTATCTTGCCCAACCTAAGTCCATGTACTTATCTCCCGGCTCTCGAGAAGGTTACTTGACCAAAACTAGCCAAGAAAGATATTTCTGGGACTTCTGCTGGAGTTTTGGAAAAAGTGCTCTTCCTCTGCAGGGGGAGGCTAAGATAGCAAGATCTAAGCTTAAAGATGCTGGAGGTATAACTGACAGTAAAGAAATAGCTCGCCTAGGAATTCAGCCAATAAAAAGAAATGCACAGCTGAGATTTGAAAAGGCAGCATCACGGTACCTTCATTGGAGCACCTGGATCTAGTTAGTTGCACCTGAAGTAGCTGATCTGACAGTAATATAGATTTGACAGTAATATGAAGTAATAAAGTCATTTTTGCTGTTGTTAATCAAATCAATTTGAATTGAGGGCTTCTCTCACTTGTACGGAAAAAAAACCCCTGATATATTTATATTTTCTGGAGTCCTTGTAAAGAGAAATTATGAAGCGGGTATCATTATCCCTTCTGTACAACAGATGAAGAAACAGAGACTGAAAGAAGGTAAGGAATTTGCACAAGATTATACATCTTGAAGTGGAAGTACTGAGATTCCCACCCAGGTTTTTTGCCCTGCAGTGCCTCTCAGGTTATTATTCAGATGTTAGTGTTGAAACATGGATAATTGCCTGGTTTAACCACTGTCCTCTGAGGTAGCCACACCCTGTGATCTACAGTGTACATTTGTGCCCTGTGTGGGTTATAAATAGCCTTTGGCTAAATAGTGGAGTATGTCACTGGGCCAAAGCTGATGTGCCTCACCCAAATCTTCTATGATTAAGAATTTGTTCTAACCATCTCATTTTAACTAACCACATATTTGAAAGACTATTGAAAGGGAAACCTTTCAATGACATCATTTTGAAGATCCAAAGCATGGGACTACATTAGAAGTGAAATGATACCACAGTGATCTTTCCAGTACTTCCAGCATAGCAATTTTTTTTTTTTTTTTTTTTTTTGAGATGGAGTCTTACTCTGTCGCCCAGGCTGGAGTGCAGTGGCACTATCTGGGCTCACTGCAGCCTCCATCTCCCAGGTTCAAGCGATTCTCCTGCCTCAGCCTCCTGAGTACCTGGGATTACAGGCGCATGCCACCATGCCTGGCTAATTTTGTATTTTTTAGTAGAGACAGGGTTTCACCATGTTGGCCAGGCTGGTCTTGAACTCCTGACCTCAGGTGATCCGCCCGTCTCGGCCTCCCAAAGTGCTGGGATTACAGGCATAAGCCTCCGCATCAGGCCCTGCATAGCAATTTGATCAGCATTCTTATACACGTGTATGAATTAATAATGATCATTTCTTGAGGTAAAATATATGATTTACCCTGGAACATGGCCAATTGGCTAATAAAATTGGGGTCTAGGAGGACCCTGTTTAGGATTCTAAGATTATAGTTTCTTTAACAACATAAGTACTGCCTTGTGTGCATGCATTTCAAATCTATTTTAACTCCAGTTATGAATTTTAGAGAAAAAAATTATATTTTAAACATGTTCTTATTAGACTTATAAATTTAATACTTTTTATATAACATGAGCAATACTAGTACATAGTTCACCTTTCTCCAGCAGTTTACACAGTCAACTTAGTACTCTTCCTGCTTCCATCTCCCAGCTCCCTACGATCCCATAGAATATGAGCAAAGGGGAGCCTCAGCACATGTCTGCTGGGGCTGCAGGAGTCACTCTGGTGACCACCACTCAGCCTCTGGCTAGTCCCTGCTAGCCTCTGGTGCTTCTATCCTGGAGGAAGGAAGATAAGCACTAGTCATGCACTAGCTGGTAATATTCCCATCTTCATACTTGCAGGCAATAATACAAACCTGGAAATTGGGAACCTGTCAGCTGTCTGGGGAATTCAGCATCTGGCTGAGTCCCCTCTCCCTCATCCCCACTGCAGCGAGGCAAGCAGGAGGTAGAATTTATTCTTCCACCTGTGTATAGAAGACAGAAAATGAGCTGGGCTTCATCTTTTCCTTGTTAAGCTTAATGGGATAAAATAATATGTGAAAAGGATACTACATATTCAACCTTGCTCTAATTTCAAATATCTTACCCAGTGTAGTAAAACATAAACTAAGTTCAAGTATTGCCTCTACCATAGATGTGTAATCTTGGACGATCTGGTAACCCTCCCTGCACCTCCACTTCCTTACCTGTAAAGAGTTCCATGATAAAAGTATCTACTTCACATGTTGGGAGGTTTAAATGCAATAATTCATATGAAGCACTCACTCGCCTGCACTGTAAGAGCTCAACAAATATTAGCTACATTGTAATTATTACTTTTACTTTGTTATTTAAGTTAAATTAGAATCTGTTGCATGCCAGGCACTGAAATTTTACTGTGTGCTTGTCTAGTGAAATGTCCAACTTCCAATAGTACCATACTCACTGCCTACTGTAGACATGTAACTATATAAAGGAAATCAATCAGCCCCCCTCTGGTGTTAGGAAATATATCCATTTCTATAATCAGAATTCATAACCAATGTTATATATAAAACAAATGATGTATTTTTTGCTCCATGGTATGAAAGATAGCTGTAACTTCTTAAGAAATGTACACATCACAAATATTCTGAGTAATTTCATCTTCCCAGGCTCCATAACAAAGTCACTCAATAGTTTGATATATCCTGGGAAGACAGCAGATATTTTGGGTTTTAGAAATAAAACATATCCCACACTGGCATCCATGGCTCCTGATTTAAGAAATCAAGGCTCTGGAACTGGGAACTCTTACCTGAAGATGTGATCGTGGCAATGATAATAAGAATAGTAACAGCAAATACATCTTGTTGTATATTACCGTAACCCTAACGCAACCCGTGAATTAACTGAAGTTGTACCAGTAGGGAAATGAAGACAACAAAAAGTACACGGCCACCTTAAAGCCTCGACATTTGCTCTGATGAGCATCTAGCAGCTGACATGCTGTATGTCCCAGGAAAATCAGGATAAGTCAGCAGAAAGTGGTAGGCAGGCAGGGCAAGGTCTTCAGAAGAACTAGTTGCTCTAGTTATGAGCCGTGTGAACTCAGGCAAGTTCCTTAATCCCTCTGAGCCTGTTTTCTCAACGATGAAAACAGGAAAATAGTTATGTTACAGGCCCATTGGAAGGGTGTATGAGAATATGCCCTGCATTTTTAATTTCCTTTTAAAGGCAGCCCCGCAACTGGTGAGCCCCTGATTTTATCCTTTTCAAAAACAGTAAACAAACCTGCCCCAGAGTAATTTTTCAAACTCCAGCTTACCGCTACCAAATAACTGCAGCTTACTGCTCCGCGTCGCAAGTCAAGATGTGGCTCCTTCATTCACACACATCTCTTGAGCGCTTCCCGTGTGCCAGGTGCTATAGGGCACACAACAGTGTGGGGATTACAGCAGCGAGCAGGCAGGTGAGGACTGTGCTGTCATAGTGTTAAACTCATCAGCTGACACAGTCGGGACTTGCAGCAAGTAAAATACCCAGTTTTTCAAGCAATCGATTTTCTCTCGATCCTGCACTTTGTTTTGCTCTTTCCTTTATCTAGTACCAGAATGTCAAATCAATAAAAAGTCGAGTGAAGCCTTTATTTGTCCACCAACCTCAGCATTAGTTTAATGTTTATATTCTCTCCTTGTCTTTCTCACTTGGACAATTCTCAAGCCTCTATTTTGCTTTCCAGTTACATTCTGGCTTCATTTTTTTTTTTTTTTTTTTTTTTTTATGGTAACTGCCTCCGAGCTTGGCTTGGTCACACTTTCTATGTAGAGTCCTTTGGGGAGCTCCCCCGCCTGGCCTCTGTCTGTAATATCACCAAAGGCAGTAATGGGCTTTGGCAGTGTTTTGCAAAGACCAACAAAGATGAATATCATTATACTGAGGTCCATGAAACCAAGATCAGATTTTTTTTGTGAATGGCAAGGGAAGGCAGACTGCACAAGAACACTGAAGGGACTGAACTCTTCAGCCTCTTGCATATTTATCACATGAATTTGGCAACTCATACATGGAGAGAATGAAAACTCGCTCCCCGAACAAGTGAGGAAACATTCATGAGGAACCGAATGGGGTCGACAGGTAAGCACGCTTTGCCCATATTTGACTTGTGGAGAGTCTCTTCAGTTTACCAACCTTGCTACTCAAATGAGCACATTTTATATGTACCTAATTTTTGTGCAATGGTTTACTGTAAAGAACATTTGCAGCATATGAAAGGGGCCTGGTCGTTTATTCTAAGGTTATATGAGATTATGTTGGAGGCATTCCTTGCCACATATGAACATCTCTAGAAAGGCAGCATTGCCTCTGGAGGAGGAGCACCTTGGTTTGAATCTTAACTCTCCTACTTTTCCTCCTGTGACCTCGGGAAGTTAATTAACCTTTCTATGCCTCCATTTCATAATTCGTAAAATGCGAATACTAATAATAACTATCTCAATAGGTTGTCAGAATGATTAAATATTAAATATGTCAGTACTTAAAAGTATTTGGAATAATGTCTAGCACATACTAAGTGCTTTATAAAAATTTGTTAAATAAATAAGTTTTGAAATAACAAAATATATGACAAGTAAAACCAACTGTTGAAGACCAAGTTGGAAGATGAAGCCTGGTACGTAGCTTGGTGTAAGAAACTCCAATAACATAGCTATATCCTAAGTTTAAATATGAATGGCCTCTCATTACCCACAAGAAATTAAAATTCAAAGGAATCCTGAGCATGTTCATAAAAGATATATTCATATTAACCAAAACTGAAAACAACTCAAATTTTCATCAAGAGGAAACAAACTAACTCTGGTACATTTACATAACATAATACAGTAGAACAATAAAAGGAATAAGCTACGAATATGTGCAAAATGTAGATGAATCTCAAAAACTTACTTTGAGCAAGAGTACGTTATATGATTTATTTTATATGAAGTTTAAAGTCAACAACATAAATATATGACTATTGAAATTAAAGGACATTGCTGCGGGGGATAGGATGAGTTGGAGATTTGACTAGAAGAGGAAATGTGGTAACTTTCCAGGAATATTGGAACATCATCTGTCTTTCAGTGATGGTAACATGGGAATACACATTTGGGGGAAAAAACCCTCAACAAATTTTTATTTAAGATGTGTGCAATTCTACACTGTGTAAATTATACTGCAATTAAATAAAAACTATATTGCAAAGATAAATAAATCTTCAGTTCTGGTAACGGCAGGCTAGTTAATTCAGAACAAACCTCCCATTGGAGACAATGATTTCTAGATGAAACATTAAACCATGCTTCTAGTTGCATCTAAAAGCTATAAAGAAAATGAGAAAGCATCAGACCAAGAATCCAGGACAAATAGAAAATCCAAAGAGGAGAGCATGGACTCTGGGACCACTTTTTTTTTCAGGTGCCTTTTTATTTTACTTTTTTATTTTTATTATTATTATTTATTTTATTTTAAGTTCTGGGATACAAGTGTAGAACGTGTAGGTTTGTTTTACATAAGTATACGTGTGCCATTGTGGTTTGCTGCACCTATCAACCCATCATCTAGGTTTTAGGTCCCACATGCATTAGCTATTTGTCCTAATGCTCTTGCTCCCTCACCCTCCAACCCCCCACTGGCCCCGGTGTGTGATATTCCCCTCCCTGTGTCCATGTGTTCACATTGTTCAACTCCCACTTATGAGTGAGAACATGAGGTGTTTGGTTTTCTGTTCCTGTGTTCATTTGCTGAGGATGATGCTTCCAGCTTCAACCATGGCCCTGCAAAGGACATTATCTCATTCCTTTTTATGGCTGTATAGTATTCCATGGCATATGTGTACCACATTTTCCTTATCCAGTCTATCATTGATGGGCATTTGGGTTGGTTCCAAGTCTTTGCTATTGTAAATAGTGCTGCAATAAACATCCATGTGCATGTTCTTTATAGTAGAATGATTTATATTCCTTTGGGTATACACCCAGTAATGGGATTGCTGGGTCAAATGGTATTTCTGGTTCTAGATCCTTGAGGAATCACCACACTGTCTTCCACAATGGTTGAACTAATTTAAATTTCCACCAAAAGTGTAAAAGTGTTCCTATTTCTCTGCAGCCTCACCAGCATCTATTATTTCTTGACTTTTTAATAATCACCATTCTGACTAGTGTGAGATGGTATCTCATTGTGGTTTTGATTTGTATTTCTCTAATGATCAGTGATGTTGAACTTTTTTCATATGTTTGTTGGCCGCATAAATGTCTTCTTTTAAGAAATGTCTGTTCATATCCCTTGCCTCCTTTTTGATGGGGTTGTTTTTTTCTTGTGAATATGTTTAAGTTCCTTGTAAATTCTGGATACTAGACCTTTGTCAGATGAGTAGATTGCAAAAATTTTCCCCCTTTCTGTAGGTTGCCTGTTCACTTTGATGATAGTTTCTTTTGCTGTGCAGAAGCTCTTTATTCTAATTAGATCCCATTTGTCAATTTTGGCTTTTGTTGCCATTGCTTTTGGCGTTTTTGTCATGAAGACTTTGCCCATGCCCATGTCCTGAATGGTATTGCCTAGGTTTTCTTCTAGGGTTTTTATGGTTTTGGGCTTTACATTTAAGTCTTTAATCCATCTTGAGTTAATTTTTATTTAAGATGTGTGCAATTCTACACTGTGTAAATTATACTGCAATTAAATAAAAACTATATTGCAAAGATAAATAAAGGAAGGGGTCCAATTTCAGTTTTCTGCATATGGCTAGCCAGTTTTCCCAGCACCGTTTATTAAATAGGGAATCCTTTTCCCATTGCTTGTTTTTGCTGAGACCACTTTTGCTCCAGGAACATTTGCTATGAGGAAGAGATGGCAGGGAGATAAAGCAATCCTCATACAGTCTCTTCAGGAAAGCGGAAATAAAAGTTGAAGAAACAGGCCTACCAAGATTGAGGACCATAGCAAATGGAATGCTGAACACTTAGACTTGACATCCAGAAGAGCTGAAATCTAGCAGTAAGAATGAGTAAGCCAGAAGTACATGAGCCCCTTCAATGTCTGCATGGGCAATAAAATTTTAATCCTTGAAATTGGATTAAGGTGATTCAAGATTGCTAGTGCCCATAGGCACCTAACAAAAAGAAACAATGCTCTCTGGAGGAAGGTAATGTTCTAGGGCCTAAATTTTTCTATACATGTTTTTCAAACAGGGTTAGGATTCATTCAAAAATAATAAGGAAACACACAGAAAGACACATCAATATGAATGAGAACTAGCACAAACAGATATAGACCCATAGGTATTTCAGATAGTGAAGATAAATTTATTTAGTATTTTATTAAGCTCACAAAGATAGAAGTCAAATTTTAACATTTCAGCAGAAAAGTGGAATCTTTAAAAAGAACATCACAGATTTAAAGCAAAAGAAAAAAATGAAAATGAAAAGAAAAAGAGAAACCCTAGAACTAGAAAACATAGTGTCTAAAATTAGTAACTCAATGGTTGGGTGTATCATCAGCAGATAGATGTAACTCATAGTTAGCACCTCTGAAGATGTCAGGAGAAACTACCCAAGATGAAAGAGACGGAAGCAAGAACAGGAGGAATTGAGGATATAATTAGAAAACCTAACATATATTTAATAGAGGTCATAGATTTAAAAAATGGCCAACAGCAAAATTTGCAAATGTAATGGCTGAGAATTTTGCAAATCTAATGAAAGCTATCAATCCACACATTGAAGAAGCCCAATGACTCCCAAGCAAGCTAATTAAAAATAAAAATCTGGGCCAGGTGTGGTGGCTCAGGCCTGTAATCCCAGCACTTTGGGAGGCCAAGGCGGGTGGATCATGAGGTCAAGAGATTGAGACCTTTCTGGCCAACATGGTGAAACCCCTTCTTTACTAAAAAAAGAAAATACAAAAATTAGCTGGGCATGGTGGTGCTTACCTGTAGTTGGAGCTACTCCGGAGTTTGAGGCAGAATAATCACTTGAATCCAGAAGGCAGAGGTTGCAGTGAGTCGAGATCGTGCCACTGCACTCCAGCCTGGTGAAAGAGCGAGACTCCATCTCAATAATAAATAAATAAAAAAATAAAAATAAAAATCTGGGCTGGGGGCAGTGGCTCATGCCTGTAATCCCAGCACTTTGGGAGGCCGAGGTGGGTGGATCACGAGGTCAGGAGTTCGAGACCAGCCTGGCCAAGATGGTGAAATGCCATCTCTACTAAAAATACAAAAATTAGCCAGGCACAGTGGTGGGTGCCTGTAATCCCAGCTACCCGGGAGGCTGAGTCAGAAGAATCGCTTGAACCCGGGAGGCAGAGGTTGCAGTGAGTCGAGACAGTGTCACTGCACTGTAGCCTGGGTGACAGAGCAAGACTCCGTCTCAAAAATAAATAAATAAATAAAAAATAAAAATCTGATATATGCTGAGGAGGCGGGGCCAAGATGGCCAACTAGAAGCAGAGGCCGTGGGGGGCTCCTATAGAAAAAGAAAAAACAAGGCATAATAAATGTGTGAAGCCTTCACTGGCAACCAAGGTATCCAGGTTCTCTCATCAAAATTGACTAGAAGGCTGGCATGACCCACGGAGAGAAGGTTAGGGTTCAAGTGATTCTCCTGCACCATCCTCCCAAATAGCTGGGATTACAGGTGCCTGCCACCACACCCAGCTAATTTTTTGTATTTGTAGAGACAGGGTTTCACCATGTTGGTCAGGCTGTTCTTGAACTCCTGACCACAGGTGATCCACTCCAACCCAAATACCCATCAATGATAGCCTGGATAAAGAAAATGTGGTACATATACACCATGGAATACTATGCAGCCATAAAAAGGAATGAAATTACGTCCATTACAGAGACATGGATGAAGCTGGAAGTGATCATCCTCAGCAAACTAACACAGGAACAGAAAACCAAACACCACATGTTCTCACTCACAAGTGGGAGTTGAACATTGAGAACACATGAACACAGAGTGGGAAACAACACACACCAGGGCCTGTTGGGGGGTGGGGGGGGGTGAGGGGAGGGAACTCAGAGGACAGGTCAATGGGTACAGCAAACCACCATGTCACACGTATACCTATGTAACAAACCTGCACGCTCTGCACATGGTTCCCTTTTTTTTTTAGAAGAAATAAAGAAAAAATAAAAATAAACAATAAAAATCTTCCTTGTCAAGAACTGTGAAGAATGTGAGACTTTACACTATTTGTAATCTAGTAAGTTAGGCTGCCATAATTTTGTGGCTGTTAACAAAACACATTAGCCTCCTAGGTCAGCCACTTTATTTCAAGTCACAGGACTTTATTATTCATGGCACAGCAAGCAGCAAGAGTATAGTGTTTGCATCAGTTCCTCTTGCCCACAGGGCAACAACAAAGGGATGAAACTATTGTATGTGCCATGCATGCAGTAGTTTCATGTCATGGTTCAGGAACTCCAAGATTTAGGAACCCAGATCTTTTATAGTGGGCAGTAAGTTTACCTACACTTTACCCTGGAGGAAGATCACTACGCTTATTATGCTGAATGGTAAACAAAACAAGCCCACCCTCTGATCCAAACACATTTACCTCCATCTTCCAAGCTATATGCTATACAAATATCCTTGAAAGGATAAGCCTATATAAAAAAGGCAGCAAGCCCCTTTTCACACACACAAAAAAAAGCACAGGCATACGAGACCCATGGAGAACTGTCTGCCAATCTTATTCACTCCTTTTTACACCATCTTGGCTTGTAATAAATTTTCCCATTATGTCCACTGATGTATCAACTTTTGTGACTAATCTGATCAACAGAAGCTAAGATCAAATATATTCAATTTGTTTTCTACAGAACATAATGAAGACTACTGTTAACAGGACTCCAAGCAATAGGATGAGGACAGCCTAGAGTATTGATTTTAACCATTCCTCCCAGAGTTCTGGACCCCATCAGCTGAACAATTCCCACAAACAAATTCCCACAAACCTGCCTTCCAGTGCTGAGGTTTCATTGATCACTTTAGCTAAAGTTCGGGGCAAATTTTGCATCACCCTTTCTAATTGGAGGACTCTCATTGTAGAAATAGTTACCCTCAGATATGCATAAATAATGAGAAAAATTACCCTCGGAGTATGCAAAATTGCTCTGGGGAGAAATTTCAGGTAATCAAGAATAGCTTCATTTTGGAGAGATCTTTGCAGTCATCTGAGGGATACATGATCTATTGGTGGTATTTTTCTAAATCATTCTTTAGGTACAATCCTCTTAGTTTTCAGGAGGAAGGCAAGGTTATGAATGGCTTCCACACAAACTGTGCAACCCCATGAATTCTCATGGTGTCCTCAGAAAGTATTGTTCGAACTGTTGGGCCACTCTAAGTGATAGGTACATTATATGGGGATGGAGGAACACAGGTTGACAGTGCCTCTAATGTGGCTTCCTATTGGCGTTAGGCTTCCCAGTTTAATTTTATAATTGAATCTAGTCCTTATTTTGGAAGGGACTGCCTGAGAGCAGTCAGTGCAACTTGTCCAGTTTATCCATACCATAGCTGGTGACATTTGCCCACTCCATGGAAAAACTGCTTGATGGCTCAGTGTGGGGAGTGCAGAAGACATCTGGAGACATTGACAAGGAGGCAGGAACTGAGCCATCTCCTGCTGTTTCCAACAGAATTTATGATATGGTTAAGGAGAATGGTGGTCAAATTTTGGTTAGAGCCCTTAGGCTGGAGATGCCAGACCTATTAAACTGAAAGCTGCCTACTACGGTTTGAAAAGTCTGCAACAGGCCATTTTTCTTTTTCTTCTGCAACAGGCCTTTCCTTCATAAGGAAGGCACTCAGGGCAGATCTGAAGGGGAAAGATCATTAATGTCTCTCTCTTCCTATACCTCCCAGGGTCTAAGGTGTTCACTCTTCATGTTTCCAGGTTGCAGCTATTCCAATAGCTCAATCTTTACCTTTTTTCCAATTATCCACTACATACACTCAGACCTTTTGTCCAGAAGGGTCTGATGCAATAGATAGAAAGGGATTTTTATAAAACAGGGAGACCCATTATATCTTCAAGTTTAGCCTCTGTGGGCCATTGTAGTGGGACTTGACAAGCAGTGTTCACAAAGAGTCATCATTATTCTTGTCATAGTCTGATTGTGTTGCAATAATAGAATACCTAGGTAATTTATAAAGAAAAGAGATTTATTTGTCTCATGTTCTACAGACTGTGCAAGAAGCTGGCATGAGCATCTGCTTCTGCTGAGGGCCTCAGGCTGCTTCCACTCATGGCAGAGAAGAGAGGAGGCAAAAAAGGGTGTGAGATGCCAGACTCTTTTTAACAACCAGCTTTCCTGGGAACTATTAGATTGAGAACTCACTCACCCCTTTCCCCACACTCCCTGCAACCGGGAAGGCATTAATCCATTCATAAGGAATCCAGCCTATGACCCAAATACCTCGTTAGGCTCCACCTCCAACACTGGGGATCAGTTTCCACGTGAGGTTTGGAGGGAACAAAAGTCCAAATTACAGGATTCCTCATGATCTATGAACATGCCAATCCCCCCCAAAATTAACCCATGTGGCTTAAATTTAAATCACCAGGAGCCCTTTTTGATTTGGCTGCCAGCAGAAAGGTGTACTTACCAGGTTGGCCTGGATTGCTATTATGGGAAAAGAAAGGTGCATTATGCCCAGAAATGCTCAGGGCAGAATCCCCAGCTTTCAAAACACATCTATGTCACTCCCCACCCCTTTCATTCTGATCATTACCCAGGAGGCAGATGTGGATGTCCCTTTTTTGGAAATAGCCACATTCAGTGACCAATCTGCCATACCACAGTGGATCAGGAGGAGAGGAGGGAGATAAAGTCAGAAGTCTTTTTTTACTTTTATTTTTACTTTTTGAGGGAGCTGTTCCAAAGCTCAACAATATCCGACGCGTGGAAGCATGGAAGGTCTGTCAAGTACCTTGACTATCCATGCACTGCTGAGGAGCTTTGATAAAAAGCACACCATTGTCAGACTGAAAATAATCCAGAAAGCTGAACACAGGGCATAGATTAGCTTCAAGGGCCACAATGGTTAGCTGACTGGATTGTGCTATGGTTTGAATGTTTGTCCCTCCCAAAACTCATGTTGAAATTTAATTGCCAATGTAATGAGGTTGGGAGGTGAGGCCTTTCAAAGGTGATTAGGCTCCAAGAGCTCCCTGTCATTGGTGGGTTTAACACCTTAATATAAAAGCTTTCAGGAGTGGGCTCCCTCTCTTGGTCCTTCTACCTTCTGCCACATGAGAAGTAGCATTTCTCCCCTCTGGAGGACACAGAGGGGAGATATAAATTTCTGTGAGATATAAATTTCTGTTCATTATAAATTACCCAGTTTGTGGTATTCTGTTGTAATAGCAAAAATGGGCAATGTACTAAGATAGATTGGAAAAAACATTTCACAAATAGAAAATGTTAATGGCGGTGAGGCACCACTGATAGCTCCAGGAGAGGGTCAAAGCTCTGACATAGTCTGCCAAGAGTATGTAGGGCCATGCCCCACACCATGCAGCCTTACTTATGGGAGACAAATTAGACACCTTCTGATAGGAGTCCCACGTATGAGGCAGTGGTAGCCTCTGCATCACAGTCCCCATTCTCTGATGGCAGCAGTCTAATGTTGCCATGTTCAGTGTGATAATGAATCTAGGAAAACTGAGTGGTGCAGATTCAGTCAGCAGCTTGAGTTAGTTTCATCTTACTGGTCTCATCAGGATGGGCCCTTACAGGCCCATGAGTGACCCAGATGGTTCATTTGGTATTTGTGATTTGTTTCCATAGTTTGTGGCCCCTAAATGAGTATCTTTAATTTGCCAGTATGAAGTTTTCCAAGGGGCAGACCAAACAGCTAGGCTATTGGCAACAGCTCAAGAATCAGTAAAAATAGCTTCATCCAGGGGAGGGCCATCCTGTCCTGGCCAGAGTTATGAGAATGGAACTGAATTATACCCATCGAATGGAGTAACCACGTTCATTTTCTGTTTTGCACCATTGGCACTGAGGCTGAACAGCCCAGGCAGCCCAACGGATGCCATATGGTTTGTGTTTAGCCAAACTGTCAGTGAACCAGGCCCAGGCACTTAGTTGATTATGAAAATAAACTATAGCTACACAAATATGACTTTTACAAACATCATGTTAAGAAAATGGTTTCCCCATACCAAAAAAGAATACCATAGAATTTCATTTATAAAGTTCAATAAAGGTAAAAGTGAACCATTGTGTTTAGGGATACATATTTTGGTGCTAAAAACCATTCTAGTGTTTACCAGGTTAGTGATTATCTTTGGAGGTCAGGAGGTATGACAGGGAGGGGGCCATGCCCTATTTCTTAAACTTGAATGATCACTTTATAATAATTTGCTAAGATATATACTTGTTTTGTGCATATTTCAATATATTGTTAACTTTCAAAATTTCTTAAAGGGGATGAATCCCTTAGCATGTTAACATATAAAGGAGTTAGAGTCCAAAATGAAATTCACTTGATCTTGTGAGTTACCAGAGTCAAATAAATCTTAAGCTAAATTAAGATCCAAATATGATTTTCCTAATTTCTTATTCTGCTCAGGTTCAGTCTGAGGGATTCTCAGGAAATGGAAAGAGTTGGAATTCCTGCAGCCTTCCCAGCCTTGTTCTCATTTGAATGACTGTAATACCATTAGGGCATCAAAAGCTGCATTCACTCAATGCCAGGTCTCTTGTGTTCCTCATTTATCAAAGTGTCCAAAGAGATACAGGACATATAAGATTATCAGCAGCCCTGGCCCCATACCCAACAAATGCAGAAAACAAGCCAATCCTCTGCTGATGGCAATTATCCCAGGAAAAATTACATTCCTACCACCCAGTATCAGTGTTGCCAAAAGCCAAGGTAGAAACTCAGTAGTATCAAGTGTAGGAGGGTGGATACACAAAAAACAAAATCTGGGTTGTATCTTCACCAGATTGTCTGTCAAAAGATGCCAAATTGTACAGCATCTACAATTGTGAACTTAAAAGGAAGAAATTTCTCAGCAAGAGCTTAATTCGAGTACTATAAATTTACCATATCTGGAAAAGAAAGCCCACCTATACATAATCTTTCCTCTTTCAGAGAGTGGTGTTTGTGACTAAAGTCTTTTTGCAGAGATTTGAATGCAATGAAGACAGTTCCAGTCACCAGTCTTGTTTAAAGTTCCTTTCTTCCTTCCTCCCTCCCTTCCCCTTCCCTTCCCCCTTCCCCTACCTTCCTTCTTTTTCTTTCCTCTTTCTTTTCTCTTCCTTTCTTTCCTTTCTTTCTCTTCTTTCTTTCTTGCTTGCTTGCTTGATAAGGTCTTGCTGTGTCACCCAGGCTGGAGTGGCAGTGGCCCAAACACAGCTCACTGCTGTCTTGACCTCCTGGGTGCCAGTAATCCTCCCAATTCAGTCTCCTCAGTAGCTAGGACTACAGGCATGCACCACCATGCCTGGCTAATCTTTGCATTTTTTGTAAAGACGAGGCCTCCCTATGTTGGCCAGGCTGGTCTTGGACTCCTGGGCTCAAGCGATCCTCCCTGTGTTGGGATTACAGGCATGAGCCCCATGCCCTTCTAAATATTTTACTTCCCAACCAGTAAAACATCATAATTTCTATTTCCCTTTTGAGCCTCTATTTCTGATACTAAAGCTTTATGTGTGAGCTCTAGAAGGTAATATGGCCTCCTGAGAATCTGGTAACCAATCATTTTTAGTCTTGTGCCTCAGAAGTTCCTGCCACTGTCTTTTCTTACGGAACTGCTTAGGTTTAAGAAACTAGTATTGAGAGGAAGTGTTCACCAAGTTCTCCGCCTTTGGTTCACCTAGAAAATCGCCCTCAACAAACTCCTGAACTGAAGCTGCATTGGGGAATTTTAATGCCTGCTCCCTGAGAGCCCTGGGGAGGCCAGTGTAAATTTCTCCAGCTACTATCTTTTCACCACTTGAATTCTACAATCATCTGAAGGATGTTCCTTCAATCTGGGTGGTGCAAGTTTGACCAGCAGCTTGGTTCATTCCCTCTATGTCACTTCACAGTTTATCTATTGATTCTTCCAGTATTTTTATATTTGATCCCACAGATCAGCCACATGAATTCAAGGTTATTGTTCCACAGTGCATCTTGCACCTCAGTGCAGAATCTGGGGCATCCCAATTTTAAGTGTGGAATCTTATTTTGCTATTGTTTGGTAGGAACAAAGCTGTCAGCTATCCTGTCCTGTAAAAGCAGCAGATACATTCTGTGTCCTAACATCTAAAAGTTCTGTATACAGAAAGACCTTCCCCTATAATGAATTCCTCATTCCCTCTTGTGTCACACTAGCACCTATTGAGGCCCTTCGCCCTGGAAATGTTTGCCAAGTGTACCCTAAGGGGAAGCTGTAGCAACCTGTGCCCTGAGCAACCTTGCTGATATCCTTACAGCTCTGCTTCAGAGAGATGCTGTACACGTGCTGTTCGCTTAGAGCTTCTCACGCTTGTAATTCAACCTTCATTAGCAGCGGCCACTCACCCATGGACACAGCAGAGTGCCCATAAGGTGCATGCACCCATCAGACCAACATCCACGTGAACCATTTTACTAAGGTCAGAGCAGTTAAAAGCCGACTGCACCACGGTAAATGGCTGACCAGACTAATAAAAGCCTCCACAGGGCTTCAAGAAGGAATGCAAGTATGACTTTTGTGGGCCCTGTGCACTTTTGCCTTTCAAAGCTCCTTTCATGAAAAATTCTAAGAAGCTATTTAAAAATATTAAAAGTTACGTTTTACATTTGCATTGGTATAAAGAACACACCCAAGCTGGATTATATGTATTTCTTTTCTTCAGAGTTTAAAGACATGAAAACCTTTTTGTGGGCCCCTGAAAGTGTCCTTTGTAATGGGCCTTCGGCATTACGCCTACTGTGACTACAGATTAAGTCAGCCCCAGCGCCAGGTCAACATGCCCTGCTCACATGAAAGTCTAAGCCTGAAGCCCAGGCTTTAATCACTCCACATGGAGTTTTGTTCTTTATAACGTATTTCTCAGTGAACCTGGCCAATGTAACAAAATGGTGATGTTCTGAGGGAACTGAATAAATAACACCTTGACACTCCCACAGAAAGAAGGCAAATAAGATGAGAATCAAAATATCACCTTTATTACTAATAGATGCTAGGGTGAAGAATACCATCCATTTGACTCCTACGTTTATTATATAATTGGGAAGGCCAGGCACAGTGGCTTATGCCTGTAATCCCAGCACTTTGGGAGGCCGAGGCAGGTGGATCACCTGAAGTCAGTAGTTCAAGACCAGCCTGGCCAACATGGTGAAACCCTGTCTACTAAAAATACAAAAAAATTAGCCTGGTGTGGTAGCAGGCACCTGTAATTCCAGCTACTTGGGAGGCTGAGGCAAGAGAATTGCTTGAACCCAGGAGGCAGAGGTAGCAGTGAGCCGAGATCAAGCCACTGCACTCCAGCCTGGGCAACAAGAGTGAAATTCCATCTCAAACAAAGAAAAAAAAAGTTGGGACATGTATCCCCCAGTCGCAGGCAACGCTGGACTGAAGCAGATTGCTCCGGAAGGCACAGAAATGCTTGTTCCTGCAGAAACAGCAGAGAATGCCCCTTCCTGATAAGAATCTAGCTCCTACAAGAGAAAATATGAAATGGAGAAGCTGAGGTGAGCATATCCATGTTGTTCTCCAAAGACTTGTCAATCAGATTAATCACTGTGTGACAGATGCATCTGACAGCAATAAGTTAAGCATACCCTGAGAATGACCCTATGGTCTGAGGTAAGAACTCTTGTGTCTTATCTATGAAGAACATTTGAATCCCTGGCCCATTCCATGGAGTGCGGGCTGTACAGGAGATGGAGGCCTTTTGTTTTGTGTTGAATGAAGGTTGCCAGGAGGAGACTGCTAAAGAGAGGGTGATGGGTGAAAATGCTGTAAAAATCGCATGCTTTTCACAAGTGGCTGCACTTCTCCTGTCCAGCCTGCCCCCACTGGTCCAACCTGTGTGTAAATCTCTTCAGTAAACCCTACATCTCATTCACTGACTCTGGGTTTCTTTTTCAGCCTCTCAAACATAGTGCTATCCCTATTGAAGTCAATGGGGATCTGGCACAAAAGTCACTTGATGTTGGGGTCAGGAAAGAGAGGAAGTCAATAAAGTAGTGGAGAGAGACACCAATTGAGTCTTTATGCCTAGGAAAAGCATCAGCTCAGAAGATGCATTCCTCTGAAAAGAGGCCATGTTAAATGGTAAGAACATTTAGGGGCACTCAAACGACGGTCAGAATAGGAGAGGAATTATGTTCAACATCATTTTGACATTTTAAGTGTCTTCTACAAGCAGAAGAATGAATGAATGAAACTAAAGTTTTATGTCTTATACTCAATAAACCAACAATACTTATTGAAATGGCTATGCCTAAATCTTATAAAAAGAAAGGTGATTAAAAACTTTGCAGTATTTTTTTTCAATACATGTACTAGAAGAATAGGCATTCATTCCTGGTAGAGTTCAGTAAACAATTATAGTATACATAAGAAGAAAATAATTCCTTGCACTTGAGTTTCTGTTGATTAGCAGCACTAAAAATAAACAAAGTAGATAAAATTCTTTAATGAAATTATCCTCTACTGTTACAGAAGAATTCTGATCTAATTCCATTCTCAAATCTCTATGACATTCACTATTCAGTCAAAAAATATGCATTAAGGACCTTCTATGCTTAACTGAGAATACAATGATAAGCAACACAGTTTTTGTCTTTATGGGATTTACATTCCTGCATCTTAAAACAAAAGGAATTCAAAAGGCTCATATACTGAAAGGAAATTATATTCAAGTTTTTACCCACACTTCTCCCAATGATAAGCAAAAAACCCAAATATTACTTGTAAAAAAAATGAAAAGACGAAGAGTAGCCTTTGAATTCCTGGAACTACAATGACAAGTAAAAATGACCTATATATTTGTTAGTTATGAATCACACGCATTATTGCTAACTCATTTTTCTCTTTTATATGCTATGTGTAGATACAGCAAGGAATTGCCATAATATCAGGTCTTAGTCAGAAAGAGGCAGCTTTGTTCAATGGTAGTTTAATTGGAATACATAATCGCACAACATTTGGAAACTTTTTTATTTTAAGATCTTGAGGCTTTTTGCTTGCTCAGTTTTATCTCATGATAATCTACTTTATTAATTAACTTCCAGCTTGGCCAAGACACATTTAGTCTTAATGGAGTGTTGATTTGTGTCATCAATAACCTTCTGGCGAAGTTTGCTAATGAAATTTATGTTATGGGCCCTGTATAATTGTGTGAGGTGACCTTCTAAGGTGATTATCATTTAAATTTACTTCAACCAGATACCCTTTCCAATAACTACACACTTAGACTTTCTTTGTAATCCATTTTTTTGTTGTTTTTCCATTCTTGTCCCTGAGCAACACATTGGTACCTGTTTTTGATTTACTTATTATTATTATATTAAAGGTAATAATGTTGTGCTTTTCCAGTAAGACAGTTGCTGTAACAATTACTGTCCTTTTAATAACTACATTAAGCTTGCTTTGATACATTATTCATCTTAGTTATGTATTAGTATTAATTATGTAGTTGCCACAGTATGACCAATTCATAATCAACCTGATCTATCTGAACTGGGTGATCATGAAGCTCCCATAATGCAAAAGCACAGTGAAGATTTTTATTACTTCATTCAATATAGACTTATCAAGCACCTACTCTGTGCCAGAACTATATTAGATATCAGAAGGACAAGTGTCAGTAAAACAGGTTTCCCTTTTTTCACGGACCTTATATCCTTGTGAAGAAGTCATATAATAATGACTTGAAAGATAAAGACTGATGATTGACATGTAGGAAATAAATGCAGTGTTGCAATAAATAAATAACAGTGCTGACCCACAATTAAGGAAGCAAGGACATATTTTTGGAGGAAGCAATATTTAAGCAGAGACCTGAAGACTCAGAGACAGAGTGCCAGCCAAATAAAGAGCTGGGGAAGAGCATTCCAGGCACAGGACAGACAGTGCAAAGATCCTGTGGCAGTAAAGGATTTGAGTTTCCTAGGAACTGACATATAGAAGGCCAGTATGCCTGAAGTGTGAGTGAGGGAAGGTGCTTGAGAAGTGGGCAGGGCCCACTGTTTTGGGCCACATGTGATCCTGTGATGCACCACCCAGATTTCCCCACAGAACTGAAGCATTTATTCTCCCAGCTGCTAGTGGTGCTGCCTGCTAACTTCCTTCAGCTGTCCTCTTTGCCTTTCATGGCCCGAATCAACCTCTCAAAGACTTCTTGAGGAACCCAAACTGCAATACCACAGTAAGTACATCGGATTTTACACTAAGTTAAGTGTGAAGCTATGGCAAGGCTTTAATAAAAGCAAGCGAGGATCACTTTGCCTGATATGTGTAGAATTAGGGCAGAAAAGAATCAGACGACTGGTTAGGAAGCTATTGCAGTAATCCCAGCGAGATGATGATGGCTGGAACTAGGGTAATGGGAGTAGAAACTGAGAAAAGTGGATAAATACAAGATACATTTAGGGGTAGAATTGGTGATTGGCTAGTGAGAGAAAGGAAGTACCAAAGAATAACACCAAAGGTATGGTGCAACAACGTTTTAGATGTGCAGCAGCAGAAAATGTAGGGCACCTGAATTCAATACTGCTTTATGAAGCTTGAATAAGTACTGAGAAAGACCCATGCTTAACATTCTGTGAAATAATATTTTGGGTTCATTTTAGAAATTATCCCCAAAGAAATGTGTGATCAGCATGAATTAAAAACCATGGCCACAAATGATTATGTTATATATTGTAGTTTTTTATACTCAATGGTGTTTGAAAACAAATAATTGCAAACTCATCACTATCTGGCACTTTGTAGCTAAGCTGAGCTTAAATATTGTAAACTGAATTAATGAACGTAAGAGAACATGGTTCACAGTTCTTATGATGCATTAGCTTGGTCTCAGAAGTCAATAATGGCTTGATATTCCAGAAAACAGACTTGTACTGTTAAGTCTAAGGCCACAAAATCATTTTTAAATAGGTATTATACAAAGTCAGCATTTGTGAATGGCTGTGGAATAAAAGAGAGTAGAAATTAAATAGCTCCAGAAAAATTAAGAGTTATTTTTAGAGTAGGTTTGCACTAACCTAAGATTTTTAAAAAATAAAATAAAATAAAGCTCTCGTTTAACAGCTATTTTTCACTCAGATTCCTGATCTAACATATTGTGTATTTCACGCGCGTCCGTGTGAAGAGATCACCAAACAGGCTTTGTGTGAGCAACAAGGCTGTTTATTTCACCTGGGTGCAGGCGGGCTGAGTCCGAAAAGAGAGTCAGCGAAGGGAGATAGGGGTGGGGCCATTTTATAAGATTTGGGTAGGTAAAGGGAAAAAGGGGGTTCTCTGGCGGGCAGGGGTGGGGGGGGGTCACAAGATCTTAGTGAGGGAGCTTTTGAACCAGGATGAGCCAGGAGAAGGAATTTCACAAGGTAATGTCATCAGTTAAGGCAGGAACAGGCCATTTTCATGTCTTTTGTGGTGGAATGTCGTCAGTTAAGGAAGGAACGGGCCATCTGGATGTGTACGTGCAGGTCACAGGGGATATATGATGGCTTAGCTTGGGCTCAGAGGCCTGACATTCCTGTCTTCTTATATTAATAAGAAAAATAAAACAAAATAGTGTTGAAGTGTTGGGGCAGCAAAAATTTTGGGGGGTGGTATGGAGAGATAATGGGCTATGTTTCTCAGGGCTGCTTTGAGAGGGATTATGGGCGGCGTGGGAACCTAGAGTGGGAGAGATTAAGCTGAAGGAAGATTTTGTGGTAAGGGGTGATACTGTGGGGTTGTTAGAAGAAACATTTGTTGTGTAGAATTATTCGTGATGGCCTGGATACGGTTTTGTATGAATTGAAAAACTAAACGGAATAAGAGAAGGAGAAAAACAGGTATTAAAGGACTAAGAATTGGGAGGACCTAGGACATCTAATTAGAGGGTGTCCAAGGGGGTTCAGCGTAATTACTTGCTTGGTTGGCAAGCTTTTGGGCTCTATCCTTGAGTTTTTTATGTTGTCATACACCAGGCCAGATTGATTTAGGTAAAATGAACACTCTTCATTTAAGAATATACAGAGTCCTCCTTTTTCAGCAGTAAGTCAAGGCCTCGGCGGTTTTGGAGGACAACTGCAGCTAAAGAGTCAACTTGGGCCTGGAGGACTGATAAAGTTTGTGATACGTCTGTGATGCTAGCAGAGAAGTCATTAGAGAGGCTACGGAAGGTCGTGACAGAGGTTGAAATGCCTGCTATTCCAGTACCGAGAGCAATAGTGAAGGCAGAAAGTCTTAAACTGACAAGCAAGGGAATTAGTGGAATAACTCTTTTTTGTCGTGTCGGTGTCATGAGGGGAACAGGGAGCTCTTCGGTCCTATTTGCAAATTGAATTTTGGGAGTAAGGAAAACTAGTGTGCATGTGCCTGTCCAATTAGCAGGTAGACACATGTAGGTAGAGGATACACAGAGGAAGAAGACACCTTGTGCGAGGCAAAACTGGAGATGCAAAGTAAAAAGATGAGAAGGAGTGCTGAAAGGGGTGTCTTGTACCCAGACTCCTAGGGATCCAGCTAGGGCCACAGCCATCAGAGGTTGTAATGGGGACTGATGAGGTAACTGCACAGAGGAGGAGGTTCGATTTTCATGGTGTATGAGAAAACGTTGAGTATCTACGAGCAACCTTTCACTGTTATTTACAGGGCTGGGTATAAGTAAACAAGAAGAGGGCTTTGGAGATGAAGAGTAAAGGAACATCGAGAAGGTGAAAGGTTACCCAGGGGAATTCCAGTGGCCACAGGAATAGTAGTTTGTGTTGTGAGAGGTCTAAATATGGGGGGAGTAGAGTTGATATAAGGAGAAAGGTTTTTTTAAGTAAGTGCGGAGGAGGGCGGCAGCTTGCTGATGTGAAATGTCTGGGGAGGTCTTGCTGGACCTGTCTAGAAAGTAAATGAGTTCTTCAGGAGGGTAAAGGTGAGGGCTGTTAAAGGAAGTTCAGAGGTGTAGGGAGACAGGAGATGTTGCCTAATCTGCATGTAAGTGGGGACAGCTGTGTAGGCGCTGGAAGAAAGGGAAATGCAAAGCCAGCGGTTGTTAGCTAAGGAAGGATTAGAAATGGCTAGGAGAGAATAGTAAGGTCGATAGTGTAGTGGAGATAGCTGGGGAGAGGTAGAGGGTGGCATAAGAATGGGAATGAGAATAAGAGTGAGTATAAAAGTAAAGAATAGAACTTCATCAGGGTGAAAGTATTGGAGGGTCCCCTGCCAGCAAAGATCATCTATCCACTTTAAGAGGGAGTTAAGAGTTGCCAGTCCTGGGTCGGGGGTGGGTGGGCAAATCCTCGAGCTTGATGTGTAGGGAAGGGAGGGGGCCTGAATAATCCCTGAGGAGTAGTAGAATAGCAGATGGAACGCTGAGAAGTTATTTCTTTGAGGATAGATTCCCACAATGGAAAGGAAATGAGAGGTTCTAAAAAGCGGGCTGGTGGCTTGCATTATAGCATAGCCTGCCTTTGCTGGTGTGTGGTGATTAGGCCTGGTGAAACTACTATCAATAAACCAAATGTGATCAGGGTGAGGAATAGGGAAGAAGGAAATATGGGGAAATGGGGTGAATGTCAGGTGGATCAGAGCGATACAGTCATGGGGGTCAGGTGTGGTATCCAGAATAATGTGGGAGGCCGGATTGAAGTCGGGCCAGGAACAATGGTAATTGTGGGAGACTCAACAAAGAGTGAGTACAGCTGAAGGAGGCGGGGAGCAGAAAGTATATGCATCAGGTGTGAGGAAGAAAATAGATTTTGGAAGTTATGAGAACTGTAGAGAGTGAGTTGAGCATAATTTGTGATTTTAAGGGCCTCTAAAAGTATTAAGGCAGCGGCAGCCACTGCACGCAGACACGAGGGCTAGGCTAAAACAGTAAGGTCAAGTTGTTTGGACAGAAAGGCTACAGGGCTTGGTCCTGGCTCTTGTGTAAGAATTCTGACCACACTAACCATCCCTAGGAAGGAAAGGAGTTGTTGTTTTGTAGAAGGGATTGGGGTTTGGGAGATGAGTCGGACACGATCAGCAGGGAGAGCACGTGTGTTTTTATGAGATTATGTCGAGTTAGGTAACAGATGAGGAAAAAATTTGGGCTTGACTGAAGTAGTGGGGGCTGTCTGTGAAGTCTTGAGGCAGTACAGCCCAGGTAATTTGCTGAGCCTAATGGGTGTCAGGGTCAGTCCAAGTGAAAGCAAAGAGAGGCTGGGATGAAGGGTGCAAAGGAATAGTAAAGAAAGCATGTTTGAGATCTAGAACAAAATAATGGGTTATAGAGGGAGGTATTGAGGATAGGAGAGTATATGGGTTTGGCACCATCGGGTGGATACGCAAAACAATTTGGTTGATAAGGCGCAGATCCTGAACTAACCTGTAAGGCTTGTCTCGTTTTAAGACAGGTAAAATGGGGGAATTGTAAGGAGAGTTTATAGGCTTTAAAAGGCCATGCTGTAGCAGGTGAGTGATAACAGGCTTTAATCCTTTTAAAGTGTGCTGTGGGATGGGATATTGGCGTTGAGCGAGGTAAGGGTGATTAGGTTTTAATGAGATGGTAAGGGGTGCATGATCGGTTGCCAAGGAGGGAGTAGAGGTGTCCTATACTTGTGGGCTAAGGTGGGGAGATACAAGGGGAGGATGTGAAGGAGGCTTTGAACTGGGGGAAAAGGTGGCAATGAGGTGTGGCTGTAGCCCAGGAATAGTCAGGGAAGCAGATAATTTAGTTAAAATATCTCGGCCTAATAAGGGAACTGGGCAGGTGGGGATAACTAAAAGGAGTGCTTTAAAGAGTATTGTCAAAGTTGGCACCAGAGTTGGGGAGTTTTAAGAGGTTTAGAAGCCTGGCCATCAATACCCACAACAGTTATGGAGGCAAGGGAAACAGGCCCTTGAAAAGAAGGTAATATGGAGTGGGTAGCCTCCGTGTTGATTAAGAAGGGGACAGACTTACCCTCCACTGTGAGAGTTACCTAAAGATCGGCATCTGTGATAGTCTAGGGGGCTTCCGAGGCGATCAGGCAGCATCAATCTTCAGTTGGTAAGCTGAGAAGATTGGGGAAGGAGTCAGTCAGAGCCTTGGGCCAGAGTTCCAGGGGCTCTGGGAGTGGCTGCCGGGTGAGTTGAACAGTCCAATTTTCAGTGGGGTCCTGCACAGATGGGACATGGCTTCGGAGGAATCCTGGGCTGTGGGCATTCCTTGGCTCAGTGGCCAGATTTCCAGCACTTGTAGCAAGCTCCTGGGGGAGGAGGTTCTGGAGGAACCCCTGGCAGCTGCGGTTCAGGCGTTTGGAGTTCTTGTGTGCTGGAGATGTGGCTGGGGTTTGTCTCACAGTGCAGGCAAGGAATTGCAACTCAGAAATACATTGCTACTTGGCTGCCTCTAGTTTATTGTTGTACACCTTGAAGGCGAGGTTAATTAAGTCTTGTTGTGGGGTTTGAGGGCTGGAATTTAATTTTTGGAGTTTTATTTAATGTCGGGAGTGGACTGGGTAATAAAATGTATATTGAGAATAAGACGGCCTTTTGACCTTTTAGGGTCTAGGGCTGTCTCAGCATTGCTGCCAAACGAGCCATGAACTGGGCTGCATTTTTTATTTGATGAAAAAGAGCCTAAAAGCTATCTGATTTGGGATTAAGAAAAAGGAGCATTAACCTTGACTATGCCTTTAACTCTAGCCACCTTTTTAAGAGGAAATTGCTGGGCAGGTGGGGGAGGGCTAGTCGTGGAACGAAACTGTAAGTCGGACCAGGTGTGAGGAGGGGATGTGACAAAAGGATTATAGGGTAGGGGATCGGAGGCTCTGACCTAGCTCGGCCTGGCAAGAAGCAGCCTGGGGAGGAGGGGAGCAGTCAGATGGGTCTGTAGAAAAGGAAGATTGGAAAGAGGAAAGACTCAGTGATGCTTGGGGTTGGGACGAGAGGACAGACAGGAGGGAAAGAAGGAAGATTTGGGATGAGCTGCATTGGAAACAGAGACTAGGGAGGGACTGATGTGTAAAAGAATGCCTGGACATCAGGCACCTCAGACCGTTTGCCCATTTTATGACAAGAATTATTTAGATCTTGTAGGATGGAAAAATCGAACGTGTTCTGGCTATTTGGAACCACTGTCGAGTTTGTATTGGGGTCAAGTGGCATTGCAGAAGAAAATAAGGTGTTTAGGTTTTAGGTCAGGTGTGAGTTGAAGAGGTATTAAGTCTTTGACTTAACACAGGCTAAGGGAGAAGGAGGAATGGAGGGTGGAAGTTTGCCTATAGTGAAGGAGGCAAGTCCACAGAAAAGAGAGGGTAGAGACATGGAGAGAAGGGGTGGGGAGTGTTTGCCCCCCAGGAAAGTGGAGAAGGGGTAGAGACATGGAGAGAAGGGGCCGGGGGGTTCTTGCCCCGTAGAAAAGTGGAGAAGGGGTAGAGACAGGGAGAGAAGGGGTCGGAGGGTTCTTGCCGCCCAGAAAAGCGGTACTTGCCGCTAAGGGTGAAGGACCAAGGCAGGCGTCCCCACGTGGTCAGACACCTCTGAAATGTGGGTGAATAATCAGTCAGGCATCTCTGCGTGATTAAACACCAAGGGAAGACTGTCTTCCCGAGTCTGTGACCAGTGCCGGAGTTTTTGGGTCCATGGATAAAATGCGTCTCCTTTGTCTCTACCAGAAAAGAAAAAGAACTGAAATTAAGAGAAGGGAGAGATTGAAGTGTGGCGCCAAGATTGAAAGGAGAAAGAGGTTGAGGGATAGTGAGAGAGGTTGGAGAGGAGAGTAAAAAGAGGCCGCTTACCGGATTTAAAATTGGTGAGATGTTCTTTGGGCTGGTCGGTCTGAGGACCTGAGGTCGTAGGTGGATCTTTCTCATGCAGCAAAGAGCAGGAGGACAGGGGATTGATCTCCCAAGGGAGGTCCCCCGATCTGAGTCATGGCACCAAATTTCACGTGCGTCCATGTGAAGAGACCACCAAACAGGCTTTGTGTGAGCAACAAGGCTGTTTATTTCACCTGGGTGCAGGCGGGCTGAGTCCGAAAAGAGTGAAGGGAGATAGGGGTGGGGCTGCTTTATAAGATTTGGGTAGATAAAGGAAAAACGGGGGTTGTTCTCTGGCGGGCAGGGGTCGGGGGGGTCACAAGGTGCTCAGCGGGGGAGCTTTTAAGCCACGATGAGCCAGGAGAAGGAATTTCACAAGGTAATATCATCAGTTAAGGCAGGAACCGGCCATCTGGATGTGTACGTGCAGGTCACAGGGGATGTGATAGCTTAACTTGGGCTCAGAGGCCTGACAGTGTATACTTTGCCAGTGAATGTTACTGGTTATAGAGATTAGAATCCATGCCTGTTTAAGCAGAAAGGGATTTATTAAGAGATATTAGGAAGTTGTCCAATCACTGAAAGTACAGGTGGGGCAAACCTAGGTTGACCTAGGAACTGCTCCCAAGACCAAATAATAGAAATTGCCTGTTGGGGGAGAGGCTAACTCATCTGACTTTAAACTTACGCTGCCTCTACCATAATCTAGAAAGAACCATTGCCACCAATGACCACCCAAACTATGCTGCTTCTGCTGTGATTCCAGAAGCACTTCACTTACCCTTAAACTCAGAAACACCCATGCTTGCAAATATGGATGTCATGGCACTATTTTGCCAAGCAGTTGATCAAATCAAAGGCTCATTAAGCTGTATCTGATTGGTGAACTCTGTCACATGTTTGTACTCTTAACAGCAAGTTGTGCTGGGAGATGTAGTTTTTTCAATTCTGTGTTGGGGAGGCACAATGCACAATGTGGGAAACTATCACCACATGGGGAAAGCATTGAGAAAAAAATCTTCCACAAATAATAGACATGAATGACAGAGGTCCATCATAGTTAATATTCCAATTTTTTTTTTTTTTTTTTTTTTTTTTTTGAGATGGAGTCTCGCTCTGTCGCCAGGCTGGAGTGCAATGGTGCTATCTCGGCTCACTGCAACCTCTGACTCCCTGGTTCAAGCAATTCTCCTGTCTCAGCCTCCCAAGTAGCTGGGATTACAGGCACGCACAACCACGCCCAGCTAATTTTTATATTTTTAGTAGAGACGGGGTTTCACCGTGTTGGCCAGGATGGCCTCGATCCCCTGAACTCGCGATCTGCCCGCCTTGGCCTCTCAAAGTGCTGGGATTACAGGCATAAGCCACTGCACCCGGCCCATTTCAAAATCTTCACTCATGGTTAAGTTCTATTAATATCATTAATATACCCCATTTTCCACTGGATAATACATACTGACCACTGAAATAATTTTTAGAAAAATTTAGGAACCAAAGAATTGTATACGCTTGATTTAGAATGTTCCTCATGAATAATGAGTATTGAAATCTGCATTAATATCTTCAGTAATGAATCTACCCCGTTTTTAGCAAAGTCAGATATTAAAAAGATTTTCAACAAAACTATAATTGATTATTTGAGCTCACCAGATAGGGTTGCTGCTTAAGAGACTTATTTATAGCATGTTAGATCTAAAACTGATAGTACTTTAATAATTCCACAGAGTCCTCAAATAACTCACTCCAAGATAAATCAGAGACAGCGAGGAATCTTTTCATTGGATGTGTCTGGGCACCATCCATGGTCAGCAAGCTCAGTGTGCTGGAGTTCAGGGTTTTCTATTTTGTTTCTACAGTTAATTTGTTAGCATGTGAATTTCAGAATTAGGTGGACTGGCATCAGTCCTTCCGGTATCTTCCAAAGCAAGTTTTTGAATAGAGTATCTACTAGAGTTTCCAGTACAGGGCTCTATTTGAATCCTTCCAAAAGTTGTAGAGATTTTGCCTGCTCTTGTTCAACTTTCTTTCAACAGCTTCTCTTCTTTATTACCAAGAGTCTTTGTGTTAGGCAGCAATACAACAGATGGTGAACAAGTCTTCATCAAAGCAATCTTTTTAGAAACAAAATCCCTTTAGCATAATGACCCTAAATCAGATCTAAAGAAAAAATTCAATGGAAACGTTGTACCAGTGTTTCGTGGCCTACACAACAGACTCCTACTCTTTAACATGGTTGGCTTAATTGAAAAATGGTTAGTTTTTGTTTTGCCCAGTCTAATACTATTGCACTTATGAATAATAATTCTATTAGCATATATATATATGTTTCTAAATCTAAAGTGTATTATTTAATTCTCATAACACAGTGAGTGAACAAAAGCATTGTGTGGGCTGAATGTAGACTACAAATAAAAATGGCCATTTAGATTCTAATATTACATTATCTAAAAAGTTACCTTCAATCATTTGCAATCATTAAATATTTTACTTTTACTTAGGCAATAATGACATTCCCTAACAGATAATTCTTCTTTGGAGGTCTCTACCAAATAGCTCTACTTAAAATAGCAGAGCTGAGTCAACATCTCAGAATGCATTATGATTGCAGGCAGCAAAATGACTCACAAAATGGTAAACATACGAAGAAGCCAAACCTTCACTTTAAAAGATTAATGATAGTATACAACAAATGACAAAGTAAGCATCTATCTCTACTACCTCTTACCTGGGAGTATTTCTCTGGATTCTAAATAAGCATTCCATACAGATATTCTGTAAGTTTATATGAAGAATTTATATGCTTTGATTGTGCCTACTCTTTTTCATTGTGCCACAAAGCTGTTGAGCTTTATATAGAACTTCAGTTTAGTGCATTTATTTGTCAAGCTATAGGTGTAAAAACCAGCTATTCTAGCATTTACCTCATTCATTCAGCTTCCTATTCTGAAGCTTTCCTTCTGAGATTTTTCTTCACCATCTTACCTCTTTTTCTTTCTTCATATCCTTGGTATAAAAATGTGAATAGTTTTCAGCTAGAAGGAACCAGCAAAGAGGTCCCCTAGGTTTCATCTGTATAGATTACTGGTAAGTTTATTACGTCTAAGAGCTAGTTCCTAAAAATAGCTCTCATCTGCATAGTAATGGGCCTCCTCCATCCCATTTCTTACATCCTTCTAGATATCCCAGAATAATTTAAACACTGTCAGCAATTCTCTCTCTGAAAGCTCTGTTAGCCCATATACTATAGAACCAGCCTGGGACACTCTAGTTCATGGTACCCTCATCCTGTGGCTTAGATCTCCCATAGAGTGGCATGGATGCCCTCTTGCTCTGGTACCTTTTGGTCATCTTCTCTCTATGTCTGCACCTGTACCCTATGGCCCTGGCCACATCTGCCTCTAGATTTAGTCATCTGTATTCACTATTGTCACCATGAAGTAGGAAAACACTTTAAGTGCCATTCTTGGCAAGGCAGAATAGCGGCGATGTTGGGTTCTTAATATTTATTTTGGTTAATTCATCTTGAATGTGCACATGGGTATTCTAAATCCAAGACAGCTTTGTTATTAATTAGTTTACAGTAAATAATAAAATTATTGGACCATTTCCCCAAAACTTACCTTGGAACAAAGGGATGAAAGCAGCTGGAAACATCTCCTTCATGAGTGGCCAGACACTCCCCAGATAAGAAAAAGAGAACAACAAATTTTCTTATTTTACATACTTAAGAGAGATGGCCTGCTACTCGTTTCCTAAGAGGAGAGAGAAGAACAAAACCAAAATATTTGTTCCTTAGAAATAGGATGGAGGCTGGGCATGGTGGCTCAGGCCCATAATCCCAGCACTTTGGGTGGCCGAGGTGGGAGGATCGCTTGAGCCCAGGAGTTTCAGGACCAGTCTGGGTAATATAGTGAGACCTCATATCTACAAAAAAATTAAAAAATAAGCCGCGTGTGGTGCCACATGCCTGTAGTCCTAGATATCTGGGAGGCTGAGATGAGAGGATTGCTTGAGCCCAGGAGGCAGAGGCTGCAGTAAGCCAAGTTTGTGCCACTGCATTCCTGTTTGGGTGACAGAAGGAGAACTTGGAAAAAAAAGAGAGAGGGAGAGAAAGAAAGAATGAGAGAGAAAAAGGAAAAAAAGAGAAAGAAATGGAATGGAAGGAATGCTGGGTTCTCACCCTAACCTTTGGGAATGTTAATGTCTTTCTAGATAAACCCAGATCCTGGCTTTTATCATCTAAAGGCATCTCCTAAATTCGGGATTCATCTCTTTTGCTATGTAAATACCTAGAAGATAGTGCTCCAGTCCTCCTGATACCTTGGGACATTACTTAGGGACCTAGTCTAGCTGTAACCATTTGGCTCTCAGGAAGACAGGAAAAGTGTTATCTTTTCAAATCAGAAATAGAACTACTTCTAGTATATGACCAGTAAAATGCTTCAGGGGAAGTCAAAGCAAACATTCCCTATCTGCATATGAGACTCATCTCCTTGCCTTAGGAAACTAGGGCTTCTCATAGGAATACCGGGAAAACCAGGAAAGTGTTATTTCCACTGGAGAGTCTGTGTCCTTTTCTCAGAATGGAATTATTTGAATTGCTAGTGTGAAAGGAAAATCTTGGAACCCCAAAATTGCTAAGTTAAAGGGAAAATTCAAGCTGGGAACTGCTCAGGGCAAACCTGTCTCCCATTCTATTCAGTCATCCCTCTGCTCACTGAGATAGATGCAGATCTGATTGCCTCCTTTGGAAAGGCTTATCAGAAAATCAACGAATACAACCATGTCTCTCACCTACTTGTGATCTGCAAGTACCCTCCCTGCTTCGAATTGTCTCCTCCTTTCTGGACTGAACCAATGTACTTCTTATATATATATTGATTGATGTGTCATGCCTCCCTAAAATGTATAAAACCAAGCTGTGCCTCGACCACCTTGGGCACGTGTCCTCAGGACCTTCTGAGGCTATGTCATGGGTGTGCATCCTCAACCTTGGCAAAATAAACTTTCTAAAGTAATTGAGACCATCTCAGATATTTGGGGTTCACACTAGTAAAGATGTTTTGGTGGTGGTGGTTTGTTTTGTTTCTGTCTTTATTTTTTTTATTTTTTTGAGACGGAGTCTCACTCTTGTCGCCCAGGCTCGAGTGCGGTAGTGCAATCCTGGCTGACTGCAACCTCCGCAATTCTCCTGCCTCAGCCTCCCAAGTAGCTGGAATTACAGGCATGCACCACCACACCCGGCTAATTTTTGTGTTTTTTTAGTAGAGATGGGGTTTCATCATGCTGGCCAGGCTGGTCTAGAACTCCTGACCTCAGGTGATTCGCCCACCTCGGCCTTCCAAAGTGCAGAGATTACAGGCGTGAGTCACCGTGCCCGGCCTGTTTCTATCATTTTTTAAAAGGCTTTCCATATCCATAGCTTTCTCCTCAGACCAGGGTGGGAAGCGGTGGTAGTGTCTTGTGCTCAGTGCCTCTTCACTTAAAGTGACATTTTCTGCCCTGTCAGGATCCTTGTTCTCTCTGGCTATAATGTTCATCAATATCTTCTGCATTCTCCTTACTGTCTATAAACCACAATTATGGGCAAGATTCAAGTTCTTTTCTGTGAAATTCTTAGGTTTCAAGAAAATCAGGGGTTATGATGAAATATGATGGAGTGTCACCTGGTTCTGCATGTTAGTGTCCATGAGCTGTTGCTCATGTGCATTTATTTAAAACCTAGAGACGATGTATAAGATAAATCTAGTTTATAATAAAATAGCGAGATTGAATAGATCACAACTGTGTCAGCTGTGGTGAAAGCACTAGAAATTAAGTTATTTTTCTTTTCTGAATTGACAGATAATGACAATAATCACACATTATTGTTTGTATTAGATTATTCTTTCAAATATACTTAGTATTCCTTGTGTCAAAGATATTGTTTTCTTCCAAGTCATTTTGTATAAAGTAATATCCCCCTACACTCTGGCATAATAAAGCAACCAACTCATATTGCAAGTTTTTTTTCAGACAAAAAAAAAAAACAGTTAAGATATATGCAATGTTGCTATTTTATTATAAATTATATTCATCTTATTCATCATCTTTAGGTTTTAAATAGTAGCTGCACTTGTAGTTAAATGCTATTTTAATTCTCCAATGAATATCTTATATATAGAAATAAAGAATATAAAACTCTAAAAGTGCTTTTCATGCAGTTTCTCATTTATTACCCCTAATACCCCATTATCAGCTGAACTGTGTCCCCACCCCCCCAAATTCATACATTGAAGCTCTAACCCTCAGTGTGATTGTATTTGGAGTATGGCCTATAAAAAGGTAGTAAAGGTTGAGTCACAAAAGTGAGTCTTTTTTTTTTTTTCTGAGACGGAGTCTTACTCTGTCACCCAGGCTGGAATGCAGTGATGTGATCTCAGCTGACTGCAACCTCCGCCTCCCAAATTCAAGCAATTCTCCTGCCTCAGCCTCCCGAGTAGCTGGGATTACAGGCACATGCCACCAGGCCCAGCTAATTTCCGTATTTTTAGTTGAGACGGGGTTTCACCATGTTAGCCAGGCTGGTCTCGAACTGGCTGGTCTCGAACTCCTGACCTCGTGATCCACCTGCCTCGGCCTCCCAAAGTGCTGGGATTACAGGCACGAGCCACCACGCCCAGCAAGAGTGAGTCTTAATCCAGTATGACTAGTGTCCTCATAAAACAAGGAAGGGACCTAAGAGGCCTCTCTCTCCCTGAGTGCACATGGAGAAAAGGCCCTCTGAAGATTCAGTGAGAAGGCAGCCCTCCACAAACCAGGAAGAGAGGCCTCACTAGAAACCAGTCCTGAAGGCATCCTGATCTTGGACTTCTAGAAATGTGGCAAATTAATTTCTGTTGTTTAAGCCACTCAGTCTATGGTAGCTCAATTTTACAAATAAGAAAAGAGGCCAAGGAAAGGTTCAGAAACTTGCTCAAGGTCACGAAGCAGCCGGCAGATTTTCAGCAGACTGGATGGCTACAAGATCAGTCAAAATAAGTTAGAAAAGATTTGAAAAGAAGTGCCATAAGCAAGAATATTTAATACACAGAGTAGAGTTTATAATAACATAGCAAGATTGCTTACAGCCTAACTGGATTGCTGGATGAGAAATTCAGGCAGAGAGAAGCAATCTTATAGAGAACATCACGTGACTCAGAAAAGGCAGAAATAGGCTTTTATCTGTTCTTTTGAGGCTGGATAACCCTTGGGGCAATTTAGGAAGAACTTTCTAGAGGTTCACCTAGGGAAAGAAATGAAAGAGTAGCTAGATGATAAAGTTTGAGATAGTAAGATATCCGCTAATAGAAAATAAGGAAAAAGACTACTTCCCACTGTGTTTAGAATACAGTTCAAATTCCTTAACATGGACTATCTTTGTGGTATAATGCTATAATTTATTAACCAATCCAGGACATTTTTTGAAGTCAAAGGGAGTGCTATTACAATTTTTCCAGGAAAATATGGTAAAACTAGGACAGCTCTGGGCAAACATGTATATACAGTTACCTTGGCGATAAATGAAGGCCCTGCATCACCTGACCACATCTTGTTCAATTTTCCCCATTCACTGATCCTACTGACTTTCTTCCAGTTCTTTGAACATACCCACCGCTAAGCTCATTCTTGCTCAGGGACCCAACACATACTTTCAGTCTATCTTGTTCAGCTCTTCTCTCTTTGCCTGGTTAACTAATAATCTCTGTAGTGATCACACTCTGTAGGCCAGTTACACAGCAACCCTTCCCTACTTTTTTCTCAATTGTACCTGGATTTTGCCCAGCTGTCCCTCACACACCCTCTGTCACTTGAGAAACTCTGTAACTACAACCTTAGTCCGGGGAAGAATACTCACAGGAAGAAGTCGGTCAGCCGTGGCATTCCTCTGTCTGCCAACAACCTTAGTTTTCAGAGATAGGGTCTTGCTCTGTTGCTCAGGTTGGTGTACAGAGGTGCCATCATAGCTCACCGCAGCCTCAAACTCATGGGCTCAAGCGATCCTCCTGCTTCAGCCTCGGAAAGCACTGAGATTACAGGTGTGATCCACTGTACCCAGCCTTGCCTGGGCAATGACTTAAGGAAAATATATTAGTTTGGAGCTTCACATGGCAGAAAACTCTCCTAATTAGTGGTTTGAATGAAACAGAAATTCATTTCTGTCCCTCATTTAAAAGAAGTGAGGAAGGAGACAGCCGGGGGCCGGGATGGTGTTATAGCTGTCAAGCACTCAGGGTCCATATTGCCTTGTTACCTTCACATGTGGCTGTAGATCTTCAGATCATATTCACATTGCAGCAGCAGGAAGCACGAAGGGACAGGGAAGGGTACACCCCTTCCTTGTGAGAATATAGCCCAGAAATCACTTCCACTTACCTCTATTGCCAAAACAGTCAAAAGGGCACACCTGGTTCTTAGGAAAGCTGGGAAATGTAATCTTTGTTCCAGGTGGCTCTGTGCCCCACTGAAAACTTAGGATCATGGATCTTGATGCAAAACTAGCAGTCTTTCTGCCACAGTGCACCAATTAGCCCGAAGGGAAGGACTCAGTCCTAGCATACTCCTCTTTCCCTCTCCTGCTGGACATGACCAAGAAGACAAGAAATCCAAGTTGCAACTCTTTAAGTGAGAGAAAAATAAACATCTAATTTTTTTTGAGACTTCTTATAACCATAAAAAGACTCAGGCTTAAAAGGAAATTGATACTGTGGACAGCAGAGCCAAAACAAGAACCCAGGCACCTGATAATATGGTTGAGCCACTGAAACCACCAGCTCTCCATGAGTTACCGAGAGAAGAAACTTCTTTATTGCGCAGGCCACTTTGGTTCAGAGTTTCTTCTCCTTGTAGCTGAAAGCATGTTAACGAAATTCCCTACAGGTGCCCTACACACTCCATCTGTTATAATTTAACTTAGTAACCTCTTCTTTTCCTTTATAGCCTTCATTATAATTTTGAATCATTTGTTACTTGCTTGAAGTTTATGTCCTCTGCTAGGCTGTGAGCCATGACCTTTGGGTCTAGATTTGTTTTGTAATTTATTGTATACCTGGTGAATGAAACAAAATGGCTGGCACGATGCTTGGCACACAGTAGGTGTGTAAGTAAATGGTAGCTATGATAAAAATGATGTTTGACTAATAAGCCTTGCTCATTCAAAGAGATCACTTCTCCTTAAAGGTAGCATTGAAGCCACATGAAGTAATGAATGACAGTTTGGGGAGTCATTTTCTCTTTTATTCTGCAGGATTTTGTCATATACTACTCATTATTTCAACTACATCAAAGATCTATCTTATAGTTTTGGTGTGACCTCAAATTTGAATATTGGACTACTTTGAGCTATAGCTTGGTCTTAAAAGGAACGACTGCAGAGCTGAGTGCCCAGGTGACAGTCACAGCTGCAGCATCAGCGGTCATGCTGTTACTTTCACTCAGACATCACAGGAGTGGTGACTACATAAATGTGACTAGAATAGTTCTCAGTCTCTTCTGTCACACTACAATATTGAAGTGATGTCTTCCCAAACACTGGAGGCCTTGCCTTCTCATCTGCAGATGGCAATCCTATTCACGTCTAGCTTTTAGGCACACAGTTTTCTTCCTGAGGGCATGTTTCTTGATAAGTTTTCCTTTTTATACCCTCTTCCCAAAGCCCCAAAACCTGTCATTTTAATAATTTAAATAATATGTTTATATCTACAGGTAATCTCTAAAGTCTTTTATTCCACGTTGAGGTGTGCTTCTAATGTCATTTCTGTCTCATCTACTGTTTGTTTATATACCTAGGACATTAATTACAGTAATGTGCCACAAATGATGTTTCAGTCAAGGACAGACTACATATATGTAATATATAAGACTACATATATAATACTGTATTCTTACTGTACCTTTCCTATGTTTTGATATATAGATACACAAATACTTACCATTGTGTTATAGTAGCCTACAATATTGAGTACAGTCACATGCTGTACAGGTTTGTAACCTAGGAGCAATAGGCCATACCATATAGGCTAGATATGTGTTAGGCTATGCATCTGGGTTTCTGCAAGAACCCTCTATCATGTTTACACAATGATGGCATTGCCTGACAATGCAGTTGTCATAACATATCTTTGTTGCTAACCAATGCATGACTGTATTATTTATCTCAGTTCTCCATTCTATCTAAATGTGATTAATTACTACATAAGGTGCTTAGGAAAAAAAGTGTAACCATGGCATTGATCATTGGTAAAATATATAAGTCTTCACTTTCAAAAACTTTGTTCAGATTTTTTTTTAACTTTTAGCAATGGTAATACTAAATAGGTATCATTTATTGAGTCCCTACACTATTCCAGGTATTATGATAGATCGTTTATATAATGTAAGCAGAAAAAGTATGCATTTAATCAGTGGGCCAAGGGTTATACTACAAGCTGCTCTACGTTATACAGAATGAATAGTTGGAATGGTTCAATAATAGGAAATTATCTGAATTTAAAACATTTTAAATTATCATTTGCAGTTAGATGTTACTCACTGAATTATAGAGTAACTAAAAATTCATACACACACAGATCGAAAATACATTTTTAAAATTTGATAAAGTTCACAGAATAATTGGGAGGGTTAAAAGCAACTCATCTTTTTATTTATTTGAGTATTTTTTAGATTTATAAATATCCCTATTTTTAAAATTTCTGAGATTTAATTCACTCACCTCACCTAATCATGGATACTTTGTCTTAAAATGGAAATAAAAATAGGCATTTAATCTTTGCCCTCCCACCCTGGTATCTTCTCCCCCTGGTCCTCTGTTTCTCAGCTTCTGATGGTTACGACCCATGACTTCCTGACTTCTCCCTCTAACTAAAGCTTCAATTTTCTAGCTGTTTAGTCTATCCTGACTATCACAAGGCAGATATCAACAGCATCAATGCCCTTGTGCTCTAGAGTTCAGCATAATTAATTAACGATCCTTCACTGGAATCTGGGAGCCCAGCTATGACAGCTTTGCTCCTTGAGTCTCCTCAGTGAGTAGCCATGTGTGCTCATAAAGTGCAACTTTTCTTTCCCATTGCCGTCATCCCCACCTTATATTGAATTGAGAGTCTGCCATGGTCTCTACTTCTAAATTCAGCCAGATTATTCAACTTACTACCCTGGGAGTCTTGCCCCGAATACGTACTAATACCCTATACCCTCTATGGACACACATTAGCCTTCACTTGCCTAATGCCTGGATATTGTCTCTACTGTAAGTTTCTCAACACTGGTTTCTTCTCTTATGATCAGAAAACTAAGCCCAATCAGAGCATGTAATATGTCAAGGTTATGTGCCTAGAAAATGCAACTCTGGAGAAAAGATTTACTAAGAATTATTTCTCTAAGACTTAATGGAAATGGTCCAGATGTATTTCCAGATCTCCATCATCTATGTGTTTTATTCTAACAACTCTCTCCCTAAACCTTTAAATAACTTTTATATTATATAACATACAAAAAAAAGATTCTTGCCTTAAAAATATTGATTCTAGGCTTGGTAGAAGGACTGTAAGTAAACTCTAAGGTGTTAAACAGAGAAGTGCGAGTGTCATGTATGTACCTCTCTGTATTCACATTTATATCCAATGGCTCAATGAACACTGAAAATGGAGAAATGTAATTGGTGGGTTGACTAAAGGTTATTTCTTCTTTATCCCTGTTTGAGAAAATAAGGAAGAAATGATTGATTTACTGTTTTTTTTTTTCTGAGGATAATCATGTCAAGAATCATTTGGAATCACCTCCAGGAAAACTGTCACAAAACTGACCATCTTTTAAATATGGTAACTTACAGTGAAGCATGTCTCACACAAATGAATGACATAAATGCAGAAAGATATCTGCAGGGTTCACGCATAACTTACCTCAGATGCTGATTACTGCCAAAATTACAACTGCCCTGCACCACTCTTGGGCACTGAATCTTGCCTGTCTATATGACAAAATCAGTGTGCCCAAGATCATTTTCTTAGCATCTATGACCAGATTGCATGCCAGGCTATGAGTTCTTTTCTTCCCTACCCACTCCTAGAATATCATATACCTTATGATAGTCCCACAATCTGACACGTTTCAGTCACTGAAGCAGAATTTCTGCTTCAAAAATCTCAGTTTTAGTAGTATACCCACATCACTTGAATGGTACTTTTTACTTTCTTCCAATATAAGGGTTCCCAGAGTGTAATATGAGAAAAAAAAAAAAACCATATTCTCCAGCACCCACAATCTAAAATGAATGAATTCTTTTAAAACATTTTTTTTTTCCAGAATAGACCTTTCAAAGGAAACCATGAAAGATTCGGACATTTCCTTATACATTTTTTAAGTTACCAAGTGGAATAATAGAGTTGCATATGAATTTTTAACTCTGTAGGTATTCTCAGTGATAAAAACGTGTGCACGGCTCATCTAACCTTCTCTTTCATACACTGATTTTAAATTCTTTTCAGCTTTATATATATAAGTAAGGAGCATGAAAGTGGCAATAGGTCCACAGAAAGAACGGACCTCTAATAGTGGATTTTGCCTGATTTATTCCCTTTACATGGAGGTCAGATAAGCTGATGAAGACATTGAGTGCCTCAATGGTTAAGAACAAGAGGTGAAAGCATACTCCCTTGCAATTCTGGGTATATGTGTGCAAGCAGAACACTGAAAATCAAGACTGAGCAGCTATTAAATAACTCGAGATCAAAAACCTAGGGAAATGGGTCCATGTGAGTTAACATGACGGGTAGAGCCTCAGATGGTAACTGGGAACTAGAGGGCAGAAGACAAGGATTCTAAGTGTCAGGGGGAATAAAACTGAGGTACAGCACGTCAAAATGTGTGAGCAGTATGGCATCCAGAACAAAAGACTGAGATGACTCATAGGACTTAGGATAAAAAGATAATAATAATACCCCTCCCATTACAGAAAAGGATGGGGCTAAGTTTCCCTTGGCTCTGCAGAAATCCTTACGACATTCTGAATATGAAAATGTATGAAATGGGAGGTAGTCCTTGTGTTTAGGGTTCCCAAGACCAACCCACCAGCAGGGCTCACAGGATGAAATATATATATAATCATATTCACAGTTAGGGGTATTACAGTTAAAGGATATAAAACAAAATCAGCAAAGGGAAAAGGTGCATGAGGAGAAGTTTGGAAGAAACCAGGCACACACTTCCAAGAGTCCTAATGGAGTCTCACAGGATGTGCTCAGTTCCTCCAGTAACAGATTTATGTGAAGTTATCAGCCAAAAGAGCTCATTAACCAGTGCTCAAGGTTTTCATTGAGGGGTGGCAATGTAAGCACCCTCTGCCTAACACATACCAAAATTCCAGACTCCCAGAAGGAAGGCAGGTGTTTAGCATAAACCACACTGTTTCTACAAACAGTTTAGGCCATTCTTATCATTTAGGGAAAGTTTTATATCAGTGTAGGAAACTGTTTATCAGCCAAGTTATCCAACACCAGCCAAGAGCCAACCTTGCAAGCAGGTCTTTTTTAAGAACAGAAGCCTCAGGTCTGTTAACTCCTTTCTACACAGTTCCCACAATAATTTTCCCTCTTTGTTTCCTTTTCAGATATAGCTGCTTTTGTTTGCAAATGGGAATCCAGAAACTTTCCTATAATCAAAAAAACTCAAGTTAAATAATTAACTCACCATATAGGACCTTATTTATTCTAGAGCTTTAGTTGTCTTAATGTATCATAAATGGGGATTAGCCTGACTTCAAGTAGCAGGTATTTCCCTAAAGCCAGCATTTATATTGGTAGTGATTTCACAGGTCCATTAACCTCAGCTGGGACTAGTTTCTTTAGAATGAAAATGCAGTGATACAAATTACAACCTAGGTTCTCTGGTGACCAGATGTTCACGATAGCATATTAGAGATATAGTTTCAGCAGTGAGTTTGTGGGTGAGTCAGAAAAGGCCAAGAAGACAGAAAAATTTACTAGGTTCGTTAACTACGAGAATGCTACAGGCTTCACAAGGAGCCAAGCAAACTCTCTCACTTTCCTGAAAAGGATAGTTGTCCAGATAATATAAGCAGAGAAGCTGAATATTAACTGCTAAAACTGTTCAAAGAATCCCAATAACTTTTGGACGTCCTTGACTGTCTAGAGAATATGGAAGGGCTTCTTGTCCATTTTCCTTGGGAGGGTGAGGTACAGATTCTCGGAAACCAATGATCTCTGGTATGCTATCTGGTTCTGCTCTTAACGATGCACAATAAATGATTCTGACATGTGCATGTGGGCCAGGCAGCTATGAATTCATGAGCTAACTGCTCAAGCAAGCTCAGGGTCAAGTGCCTACAGGTGGGCTAGAAACATGGTTCAACAGCTAGGTTCAAATAGCAAGTCTGAGAAAGGAGGGCCTGAGATGGGAATGAAGAATTAGAGTGAAAAGCCAAGACGCAAAAGAGTGACAGTGATGGGAGAACAAAAGGAAGAGAAGCTGCTTGGAGAAATACTATCCTTAGAGGTCTGTGGCGGACAATGGGCTTTTTATAAGTTCTCCATGGTCTACTGAGTGAATAAAATAGTTCTGTTTGAAGGGATCTGAGCTGAGTAGGCAAACTTAGTATTAAAAAAAGGAAAATAAATGAAGGAAATATACTATAATAAAAATTTAAATACATTCTTACATTTTCTTATGTGCTATAGGAATCATTCTCAAAAAAGCTTTCAACAGAAATAAAATGACCTGAAAGCAATGTTTTTAAACTACCGCAACAGGCCTGAGATATCGATCCTTAGAAAAACCTGTATGCAAGGTTGGCCCTCGGCTGGTGTCTGGGAACATGGCTGGTAAACAGTTCCCCGCACTGATAGGAAACTTTCCCTAAGTGATAAGAGTGGCTCACTGTGACTAACTGTCCACGATGTGGTTTATGCCAAACATCTTCACATAATGTCCCACCTTTCCTTTTGAGAGTCTGGAATTTGGGTACCTGCTAGCCAAAAACTGGTTTTCCTTCTGAACTTTTTTTTTTTCCTCTTTAAAGAGATTCACAAACATAGCACTCCTGGAATTATCACACTGGAATAGTCTACTTACCAGCTTGACTGATTATATCTTTCGATTAACCAAGCAAGTATCTTCAAAACAACAACTATAACAAAAACCTACTGCAATAACTTCTGGCCTGGTCTACAAACTGGCAGTCGCATCCGTCTCAAAGAAATTACTTATCTACTGAGAGCCTACATGGTCATGACACTCAACTGATCTAAAATCCTCAAAAGTTCGTTATTGTCTCCTGAATTATGATCAAACTTATTAGCCTGGCACTCAAGCCTTTTACAATTTGTCCTTGGCCTACATATTCAATTTAGCTTTACACTTTACCATTTTACCCATTTACACTTTAACTGTTCGTTACCTGTGTGTGACATATATGCTTTACATGAGAATTCTTTCAAAAATATCATGATCTATGATTTCAAGGTATCTCAATTCAATAAGAATTTTTTTGACCATCTACTACGTGCAAGGCTCAGTGTCCTGGGCACTGAAAGGGATAGAAAAATGAACAAGACCTGATCCCCACTCTCTATGATGAACAACATAATTCATAGTCACTTTCTGAAAACCATTTGAGTCCTTAATGTGCTAGATCTATAACATGCTCCATTGCAGGAACTTCCCTGGGGAGCTTGGTGCTTTGTGGACTCTTTGGATATTCCCAATAACACCATATTTAATTAGAACGTTTTTATTGGCCGGGCGCAGTGGCTCATGCCCATAATCCCGGCACTTTGTGAGGCCTTGGCGGGCGGATCGGCTGAGGTCGGGAGTTCAAGACCAGCCTGGCCAACATGGTGAAACCCTGTCTCCACAAAAAATACAAAAAAATAGCTGGGCGTGGTGGCGGGCGCCTGTAATCCCAGCTACTCGGGAGGCTGAGGCAGGAGAATCACTTGAACCTGGGAGGTGGAGGTTGCAGTGAGCTGAGATCGCGCCATTGCACTCCAGCCTGGGCAACAAGAGCGAAATTCCATCTCAAAAAAAAAAAAGAAGGCTTTTATTATATCTTTCAGTTTATCCCCTTTTTAAAAAGCATTATCTGGCCATGTGCACACAGCTTTATTTAAAGATTTCCTTATAAAGTGATTTATTGTTCTTACCTCTTCTTAGCTTGGTGTTACAGAAGAATAATTATTTGCAAATATGAAGATCAAAACTTTACATTTATTCTAGGTTTCTTTCTATCCTTCAGAAATACAGTTAGGCATGTCTTTCCCAGCTGATCGCTATTTACTCAAGCGCTGACAAAGCATGCCAATCGCTCCCCCCATTACTGCCACTAGGTTCTGAGCTGAAATCATTAAAGAGTACAAGACACTTAGTTTAAAAATGCTACGTATTAATTTAAGGTCTGTAATACTATTTCAGATAAACAGCCTCAGTTTCCTTCAGTACAACCTCAGTGTTTGACTAGTAGTATTTGCATCAAAAAGCATTAAAAATAAAATAACACGTTACAATGTTGAAGACTACCATTCATAATGAAAATGTAACTATTATTAATACTTGCTTACCAAATAATATATCAACAATTTTTGTGAAGGAGAAACTATAGGAGATGTGAGAATAAACAGACAAAACACAGTATTGGAGATTTTAACAAATCTCTCAGAATCCAAGAAAATGAAGGTAACAAATATTACTACAGATGTAAAAGACATAAATAACATAATCAATAAGGCAGATCTCATAGGTATCTATCAAATTCTATATACTATTAAGAGGAAATACCTTCTTTCAAGTTGCACATTGAATTTTCACAAAAGTGACATTTTAGGCCACAAAGAAGACCTCAATAATCCAAAGAATAGAAATATACAAACAGCATTCTCTGCCTACATGATTTAAAATCAGACATTAATTTAAAGCAATCAAAAGGAAAAATGGTACTTTCTCTTGGAAATTCATAGTCAGAAATTTTAGGATACAGCTAAAGCAGTTACCATAACAATAAACATGAAAAATATACCAACTAAATATCCAATTTCCAAAGCTAATAAACAAAAAAAGTGGAATGAAAAAAGTTGATAGTGTTAAAACCAAAAATTAATGAGTTGGAAAACAGTAGAGTTAATTAGTAAATGCAGAAGTGCTTTGAAAGAAAACAAGAAAAAATACTAATTAAAACAATAAATGAAAAAGGTAGAAAGCACAAGTATACATAATTAGAATTAACAATTAATAATTTAAAAAAAATAGAAGAATAGACTCCCTTGGGAATTTCTACCAAATTTTCTATCAAATTTTTAAAGACCAGATCCAAATGCTACTTAAAATATCCCAGTGCACAGAAAACTAAGGAAAACTTATTTTCCTTGTTATATTAGAAATATATATTTTCTAATTTGAGTATAATATTACAATCAAAAAAACACATCAGTTTCACTATGAATATTGATTACACAAACTAAAAAACAAAAAACCCCAAAATTAGCAAAGAAAGCACAAGAGCATATTAAAAACTAATTCATCATGACCAGGTGGAGTTTATTCCAGGAATGCTTACTGGGCCAATATTATAAAATCTATTCATATAACCCATTAAATAAGCAGAGGAAATAAGATAGAGGAAAGAAGTAGAGGAAATAAGATAGGGAAAATGCATCTGAAAACAATTTAGCACTTGTTTATATTTTTAAAAATTTCCCAATAGGAATAGATATTTCCTATCAATATGCAATATATATTATATAATGATACATGTACACACACACACACAATTTCCATCTCAAAGCCAACATCTTACTTGATGGAGAAATGAAAGGAAATTTCCTGCTCAAATCAGGAACAAAAAGATATCAGTTGTCCCCATCTGACTGAATATCATGTTGGAAATATTAGCTACTGAAATGAATAAACAATTGGAAATATAATAATTGGAACGGAAAAGGCAAAATGATATCTAATGTAGGTGATATAAATGTCTAGAAAATCTAAAGAAACACTTGGAAAAATAAAACAGAATAAGAAAATTCCCTATCCCATCCCTCTCCTGCTCTTTTTGTGGACTTTTATGTGTTTTTAGCACTACCAGTAAGTCAAGTTAAAAACTGTGGTGTCATAATAATAATACTAGTTTCATTTGAGTGTTCACAATCTGCATTCACTCTATGCTTTGCAGACCCCCACTCTTATTTAGGCAGTTGCTAAGTAACATAGAGTTTGTTTCCGAAATGCCCCTCCTATCAGTCTTCCTTTTGGGTCCATCACTCACTCTCCACATATAACTGGTAAATGGTTGCCTGTGTAGCGATGCTTGTTTTACATGTAATTTCCCTGATATAAAGTCAACTTCTTGACCTGGTTTTCTACCATAACTTACCTTTCCAGGCTTATTTCTGCTTACTCTTTTATACATGCATTGTTTATCAGGACCAGCCTTCTGAGTATCTCTTAGATATACCTGTACTTGCAGTTCAACAACAAGAATTATTTCCCTAAAACATGCTATAATAATAATGTGTCTTGTTTAGGCTTTGTGTTAAATAATTTGCACACTGTGTTGTCCCACATTACCAGGGCTGTAATTCCTTCCTCCTTTGCTATGTAACTTCCCAGGGTATTTTTTTGTTTTACATTTCAGATTTGTTTTTATTTTATTAACTCTACCTGATTATATACTTTTGAGTGTAGAAAGTGATCAGTACAATCTCTGTATCACTTGCAGTATAGATGGCATTCAATAAAAATCCTTTTTTTTCTTTTTTTGTTAACAAACTGTGCCAGCCTGGAAGTTAAAAACTAAGATTTTAAACGCAACTAAGGATCTCTCTTTAGTCTCTATTTTATCGATTTTTCATTAGTTGGCTCTATTTGAGCAGGGAGTCTGCCTTATTAGTGCTGTATTCTCAAGGCTTAGAACTATTCCTGGTACACGGTAGGCACTTGGTAATAATCCTACCTGTATGGCTATACAAAAATTAATTGAATGGTCATGAATAATGCAAAGAAGCAAAAGCTTAACAAGAGACAACATAAGCCAGTATCAAGATCAGATGTTCACAGTTTTCTGGTTTGTTCCTGATCACATTCCAGGACAGATATTTTTGTTTGGTTTATGGACTGAAATTTTTAAAAAAAATTTATTTCAGCAGACCCTGAATCCATTTTTATAAAAACCCTTAGCTGTGAAAGGAACAAAGGTTTTGGCAGATAGTATAATCAGAGTCAGGATTGGCTCGGTTTGAACCCTAATGCCCTTCAGGATATTGAAAATGTGATAAAATAATTGCATTATTTATTAATGACCCAACGAAATTCTTATACATTATGCTGTAGAGCAATTCCGCAGCCATTATCTTCTTTGCTCCTAAGAACCCAGAAAGGTTATCCTTTTATTTATCAGAAATCACCATGTTAAAATGCAAATACTTAGGATCGGTAGCCTCAACCCTTATCTTCTAAAACATCTTTAGCTATCCATACAAAGCAAAGCATTAATAGGAATTGGACTGACGTTGGAGGTGGAAATACTGATGCACGTGACAGCTTTAAGGACTTGGGCGGCTAATTCCCCACTCCCCACTGCTCCTCAGATCCTCCAAAAAAAGCTCAAGTCCTAACTTTGACCAGGTTTGACAAAGAAGGGAGAGGACCAGGCGTTTTGTAAAGTGCTGCTTCCAAACGCCACCCGTCAGGACAGATTCTAAACCACCTTAACTTGCTGCCGGTTTCAAGTGAAAATAAATGGTACATAAGTAATCAAGAAGTCGCAGTCCCAGACCTCTGACCAAAGAACCGAAAAAGGACAGCGAACGACCGGTTCCCAATTCTCTGAACCCAAAGGTCGGAGAAGCAATTTAGAAGAGGAGGGGGTGGGTCTTCCACAACAAACCCCGCCCCTCCCTCACTCGTCGCTGATTGGTGGCGGCGTTAGGCCGCGACGGAGGGGCGGGCCCGCGGCTGAGTCTCTCCCTTTCCGCGCCGCCCCGTGCGCGCTGTGGGTGTGTTTCGGGAAGCGGGCGCGCGCGCGCTCGCGTCGGAGGACCGGAAAGGAGGCGGGGCTGCGGCGGCGCGCGCTCCCGGAACGCGCGCACCGCAGACGGCGCGGATCGCAGGGAGCCGGTCCGCCGCCGGAACGGGAGCCTGGGTGTGCGTGTGGAGTCCGGACTCGTGGGAGACGATCGCGATGAACACGGTGCTGTCGCGGGCGAACTCACTGTTCGCCTTCTCGCTGAGCGTGATGGCGGCGCTCACCTTCGGCTGCTTCATCACCACCGCCTTCAAAGACAGGAGCGTCCCGGTGCGGCTGCACGTCTCGCGGATCATGCTGTGAGTGAGGCCGGGCCGGCGGTGCAGGACGCCGGGACCGGGCTGGGGCGGAAGCCGAAGCCGGGCCGCCGCGCCGGGGCTGCCGTGCCGGGGCCGCGGGCAGGGCGTCCGGATCGCCCTCCTGAGCGGCAGTTCGCCCCCGAGGGCGGTCGTCAGGGGTGGACGTCGCAGGCTTTTCCGGCGTCCCCTCGGAACTTGCACCCCTCCACCGTAAATTCCCGGGCTTGCTCTTAAATTTTAATTTTGAGCGTTCCTCAGGTCGGTGCCTCCGCTTGCTTCCTGTTCCTCACTTCCCTCCACCCACGCCTGGCCAATGAGGGAGCAACACAACAGCAGAGCCGGCGCCGCCGCCCGCCTGGGCTGGCGCCTCCCGCGCGTCCGGTGCCGCTCGTGGTCCGCATGCGAGGCCCTCCAGGCGCTGCCGCCGCGCTCTGGGTCGGGCTTCCGTGGGGTTTCCTGGCGGCTCTGGAGGCCACAGGACGGGGTTGTCTTTGTGTCATTCATCACCCGAGTTTGCCCTGTTTGACATTCCCTTTACAGTTGTTGCCTTTGCACCTTCAGAAGGCAGTAAACAGTTGGAGCTGCTTTGAAGTTGGCCAGAGATGTTGGGCACTGAGAGAATTAAGCATCTTAGCCTTCTGATACAGCGAGATTTTTGTTTTGTTGGGTTTCTTTATTTCTTTTTCTTTTGCCAACCACTTGAAGAAGTCTGCGAAAACGCCAAAAAATGCAGTTCGAAATGACAGTGCCATTTCGCTATTGCCTATTTTGTCCTTGATTTTATTCTCTGGCACTTTTGTCTTTAATCGTCGTATTTTTCCATCTCTTGTTCTCATACCCTTCTACTCTATTTCCGTCTTACACAAGTTCTTTAACCTTAGTTTATTTCTTTGTCAGAATCGCCAAGAAGCCAGTTATCAAATAGCGAGCCTTCTCCCCCCACCTTTTTTTTTTTTTTTTAAATTACTGTACTGATGTTTGTTAGATATTGTTCGAATAGACCTGGGGTGGACATCAGCACTGCCATTGTCAGCCCTGTGAGGGTTAGAAGAGCTTGGTGCATATTAAACACTGAACAGATGTTAGCTGTTGTTGTCTTGAGCAAGTTTTCTTACCATTCTGGGCCTTAATTTCTTTTTGTTTAAGATGGAAGTAATACCTAATTTTTAGGTTGTGAGAATTATTTGAAATGTGAAAAATATTGTCAGTGGGTCTGAGCCGTAGTAAACAGTAAATAGCAGCTGGTTACAGTAGTATCCCCTTAATGGGGTAGGTATACGTTCCAAGACCCCCAGTGGATGGCTGAAACCACGGATAGCACCAAACCCTATATATACTTGGTTTTTTCCTATACCGTACATACATACCTACCTATGATAAAACTTACAAGTTAAGCACAATAAGAGATTAACAATAACATAATAGAACTGTAACAATATACTATAATAAAAGTTATGTGAATATGATCTCTTTCCCCTTCTCTCAAAATAACTTATTTTACTGGACTCACCTATTTTCACACCAGATTGACCGCGGATAATTGAAACCGGAAAGTGAAACCTCGGATAAGGGGGTGATTACTGTATCACCCTTTAATATGCCATCTGTTAGTATTCGTATCACCTTGTAGTCATGTGTAGCTTTCTTCTACCCATTCTGCAAAATTGCTTTACATCAAGTATTTACTATTCTTTTTAGCAGTTTTTATCCCCTTCTGAGTTTTGTTAGGGATTCTCTTGAGGTATATGCAATTAGCTGAAGACCTACTTTAATATTGGATTAGAATGTTTCTCCTGTTTTCACACTTACAGGTTTCTCTGGTGTTTACTCGTTTCTTTGTGGAATTGCAGTTTCACCTATGCACACACCTGTATTCTTTCTCTTTAAGAAGTTACGTGAATTGTGTATGTTCTGTTGGAAGGATGGTAAAACTTTTATCTTTATTCCTAGAAAAAATGTAGAAGATTTCACTGGACCTAGAGAAAGAAGTGATCTGGGATTTATCACATTTGATATAACTGCTGATATCCTTTAAGAAAATATTTCGTTGCGTTTTCTGTAGTTTTATAATGAGATATGTGTTGTTTAATGATTTGGGATACAGTGTGACTATCTCATTGAATCAGCCAAACCTTGGAAATTCCGCCTTTTTCATCAGTAAAATAATGTTAATACCTCCCCATGACACTTGGAGAAAACTTCATAGATTCATGAGTAGTTGTGTGAACATACTTTAAATTCTTAACCGAAACATTAAATTGATTGAAAACTACATAAGAAAGTTTGAATCTGTATTTTAGAAAGAAAAAATAAAATTAGATCATTTGGATAAGAAGGAAAAATATTACCAATGCTCAGCCTGCCTGTGAATATTTCATGTACAATTTCAAATAATATATCCATATTTTATTATAGCAGAGAGAAACATATGTTTAAAAAGTGAATTACGTGTGTTATGATTTGAAAAGGTCATATCAAAATTATTGGTAACCTGTGGTTGCTTTTTGCCGTCATAACTCTTTTTATAAGGACTTTTATAAAAGTCAGAAAATATTAACAATTATAAGAGTTTCTTTGGTGGTGATATTTAAATATTTTCTCTTGAGATTGAGTTTCTATCTTTTGACAACTCTGATCATTTTGGCCAGGCTAGTCTTTTTTAGGGTCTTTCTTAGGTTAATATCTTGGCAATGTTCTCTGCCATTTCTAGCCTGATTTCATCTGCCTTTTTAATACCCCGTGATTTAAATGGTTGTGGAGATTGAACGATCTGAACTTGTGTGAAAGTACCTGTCTGAACAGTTAAAGCTGATCATATACTTGGGGAATTTATCTAATTTGCCTTTCTATGACCATGAAATTTACTTTTAGCTTAAGTTTTGGTAATTATTGGATTTAGAAATAGGCTAAGAATTAGTTCTGTAGGTACCTTTTTAGGAAATAGAGTGTACCATCGGAAGAGTCTTATGCTGAATTTCATGTGTATTTTTAAGTCTTTGTGTAATTTTTAAAAATCTGCTTAAGGGAATTTAGGTCTACTGTGAGGGTAGTAATTTTGTGTATCCAGAGAATTATAGTGAAATTTCCTGGTATCTATGGTATTTATATATTACCAATCTCATTATTTGTAGTTTCTTCAGATTTTCTTAATGCTGCTGCTACTACTACTTGAAATTGTTGCTGTTCTTGTAAACAGCAGTCCTAGACTTAGTTCTAAAGGAGTGATTCTTAGTGGTTACACATAATTAATAATGGAATGTAACAAATGTGTTACTACCAGTGTGGAAACTCATATAGTAAAATGAGTTAACTTAACAATTAACATAATACTTAAAAATCCAAATATTAACTCCGCTTATTTCTTGGTATTGGCACCAGTCTTGTTAATTCTGGTGAAGTTCTTGTCCTCTTTGGGAGACTGAATTGAGCCACATTGGTGTCATTTGCATCTTTGAGAGACATTTTAATGTCTACTTGCATGTGACCAAAAGTGACATGTACAATTTATTATACTTGGTTAATTATTGAGCCTTGTTTATGTTTGCATATTGTTAAATTTAAATGGTGGTGATTGTTTATACTTTAGAGCTCCAGTGGAATTGTATTTGCTTGAAATATCGAGTCCTCTTTTTTTTTTTTTTAACTTAGTTGATGTTACAGAAAACCAAATTTTGGATTTGTTCTTTTCTTACTAGTCAAAGTATCTCAGCTAGTAATCCTTGGAGGAGTATGGGAGGATGCCAGTAATCTCATACTGACATTTTTTTGTTTTGGAATAAGCTGGATTTCACAATGTATTTATCTTCTGCATATTTTTATTAAATTAGTGGCACATTATGTTTCTGGGCCGCCTCTTTTCTACTTTAGTATTACTGTTATGGATAAATAACCTAAGAATAATTAAGATCTATTTAAAAGTGATATACTGCTCATAAATTTATATTTTCCTTAATTTACTTACATCTAGAGAATATATTTGATTGGAATGTTAAGCAGTTGTTTCTTTATTTATCAGCAGAATATTCAACAAAAAATAATGTAAGTATATCTAATTAGAAGTATTTTAATAGCTATTTAAAGTCTTACTCTTTACGAAAGAATACACATTTTTATATATTTAAAATATCTGACCTGAGTTACCTAGCAAAACATCACAAGCCAGTGGAGGTAGCTGTGTTATGAAAACATTTGATCTTTTGGGAGCCTTTTTGTTGTTGTTGTTGTTTGTTTGTTTGTTTTCTGTTTGTTCTATTTAGCTCTCTAGCATTGGGGTCTCCAGAATGGAGACTTGCTATATGAACAGACGTTAATGTTCATATTCAGCCCTTAAGTCAGATAGATGGGCACATGCCTTCTACAATATGCAGATATTCTGGAGGAAAGGAGGAATTCTGTAGGTCAAGAAGTTCACCATGCTACCTAGTATTTATTCATTTGCTTTCAGCATGTTGTAAAATATTGCAGTATATGCAATACATAAGTGGATTATATTATAAAATTTTAGCCAATCCTTTCAAAATGGAAAAGTGGCTTAAAAAGATTTCTGCAAAGAAATCACAGATTGAAGATAATGCTAATAATCCATGCATATGTAAACAGTAGGAAAATGGTGGAGCTCATACTTGTATTCCTCTTCTGAGCTGCTGTGTCACACTGAAGGATTAAAAAAACACAAAGACAACCTAGATAGATCTGATAACTTGGCTGAGACACTGTCAATGATATTAATTAACAATAGTAAGATCAGAAAGATATTGCTGAACTATCAACTAGGAAATGGAGTGGGTAGCCGGTAGTATTGCCACCACTCAGCTGTTTCCTTTTTTTTTTTACTTTTTTTTTTTTTTTTAAGACAGAGTCTCGTGCTTGTAGCCCGGGCTGGAGTACAGTAGCGCCGTCAATCTCAGCTCACTGCAAGCTTTGCCTCCTAGATTCAAGCAGTTCTCCTGCCTCAGCCTCCTGAGTAGCTGGGATTACAGGCGCCTGCCACCATTCCCAGCTAATTTTTGTATTTTTAGTAGAGACGGTTTCACCATGTTGGCTAGGCTGGTCTCGAACTCCTAACCTCAGGTCATCCGCATGCCTCGTCCTCCCAAAGTGCTAGGATTACAGGCATAAGCCACCGCGCCCGGCCGTTGTTTACTCTTTAAGCTAAAATATTCTCTCTCCACAGCTGCAATTAGAGAGCTGCATGGTGACCTACTTGAATCAACAAAATTTGAGACCTGTGATTATAATTCTCATTATGACTATATATAATCAAAAGCTGTAAAGATTGTTAATAATTTTCAAACCTTCTGAGATTATTTTAAAATCCATCTTAGTACCAGATACCTTTCTTTAAAAAAAAAAAAAAAAAGAACATGGTGCAAGGTGTTTTTGGTAGTCTACATTAAGCCATATAGCTACAATTAATTAATATCCTTACCTATTGAGAACAATTTGCCTTTGTTTTAGGGTTGCATGGGATTCATTAATCTGAGTATCTGAGTACTTGAACTGGTTTTTTGTTGTTGTTGTTGTTTTTATTTATTTATTTTTAACACGGAGTTTTACTCTTGTTGTCCAGGCTGGAGTACAGTAGTATGATCTCGGCTCACTGCAACCTCCACATCCTGGGTTCAAGTGATTCCCCTGCCTCAGCCCCCCAAGTAGCTGGGATTACAGGCACCCACCACCATGCTAATAACTTTCAATCATAAACTAATAGTTTTAATAGGTTTTGATATAATGGTTTAATAGCTTTTAATTATAAAACTTATTATGAATTATAATTTGTGATTTAAAAAACTAGTTCAGGCCGGGCACAGTGGCTCACACCTGTAATCCCAGCACTTTGGGAGGCTGAGGCAGGTGGACCACCTGAGGTCAGGAGTTCCAGACCAGCCTGGCCAACATGGTGAAACCCCATCTCTGCTAAAAATACAAAAAATTAGCCAGGCGTAGTGGTGCGCGCCTGTAATCCTAGCTACTTGGGAGGCTGAGGCAGGAGAATCGCATGAACCTGGGAGGTGGAGGTTGCAGTGAGCTGAGATTGTGCCATTGTACTCCACCCTGGTTGACAGAGCAAGACTCTATCTCCAAAAAAAAAAGGAAGAAATAACTGCTCTACATTTCTTTTTAGTTAATGTAGTCATCATATACTGAGTAATTGGCCTTAAAAGCGAATAGATGCTAACTTAATAAGAGCAAATTCCTTGGGATTTAGTAGTGGCCACAAATTTTTTTTATTTCCATTTCATACTTTTAATTTTCTAAATGGAACTTATTTGTAATATGTTGAAAGAGTAGCTTAAAAGAATTGTCTGACCTCTAGAATTTTGCCTTGATGAGACAACAATGCATGTATTTTCTTAATTAAAGGGAAAAAAGATCTTTAAAAGGCTTCATTTCTTTAGTGATTTCTTAAAGCTTTTGTAAAGAAATCTTGGAGAAGATTTCTTATAAATTTTCATGACATAATTAATCAGCAGTAACCTGTATTAGCAGTGTGATGGAACAGGGATTGGCTCTTGTCTGTTTTCCTGGCACCATTTAGGATCCATGCTGAGCTGGAGGGTCTTAGAAATTTTATAGGGAAAAGTGATTTAAAAGAATACTTCCCTTCTAGGGATTTAATTCATCTGTTCCTCCAAAGGCCTCACTTTTTGGAGATCTTATAGATCAAAAACCTTGCATTAAGTTATGAAGGCACTAAGTAATACAGTTGAGTTAGCAGAAGGAATGAACTCCTTCAGGGAATTGTCATTCTTCTCTCTGAGAAAAGTTTGCCCCTTTTTTGTATCTCTCTCTTTGCTATCATTTGTATGCATTAAGATTTCAGCAAGCTCCTCAAGTTGAATTCATTAACATGTCAAACTATTTGCTTACTAATACTTTTAATTTGAAGTGATAAGATGGTATTTCTGATGAGTTATCTAATTAATTTTCATTTTAATATAGGCTCTGAACCAAGTTGTCCTATGGGACAAGATTGTTTTGAGAGGTGATAATCCGAAGCTGCTGCTGAAAGATATGAAAACAAAATATTTTTTCTTTGACGATGGAAATGGTCTCAAGTGAGCAATTCTTGGTCATTTTTTTACATTTAATAAGAGGTGAAAAAGAGAGAAAGATGTATTTTTATTTTAAAGAAAAATACTTGAGAGTAAAAGGAGAAAAATTGGGAAAGAAGTATTTATGCATATCTGAACTGAAAGATTGGGTGGAAATGCAAAGTGAGATCTAAGATAAGCAATTCTCTTGCAGTTTCTGAAATGTCATAGTCAAACTAATAAAGCTTCTATCCTAAGCGTGTACAAGGAATACGGGCTTGTTCAGATGCGGTAGGGCTGTGGTGGTCAAATCAAAGGGCTCCTTTCTGAGCGTGAGTCGGGAAACCTTAGAAGCAGCATGTTGGGTCTAGGAGTTGATAATAGTTAAAAGAAGTAGTATTGGTTCTCCAAACGTGACTTCTCTAAAGCTCATTTTAGTCAGTGTGATTGATCTCTCAGGTTATTTTTACCTCTTAGACTCTAGTGGTAAACATTGGAAATAATTTTAGAAGAAAGCTATTTCGACCAAGCCAAACGTCTGTATTTGCAATGAAAATTTCAGAACATGAGAATTTTGTTAAGGTTTGTCCATCTAGATAATTGACAGAGTTAGGCTTCAAATCATTGCTCTGATTCTTAGCTCGTCTCTTTTTACATTTACTGTTTTAATCATTTAAACTTTTCGGTTGATGGTTCTAACTGCAGCTGTGAGTTTAGATGGGTCATCCTGGGATATCAGTAAATGTAGTGCCCCTGTCTTCTAGCATTGTCCTTGGATTTTAAGTGACATGAGAAAATAGTTCTTTTTGCAGATTAACATATTAGGATTTCTGTTAGGAATAGATGGTTATAAATAAAGTATTTGACATCTCAGTGTTTGTCTTAAAATTTTTTTTGAACTACTAGTGTCTCTGATGACTTGTGTTTATTATATCTTTTTATAGGGGAAACAGGAATGTCACTTTGACCCTGTCTTGGAACGTCGTACCAAATGCTGGAATTCTACCTCTTGTGACAGGATCAGGACACGTATCTGTCCCATTTCCAGATACATATGAAATAACGAAGAGTTATTAAATTATTCTGAATTTGAAACAACATATTTTTATACTTAATGAATTGTATCTCATTAATCTCTTCCCTTACATCTTCATGTATTGTTGGTTTGTTTTTTGGTTTTGGGTTTTTTTTTTTTTTTTTTTGGTATAAGAACTAACATCAAAAGGCCTGTTTAAAGGGAAAGGTTAATGGGCTACTTAATATTATGAACAAAACAAAAAAACAAGGCTGCCACAGTGGAATATTATCTTACAAGAATAAGAACTACATAAAACAGATTTGTAAAAAATACATATTTGAAGTATTCCCTGTATTTCCATTATTCTTTATGGAATATAAAGTAAGCATGAAAGGTAGTTAAAACTTTCAGGTGCCTGTAGAGTCATAATAACTGTATTTTATGCCTTGCATTCACGCAAATTCACATTGGATGTGATTTAAAAGTAGACATTCTCTTTTTCCTCTTTTAGGATATGTTTGATTACTGGAAAATTAATATGGTTATTTGTTAGAAGTCTGGTTTATAAAAAAGCCAAAAGTGATGGAATTTATTCCATTTGTCTTAGGAAGGCCCATAATACTTGTTTTTCTTACATGTGACTAGCAACTTTCTCCACTTAAAGACTAAATACCTCTTTATATGATGTAAATTATTCTAATTCATTTTAAAATCTTTTAGGTCAGCAAAATGTGTGTCTTCAGTGCTTTCTCTAAAAACGTTCCTTTATAGCTTTGTACTTTTTTTTTTAGCGTTGCCATTGAAAGTTAAAATGTTTGCATGGTTTACCCTCTGAGTTATGTTTCTTCTAGTGAGCATGCCTGCTGTCACTAAGTGAATTATTTACTACTTTTTGTAGGTCTATATTTTAATAATTATTGGGATAATAATAATTGTGGTATGCTTTCCATTTACAAACCACTCATATACTTTAGTGTATGTCATCCTCAATAATCTAATGAGGTAAGTAGTATAAGTGTTAGCTCTTTGCAGATAAGAAACTGAAACCCAGAAGTTTATTGAATTGCTTCATTGTTACCTAGCCAGCAAGGAGTGGAATTAAAACTTGAACTCAGATCTTCTAATTTTCTGAGCTCATCCTTTCTCTTATACCTCAGATTGCAGACTAATCAAATTTTACTTAAAACCTTCCTGATATTTTTGTTACCCTGGACACCCTTTCTATTCTAGAAAAGGTTTCCCATTTTATATGGAAGTGACTAATTTTCAAGCTGCCAACAACTTATATCGAGGTAATATTTTATTCTCTGAATAAATTCATTTCACTTATATTAAAAGCATAAGGAAATCTACATGTATGTAAAAATAACTTAGAAATTCAGTACATAATACATGATTGAATACATGATCGTATTTAACATGTTTTTTTTTTCTGCAGTGGACAAATAAACATCCTCAAAGTAGCAACTGCAAATCAGTTACCCTTAGAAAAGCAAGACCAAACACTGTAGTTACACTATTAGCAGTGACCAAAAAGGGCTAATATTTTCTAAGAATAGTTTAAATTACAGACATTTGTTATATTTACCTTATGTGAAATACATCACTATTTAATTACATTAATTTTAACATCTGTTGTGTGGAGTTGTATAGTTCATGCAAAAGCCTGTGGGTATGGGTTTTTCAAACCAGCAGAAAGGTCAAAGGTACCTGAATGCTAAACTGCCTGGCTCCCAGCTTTTTCATTAAACTTTTCAGGGTCTTGGTTTCTTTATCTGTAAAATGACAGAGTTGGACCAGTTAACTTTAATGGCCATCCTTTTACACCACACAAGTTGATAAAATTTATCTGTTCAGCAAAGAGATTGAACAAAAAAGCACGTTAGTAATATGAAGACAGGAAAACGAATGAAAGTCTAACACATAACTCATATTGATTTACTTTATTTCTGTTAGATTTTACACTCTGAAAATTTCACCTCATTTAGTTTGTACAAATACTAGACATGGAAACTTAAAATGTGCAGGTGTCAAAGCTTAAAAATCAGGTGTGTCCTCTTTAAAGGCATGTGCGATAAGCCTGCAGTCTTAACCAGACCTGGTACCAGTTTAACAGTTCATGATACTTCTGTGATGAGTGGATCTGTTAGTCTGGTAGAGATTAATGTTGAAATTTACTTGAATTACAGTTATTTGACAAGCCCACTTTTTTTGGAGTTTGGTGAGGAAGATAAGTAAAAATGCCCAACTAGTACAATGTGGAGAAAGTTTTCTGTTTGCTTGACTAAGGGAAATTGCTCAGAAAAAGAATGCTCCAACATGGGAATAAGGACCTTCAGTCTCAGGAACTCATTTTTGGGTGCAGTTTCTACATTTAAAAAATTGACTTGTGTTCAGTTTGATAACCAGTTCATTTGCTTTAGTCTCAGTGTTTTAAAGAAGTCTCATAATGTTCTACAAAGACACAAAGCTTCAGGCTTATACAAAACTGAGTATGATTAGAAATACCTGAGCCCAGAAATGATTCTGAGAAAAGAGAATAATTTGAAGACACTTATTTAAAAGTAATTATGGTTAGAAATGAATTAATTTAAAAATGTGTTCACATATCCCTTTCTCTAACAGTTTAACCTAGACAAACATCTGTATCAGTATTTTTTTATTCCCCTGATTGATTACATTTGGTTTCTTTATTCTGAAAGGAAAATAACAAAAACTTCAGAAATTCCTAAGGGTGTAATAAGAAAGTGGGTTTTGAGTTTCCTTTCCTGGAATTATTTTACAGTTCTTTGGTGGGTCTCGTCAGCCAATTCATAGCTGGGCTTTAAGATTATCATCTTAGAGATGATAGATGGGCTTTTTAAAGATTTCATCTTAGAGATGAAAAGCTGGGCTTTTTCTCTAAGATGATAATCTTAAAGCCCAGCTATTAATTGATAATGAACATTTTTCACTATTTTTTTTTCTATCTGAAGCTTAGAGATCTAGAGCTTTGGATCTTTCGGGTATATGTCAATGGAGGTATTATTTTATAATACTTTGCATTGACATGAAGTGGGTTCATGGGGGAAAACCATGAGCTGTGAACATTGGTAGCAAACAAGCATATATTCATTTCAAAACTTTCCTTGCTTTTAGCAGAGAGAAGCCTGTATATGTTACATGTGTGACTTTCAGTAGTTTAAAGAGATGTTTCAAAAAATTGTTGCATGTTTTTGATGCAATTTGGGAAATTGTTTACTTCACAATGTAGTCATTCATAAAAAAATTCATGAAAATACTGAACATATGTTTGAGGATTTTTCTTTTCCTTTTTAAATTTTTTTATTTTTTCTGAGACGGAGATCTGCTCTTACGCCCAGGCTAGAGTGAAGTGGCGCGATCTTGGCTTACTGCAACCTCCACCCCCCAGGTTCAAGCGATTCTCCTGCCTCAGCCTCCGGAGTAGCTGGGATTACAGGCGCCCGCCACCACGTCCGGCTAATTTTTGTATTTTCAGTAGAGACGGGGTTTTGCTATGTTGGCCAGGCTGGTCTCAAACTCCTGACCTCAAGTGATCCACCTGCCTCGGCCTCCCAAAGTGTTAGGATAACAGGTGTGAGCCACCGTGCCCGGCTGAAGATTTTTCTTAATTGCAATAAATATTCAGCATTTTTTCTAATGAAAATGAATTTTGTTTACCAGTAAAAGTATGCATTTTAAAAGACTTTCAGATTTATGCTTTTTACGTGAAGCTGCTAAACTAAAAGTAAATGGAAGAAACCAAGTCTAGTAGGTTTTTTCTTTTTTTTTGTGGGGGTGGGATGGGGGAGGTTAGTTACACTTAAAATATCTTCTCCAGAGACTGTATGCTCCTATACTAGACTGTAAGCTCTTTGAGGGCAGTCTGTCAGATTTATCTTTGTATCTTCCCCAGCGCCTAGTGTAGTGCCTTGCACATAATAGGCGCCCAATAAATATTGATGAAGAATGAAGGCGTTGTGTTTCTAATGTGACCAAACCATGGGGATTCTTTGTCATTAATACCGTCCTCCTTTGTAAGTGCTGTTTTTTTTTTTTCATTCTTGAGCTCCTAATGACATTAGATCTTATCAGGGGCAGTTGGACAGTTCAGTAAAGGTAAATGCTGCTCTTGCTCTAGTTGCTGTGACCTATGTTCTTTCTGACTTGCTAAGAGAGCCAAGTGATAGTGGCTAGTGATAAGATTGATACATAAATTGCTTTACTTTGAAATAACACTGGAAAACCCTACCGTAGACCTGATCAAGAAAAAAAAAAAAACTCAGGATGCATGTTTAAAGTATAGCTCAGGAAGAAATGGGTTAAAACAAATAGCTGACTCTTTGAAAGGCCAGGGTGTTGGCTGATCCTCCACCAGCTTCTTGGGCACATTGGCTGGTCTGGCTCACTAAGGGAACGTTTATTTACTAGTGAATTCAGACAATCAAAACAGAAATACCCCCTCAAAACAACAGAAAATCATTGCATTTAGAGGGTAAGGGATTTTAACCTAAGTGTATGTTACCAGGAATGATAAAAGAGGTCAGCTACATTTTATTTTGTTTTCTCTCAACCTGGGCAAGTGTATACCAGAACTTTCTCTTTTAAACGTTTTTCCTCATACTCTCTTGTCCTTTTCCCTCTCTCCCAGTGAAGTGTTAAGAATTCGGAGTTCAGTAAATTGTTGCCTGATTAATGAGTTGCCATGACCAAAAGAAAACTTACCACTTTAATAAGTATACCTTTATATCCAAATAAACCTCAAGCTTGAAGGAGCTTTGAAGTGTTCCCTTTTCATGTGCATAATTTATACACATTCCACTTGTGTATCTGTTGAGTATAGTTGGAAATAGGCACCTAAGAGTTGAGAAGTAAAGGGACTGATTAGTACTATACTGGAGACAAAGCCTCTGTGCATTTCTTCTAAAAAGTACCATGTTTGTGCTCCTAAGCCCTATGCTTGCTCGTGAGTGGCTTGGAATGGCTGCAAGCTCCCTAGTGAGTGAGTACAAAGGGTGGGAAGGAATCTAACAGATGTGAGTGGGGAGGAAGTGGGTTCTGACATGCGCTGAGGAATCTGAAACAAATTCATCTTATAAGTCTGCTCAAGGTTGTGTGGGTCTCGCTCAAATTTATTTGAGAAATCCATGGCTTATCCAACTGTGCAGCCTCTGCTGCTGCTTTAAGAATCTCTAAATGCTGTTAATTCTCTGCACGTGCACCGACAACCCAGGATGACTAAAAGTCTAACTGGGAATCACACTTAATTGAGATTAAGAGAGAGATTGATTGCTACCTGACTCTTGCCCTCATCTCAACATTTGAAAGTCTGATTAAACATTCTGTTAGTTAAAATAACACCAAGTGCTATGATAGGTGACATCAAACTTTTGGTAGCATAAGAAAAAGTTTGGGCACGGTGGCTCACGCCTATAATCCCAGCACTTTGGGAGGCTGAGGGGGATAGATCACGACATCAGGAGTTCAAGACTAGCCTAGCCAACATGGTGAAACCCCATCTCTACTAAAAATACAAAGATTAGCTGGGCATGGTGGCATGTGCCTGTAATCCCAGCTACTGGGGAGGCTGAGGCAGGAGAACTGCTTGAACCTGGACCTGGGAGGCGGAAGTTGCAGTGAACCAAGAGCTCCACTGCACTCCAGCCTGGGCTACAGAGTGAGACTCCATCTCAAAAGAAAACAAAAGTTTATTTCTCGTTTTTACAAGGAACCAATGTGGGTATTGAGGCAGCTTTCCACATGGTGTGACTGAAGGACCCAGGTGTCTTCCAGCTTGTGACTGCCGCCCCAGGGTTGACAAGACCTCACTTGAAGTTGGCAGTCTGGGGTTGAGGAAAAGAGTGGAGAAGGCCCACCTGCTTAATTAGCTTCGCCCAGAGTATCACACCACCAACTCGCATTCCAAGGGTGAAAACGAATTGCACGTCCCTGTGCAGATAAGCAAGGGGCATCTGGGAAGTACAATCTTTAGTTGGGTAATCACTTCTCAGGAACAACTATGTGGTGGATGGGAAGCATAAATCTTTCTCACATAGTCATTCTATCACTTTCTGCTTATGCTCACCAGCTTAAGCTGACCAGCCCCTGTTGTATCCCAGCAGGGAATACCAGTTTATTATAGTCAACATTTATTTATCTTTTTGTGTCTTGTCTGTAGTGCATTAAGGATTTTCTGAAGGTGAGCATATTAGATGTTAAGGGTTAGATTTTAAAGCACTTATCAGGCATGAGTTACCTGATCTAATCTCTAGCCTAATCATCCAGTACTTAATTTTTTTTTCCTGGAACATTATTTCCTTACTTTGCAGCAGCATTTATAGCTCTTGCTGCCCTTGGGAATATATATATACACACACACACACACACACACACACACACACACATATATACATATATATATGTTTCATGTTTGTCAGTTTCATGAGCAAGAAGGCTATGTTTATCTTGTTCATTTTACTATAAGACACTACATATTTACTGAGTAAATTGAATTAAAAGCAAAAAATGTGTGATTAATTTTAGTTATATTGGCTTACACAGGTGTTTTGTCTCATGTAAGGTAGGCATTTCAGGACATTCCATGACAGATTTTCAGAGGATAAATGAACTGGGTTTTTACTGTAAAATGTAATCTATCTCCTAGTAGTATCTCAGTGATAAATGTTTAACATTAATGGTAAAGGGAGGTATATGGAGTAACTTATATTTGAAAAGTATTAGGCTAAGGACATTCATAAGTCCTTGTGAATTAATGTCTTTCACCTTTTTTTTTACATTTGTAATGGAAAAAAGGAAATGTGGAAAAGTTTATGAGATATTTGTATATAGTTTACTGAATAATATAAAGCATGTGCCTTTGTAACTACTACTCAGATCAGCAGTTGGAACAATACTATTACTCCATGCCTCCCTCCCTATACTTCTTCTGGATCACAACCTGTTACCTTTCTGCGGTCTTCAGTTTTGTGTTAGCCATTTTCTTGCCTTGCTTGAAAAGTTTACTACCTCTGTTGCATCCTATCAGCTTTACTGCCATCATGGACAATAGGAACATCTCAGTGGCTTACAAAAACAAATGTGTATTTCTTGCATCAATAGGGGCTTAGGATATACTCCTCACATCTCTTCATTCCAGATTCCACATTGAGAGAAAAGTTCCTTTTGGGATTCCAAAGGGCAGTTAGAACTGTTGGAAACTCTTGGAGCCTCTGATTGAAGGTGATGAGCATCAGTCTACTCCTTTAATTGACTCAAGTATGTCACATGGCAAAGCCAAGGAGTTGAAGGGTTGGGGAGCTAGATTCCATAGGGAAAGAGCACAAGTCACATGGCACTGAGTAATACTCTTACAGGAAAGGAGGAGGGAATTCTTAGAAATGTAATATAAGCTATCACACATTCCTAAGCGATACAGTTTGGTTTGGTTTGGTTATGAACATAAATGTAATCTTACCATAAGAATTTTTGGTCTTGCTGCTTTGGCTTAGCATTAACTTTAAGAGAATCATTTATGTTTTTGTGTGAAGGTGTAGTTCATTTTCATTGTTAGGCAGTAATTCATTGTAATATAGTCATCCATAGTAGGCATCCGGAGTAGGCATAATTTATTTACCTGTTCTGTTGACAGACATGTGCTCTGAATGTTCTTGTACAGGTAGCCTGGTGTATGTGTTTCTCTAGGAAAGGGATCTTCACATTTTGTTGCTTGTGTAGCACATCAAAGATTTTTTTTAAACTTTCTTAAATACTGAAAAATTTTCATCTTGTCATAGAATGTAATTTTTGGCACATTGCAAGTATTAACATTTTAAAGTACCAACTGCACATTACTTTTTTTTGCATTACTTTAAAAATGTATCTAAATGTATCCAGTGGAATATGGTATTTATATGATTTGATAGAATCATTCATTTTCTAATGAACAAATTCTTCCTTAGTGGTCAAAGTTCTTATCATTTCTTTTTCAAATTATATTTACATGCCTCTAGCAAAATTTTGTCCTAATGGGTAATACTCTAGAGAGTGCTATTTTCAAGTCTTTTATTAATAACTGTACCACATTTCTTTGTAACAAAAATGTGCATGTAAATTGAAATTTATCTTTTACAATTTCCTCTGACCCCAATATTCTAAGTTCTAAGGGTGTAAAAGTTATTCTGGAGTAAGTTAATTCTGCAGTTATCAATAGTACACAGTTGATCAAAACAAGAAGTATATTAGAAATGTGATAGATAATCGTAACTCTTGATGAGATGGAATTAGATATGGGAGGGGATAATTTATGTTGCTTTCATTAAGGGAATTATTAAATTATTTCTTTGTCCCCAAGGTTTGATGCCTTGTGGCAGTGCACCATAGCAAGATTCTGGATGAGGTGAGGCTTTCTTTGTGAAAGGGATGATGGAGGGAAAGAACCTCAAGCCTGGGCGCATTACCAGCCAGATCACTTTAGAAGTACGTGTGAGAGCAGAGCTGATTTCCATACAGCTGTCTGTCACCATGCACAAAGTTCCATGTTCCTCCTAATCGAAGACCACTGCTCTAGCATACACACCTAAGATTGGAAATTCCTAAGTCTTATGGAATTCATATCAACATCTTTACTATATATTACCAAACTTTCCCAAAGTGGTTTTTCCAAGTGTGAGTTCTCTTTGCCTAAATTTGGGTTTGCAGACTTTAGTTTTTGCCAAGCTGGTGAATAACCAATGGTATCTTATTTTGGTTGTAAATTATATTTCTCTGTTTGCTAAAATGAGAAACTTCTATTCATGTTTATTGTTCATTTGGATTTCTTTTGTAAGGTGCCTGTTCAAATTTTGCCCATTTTCTATTTGTCTTATTGATTTGTAGGATTTCTTTGTATACTCTCAGTTTGAGTCTTCTAGCTTACCCCTTCACTTTTTCATGGTTCCTTTTGATCAATCAAGCTTCTTAATATAATCAAATGTATCAGGCTTTTCTTTCATTCAATAATGCTCTTTTAACCTTTCTCCCAGCTTCTTCAGTGTTATGAAATAGAAAGTGTCTTAGTTTTGAAGTCAGCAATATCTGGGTTTGGATTCTGGTATAGCCACTTTCTAGCAATGTGAAATTGGCTAAGCAATGCTCACTAGAGTAAGTTGTCTAAGCCTTATGTTTGATATTCATTGTTTGTGCCTGGCATTATTATGTGTGCTTTGCATATATTAAACTGAATGCTAACAACAACCCTACGAGGTAGGTACTATTATCATTCCCATTTTAAAGAAAAAGAAGCTGAGATCAAGATAGGTGAGTAACTTGCTCCAGGTCAGTATGGTAGGTAGTGGTAAAGCCAATATTCAAAGCCTGGCACCTGCACTAGAGCCTGAACTCTCCTCCATACAGACTGTGCTTCTTCCTCAGAAACATGGGAATGAGAATACCTTTCTTTTAGAATTGCTGTGAGCAAAAAAATATGTATGGGAAAGGACTTCCCAGCATTTTTAGTACATAGCAGGTTTTTGTTATTTCTGTGAAATGTAGCAGAGTTGAGGAAACAGAACCGAACGGAACACAAACATTAAAGTCTCTTTGCAAAGTCATATGTATTTTTTTTTTTTACAGATAATTGTAGAGCAAATTGAATAATTCTTTTACCTTGTTCAGAACAATGAGTCTTTCTTCAGTATCTTTGGTGTAGGAGACAGATGTTCTCTGAACAACAGACTTAGTATTTTTCTGGTAAGAATAGAAAAAAATCAATTTCTTAGCTCAATCATATAGATTAATTTCTTAATGATCTTGAAGCGTATAGGAAAATATACCCTCATTTTAACCATGTGGCCTAAAAAGGGCCAGAGAAAACAAATAATAAAGCTTTGAATGGAAGTTGGCGTGAAAGACAAAATGCACCAGGCAATAAAGATAATTTTGCTTTAGATATTATAATAGGGAGAATTTTCATTTCTGCAGCAGAATGTGTCAAAGAAATGAAGGAGGCTTGGGGTTTTATAGAGGCAGGTAAACAAGGGAGTCAAGGGGAAGGATGGGGGGGGTCAGTTCTTGGATATGCCAAGGGAGGTGGTTCCTTGAAGTTAACTGTTTCTCACAACATAAAAGGTTTTTTTTTAAAACCATTGCTTTTTCCTGGGAGCACAGGGCTCTGGAAATTTTCAACAATGTCACTGCCTTTAGGAAAGCTAAGAAAAATACGGAATCCTCTACTGTGACAGCAAGGATATGGGTCAGTATCCAGGCAGTGACAATGGTCAAAGCAAATGTGTAACAAACCTAATCAGGAGCCTAATCCCCTAAAGAGATGAGGAACCCAAAATCCAAAATGATTTATAACTTTAACTTAAAGACGGATAGTTCACTGGCCACCGACCAGCTCTTTGCACTTGATTGTAAATCAAGAAATTCAATTAAATATTTGCTCAGCATCTTTTTTTTTTCTAGCAAGTTCTTTATTTTAATTTTAACTTGAAATCAGTGCATTATATTAATAACTCCATTGGTCGTTTGTCTACTTAACAATCTTTGATGATCTTTCCCATAGTGAAATGATCCTATAAAACCATTGACAGGTTCTAAGATTTTTCCTTTGTCTACCCATCCCTACTAACTAGAAATACATTTCTGGGAAGTAGTCTAACAATAATTTCAGTTTTGAAAAGGGTCATGGATGGTAAGGAGACTATATTGTTTAAAGGCCTTTATTGATCCTTTTATAGATTTACTGGAAGTTGAAAACTAGCACAAAGAGGTCCCCTGTACTCCTTCACCTAGTTCTCCCTCATGGTGACATCTTACTAACTATAGTTCAGTATCAAAACATAGAAATTGATGTTGGTACAGTTAATAGACTATTCAGATTTCATCCATTTTACATTGTTCATTTGTGTGTGTTAGTATCTTTAATGCGCCAGACATTGCTTATACTCTGGAATGGAATGTGGTGATACAGACAGTTCTTCAAAACACTTTACACTTTCTTGGGAGGTGTTTGGTTTTGTTTTGTTTTGTAATGTGGCCTCAATTCTCAAACCTGCCTTTAAGATTTCTCCACTTGTCTTAGAGAGTCAAGAATTAAAGTATTCCAACTGCAGTGAATATTAATTAAAGAATAAATATATTAAAGTGGGTTGGAGGCAGGGGAATAACATGTCACTTGTCACATTGAGCCAGCTAGTTAGAATTCTCCTGACGGATGCAAAGGCCTAGGAAGCTTAAGTTCCTAGATAGCTGAGAATCTTTGCCATGAGTGAAAACAATAAGGAACATCACTACCTGGTTGGAATTGCCAAATTTGGCCAGGCGGATCAGTCCTTTCAAATCTAAGTCTCTGTGTTGGTCATTTTCCTTCCAGCAAGGAAGATCCATTATTTAACAGGTATACAATCTCCAGGAAAACCTATGAAAGGTCTGTCAGTATCTTCTGTGCTTTTATAACACATTCATAACACACACACAAAATTACAGTTAAAGTTTCACAAAATACATACACTTATGGGGATATGCTTATTTATTCTTTCATTCATTTTTTTAAAAATTGGTGGTTATTACCTGGTAAATCAATTTCAGGACCGTTGTTTAAAAGAAAAGTCAGTTCAAACAGTAGTAAGAATTGTTAGGTTGGTGCAAAAGTAATTGCTGTTTTTGCCATTAAAAGTAATGATAATAACAGCCTAAAAGTTTTCATAATAAGAGCTACAATTTACTGGCTACCTATTATGTGGTAGGTGATTTTCCAAGAAAATGACCAGTCATAACATTCTTGGGATTCATTCATTCAACACATAGTTATTGTGCTCCTATTTGCTAGGCATTGTTCTAGTTGACAGAGCAGTGACCAAAGCAGGAAAAAAAAAAATTCGCTAATGGAATTTACAGTCTAGCAGGGAGAATGTTTAACAGACACATGAGAAAATCATATTTCATGTCATAGGATGTAAGTACTATGAAGATAAATAATTAGGGAAGGGAGATAAGGAGTACTGGGATGCTAGTTTAAGTAAGATGGTCATGGCAGACTTCTTTCACAAGGTGATATCTGAAGGAGATGAAAGAGAAAGCCGCAGGGATACTGGGTGGAAGAGAAATCCTGGCTGAAGGTGTAGCAAGAGCCAGACCTTGAGGCAAGACACATATTGGAGAATTCAAAGGATAGGACAGTGGAGTTATGATTCAAATGCAAAACAATAGACTCAGGACATTGAGCTCAGGGTCAGACTTAGAGGGTCCTGAACACAGGTCTAGCTGACTCCAAAGTCAGTGCACTTTTACAAATAACCACATGTGCTACTGACTGCTCATCTACTATGTGTCATTTTCCAAACTCTTGCTCTAAATATTTGATGGCCATCTAACGTTTTCTGGTTAACTAAAAGAGTCAAATTACCCCTGCTAGAAATCACATTTCAAAGGAAATTGTCAACAAAAGAAATACACTCAGGACTACAAGCTTTCCAAACATTAATAAGAGGCAAATATGTCTAGTGCATTACTGTTTCAATTAATTAAATGATTAGTGAGATAGCACTGGAGAATCATTTTCACTATAAACGAAATATTTTTTAATCTAGTGTAAGCAGTAAAGTCACTAGAGAGGAAAGTAATTTTTCCAGTTTCCTGATTTAAAAATTTCTTTCTTTACGATAAAACGTGATAGCACCAGAGAGCCTTTGGCATGGCATTATGCACTGTGTAGACCTGATACCCTGAAGCTTTGTATTTCATGTTACCTTTATGAGGCGGAAAGTCTTCACACTGGCCAGATATGTGCTTGTGAAAAGGTTGGGTAAAAACAGTGCAATCATTACAGTGGTTTTTTCCCGAATGGGTTTTTTTTGTTGTTTTTTTTTTTTGCTCATAACTGGTCCTTTGGTGCCCTCTGGTGATACAGCTCATGAAAACAAGTACTAGATCGCTAATTCTCTCTCTCACACTATAGTATTGCCATCTAATGTACACAGTTTACAACACCAAAATGCAGAAAGAAAAATTACCCACAAGAATAATTGTACACTTATCAGTTTATTTAGTCTTGCCTCACATAAAAATTGCTAAAAGCTTTGAGTTGAGAGTGGTAATGTAAGAGAAAGCAATCTCTAACTTTGTGGGGTTTTTTTTTTGTTTGTTTGTTTTTTTAGTTTTTAGAACATGAGACACCTTCTCACTCTGTCACCCAGGCTGCAGTGTAGTGATGTAATCTGCACTCACTCTGGCCTGGACCTCCCAGGCTCCAGCAATCCTCCCACCTCAGCTCCTTGAGTAGCTGGGAACACAGGAAGGCGCCACCCCGCCCTGCTAATTTTTGTATTTGTAGAGATGAGATTTCACTATGTTGCCTGGGCTGGTGTTGAACTCCTGAGCTCAAGTGATCCACCCACCTCAGCCTCCCGAAGTGCTGGGATTTACAGATGTGATCCACTGCACCCAGCAGCAATGTCTAACTTCATAAACTGAGACTATGCTAATCAGTGACAAAGAACAAAATTTTTAAATTTCTAATAGACTAACAAATAAATCAGTCTTACCACTTCTCTGTGCAGATTGCCAGTAAATCTCCTTTCATTGAAACAAGGCAAATAAATTAAACATGGTGAATAACCCACTGACAGAAAGCATGGTATTTTTCTGGGCAATCTGAACTACAAATTGGCTGACAACAGGAAACAGTATGGCCCTACACTACATGATTTTCTATCATTAAAACTATGGAAATATTTTCCTTGTCCTCATGTCCTCATAGATATGTCTCTTTTAAATAGCATAGAGCTGGATTTTTAAAATCCAATCTGGTAAGCTATTTAAATTTAAATTGGTGGTTATAGTGATTAATAATGTAGTTGGGCTTGTTTTGCCCCTCTTATTCATGTATAATGTATTTTTATACTTGTTTTGTTCATATTGTTTTATTTTGAATTAATTGAATCTTTGTCTTTATTTTATTATTTTGTATTCATTGATTTAAAAAATTTTATGTTAACCTTGAAATACTGTCATGCAGATTTAATAAATTCTTAAGCTAATGATTCTTACTAGTTAAAAATGTAAAGTATTAAGAATGTGAGCTCCACGAGAGCTGGGATTTTTGTCTTTGTCCATTGCTGTATTCCCAGAGTCACAGGATCCTTGGGGTGTTGTCGCTTTTCCAGCCAGAAACCTCTGTGGCTGCTGGTGCCTTTGCCCAAGTTTTGCTCAGGCCTGCTGGGCTCATTCTGCCCACTTAGCCTGGCAGGCTGTGCTCGACTCGCGTTACTGGCCTGGATCCCTCACCTGCCAAGGGCAACCCCAGTGCAGAGTATTGAGTGGTGTGTGAGCAAGCGAGTGTGGGGTTCAGTCACTGCACACACTGAGGTACGCCTGCTGTGGTGGGGTGGACAGCTCCAGGTGTTGGCAAGGGTGCTGGCTCCCTGCTAGACTGTGGCTGGACCAGGCATACCACAAGCATCTTCCATGGCTGGCACGGGGGAACATGGTGGTGTCCACAAGCTTGGAGATGCCAGGAACTGCAGACCCCCAATGAGGGCCTCACAGCCCTGGCTTGGGAGCTCCTAGATCTGGGCTCCTCGAAAGGCTGCAGGTCTTCTCTTTTTCTCTCTTCTTTCCTCCTTGTTGCCTGCAATGTGGTGAGCAAGGGGCATGTTTCAGCCCTGCTTGTGTTACAGCTCTTTCAGCCCTGCCATATTTGGCAGTTCCTGAGTTCTTGTCCCATGTCCAGAAAGAATGAGGTATGTGGACAAGTGGAGAGTGAGCAAGGCAAAGAGATGCTTAATTGAGGGACAGAGCAGCTCAGAGGAGACCACAGAGGTAGCTCCTCTCTGCAGCCAGGTCAACCTGTTGTCTGCAGCCCTCAGTGGAGAGGAGGCCCAGAGTTGGTAGCTCCTATCCACAGGCAAGTTGTCCCATCCTCTACCCAAGCCTGGCTGAGTCTGGGGGTTTTATGGGCTTTAGAGGGGAGATACTGCATGCTGACTGGTCCGTGGGCAGCCGTGGGCAGGCCCAGAAAAAGCACCATAAGTTTTCTATCCAGTCTGCAGAACTGATAACCTGACCCCCAGGCTTCACTCTGTCCCTGGCTTGAAGGTGGGGCTTCGCTGGGTGACCTGCTCCTTTGTGCCCAGGAGTGTGTCTACCTCCTGCCACCATCAACCTGCCATGCACAGTGCCCAGGCTGTTTGTGCCAAGGGGTGCCTGTAGGCCCTGCACTGAGCTGCTCTCAGCCCCCACCTCAGCCTCCCTCCTGTGCTTGTCAGTGCCCAAAGTCGGATGGGGGCTGAGGTGGCAGGGGCCTGGCATGTCAGCACTGCCTCAAGCACACACACACACCCAGCTAGGTTGTGACAGCACCCAGGCTCATCCTCAACTTTACTACAGAATAGGAGTGGGTGCCAGAAGCAGGGAGAGGCCAGGCATTGGGAGCAGGCAATTCCAAGCCTGAGGGGGCAGGAGGGTTTCCTGGGCTCTGGAGAGCACAGGTGTTGGGAACAGGCCCCCAAAATCCGGCCATAAACTGGCCACTAAACTGACCATAAACAAAATCTCTGCAGCACTGTGGCATGTTCATGATGGCCATGACACCCATGCTGAAGGTCATGGGTTTACTGGAATGAGGGCAAGGAACACCTGGCCTGCCCTGGGTGGAAAACCACTTAAAGGCATTCCTAAGCCACAGACTAGCATGAGCAATCTGTGCCTTAAGGACATGTTCCTGCTACAGATAACTAGCAAGGCCCATCCCTTTATTTCGGCCCATACCTTTGTTTCCCATAAGGAATACTTTTAATTAATATATAAACTATAGTAACAATGTTTATCACTGGCTTGCTGTCAATAAATGTGTGGGTAAATCTCTGTTTGAGACTCTCAGCTCTGAAGGCTGTGAGATCCCTGATTTCCCACTCCACATGCTATATTTCTGTGTGTGTGTCTTTAATTCCTCTAGCGCCGCTGGATTAGGTCTCCACGCCTGAGCTGGTCTCGGCAAGTGGCGCCCAATATGGGAGGTTTGAAACCAGGTCAAAGGGTCCCCGGAGTGATGGTTGGAGAATGTGGAACTATGCTGGAGGACACCTGAGTACTCTTAAGCAATCCCTATGGTGAGTAAGAAGGGGAGCTCGGAAGCATCAGTGTAACAATGGGACAAGTGTGGGCTCTGGTTCGTTCCACCTTGGAACCTTTTCACACTGATGATGAGGAGAAAGGAGAGTATAATGAAGTAACAGAAGAAGTAACAGAGCAAGTTTGTTTGCCTGCTAAAGCTAAAGTGGCAAAGGAGGGAGAGGTTTATCCCTATCCTTCTGCACCCCCTCCTTATTTTGAAGAAAAAGAGTGGCCTGACCCTCCAGATCTTTCTTTTCTGGAGGATGCTGGGCAAAAAGTGATTGCCCCAGTGACTGTTCAAGCAGCGCCTCAAGCGATCGCTCTCAGTTCTATTCAGGCAGGAATTCAGCAAGCTAGAAGAGAGGGTGATTTAGAGGCTTGGCAGTTCCCTATTAGAATACACCCCCCAGATCAACAGGGAAATATTATAGCTACATTTGAGCCTTTTCCTTTTAAATTACTCAAAGAATCTAAACAAGCTATTAATCAATATGGACAAGGTTCTCCTTTTGTAATGGAACTGTTAAAGAATGTTGCTGTTTCCAGTCAGATGATTCCTACTGACTGGGATGCTCTTGCTCAAGCTTGTCTAACTCTTACTCAGTTCTTACAATTTAAAACCTTGTGGGCAGATGAAGTTTCCATTCAGGCTGCTTGTAATGCCTAGGCCCAACCTCAGATTAATATAACTGCAGACCAACTTTTAGGGGTCGGCGGCTGGGCTGGTTTAGATGCACAAGTGGTCATGCAGGATGATGCCATAGAGCAGCTTAGAGGAGTGTGCATTAGAGCTTGGGAAAAAAATCACTTCAGGAGGAGAACAATACCCTCCCTTTAGTTCTGTCAAACAGGGACCAAAAGAACCATATGCAGATTTTATAGCGCAGTTACAGGAGTCTCTTAAAAAGGTGATTGCAGATTCAGCTGCTCAGGATATAGTGTTGTGGTTATTAGCTTTCGACAATGCTAATCCCAATTGCCAGGCTGCTCTGTGACCTATTAGAGGGAAAGCACATTTAGTTGATTTTATCAATGCCTGTGATGGTATCGGAGGTAATCTGCATAAGGCTACTCTGCTAGCCCAGGCAATGGCAGGACTGAGAGTGGATAAAGGAAATACTCCGTTTCCTGGAGCTTGTTTTAACTATGGGAAGCATGATCATACCAAAAAAGAATGTAGAAAAAAATCAGCGAGTCAGGCTGCCAAATAGGGAGAAAAGAAAACTGCTGAGCCTGAAATATGTCCAAAATGTAAAAGAGGAAAACACTGGACTAATCAGTGTCACTCTAAATTTGATAAAGATGGGAACCCGATTTCAGGAAACACCATGAGGGGTCCCTCCTGGGCCCCGTTCTAAACCGGGGCATTCCGGCTCAGACCATTCCCTCACCACTGTACAATGTCTGTCCCCTGCCACAGCCGGTAGTGCTGCAGTAGATTTATGCTGCACAAAAGCTGTGAGCCTTCTGCTCGGGGAACCCCTGCAAAAGGTTACAACAGGGGACTGTGGACCCTTGCCAGCGGGGATGATAGGATTACTTCTAGGCAGGTCTAGTTTAAATTTAAAAGGGGTACAAGTAGAAACAGGAGTCAATGATTCAGATTACATCGGGGAAATTCAAATTGTTATATCTACTTATGTTCCCTGGAAAGCAGAGCCAGGAGAGTGTATAGCACAGCTCCTGATTGTGCTGTATGTGGAAATGGGGAAAAGTGAAATTAAATGAACAAGGATTTGGAAGCACAAATAAACAAGCAAAGCAGCTTATTGGGTAAGTCAAATTACTGATAAGTGTCCTACCTGTGAAATAACTATTCAGGGAAAGAAATTTAAAGGTTTAGTAGTTACAGGAGTGGACACTTCAATCATTTCTCTACAGCACTGGCCATCCATGTGGCCAATTCCACCTGCTCAATTTAACATAGTTGGAGTTGGTAAAGCCCCTGAAGTATATCAAAGTAGTTATATTTTGCATTGTGAAGGGCCCGATGGACAACCTGGGACTATTCAACCAATTATAACTTCTGTACCTATAAATTTATGGGGAAGAGATTTATTACAACAACGAGGAGCACAAATTCTAATTCCAGAATAATTATTTAACCCTCAAAGTCAATATATGATGGATGAAATCGGGTATGTCCCTGGTATGGGACTAGGAAAACATTTGCAAGTTTTGAAGGAACCGCTTCAAGCAGAAAGACAAAGTTCCCTCCAAGGTTTAGGATTTGATGGTGGCCATTGTTAAGCCTCCAGAACCTATACCTTTAAAATGGTTAACAGATAAGCCAATTTGGATAGAACAATGGCCACTGAGTAAAGAGAAACTGGAGGCTTTAGAGGACTTCATTACTGAACAATTAGAAAAAGGACACATAGCTCCAACATTTTCCCCTTGCAATTCTGCAGTTTTCATAATTAAGAAAAAATCAGGTAAATGGAGAATGTTAACTGATTTAAGAGCTCCGTTAATTCAGTTATACAACCTATGGGAGTATTACAGCCAGGATTGCCTTCTCCTGCCATGATTCCAAAAAACTGGCCTTTAATAGTCATAGATTTAAAAGACTTTTTTTTTTTTTTTACTATCCCCTTAGCTGAGCAGGACTATGAATGGTTTGCATTTACAATTCCTGCAGTAAACATCCTGCAGCCTGCTAAGTATTTTCACTGGAAAGTGTTGCCACAAGGCATGTTAAACAGTCCAACAATTTGCCAGACATATGTAGGGGAAGCAATTGAACCTACTCGTAAAAAATTTTCACAGTGTTACATTATTCATTATATGGATGATATACTTTGTGCTGCCCCCACTGGAGAAATATTACTTCAATGTAATGATCACTTGCAAAATTCGATTTCTTGTGCTAGTTTAATTATAGCTCCTGACAAAATTCAGACTACTCCTTACTCCTACTTGGAGACCTTAGTAAATGACACTACCATTGTGCCTCAGAAAGTAGCCATACGTAGGGATGAATTGAAAACATTAAATGACTTTCAAAAATTACTAGGGGACATTAATTGGATACAACCTGCTGTAGGCATTCATACCTATGCCATGAGTTATCTATTTTCTATCCTTGGAGGAGATCCTAGTCTCACTAGCCCTTGGCAATTAACAAAAGAAGCTAAGGCAGAGCTGCAGCTAATCGAAAAGCAAGTCCATAAAGCTCAAATAAATAGAATAGATCCAGAGAAGACTCTAGATTTGCTAATTTTTCCAACTCAGCATTCACCTACTGGTGTTATTGTCCAAGAACAGGACTTAGTAGAATGGCTTTTTCTTCCACATACTAATTCACAGACTCTAACTCTTTATTTGGATCAAATCGCTACTATGATAGGAAATGAAAGAACTTGGATTGTTAAATTACATGGATATGATCCTGGAAAAGTTTATTATCCCTCTCACAAAGGCACAAATACATTAAGCTTTTATAAATAGTCTTACTTGGAAAACCCATTTAGCTGACTTTGTGGGTATTCTCGATAATCATTTTCCTAAAATGAAACTGTTTCAATTTTTGAAATTAACTAATTGAATTCTCACTAAGATAACTAAATTTAAACCAATTGAAGGTGCTGAGAATGTTTTTACAGATGCGTCTGGTAATGGTAAAGCTTATTCTGGCTCGAAAGGTAAATTTTTTCAGATGCCTTATACTTCAGCTCAAAAAGTGGAGCTTATAGCTGTACTTGAGGTATTGACTGCTTTTATTATGCCTATTAATGCAATTCCTGATTCTTCATACGTGGTTCATTCCACACGATTAATTGAAAATGCTCAGTTACGATTTCATACAGATGAACAACTGATGACTTTATTTATGCAATTGCAAACAGCGGTTAGGAGTAGAATGTACCCTTTTTACATCACTTACATTAGGGCTCATACACCTCTTCCAGGACCTTTGACTGCAGGGAATCAAATGGCTGATCACCAGTTGCTAATGCAATATCTAATGCTAGACACTTTAACAATTTAACCCATGTTAATGCCTCTGGTCTCAAATGCAGATACAACATTACCTGGAAAGAAGCTAAAGCTATTATCCAGCGATGCCCAACTTGCCAAATTGTGCATTCCTCATCTTTTACTGGAGGAGTTAATCCTCGAGGGTTGGAACCTAATTCTCTTTGGCAAATGGATCTCACACATGTTCCCTCGTTTGGGAGACTAGCTTATGTACATGTATGTGTGGACACCTTTACTCACTTTTTCTGGGCTACATGCCAATCAGGATAGTCTTCTGCCTGTGATAAATGTCACCTTTTGCAGTGTTTTGTGGTGATGGACATTCCAGCTTCTGTTAAAACAGATAATGCCCCAGGCTATACTAGCCAAGCTCTAGCTACATTTTTCTGCATATGGAATATTAAACACATTACTGATATCCCATATAATTCTCAAGGACAAGCCATAGTGGAAAGAATGAATCTCTCCCTGAAACAGCAGTTGCAAAAACAAAAAAAGGGAGAGAAACAGGGACTACAGGACACCCCATATGCAACTGAATCTAGCATTATTAACTTTAAATTTTTTGAGCCTGCCTAAAGGCCAGATGTTATCAGCAGCTGAACAGTATCTACAGAAACCAGCTCCAAAGACAGAAGCAGAACAACTGGTTTGGTGGAGAGATCTGATAACAAAAAGTTGGGAAATAGGTAAAACAACAACTTGGGGTAGAGGTTATGCTTGTGTTCCTCCAGGACCAAATCAACAGCTGATTTGGATACCATGAAGACACCTGAAACCTTATAATGAGCCAGATGCTGAGGAAGAGATTCTGGGAGGATCCCGAGGACCCCCCAGTTGCAGCCATGTCAAGACTGACAGTGAGGAGGACCCCAGCTGTTACGGGCAACACCCGTTGAACACAGCTACCCACCTGGGGACAGATCAAGAAGCTATTACAGATGGCGGAAGAAAACCTGAGGAAAGCCGGACAGCCAGTCACAATGAGTAATTTAATGGTAGCTATGATAGTGGTGATCACCATTGCTGTGAGTATTCCTTCAACAAGGGCTGACACAGAGAACAATTATACATATTGGGCATATTTATCAATCTTGGCTGGCAATAATGCCTGGATGTAATCACTCTATGACACAGTTACACATGTTTCTGATCTTAGTATTTACTATAATAAATCTGCTCCTATAATTGAGGCATACAACCCTCAAAAACCTATTTGTAAACAGGATTGGACCTGGCCAGAAGTAATGAACATACTTGTTTGGGAAGATTGCATTGCAGAACATACAGAGGTGCTATGCAACAATTCCTATGGAATCATTATTAACTGGTCCCCTAAGGGGACATTTAGCTTGAATTGCACCTCTCAGTCTGCATGCCACGGCCACACTGTGTTTAGCTGGTCTGAACAAAATGGTCAGATGGTAGAAATAGTAAGAAATATGGCAAGAGTTCCTATTATGTGGAAATATGGCGGTATAGTGGCACCTCAATCTCAATCTGATATGGCCCGCTCTAGGAGCTAAACATAAGGATTTGTGGAAACTATTAATAGCTCTCAATAAGATCAAAATTTATGAAAGAATAAAAAAGCATCTAGAAGGACATTCTACAAACTTGTCTTTGAATATTGCAAAATTAAAAGAACAAATATTTAAAGCATCCCAGGCACACCTGACCTAAATGCCAGGAACTGGAGTGCTTGAAGGAGCTGCAGACAGATTAGCAGCTAGTAACTCATTAAAATGGATAAAAACACTTGGAAGCTCTGTGATTTCAATGATAATTGTGCTTTTAATCTGTGTTTTTTGTCTTTGTATAGTCTGCAGATGAGGATCCCAATTCCTGTGAGAAGTAGCTCACTGGGACAAAGCTGCCTTTGCTTTTATCGCTTTGCAAAACGAAGGGGGACATGTTGGGAACAGGCCCCCAAAATCTGGCCATAAACTGGCCCCAGAACTGGCCATAAACAAAATCTCTGCAGCACTGTGACCTGTTCATGATGGCCATGATGCCCATGCTGAAGGTTGTGGGTTTACTGGAATGAGGGCAAGGAACACCTGGCCCACCCAGGGCAGAAAACTGCTTAAAGGCATTCTTAAACCACAAGCAATAGCATGAGCGATCTGTGCCTTAAGGACATGTTCCTGCTGCAGATAACTAGCCAGACCCATCCCTTTATTTCAGCCCATCCCTTTCTTTCCCATAAGGAATACTTTTAGTTAATCTAGAATCTATAGAAACAATGTTTATCACTGGCTTGCTGTCAATAAATATGTGGGTAAATCTCTGTCCGAGGCTCTCAGCTTTGAAGGCTGTGAGACCCCTGATTTCCCACTCCACATGCTATATTTCTGTATGTGTGTCTTTATAATTCCTCTAGCACCACTGGGTTAGGGTCTCCATGACTGAGCTGGTCTCGGCACACAGGGATGCCTGGGTCCGCAGCCCTGGCTGAGCAGCTGCAGCTGCACCCTGGAGGGCGGGGCTCCTACTCCTCAAAATCAGAAGTGGGTGAGGCTTCTGCCTGTTCCTGGCTCCTGCTGGATCTGTGGAGCATACAGCCCTGGCCACGCCTCCCCCACTGCAGCTGGTGTTTTCACAGCGGCTGCTCCAGATGGGCCACTGCTGCCATCACCAGCACCTAGAAAACTTCTGGGCAATAAATGGACCTCAGAACATCTTAGCCACATTCACCTGCTCATGACCTAATGCTGCTGTTGTCCATTATTTTACTTCTTTCTTAGACTTAACAAAAGTTGGACATCATTCTCATTGTGAACCCTGAATATCTGAGACATGTCTCAGCCAATTTAGGAAGTTTATTTTGCCAAAGTTAAGGATGCACACCGGTGAGAAAACCTCAGGAGGTTTTGATACCATGTGCCCAAGGTGATCCAAACACAGCTTGGTTTTGTACATTTTAGGGAGACATGAGACATCAATCAATATATGTAAAATGAACATTGATTTGGTCTGAAAAGGTGGGACACCTCAAAGAAAGGTGGGACAACTTGAAGTGGGGAGGGGCCTTCCAGGTCATAGGTAGATAAGAGACAAATGTTTGCATTCTTTTGAATTTCTGATTAGTTTTTCCAAAGGAGGCAGTCAGATATGCATTTATCTCAGTGAGCAGAAGGATGACTTTGAATAGAATAGGAGGCAGGTTTGCCCTAAGCAGTTCCCAGCTTGACTTTTCCCTTTAGCTTAGTGATTATAGGGCCTGAAGACTTATTTTTCTTTCACATTTCCCCTGCTTTTCTTTTAAAAATCTTTTTGGAGGAAGTATTTTAAAAGAAAATGAATCTCTGGTCTCAGGTTTTGTCTGATCTGTCATGGCTAGGATGGTTTATTCCTAGACAGGAAGGTCCTGAGTTATTAGGAAAGCTCATTTTAACAGGTTATGAAGTCTCATGTCCTATGAAGAGAAAATAGGGGGAAGAAGGGACAAAACAACAAACAAAAGAGCAATCCTGGAAGATTGATATAGGCCACATTACTCGGAAGTCCATACATTAGTAGGCAGGTATGAAAGTGGCTTATGTATTTAAATAGGTTTCTGTTATTTTCTTCTGAAGTTTAAGTTGCCTGGCTTTAGTTCACAGGGCTTTAAGAAAACACAGCTTAGTTTTCAACAATTTCGAATTGGGAAAAATAGGGGTAAAAAGGAAAAGAAAGAAGAAACACATTGAAAACATTATTTTGGAGACATTATTCATTATAGCCAGGAAAAAATATAATTCAGTCCAAACTGTAGAAAATAATAAAAATGGAAAAACATTAGGCAAGACTAGAATCTAACAATGGGTGTACTATAGTTTTTGAATTTTTCTCTCTCCAGTTTGCCATTTTTACCAAAGACAAATCATGGTAGGAGTGATTTGTTTTATTATACTTGGCCAGATTATTTGTACAACATGCAGCAGGAATAATTATTTTTCACAAAGGCTTTTTAATTTTGCTTTGTTAATTAATAATTTATTATTAATTATAATTAATCATTAATCATCAATTTATTAATTAAATGGAGCTTTGTTTCATAGAAAGAATCTCAGATAAGACTTTTTAAAAGCCCAGCCATGGATTTGCACCATCAAATATCTATGAGTTGGGTAAATTCCTCTCCTCTTGAGGTCCCAAGAAAACTTGGGACTCCTGAGCCTGTCAGAAAGTGACATTCTTTACTTACAACAGGTCAGGAACCCTGTACAGAAACTGTGTAGGCAAGGTATGAGGCCAGTTTTCCCAAGAGGCTTTTATTGGTTCTATAAGTCAAGCTTGATTCCTTAAAGGAAAGCACACCATTCCAGTCAAAGCCTTGGTAAAATAACCAGTTTATCCAATGATGTCCTGTTGCAAAAGAAAGTATTATTTGCACTTATGCAAATAACTGTATTGCTGTAAATTAAGAATACTCACAAAAGTTTACAAATTCTGGAGAATTCAGGTAGAAACAGATATGCTCCAAATTTTGTTCACAGGAGTATACTTTACTCAATTGCTACAAACTGTAAATAGCTCAAAGGAAAAGTTTTCTTGTTTCTGAAAAACAAAACAAAGGATCAGCAATGTTTTAAGCAAAACGTCAAAAGATTAATTCAGTCTTCTATTAGTTCAGTCCATACAGTTAGCTCCTCTTCTGCATGATATTCATGGACATTCCATCTCACCATAAGAGTCCTGAAAGTTTTCCTCTATTTTAATGTCACAATCTCCAAAGTTATCATAAACCTGTGTTGAAGAACACCTGTTAGAGTTTTATAGCTGATTATAAAGCCACCTTCTAAAAAGGACCAAAACAAGACAATTGTTTGTCAATGACAAAAAGTTTTAAGGCAGCCATAGTCAAAGACACACTTGACAAGGAAATTTTTTACCTCTGTGGCACACGATAATTTAACATAACAATTATAGTTATGACTGATAATGTGCACTAAGTCATATCAGAATTATAGCAGTTTCCCATAATGTTGGAACTCCTACCAGTAGCATATTTATAGAACTATAGCCCAAAGAAAGCCAAATAACATTTCATATTTGACAATGTTTCCTGTATGATTTTTATGCCAAATAAGCCAAATATGTCATTTTTTGACTTTAGTGAACCTAATACCATGAAAGATTAATTAGGTCAGAAAAAGACATAATTTATAATTTGATTTTGGAAAGTTTGTCAAATATCAAAAGTTTAAAACACTTGATATTACAAAATAGGATCACAGGTCGTTGTAAAATAAGTCATTCATTTAACCAAAGTAATAAGGATTTCAAAAAAAAGATGAAAATCTTCATTCTTTGAGAGAGGAGACTTACTTTTTCAAAAAATAAGTGCAATAAAACATCGTGAAGCCAGTTAAATTTGTTTTCAAAAATTTATACACAATCTATAAAATTTTAATCATCTTGACGTAAGATATAATTTCCGTAAGTCTTTTATAACCTTTATTAAGGAGTTGGCTAATGCTTCAGGAAAACCTTGTAAATCTGATACTGGGGCCCATATGCTGTGCTTGCATCAATGTGCCTTTGACATTAATGGTTACTTTATAGAGAAACTGAACTTACTTTATCTCTCAAAATTGGCCCTTAGAATCTCATGTGCTGGCCACTTCCACAATAATTCCTGGGCCTTGAGGAGTTGAATAGCTTTAATTTCTGGCCCTGTGTCTCACAAACACAGTTTATTTTGATTGGTATCTTCTATGGTGTCTGAAGAGAGGCTTTAATTGCTGTCAGTGATAAGATTCAGCAGAACTTGGTGTCCTTTTAGACCCAGGAGTCAAAGCCCTGTAACTTATTGGCACAAGGACTTTAAAAGCACATAACAGAAAGTTATAAGGGTGTAGTAACTGTAGTTTTAAAAAATTGTTTTTAATCTCAGTTTTTTTCTAAGTAAACCAGACATAGTAATAATGATATAGGAATTATTTCAATGATGCACAAGATCTGTTTATTAGGCCAGTTACCCAAGGCAAGAGAAAAGATCTTCTGCAATGTGACTGCTGTTCCCTATGGGGAATATTCTGTTGGAAGGAAACATTTCCTTTAGACCTTTAAGATGAAATTGTTTTTTGTTTTGTTTTGTTTTTGCATCAGGCCACAATAGTTAGAACTGGAAAAAAAATAACTTGCAGGAGCTAAAAATGAGTTGAACATAGAGTTATTATTTCAAGCCTTTTAAAAAGGGAGAGAAAGCCAAAAACAGCAAAATGCAATAAAAGTTGAACTTTGCATAAAAAATTATAATGTCTTTTAATTTATTATGAGTAAAGCAATTAGAGCTGGGCATGGTGGCTCACGTCTGTAATCCCAGCACTTCGGGAGGTCAAGGTGGGTGGATCACTTGAGGTTAGCAGTTCAAGACAAGCTTGGCCAACATGGTGAAACCCCATTTCTCCTAAAAATACAAAAATTAGCTGGGCATGGTGGCGCACACTTGTAATCCCAGCTACTCAGGAGCCTGAGGCAGCAGAATCACTTGAATCAAGGAGGCGGAGTTTACAGTGAAATGAGATCATGCCACTGCACTCCAGCTTTGGTGATAGAGTGAGACTGTGTGTCAAAAAAAAAAAAAACAAAAAAGAGTAAAGCAACAACTTAAGAACATGGCATACTTTGAACCAATTATTTAGGGTATAAGTAGTTTTTTTAAATAATTAAACACAATCTCTAGATAATTGATAATTAAAATTATAGACAAAATGATCATAAAAAAGTTGTCCTTTTAAATAAATCCTCTTATTGTGTCTTACACAGACCATTCATAACATGCTTGGACATTCTTGTTTGTCATGAGCATCCCTCTTTTTTAAACAACCAGACGTTTTATTTTAGGACAAAGTTTACCATACAAGATTCCTTCTCATATAAAATTATTTCTCTTTAACCTTCTTACCAAAAAATACCTCTTTATTTCTATAACTTTCTTTACATCTCTATTTATTTCCTGGTATCTTTTACCTTGTTTTATACATAATCTTGAAATAAGCTTTGAATTAGACAAAAGTATTCACCTTTTTAAAAAGGACACGTATTGTATTTTTAGAAAGAATGTTTTCCTACAATATATTTTAATTGGAAAATACCCAAGTAATGAAATAGCTATTATTTAATATAACTTTAGATTCTAAATTATGAAAAGTTTGTCTACAAGTATTTACCCCATACATTTACCTAATTATTTCATTTTAATTGTTTACCTAGATTATGAAAACTGCAATAGTCATCACTTAAAGTTATGAAACTGCCGTTGCAAAATTATAATTGAGACAGTGAAAAACATCTGACCTAACTGACTCCATCTTGCTTCTAATCTCCAAGCTGTCCTTGTTCATTCCTGGGCATGGGCCGAACTAACTTTTGGAGGAATTTAGGTTATAATTTAGCTTTGAAACAAAGACAATAACAGTCCTCTCCCAAAACAAACCCCCTTCCTGCCTGGGGACTAAACTGCCTAAAGCCAGAAGATTAGAAGTTATGGTTATTTTACTAAATAATTCAAGATTTAGCTATTGTCATTAAACCAATATTAACGTCTTATTTATCAAAAGCTACATAAACAAAGATCATTCTGTTTTGCACTGGGCTTTACAGTTTTGTAACCCCTATGCCAAATTTTGAGAACTGATAGTATTTGGCAGGGGTAAGTATGAAAATGCTTGATTAATAAATACAAACAAAAATGTATGCTGGAAACTCTTAAGACATTTCTAATATTACTTTATCAAAAATTTTAAAGTTAGCTTATTTATTAATGATTTTACTTAGGTCTTGAAAAACTTGAATTTGAAAAAGCATTTGACTAGTCTTTCCTTTTTTCTAATGAAGTATTTGATTTAAGCACTTTTATTTTTCCTTAAGCCAATTACTTAGAGCTCTTTCATATATTTTTAATAGTGAAACATTGTGTACACAACACATAAATACATAGATGCATTAGGCATATCAATAAAAGTACACCTTATAGATTCATAAGACCTCCCTTTTTCCCCCTATTTAAGACATGCAAATTCTTGAAAACCTGTTTCATTATGCTGGCAGTTGTCAGGTAAATAGCCCTAAATCTGCGTATTGAAGGAAACAACTCTTAGGTGAAAAATCAAATAGCAAAGTTTACAACCCAAGGTACAGAGAGAAAATGTCTGTTGGTGCTAGAGGGAAATTAAAGATGGATGCCAAATCAAACGTAAAAATATACAGAAATCTATCATAGTATTGTATAAGGAGACTAATTTAATTTAGATAGGGACTACTTGTCACTTAACTAGATCGCTGAGCTCTGGGCAGAGCCCATACAGAATCCTGGGTCTCCAAAAAGGGAGAATTATTATGAGGCTAGAACATGCGATGCTTGTACAGTGCACTAAAAAAAATTTTTTTTTAAACAAAGACATTTCATTTTTTAAACAAAGACATTCTTCCTTAAAAACCCAAGAGTAGCCTCTGTTGCAACTATTTTAGTCAAAAAATCAGGTAACGTAGTACAAAAGCAAGCAGTTTAAGAGCTGAGACGAATTTGCCTGTTTACACTCTTGGAGTTCCATAAGGAAAAACAGCAGCTTTTTCCCACAAGGAAGTCTGGCACCTTCTCCATTTTCTTTAAGGAACCCCAGGCTATTATAAACTATTTTAGGTCCCTCTTGCAGCACAGGGTTCAAGAGAAAGGAGAGACAGCAGATGTAAATGAAGAAAACAGAATTCAGTCAACTGAGAAGAAAAAAACTTTTGCTCAAAAAAGACAAGGTCCTAGGAGAGAGAAAAACAAAACAAAACAGGCCTTTTAAATTCAAATACACGCACACACAGACATACACAAACACAGCTTGGATGTTAGCTTTTAATTAAGGTGACTTTTAACCGTTGAACTCCTTTAAAAAAATCTTTTAAAATCTTATTACCATATTTCAGCGAGGTCAAATTGCTGCTATTTTAGAAGTACCAATATTAATGGAAAGGAGTCCTGATCCAGACCCCAATAGAGGGTTTTTGGATTTCACACAAGAAAGAATTCAAGGAGAATCCATACAGTAAAGTGAAGGCAAGTTTATTAGAGAAGTTAAGAAACAAAAGAATGGCTGGCTACTCCATAGGCAGAGCAGCCCTCCTGATGGCTGCTGATAGTTATTTCTTGATTACATGTGAAACAAGGGGTAGATCTGATTCATGGTGCCCCTTCTTAAACCATATGGAGCAACTTCCTGATGTTGCCGTGGCTTGTGTAAACTGTCATGAGTGTAGCAGTGAGGACAACCAGAGGTCATTCTCATTGGCATTTTGATTTTGTTGGGTTTTGGCCGGCTTTTTACTGGAAGCTGTTTTATTAGCAAGGTCTTTATGACCTGTATCTTGTGTTGACCTCCTATCTCATCCAGTGATTTAGAACATCTAGGAATGCAGCCCAGTAGTTCTCAGCCTCATTTCACGCAGCCCCTATTCAGGATGGAGTTGCTCTGATTCAAACACCTCTGACATCAAGCATCAAACCAGAAAGGGCTTGATTTAGAAACGAAACCCAGGCTGTCATAGTGAAAAAAAAGAAGGCAGAAACTTAGCTATGGAACTGCAGCATAGGGCCACAACCATTGCTCTTTCAGTTTGACCTGAAAGAGCAAAAAGGTGGCTTTGTTATGTAAATAAAGCTCCTTAAGTAGTCAAAATAAAAAAAAAAAACTTTACTTTTTTTTCTTTTTAGTGGTTGTTTTTCTCCCCCACCACACCTTTTTGTTGATGTTGTTTGTTTTTGTTTTTGTAGCAATTTAGCCACTTCAGAGGCCTTGTTTCCCATAATTTGGAACTTTCCTTTAGATTTGATCAAATTGGATAGAGCTGGTCAAACCCAATAGGAAAAAGACTGAAACAACAACAAAAACAGGAACAAAACAAACAACGAAAAAGCAGTTAAGCGAAACAAACAAATGATTGCACAACTTATACCATTACTGAGCGCTCTAATGGTAAGGAAAAATTAAGACCAGCTGGTTGTTAATCTTAACTTTAGCCAAGACAAACCCCAATTCAGTTACTTACCTTGGGGTGGGTCTCAGGCTGAAGATTGCTCTCTACCTTCCTAGAAGCAGGAAAAAAATTCAAACTTGCCTTCCCTGTTGGGAGTGATTTCAAACTCCAGAAAGGAGTTACCTGCCTTCCATCACCATGGAAGCAGGACAACTTGCCCTCCCTCCTTGTTGGAAGTCAGTAAAACTCAAAAAAAAAAAAAAACAGTTGTACAGCAAAATAAACTTCATATCTCAACCAAATTTGGGGAGACCAGGGATCCTCTGGAGGGAGAGGCTTCCAGGCCTCAGCAAATTGTCCTATTGGTTTGAGCCATAAAGATAACTCGAGCTGGTACCAAGCACTGATAGGAGATTTGTCAAAGGTCAGGGGTATCTCCACTCAGAATCCCTTCATGGTTACCAAAATATGAACCCTGAATATCTGAGACAGATCTCAGTCAATTTAGGAAGTTTATTTTGCCAAAGTTAAGGACGCACACCCAAAGTTAAGGACACAGCCTCAGGAGTCCTGACAACGTGTGCCCAAGGTGATCCGAGCACAGCTTGGTTTTATACATTTTAGGGAGACAGACATCAATCAATATACATAAGACAAACATTGGTTTGATTGGGAAAGGTGGGACAACTCAAAGCAAAGTTGGGACAACTTGAATTGGGGAGGGGGCTTCCAGGTCATAGGTAGATAAGAGACAAATGGCTGCATTCTGTTGAGTTTCTGATTAGCCTCTCCAAAGGAGGCAATCGGGTATGCATTTATCTCAGTGAGCAGAGGGGTGACTTTAAACAGAATAGGAAGCAGGTTTGCCCTAAGCAGTTCCCAGCTTGACTTTTCCCTTTAGCTTGGTGATTTTAAGGCCCCAAGATTTATTTTCCTTTCACATCGTCATAATCACTACAAGCAAACGTCTTTGTTGAGATTTACTTAAATATTTACCATTTTCTTAACTCACCATTACTTCTTGCTTTCCATGTCTTTTTTGAAGTCCACATATTAAATACTTCTTCAATGAATAATGTCCGGTGGTAGTGCTCTTAGTTTTTGCTTAATCCTCCCGTATAATTATTATTCTATTAGTTCTTAAAATTCTACTTGACTCTCTTAAAATTTTCATGAACTTTTTTGACTTTCTTGGTCCTTGCCTATTAATTTAGTTCCAACTTTTATTTTTGAACATTTTATACATTGCCCTAGAAAAATTTTGTATCTGAAAATTCTTATCATTCTTGTATCTAAAGACCTTTTATTTTACCTACCGACTATCCTTTACAATAGTTTATTTCTTGTGTATTGGTGATTTAAAAAACATTGGGAGCCTACATCTGGTATGACTTATTGTAAAAAGGCTGAGTGCTGAAACTGGTGACTTTTCTAACAAGAATTTGCATTTGCTCTGCCTCGGCCCAGTTTGTTGTTCTGACCTGGAAACATTAAATGTTTCCAGAGGCTGTGGCTTAACATGGGAGTTCCAAATCTCCCCACCCTCCCCCCATGCCTTTCTGCAGACTCCTTTGACTAGTACATTTGCCTTAATTATCAAAGAAAAATGTGGTTGCAGATACATTGTGGAGCAACAGAGAAACATCTGGAAGTCAGGAGACTGAGGTGCCTCCAAGTACTAATGATAAAAATTAACAAAATAATATAGAAATCCCATACAGGCAGGAGCAGCCAAGGCACAAAGGAATGAAGCCTTGGGCCACCCCACCAGGTAAAGAACCCCAACCAGTTGAGGTGCAAATTGGGAGTGGAGGAAGGACATTGTACATTTCAACTAAGCCTTCCTGATTAGTTACAGAAATAAGTATTATAGTAGCTGTCAATATTTTCTTCTTTGCATGATCAGGCATATGTTTACGTAATTTCCCTTTTCTATTTGTGTTGCCTTTGGCTAACTTTACTCTGAGTTTGAAATATACCGAATATCAAAGTAGGAGTATAACCAAATTGGAAGATGAATAAATGAATGCAATTACTGACGAGACTTGGGTCTTTTTTTTTCAGGGACAGAGCAAACATTTTTATTTGAATGAAAGATAATCTCATTATGTTAGGAGAAAATGCGTTGGGTTTTTTTTTAATACACATGTTGAAAGAATGACACATATGGACATTGTGTTGTCAAAGGGGTGGACTGCCAAGGAAAACTGTGGATTGACTATGGCAATACCCATTCCTACAACTCTTCAGTGTGCAGAGACTACAGAAATAAAATTATGTTTTTCAGACTCACTTGTAGCTAGTGTTCACTGCAGCTAGTGATTTAGGTTCTACAAAGCAAATGTACTCATTTGAGATTGATTCAGAACATGAGTCACCAGAGGACAGAGGCAAAATGTGGGGCACCCATTTTCCTGACACAAATTATGTCAGCAAATTAAGATGTATTTCTGAATTAACTGCTATAGCACTGGCACTCTGACCATGGCAGAGACAAAAACTTCATTCTTTGTCCAGTTTGATGGTGTCATTTGGGAAATTGTTTCTGCAAACTTAGCCTAAAGACTTTTTTTAACTCATCCACCAGTTCTGTGTACTATTTAGATAGCCCTTTATAATCCCTTTCTCCTAAAGTACAGCAGATTACATTGTTTGAAATGAAAAACACCAAACACTGGACAATATTATATATGGGACTGTACACAGTTACTGACAGATACTCTAATCCAGTGTTGTCAAGAGATGAGAGATTGGCCTCTAAAGATAAATGAGTTCACCTGAAGCACATGAACTGTGGTTACTTCTAAAACAAGGTTGCTATGTGTATGAACCTTGTTTTAAAAGTAACTACAGTTCATGATCTCCAGGTTATAACCAGAAATACCTGGAAGTGGTACCCACTGTGCAACCTGGAAGAGCAATAGTGAACAGCTTGATCCTGAGGAGGCATGTTATGGCCTAATCCCACTCCCCCAAAATTGATTGTCAGAGAATGGAGAATTTATCATTTGGATACACACATATACAAACACACATGCATATTTATACTGCCTATTATGTTATAGTTTATGCTTCTATAAAATATAAATTTAAAATTGTATGTAGATATGTATTCTAGATATATTAAAAATTTAATATTTTCTAGCCTGTATTTTATTCTACATAATGAAAATTTTACTGTTGTTAAATATTCTTCTACAACATCAATTTATAATTACCAATATGAACTAAATCAGTCTATTGTTTGTCATCTGAGATTTTTGAAGTCTAATATTAAAAACATTTCAACAAGTATCTTAGCTATAAGTATTTGCATATGTTAGCATATATTTTTGATGATTTCCCTAGGAAAATCCCTACACAGAAATTGATGGGTTAGTAGAATTTTTTTTTTTTTTTTTTTTTTTTTTTTTTTGAGATGGAGTCTTGCTCTGTCTCCCAGGTTGGAGTGCAGTGGTGTGATCTCGGGTCACTGCAACCTCCGCCTTCTGGGTTCAAGCAATTCTCCCTGCCTCTGTCTTCCGAGTAGCTGGGATTACAGGCACTTGCCACCACACTCGGCTAATTTTTGTATTTTTTAGTAGAGATAGGGTTTCGCCATATTGGCCAGGCTGGTCTTGAGCTCCATACCTCAGGTGATCTGCCTGCCTCAGCCTCCCAAAGTGCTAGGATTACAAGTATGAGCCACCGCACCCAGCTGAATATTTTATGAATTTTTTGTATTATGTATTGCCAGACTGACTTCTGAAGGGGTTAGGGCATTTTTTAAGTCACCTGACAATTTATGGGGGTTTCCATGTCTTTGAAAGCTCACCAAAACTAGATTTTATTATTTTCTTACAAATTTCCAATTTGTTGGTGAAAAAACATTTACCTAATTTTAAATTTTATATGTTTGATTCTTATGAGATTGACATGATTTAATGTTTCTTTTCTCTTTGCGTTTCTTCTTGGTAAATTGCTTTATCATGTCATTTACTAATATTGTCCCATGATCTTAAAATCTTTTTCTTTTTTAAAAAAAATTTTTTTTTTTTTTTGAGACGGAGTCCCGCTCTGTCGCCCAGGCTGGAGTGCAGTGGCACGATCTCAGCTGACTGCAAGCTCTGCCTCCCGGCTTCACGCCATTCTCCTGCCTCAGCTTCCCAAGTAGCTGGGACTACAGGCACCCGCCACCATGCCCAGCTAATTTTTTGTATTTTTTTAGTAGAGATGAGGTTTCACCGTGTTAGCCAGGATGGTCTGGATCTCCTGACCTTGTGACCCGCCCGCTTCGGCCTCCCTAAGTGCTGGGATTACAGGCGTGAGCCACTGCGTCCGGCCTTAAAAATAATTTCAAGTAATTTTAGATTCAGGGGAGACATGTGAAGACTTGTTAAATGAGCCTATTGTGTAATACTGAGGTTTGGGCTTAGTACCCAACAAGTAGTTTCTTAGCCCTATCTCCCTTCTCCTTCTCCCCTCTCTAGTAGTCCCCAGTGTCTGTTGTCATGTTTATATTTATGTGTACCCAGTGCTTAGCTCTCACTTACAAGTGAGAACATGTGGTATTTTGTTTTCTGTTTCTGCGGTAATTCGCTTAGAATAATGAGCTCCAGGTCAGTCCATGTTGTTGCAATGGACATGATTTCGTTCTTTTTTATGGCCATGTAGTGCCTCAGGGTATATGCACTACATTTTCTTCATCCAGTCCACTGTTGATGGGCATCTAGCTTGATTCCATGTCTTTACTCTTGTGAATAGTGCTGTGACGAACATACAAGTACTCATTTAGTAGAGGGATTTCTTTTACTTTGAGTATATACTCAGTAATGAGACTGCTGGGTTAAATGGTAGTTATTTGAGAAATCTCTAAGCTGCTTTCCACAGGGGCTGAACTAATTTACATTCCTACCAATACTATATAAGCATTTCCTTTTCTCTGCAGTCTCACCAGCAATCTGTTCTTTTTTGACTTTTTAACAGTAGCCATTCTGACCGGAGTGGGTTGATATCTTCTTGTGGTTTTGATTTGCATTTCTCTGATGCTTAGTGAGATTGAGCATTTTTTCATTTGTTTATTGGCTGCTTAAATGTCTTCTCTTGAGAAGTGTCTGTCATGTCTTTTGCCCACTTTTTAATGGGGTAATTTGTTTTTTGCTTGTTGAATTCTTTAAGATCCTTATAGATGTTGGATATCAGACCTTTGGCAGAGGCATAGTTTTCAAGTATCTTCTGCCCTTCTGCAGGTTGTCTGTTTACTCTGTTGGTAGTTTCTGTTGCTGTGCAGAAGCTCTTTAATTAGGTCCCACTTCCCAATTTTTGTTTGGTGCAATTGCTTTTGAGGATTTAGTCATGAATTCTTCTCCAAGGCAGATGTCCACAATTTACTAGATTTTCTTTCAGGATTCTTATTTAAGGTCTTACATTTAAATCTGTAATCTGTCTTGATATAATCTGTATATATGGTGAAAGGCAGGGCTCCAGTTTCATTCTTCTGCATGTGGCTAGTGAATTATTTCCCCATTGCTTATTTTTTGTCAACTTTGTCAAACATCAGATGACTGCAGGTGTATAGCTTTATTTCTGCATTCTCTCCTCTGTTCCATTGATCTATGTGTCTGCTTTTGAACTAGTATCGTGCTGTTTTGCTTACTGCAGCCTTGAAGTACAGTTGAATAATCGATAATATGATACCTCCTACTTTGTTCTTATTGCTTATGATTCCTTTGCCTTTATGGCTCTGTTTTTTATTCCATATGAATCTTGGAATAGATTTGTTTAATTCTGTGAAAAATGACATTGGTAGTTTGAATGGAATGGTGTTGAATCTTTAGATTGCTTTGGGCAGTATGGCCATTTTAATGATACTGATTCTTCCAATCCATGCGCATGGAATGTTTTTCCATTTGTTTGTGCCATCTATAATTTCTTTCAGCAGTGTGTTGTAGTTCTCCTTGTAGGGATCTTTTACCTCTTTGGTTAGGTGTATTCCTAGATATTTTATTTTATTTTTTGTGCACATTGTAATTGACATCACATTCTTGATTTGGCTCTCAGCTTGAACATTATAGGTGTATAGAAATGCTACTGATTTTTGTACTTAGATTTTGTATCCTGAAACTTTTCTAAAGTCATTTATCAGTTCTAGGAGCCTTCTGGCAGAGTTTTTAGGATTTTTCAGATATAGAATCATATTGGCAGTTAAGAGAGATAATTTGATTTCTTCTTTTCCTCTTTTGATGCCTTTTAATTTTTTCCCTTGTGGGATTACTGTAGCGAGGACTATGTTGAATGGGAGTGGCAAGAGTGGGCATCCTTGTTTTGTCCTGATTCTTAAGTGGAATGTGTGCAGCTTTTCCCTGTTCAGTATGATGTTGGCTGTGAGTTTGTCATAGATGGCTCCCATTATTTTGTGGTATGTTTATTCAATTCCTAGTTTCTTGAGAGATTTTGCCAGGAAACATTGTTGGATTTTATCAGAAGCTTTTTCTACATCTATTGAGATGATCATATGCTTTTTGTTTTTAATTCTGTTTATGTGGTGAATCATATTTTCTGATTTGCATATGTTGAACCAACCTTGCATCCCAGGAATAAAGCCTACGTGATCATGGTAAACAGTATTTTGCTGAGGATATTTGCATCTATGTTCATCAGGGATATTGGCCTATAGTTTTTGTTCAGTTGTTTCTGGTGCGTCTTTGCCAGGTTTTGGTATCAAGGTGATGCTGGCCTTATAGAATGAAGTGGAGTCCTCCTCCTTGATTTTTCAGAATAGTTCTAGTAGAATTGGTGCCACCTCCTCCTTGTACATCTAGTAGAATTCAGCCATGAATCCATCTGGTCTGTGGCTTTTTTTGGATTGGTAGGTTTTTTTATTACTGATTCAGTTTCAGAACTTAATATTGGTCTATTCAGGTTTTCAGTTTCTTCGTGATTCAATCTTGGGAGGATGTATGTTTCTGGGAATTTATCCATTTCCTCTAAATTTTCTAGTTTTTGTATACAGCTGTTCATAATAGTCTCTGAGGATCTTTTGTATTTCTGCAGGATCAGTTGTATTGTGACCTTTGTCATTTTTGATTGTGCTTATTTGGATCGTCTCTCTTTTTTCCTTTGTTACTCTAGCTAGTGTTCTATCAATTTTGTTTACCCTTTCAGAGAACTAAATTTTGGGCTTGTTGATTCTTTGTATGGATTTTTGAGTCTCCATTTCATTCAGTTCTGCTTTGATTTTAGTTATTTATTTTCTTCTGCTGGCTTTGGGATTAGTATGTTCTTGTTTTTCCAGCTCCTCTAGATGTGAGGTTAGATCATGAATATAAGATCTTTCTAATTTTTTTATGTAGGCATATAGCACTATAAACTTTCCTCTTAACACTGTTTTTGCTGTATCCCAGAGATTTTGGCATGCTGTGTCTCTGATTTCATTTATTTAGAGAACTTTTTGATTTCTGCCTTAATTTTATTGTTTGCACAAAAGTTATTCAGGAGCAAGTCATTTAATTTTTCATGTAACTGTGTGGTTTAGAGAGATCCTCTTGGTATTGATTTCTGTTTTCATTCCACTGCAGTCCAATAATATGTTTGGCATGATTTTGATTTTTTTAAAAAATTTATTGAGACTTACTTTATGGCTGGGCATGTGGTTGATCTTAGAGTTATATTCCATGTGCAGATTAGAAGAATATATATTCAGAGACTGATGAATAGAGAATTCTGTAGATGTTTACTAGGTTCAATTGATCAAGCATTGAATACAAGTCCAGAATTTCTTTGTTAGTTTTCTGCTTCGATAATCTGTCTAATGTTTTCAATGGGATATTGAAGTCACCCATGATTATTGCACGGCTGTCTATGTCTTCTCACAGCTCTAGAAGTATTTGTTTCTGGGTGCTCCAATGTTGGTTCCATATATGGGTTTAGGAAGTTAAATCTTCATGTTGAACACTTTATCATTATGTAATGGTAAAGGCCTTTCTTTCTCCTTTTTTACTGTTGTTGCTTTAAAGTCTGTTTTATCTGATGTAAGTATAGTGACCCCTGCTTTCTTTTGTTTTCTGTTTCTGTGATAGATCTCTCTCCATCCCTTTACTTTGAGCCTGTGAGTGTTGTCACATGTGAGGTGGGTCTCTTGAAGACAGCAGACGGACGGGTCTTGTTTTTCTGTTCAACTTGCTGCTCTCTGTCTTTTAAGTTGAGGATTTAGACTGTTTACATTCAAGGTCAATATTGATATGTGAGGTTTTGATTCTATTGTGAAGTTGTTAGCTGGTTGCTTTGGAGTTCAATTGTATAATTACTTTATAGGATGTGTGGGCTATGTACTTAAGTGTGTTTTTGTGGTAATAGGTATCATTCTTTCATTTCCATGTTTAGAACTCCCTTAAGAGTCTCTCGTAAGGCTGATATAGTGGTAATGAATTCCCTTAGTGCTTTCTTGTCTGGAAAATATTTTATTTCTCCTTTGCTTATGAAGCTTAGCTTGGCAGGATATTAAATTCTTGGTTGGAATTTCTTTTCTTTAAGAAGCCTGAAAATATGGCCCCAATCTCTCCTAGCTTTTAAGTCTGCAGTTAGCCTGATAGGGTTCCCTTCATATGTGATCTGACCTTTTTCTCTGGCTGCCTTTTCTTTAGCATTGACTTTGGACAGTTTGCTGACCTTACATCTTGGTGATGTTCTTTTTGTATAGTATCTTACAGGTGTTCTTTGGGTTTTCTTTATCTTGATATTCACATCTCTAGCAAGGTTAGGGAAATTTTCTCAAATTCTTCTCTCAAATATATTTTCCAGTTTGTTTACTTTTTCTCCTTCTCTCTCAGGAATGTAAATAATTCATTGGTTTGCTTGCTTTACATAATACCATATTTCTTGAAGTGTGTGTTCATTTTTTAAAAAAAAATCTCTTTATTTTTGTCTGTGTTAGTTCAAAAATCCAGTCTTCAAGCTCTGATATTCTTTCTTCTGATTGGTCTAGTCTATTGATTAAGCTTTTAATTGTATTTTGAAGTTTCTTAAGTGAGGTTTTCAACTCCAGAAGCTGTGATTGATTTCTTTTTAAGATGTTTATCTTTTCTTTCATTTCCTGGATTCCTTTAGAAGTTTCTTTGTATTGATTTTCAACCTTTCTTGGATCTCACTGAGGTTCTTTGCAATCCATGCTTTGAATTCTTTATCTGTCATTACTAAATTTCCATTTTGTTTAATGACCATTGCTGGAGACCTAGTGTTATCCTTTGGTGATGTCAATACATTTGGATCTTTCATGGTAATCAGAATTCTTACACAGGTTCCTTAACATCTGAAGATTCTGGCATTTCTAATTTTTGTAATTTTAGTGCAGACAGAATTTTTCTTTCTTTCTTTCCCTATAACATTATTGTTTTTTCTTCTGCCCTTTTCCCCCATTTCTAGGGGGTGTGACTGTAGCAAATGTTTGGTGGAATCTTTTTGCTTTGCTTCCACAGCTTTACGCATTTCAGTTGGGAGGTTTTATTTTGCGCTGTGCAGTTTGACTGACAAGCCAGTAGCTAACACTTATGGGTGGGAGCTGGCAGTGGCCAATGTGGCCAGGTATGTACTAGATCCTTGTTTACTGGGAGAAGCTCCTATTGTCTCAGGCAATGGGCTGATCATGGAGTGCACAGTGATCTGAGCTCCCTGCTTAGTCCTAGCAGGGAGCCAAATGGGTGGGGCCAGACTGGGCAGGCCTGCCTGCCTGCAAGTCTCCCAGTGGTAGGCACAAGAACCAGCACCAAAGGAAAATTCAATGGGTGGCCACCAAGCACCAGCTGCGTGCCTAGGCATGGAACTGGGAAACCTCCTCAGCCCCAAGTTCTCTATGGGGTCGGGGAGGGAGAGGGTTTTGAAGGTGCTGGCCTAAACTCCTAATCCAGGAGAGTGAGTGCTCCAGATGTCAGGAGATCTGTCTGGGTGTGCCGTGTAGACGGCTCCCCAGCACCACAATCTCTGCAGAGGAAGGGTGGAGATGCTCAGGATGTTAATTCAGGCAAACAGGTGCTCTGAATAACTGGAGATCTGCCAGGGCATGGAGTGGAGAGGCGCTATCTCCGTGTGGGAAGGGTGAGGCAAGTCAGGCTGCTGGTCTGGGCAAGCATGTGCTCCTGAATGCGTGGACTTATGCCTGGGCATGGAGCAGAGATGACCAAGATGTACTGTGATCCCTGCACAGAAAGGGTGGGCAACTCAGGCTTTTGAACCAGGTGAGCAGGTGCTTCAGATACCTGGAAATCTTCCTGGGCATGAAGCAGAGAGGGCCTCCCTGCACTTAGATCTCTCCACAGGAAGGATGGAGCAACTCAGGCTGCCAATCTGGGCAAGTGGGTGCTCCAAATGCCTGGAGATATGCCTGCAGGTGGAGTGGAGAGGGTCCCGCTACACCATGATCTCAGGGGAGGCAGGCTCTGGGGCACTCAGCAATAGCACATGCAGACCACTTCCAGGTCACCAAGCTGGCCCTGCCTGCAAGTGTTGTCCCTCGTAGAAACCATTGTTATAGCAGATCTCCTCCCACCCCAGGCCTGCGATGGAGGAGAGCACAATTCCAGTGCCTACTGCTGAGGTGCTTTCTACGATTCTGGCTGTGGAGGCCCCTACCCTGCTCCAGAGCATGACCTCCAAAATGTGGCCTGAGACTGAAATGCCTGCATGGCCACAGTGCCAGGTGGCCAAAGAATGACTTTGTATGTGCTGACATTAAAAATAGTGTCTTGCTCTCAGTCCCGGGTCTGGGAAATTGCCTGCAGCTTTTTCCTGGTGTCTTTCCCTCTCAGTGTCTCCAAGCCGCTCCCCAAGTTAACTCCAGGGCTTGGGAGAAACAAAGTGCCTGAATTGCTCAGATTCCTGGTGAAAAGTTGAGTCACAGAGGGAGGGTCTCTGGCCTTCTCACATACTGGGACTTCACTTACTTTTATCACTGGACACTGTCACAGAGACTGTTTGCCCCATGGTCTTCTCCCTAGGATCTGGGGTGTCCTTCACAATTTAGTGGATTGCCATTTTCTTTCTTGAATTGAAGCTCACAGAGTTGATATCTATGTACTATCTTGCTATTTCCAAGTGGCTGAGGAACATCAAAAGCCTCTAAATCCACCATCTTGGAAAAAAAAACCCTTTTGTTTAAATTAAAAAAAAAATTGTTCTTTTCCTCTTATATATTGGAAAATATCTTGGGATTTTGCACTTATTACTTATGAATTAATCATAGTCTCAGTTTTCTTATTTTTTTTACAATGATAATACCCACTATATAATATTATTATGAAGATTAAGAAAAGTAATATATTTAAATTTTCTATCAGAGTGTCTGATATATAGCTGTTCAACTAATGTTTCCTTTCTACCATTCCTACTTCACTTCCCTACATCCCATGTCTGTAGCTAAACACTTGGGAAACTCTGCAGTAAGTTACCACTCAGATTTGGGGCCTGTAGAGTTGGGTGATGGTGAGACAAAGATGAAAGAAGAGGACCACCAAGGATCTTAGGAGGAAGTAACTGAAAAGGTTGAAATTAAATGGTTTGTATCCTCCGAGCAGTTTAGCAGAATCAAATCAGGATTTAACCCCAGCACCCTATTTCTTTAGCCATGAATTCCTTAGATGGCTTTGTCTTCTTGGGAACCCACTTCATGTGCCTTCTATCATAGAGAAACAGCTCTATCATGGCCATGCATTAATAGTGAGGAAATTTACCTACCATTTTGTCTATAGAATTATAAATTTTATGGTTGAAAGGGACCCTGATAGTCATTATGGCTACTTTTAGGCAGGCAAGAAGTATTAACATCATTTTACAGGTGAAGCAGTTGTGAACAGAGAGGGTAAATATCCTGACCCTGGGATCTTTGTTCAATTGATGTCAGCAAGTCAGAGGTCACATAAAACATATACACTATCCTCAGAGAATGTAGGAATCGAAAATGCAGAGGGACTGGGGAATAACCTCACTTGTTTGCTTTCAGCCTATTAAAATGTAGTTCTCTGCATTCAGCTAAATGGATTTATGAGTTGCTTTATATATTTTACATTTAACTAACCAATTTTTTTCATCAGAATTAGCTGGGTTGTGCTGCAAATGTGAAGAGTCTCTAAATTTCAATGGCTTAATAACAGTACATGTTTATTTTGTTACTTGTGATACATGTCTAAGACGGTTGCAGAGGCTCTGACCTTTGTAATCAGAACCCCTGATCTAGGCAACTGGAGACTCAATCTCAGCACAAACTTCCAGGATTTCTGAAGCTGGAAAATACATAAAAAATTTTAAAAAGAGTATGGTGAATCAGACAATGCCGGCCTTTTAGACCATCTTTGAGTAGAAAGACTATTTATAATCTACACAATGAGAACAGTGCAGGATTATCAGCTATCTTTCAGTTCTGAAACATCCATAGGCCTATATTCTCTTTTATCTTGACAATGGTTGCAGTCAGGAATAAATAACAAGTCTGTTTCTTCCTGGAGGAAGTGTTCTTTCTGGTGACTTTCTACCAAAAAACCAGTTATTTAACCTTCACTAACTTGACTTTACCATTGCCCAGAATTAACTAGAAGAGAATTTCAGAACTACCCTGCAAAAAGGGGGCATCTTTTTAATACGGTATCAATAATAGGTCTGTATAGAAGTAAGTACAGCAAGAATCAGGTGGCCAGGATAATTTAGAAAGTGACACTAGTAGAAATAGTCAGAGGAAGTTGGTGTAACACAGGGATTTAGTTTAGTGTCTATCAACAGAAGATTAAGCAGACTACAGGAGTTTATGCAAGACTACCATGGATATACACATAGTGGCAGAAGTACAAAATAAAAGAAATTAGGAATTAAGAATAAGAACAATTGCTAATAAGTGAGTGAATGTGTGATATACACAAACACATACACATGTGTGCACACATATATACAATTTAACTCTTTATAACCTCCCCCCAGAATTAAGTACTATTTTATATTTCAGATGAGAGGACTGAAACCCAATGTTTCTTGGCTAGTAAGTGATGGTGCTGAGATGCCAGTCCAAATATATTTGATTCTATAGATCATGGTCTTTCTATTTTTTACTGAGAGGTATTATTTCATCTAGGCCACTTCTTAGCTAAATAACATATATCATCTATATATGTTATATTATATATATTTATAACATATATATATATTTATATTTATAACATATATCTGATCTTTGTTATTTCTTTTTCTCCTGCTAACTTTGGGTTTATTTGTTCTTAGTTTTTTAGTTCCTTGAGGTGTGATGTTAGGGTGTTAATCTGTGATCTTTCTACCTTTTTGAAGTAGATATTTAATGCTATAAACTTTCCTTTTAGCACTGCTTTTATGATATCCCACAGGTTCTGGTATGAGATGCTTTCATTTTCATTCATTTCAAAAAATGTTTAATTTCTGTCTTAATTGCTTCATTGATCCAGTGGTTGTTCAAGAGCATGCTGTTCAATTTCCATGTATTTATATAGTTTCCAAGGTTTCTCTTGGTATTGACTTCTAGCTTTTTCTCAACATAGTCTGAGAAGATCCTTGACGTGATTTTGATTTTAAAAAATTTGTTAACACTAGTTTTGTGGACTAATATGTGGTGTATTGAAGAATGTTTCATGTGCTGATGAAAAGAGTGTATATTCTGTAATTTTTGGGTAAAATGTTCTGTAAATGTCTGTTAAGTCCATTTAAAGTTCAATTTAAGTCCAATGTTCCTTTGTTAATTTTCTATCTTGATGATGTCTTGTCTAGTGCTGTGAATGGGATGTTAAAGTCTCTCACTATTATTGTATTGCTGTCTATTTCTTTAGGTCTAGTAATTTTTGTTTTGTGAACTTGGGTGCTTTGATATTGGGTGCATATGTAGTTAGGATTGTTATATCCTCTTGCTGAATTGATCCTGTTATCATTATATAACGATCTTGTCTTTTTTTTTAATGTTTTTTATTTAAAATCTGTTTTATCTAATGTAAGTATGGGCTATTCCTGCTTGCTTTTGGTTTCTGTTTGCATGGAATATCTTCTCCATCCCTTTACTATTTGTGTCTTTAGGGGTAAGGTGTTTTGATGAACCACTAGTTAGACTACCCAAGAGAAGAAGAGAGAAGATCCAAATAAACATAATCAGAAATGAAAAAAGGACATTACAACTGATACTACAGAAGTACAAAAGATCGTCAGAGACTATTATGAACAATTACAGAGTCACACACTAGAAAACTTAGAGGGAATGGATAAAGTCCTGGAAACACACAAGTTCCTAAGATTGAACAAGAGAAAAACAGAACTCTCGACCAGACCAATAAAGAGTAGCAAGATTGAATCAATAATAATCCCCCAACAAAAAGACACCCAGGACCAAATGCATTCATAGCCAAATTCTTCCAAACACACAATAAAGAACTAATACCAATCCTCCTGAAACTATTCCAAAAGATTTTGAGGAGGAGGGAATTGTCCTTAATTCTTTCTACAAGGCCAGTATCACCTTGATACCAAAACCAGACAAGGACATAACAAAAAAAGAAAACTACAGACCAATATCCTTGATGAATATACATGCAAAAATCCTCAACAAAATACTGGCAAATCACATCCAAAATCAGCCCCAAAAGATAATACATCATGATCAGCTGGGATTTATCCAAGGGATGCAAGGATTTTTTTTTTTTGAGACGGAGCCTTGCACTGTCACATGGACTGGAGTTCAGTGGCATGATCTCAGCTCACTGTAACCTCTGGCTCCCAGGTTCAAGCAATTCTCCTGCCTCAGCCTCCTGAGTAGCTGGGATTACAGATGCCTGCCACCATGCCTGGCTAATTTTTTGTATTTTTAGTGGAGACAGGGTTTCACTATGTTGGCCAGGCTGGTCTTGAAAGCCTGACCTTGTGAAACACCCGCCTTGGCCTCCCAAAGTACTAGGATTACAGGCGTGAGCCACTGCACCCAGCCAATGATATTTAACATCTACAACTTCAACCAAATTAAGGATAAAACCATGTGATCATTTCAGTAGATGCAGAATAAGCATTCAATAACATTCAGCATCACTCCATGATAAAAATCCTCCACAAACTAGGCATAGAAGGAACATATCTCAACATAATAAAGACCATATACAACAAGCCTACAGCCAACATCACACTTAATGTGGAAAAGTTGAAAGCCTTTCCTCTAACAACTGGGACAAGACAAGGATGCCCACTTTAACCATTCTTATTCAGCATAGTACTGGAAGTCCTCACCAGAGCAATCAGACAAGAGAAGAAAAATAAAAGGCATCCAAATTGGAAAAGAGAAATTCAAATTATGTCTGTTCATGGATGATATGATCTTATATCTAGAAAACTATTCCACCAAAACACTTAGATTTGATAAGCAAATTTAGTAAAGTTTTAGGATACAAAATTAATGTACAGAAATTAGTAGCATTACTATACATCCATAATAATCTAGCTGAGGCCCCAATCAAGAATTCAATCCCATTTACAATACCAAAAAAATACATAGGAATATATTTAACCACGGAGGTGAATAATTTATGTAAAGAGAACTACAAAACACAGGGGAAAGAAATCATAGATGATACAACCAAAGGGAAACACATCCCATGCTCATGGGTTGGAAGAATCAGTATTGGTAAAATGACCATATTGCCCAAAGCAACCTATAGATTCAGTGCAATCCCTATCAAATTAGGAACACCATTTTTCACAGAATTAGAAAAATGAATCATAACATTTATATGGAATCAAAAAAGAGCTCAAATAACTAAAGCAATCCTAAGGAAACAGAACAAAGGCTTAGGCATCACATTGCCTGACTTCAAACTATGCTATAATGCTATAGTAACCAAAACAGCATGGTACTGATATGAAAATAAACACACAGATCAATGGAACAGAAGAGTTCAGAAATAAAGCTGTATACTTAAAACCAACTGATATTTGACAAAGTCTGCAAAAATATACACTGGGGAAATGACATCCTATTCCATAAATGGTGCTGGGAACATTGGATAGCCATATGTAGATGGATGAAACTGGACTCATACCTCTCACCAAATACAGCAATTAACTCAAAATGGATTAGACTTAAATGTAAGAACCAAAACCATAAAAACTCTGGAAGAAAACTTGGAAAAAACTCTTCTGGACATTGGCCTAGATACATAATTTATGACCAAGTCCTCAAAAGCAAATGCAAAAAAAAAACCAAAAATAAATAAAGAGGACTTAATTAAACTAAAAAGCTTCAGCACAGCAAAAGGAGCAATCAACAGAGTAAACAGATATCCTACAGAAAGGGGGAAAATATTTGCAAAGTCTGCATCTGAAAAAGACTAAGTTGCAGATTCTATAAGAAACTCAAACAAATTAACAAGAAAAACAACCCCACTAAAAAGTGTCAAAGGACATGAACAGAAATTTTTTTTTTTAATTTAAGAAAACTTTTAGAAATTTTTCAAAAAAAGACACACAAGCAGACAACAAACATATTATAAAATTATCAACATTACTGATCATCAGAGAAATGCAAATTTAAACCACAATGAGATATCATCTTACCTTAGTTAGAATGGCTGTTATTAAAAAGTCAAAAACTAGCAGATGTTGGCATGGATGAGGAGAAAAGGGAACACTTAAATGCTCTTGGTCGGTATGTAAATTAGTACAAACCCTATGGAAAACAGTATGGAGAGCTCTCAAAGAACTAAAAAAGAGCTATCATTCAGTCCAGCAATCCTTCTTCTAGGTTTCTACCTAAAGGAAAATAAATCACTGTATTTAAAAAAACAGCTATACTCATATGTTTATCACAGCACTACTCTCAATATTAAAGACATGAAATCAACCTAAGTCTCAATCAATGGAGGAATGGATGAAGAAAATGTGGTATATATACACCATGGAATACTACTTAGCCAAAAAAAAGAAAGAAACTATGTCTTTTGCAGCAGTATGGATAGTTGGAACTGGAGGCCACTATCCTAAGGGAAATAACTGAGAAACAGAGAGTAAAAAGTTGCATGTTTTCACTTATAAGTGGGAGCTAAACAATGGGTACACATAAACATACAGATGAGTATAACAGGCACTGGGGACTCCAAACATGGGGAGGGGTCAGGGAGTAAGAGTTGAAAAATTACCTATTGGGTACAATGTTCACTGTTTGGGTGATGGTACACTAAGAGCCCAGACTTCACCACAGGGCAATATATGCATGTAAGATACTTGCACCTGTATTTCCTAAATATAAATAAAATTATGTAAAGTACATGATGCTTTATAATGATAATAAACAACTGTCTTACTGGTTTATGTATTTACAAAGCAAAAAGAATTTCAAAAGGGCTTGCTTTAAGGAAGTTAAATCACTGAATAAACTCTCTGCTTTTCCTTAAAATTATATATATATAAAATATATTGTAATATATATAATATATAATTATATATATACCTCTGATGGATATACATGCAAAAATCCTCAAAAAATACTAGGAAATTGCATCCAAAAGCACAATCAATATACATAAATGTCATATATAATAGATAATGTCTTATATATATAAAATGTCTTACACATGTTTATGTAAAAGCACGTGTATATATATATATATATATATATATATAAATGTCTTGTATGAGAGATTGGTTGTCAAGAATAAGCCCATGATTAGATACTTTATATTTATATTTTTATAATCAGTCAGATTGTTTAGTATATTCCATAAGCATGTTACCTAATAAAACAAATAATGTTTTTGTTACAAGAAAATACTTATTTCAAAGAGGTTCTCATCAGTCCTTTGACCACTGGTTTAGTTATTGCAAGACAATGGGAAGAATAGCAGTTGTACTTGTGAAAAAACAAAAGTAGCATTATCTGCTGCATTTTTGGTTGATTTCCACTAGATGGTAGTATTGAATTCAAGATTCAACCTGCTATATATTTTAATGCAGAAATTTGATAAATTACAGAAGACATTTGTATTGTGTTACTTTTACCGTCTATGTTAACATTTGAAACCATATTCAGACTATGTTTATGCATGTTGGAATTTTTTTAAAAAATACAACTTCTGGAAATTTGAAAACTTCTTAAGAAGCTGGTGCAATATTAGATATATTGTATTGTAATTCATAGAAATAATCTTTTATTATGAAACTTTTTAAAATAATTTTTGCATGTGTTTTAAATTCTGATCATAGTCATTTTCTTTTTCAGGCAAAATGTAGATTTCGTTTTTAGTCTGTGGAAAGAGTAAGAGAAAAATAACATGAAAATATATTTTTTTTCAAATGTTTCTGTCAGGAAAGATAGGCTCTTGGCAGGTGTGTTTGTGTGTAAAAATAGACTATCTTCGAGTACATATTTTCACTTCAATTTCCATGAGGCATTATAAACAAAGACAAAAATTAAAAAAAAAAACACTTTTGCAATTAATGAATGATGAGTACAATATGTAGCTAATTGCCCTGATTATGTTAGTGTGTTATTGCAGAATAATAATGAACTGAATGAACCTGTTTTCCTTTGCTGTATTCCTAACCAGATGCACCCCTGGAAGATACATTAGGAGTTATCTAGTCCATCTCCATCATTGTACTAATGAAGAAACTGAGGACTGTGACTGCTTTTTAAACTGTTCTAGAGAAAAAAAGGAAAGATGGGTTCCATTGACTCTGTTGAATACTCTCTTACTGATTTACAGATCTTTACCAAGTACTTGCTTGCAGAGAATATCCAAAAGCAGGACCAGATCATGATACTCTTCAGGACAGTCCCTAATAGTTTTCACTAGAAAGGTATACAGTTAAAAAGTAGCGTAAAATGGTATTGACACTGGAAAATACAAAAGTACCTTGAATTAAATTGTATGGTGAAAAGCACCAACCGTGGAATCAGGTAGAATTAAGTAATGAATTTCAGCTCTGTCACTTACAATCTGTGTAACGTTGGGCACATTTCTGCACCTCTCTGCCATTAAATCTTCTCATTTACAAAATGGAGTTAAAAATACCTACCACGTGAAATTATAGGATATCCTAAATGGAATAACTTAGTAAGCTCTCAAGAAATCGTTCTCCCCTTGCCTCATTAAGAAATCATTTTTAAAATGGGAACTACGTTAAAGCCCAATTTAAGGCATAGATCAGCAATGTTTGATGGCATGGATCTGTCTATTTTGGGGCTAAATTGTGTTCTGACCCTCCAAATGATCAATTCTAATTAATTCCTTGGTTGTAGATTTGTAAAGCCCGTTTAGTTGATTGCACAGACGTGGCCAGAGTCAAGGTACAGGAACCCACAGACTATAGAAATCAACGATAACATGTAGAAAAATCACAGGCAACAGAAATGCACTATTTTTAGAGATTGTATAACTGCTCTAGGGTGAAGCTATCTTGATTGGACTCAGCATAGTGCAACAGAACAGAATTACACAAGATGCCCCTTTCCATTACACCCCATTATTCCTCTGTTTTTGAGGATTTATGCTAACATTGTTCTGTTACAGATTGTAAACATTGATGTATTCTGAAACTGTTAACTGTAAGCATTTATGCTTGCATTGTTTTCTGTTCATTTCTCTTGTATTCCAGCAGATGTCAGTCATTCTCTTTAAATAATCTCCATTTATTCTCACCTGCCTATGACCAGCTGAAGGGAAATCACCTTTAGTTATGTCAAAGTGACATGTTTGTTGAACTGTAACAATAATAATGCTCCCTATTAACCTATCAGGGACTTGAGCCATTTTGCATTCAAACAATGATGAATTTTTATTTTCTTATTTAATTATTTAAAAAATCTCCATCTCAGTTTCCAAAATGTGTAACTAGAAAATAAATGAGAAGCCAGAGAAGACATGCAGAGAATTTAAATTTGCACTTGTGGTAAAATAATCTGCACTTGCGTAGGAGAAGACAAATCACTCCTTGATGTCAATGTACGGTTATGATTTTACTCATACTTTAGAATTTTAAAATGTCATGTAGTGTGATATATATTCATGCAGATGTGGGTGAAACAATGTGCTTTTTAATCATTCCTGCTACAATCACAAACAATCATTATGTCTAGCCATTGATCCTAGCACAGGGCTTGTCAGGTAAGGGCAGATTTTATAAAACCTGGGTAAAACAAGCTTAATTTGCGTAAATTGAGTTTTTTTCTAAAAGTGAGAGGGTACCTTTTTAAAGAAAATGTAGTAAATGCAAAAGTCAATGAATCCTTGGATGTTTCTCAAACTATCTTTGTGTTTTAAATCTACTTTCTCATTTTAATAGGAATTAATCATTTATCCTCAAGGAATATTTTCCTTAAAAGGGAAGAATATTACCAGTTTTTCTCAACAAATCTCGAATTCATTGTGGGGAAACTGATGATGTCTCTTCATTTGTTTTGTGATTCTTGTATTTTAAATCAGTTCATTGAAACAGCCTGGCTGAGTGCTGTATTTAAGTATAGAAATTTCTGCTCATATCTGGTGGCTCTTGCTGAAGGAGGGACATAGAGCTAGAATGCTTGTCAGGGATCCCACCTTAACCTGCTCCTGCCCCTTAGATAGATCCTCATTGTCTACAGGCCATTTGCAACCAGGCGAAATAAAAATTACCATGTTTCTCTTTATTTTATTTATTGAAGATTTTTGACTTTGTATATAATTTACATAGCTTTTAAATACAAAAGCTAGTTTTAAGGAATGTATATTAAACAGTGGTTATTTGCCAGGACAAAAGATACCATACTAGAGAAAAGCTAGGAAAAGAAGAAACATAGTTTCATACTAAACAACTATTTAATAATTTTAAGAAAAACAGTACAGTTTAATATTTGAGAAGGGAAATATGCTATCATTCTGAAAATCTTGTATGCAGAAAACTCTTAGTTTTCTAACCTAATGGTAGTTTCTATACTAGATTTAAAACTTTTTGTACTAGGCCTTTTCCTCAAAAACTTCTGTAAAACCTTAAATGTTTTATTATCAATGCATATATAGGAATGCATATATAGGAATTTACAAAGTAAAAGAAGAGAGCAATACTCATGTCTGTCATTGATTCACACATTGTCCCCTTTAGATGTGACTGAGAGGGTGGTGGCTCACGCCTGTAATCCCAACACTTTGGGAGGCTGAGGCAGGTGGATCACCTGAGGTCAGGAGTTCCAGACCAGCCTGGCCAACATGGCAAAACCCCTTCTCTACTAAAAATACAAAAAATAGCCAGGCATTGTGGCAGACGCCTGTAATCCCAGCTACTTGGGAGGCTGAGGCAGGAGAATCGCTTGAACCTGGGAGGCAGAAGTTGCAGTGAGTGGAGATCATGCCACTGCACTCCAGCCTGGGCAACAGAGCAAGACTCCATCTCAAAAAAAAAAAAAAAAAGAAGAAGTGACTGAGTACTCAGTTATCCAGCTTTTAGGGCAAAGTGATCAAATGATAACAGAAAGGAAGAGGCAAGAGAAGGATTTTACAAATACAAATAGTAATGATGGTCCAGGGACATGATGGAAATCGCAGGATGAAGCAGAGAAGGGAGCTCTGTGTGTTCCCTGGGTGGAGATTGTACTAATGAGCTGCTCACATTTGAGAAACACAGATTGATGAGCTTCTCTGGCAATTGTTATGCAGCAATATTCCCATAAGAAGTCACAGTAGTTATCACAGTATCAGAGCACCGTAAAATAAACACATTGCTTTTTCCATGAACTTGAATATTTAATGTTAGAGATGAGTACAATGGAGGCAAATAAATCCTCTCCTCATTTCCTCACATCCCTACTTTTAAAGATTGTCAGGTATTCAATCTCTATCATAGTTGTTTGAGACTTTAGGTCCCTATAGTTTATCATTTTCCAGTAATGTTTTTGAAATGCAATAATTTAAAGATCTCTCGACTCTTGGATTTACATTACAAATGCTGGTGATACAAAAATTTCATTTAAATTAGTCTAGACCATGAAGTATGGACTTTTAGCATATTATATTGTAAATTTGAAATTGAAACACTGTCATGATCTTTTTTTAAAGAATTTAAAACTAGTATTTAAATATTATAAGTTTTTCTCTGAGAAATGTTTTACAATTGTAGTTTATAGTTCTGAGGACTGAGAGTGTAGGAGATTTGCTTAAAACAAGAATGGAGATCAGAGCTAGGGTGTCTACTATATTCAACATTTTTCAAAATTCGCTCTGCCACCTGTCAAGAGCTGAGCTGAGCTGGAGAGAGCTGAGACGCCCGTGGTGGAGTGGTCAATTAAGACAACAAGCCAAAGTGAAAGTAACAGCCAATCCTTTAATGACTTTCTAAGGTAGTAGAATAGGCAAGAGGAAAAAGCTTAACCATTTTAATGTTCCTTTTTTCTCCACAGAAGGGCACTGGGTGAAGGTCCAATGTATCAGTGCACACGGGGGAGTGGGGCGGGGAATTATCTCACCACCTACGTACGGGAGCCCGAACAAAAGGCTCTGGCCATTTTATGGACCCAGGGGTGGGGATGGGGGTGAGCTGGAGAGGGGAGGACTAGGTGTGGGAAACAGTGAATATTGAGTCAGAGAGAAAAAAGAGGCTTCAAGTGTCCTCCCCAGTGAGGAGGCCTCCGCAGAATGACCCGATGAAGAGACCTCCTCTCTCTGAATGCAGGGAGGGCTAGAGATGCAGATATGCATAAGCGCATGGTGCTGAGGATGGAGTGACTGAGCCCTTGACTGCAGCTCCCTTCAGAGACTGCAGTTTACTGGCTGCACACAGTCTGGTGTGGGGAGGACAATTTTTCCCTGTGAAGCCTGCCAGGTAAATCCTTTGCAATTGTCTGTGGTAGGGTTTGAAAGATGATTATAGGTTTTTGGCTAGGAGCTGGACTCCTCACCACTGTCTCATTTCAGGCCTCCATCACCTCATTTTGGGATTATTAGAGGTGCTTTTATCCATTCTCTCCACTTCTCTGAAGTTTTTTTCCAGCATGATCCATCATGCTCTTGATTGCCAGATTGCTTGCTTCTAAATCACTAGATCACTAAATCACTGTATCGTTCCTCTACTTTGGAATCTAGTATGTATTATTTTTATACCAAACTCGAGCCACTCAGGTGAGCATGTAAGGCCTTTGTTTGATGGGCTTCAGTTTATTTATCCATATTTTACTACTTCTTACAAAGTTTTCTCAGATTTTCCTAAGCCAATGATGCTCAATCAAGCTTGTACAACCCAAGGCCCATGGCCACATGAGGCCCAGGGTGGCTTTGAATGTGGCTCAACACAAATTTGTAAACTTTCTTAAAACATTATGAGATTTTTTTGCCGTTTTGTTTTTTAGATCATCAGCTATCGTTAGTGTATTTTATGTTGGCCCAAGACAATTTTTCTTCTTCCAGTGTAGAATACAGAAACCAAAAGATTGGACCCCCGTGCTCTATATCTTTTGTACATGACAGTTCCTTCTCAGCTCCAGCCTTTCATACTGTTCTTAGAACATCTTTGACTGTCAACTCCACCTATCAAGCTATTCTTTTTCTTTTCAAACTCAGCTAAAGATATCGTCTCTGTGCAGCCACTGCCCTGCCCCTCACACTGATTCTTTTTGCTGTTGTTCTTGCTGGTTCATGAATTCTTCAGCCGCTATTTCATTGCTTTTGTCTGTCACACTACTAAAATATAAATACTTGTTCAACAAACAACTTCGAATTATTCTCTAGTTATTTATTTTTTCTTAAAAAAAGGGTTCAATTGTATCCCCATCTAATTTTTAGGTATTAATCCTTCTTCATCAGGTATTATATTCTGCACTTCCTAGGTGGCAGGCAGAATACTTGGTATTTTCATTTATGTCATATAATTTAATTTTCACAAAGGCTCGTGAGTCATGCAATATTTATCATGAGGTATACAAGATAAAAATGAATCTCAGAAAGTTGGAGTAATTTTGTCATGCATAAAAGACCAGTATACTGGCAGTTGTGAGATCTTTCTTGCGCCAATGTCCATGCTTATTTTCTTCTACAAGATGCTGCCATTATACTGGAAACACAATAGTGACAGGGTCAATGAATGAGACTCAATGCTAGTTTATGTTTATATGTTCTCTACCTCAAGAAAAAGTGTATCTATTCAGCATCATTAGTAAAGTTATTAACTCTAAGTTTTTGTTGTTAAAAAAAATTGATTCTGGACGAAGGTGTTATTAGCATTAAAGGCAGGGAGTCAGAGACACAGGCCTTTTATTTGGAATCTTGAGATTTCATCTAAGAAATCTTGCCCTTTTGATGTGACCTGGTTGAGATGCCACAACCCTTGAGTGTTGGCCTCCTCATTTGGCAGATGAGATTATCAGATTGCTGATTTCTGAAGTCCATGTTGGCAATAGTGGGGGTTGGATTCTATGCCTTTTTTTAATTACTGCACTCCGAGTTTGTTTTCTACAATGTACTCAGTTCTTCCTCCCCAATATAAACTGTATATAGCTACTTCCCATCATGATGTCCTCCTTCTGTTAGAGACAACTAGAATATGACACTTTTTCTCTGTTTTCCATCATATGGTTTAAAGTGCCATGTCTTTGCCTCTGAATTTGTTTTAAAAGGAGACATTACAGTATTAGTATCTTTATTTAAAGAAAATCTAACCTGAGCATCATTATTTATTGGTCAGTCTTCAAGTCATAGCTGTCATAATGTATTGGAGTCAAATAAACAAATTTCCATCTCTTCAGGTCCTGGACATATTTTTAAATATATTAATGCTATTATTACCATTGTTATTTAAAATGTGTTAAAACATTATCTTCATAGCAGATATCATACACAAATACTCAAGAACATACCTTCAGTAGAGGTAGAAATTAGAACAAAGTTATAGCCCTCTTTCCCCAGCCCGACAAGAAGGGGAAAAAGAAATAGAAATTTACCAATTATGTTATGATGCAAGGAATACAATTCTGTCCTAGAATGTGAGTTGTGTATGAACTTCAAAGTATGCACTAGTGAAAGTCAAAGCCAAATTAGTGAATTCATTTTATTATATTTCCCACTATTTGTTGAATGTATATTTTAAAACATTGATTTTTTTCCGTGACTGTTTTTTAGTCCTGAGAAAGGGAAATGATGCAGGAGGAGATGGTGAGAAAAGTTAAAAGAAACAATGGGTTGAGTCACAGTGCAAGGCTCTGTTTCATAGATTCCCATGTACAGCAAAAATGCTTGTAGAGGGAGATGAGAGGGAAAAAAGCCCAAGCTGATTTCAAAAATACTGTAGTAGCCAAGAAGAACGTTTGAATTTTAAAAAGCAAAATGAATGTCCACGTCATTACATACTGCCCCATTTCCTTGAATTATGGCCGTGTGAAATTGATTTCTGTGTAGATTGGATTCACTGGCAGTTTCCTTTCCTACAAAGTCCCACAGTTCCCTTTCCTTTCCTTTCCTTTCCTTAAAAAGCAAAGGTACCTCTTGGATTTACTATAACTCACAATGTCCATCCTAATAACGGGAACCAGTCTGACACGGCGTTTGATTTGCTGAACTTAGGTGGGCTTCTGAGACCTCCCCACTTTCTTCTCTGACGTGCACATTTCTGATAAGAAAGGCAGCCACTGCTTTAAAACAATGTAGCCTGAGTTTACACTGGCAGGTGGCTTTTCCTCACTGCTTTGGAAACACAGCTGCACATTCTGTTTACAAGGGTTTTCCACCATCAAGTCTCTGAAATTTTAATCTGGCTAACAAGCATTTTTACTGATGATAAAGTGAAAACTTCCCTCTGCTATAAAATGAAAAGAGGCTTTCTTCTTGGGAATCTAGATTTTGACAAGCATATTTCTTTTTTTCTATTGCTAACCTTCTCTCCTTTTTGCATGTGGATCTCGTTAGGAAAAATCATAACATTGGAGACATTTATTTTCTGATAAATATCGTAACCGTCATGCTAAAAAGTAGAGGTTTTTAAAAATAATCTCATGTTAGTCGTTTGTTGGTGATTACGGAGACTTACAAGCAAGGCTGCCTATCCACATTGGTTAAATCTACCATCAAGAAGGAAACAGATGTACCCAGGCATTTTCTCATTAATATGTTGATGCTTTCTTACTAAACTCCTTAATTCTTTCTAGGAAAAGAGAGAAATGACTGTGGTTTTAACCATAAGCATATCATCGTTTGCAAACCTGCCACTAACCTTAGCAGGATCTGGAGCAAAAGTACAAATGTAAACCCCATAATATTTGGCTAAATATCTAGCAATTATAAATCAAGCTAACAGAAAGTTTAAAAAATCTGTCCTATTTTCCTATCTTAACACATTTCTTTTCATGATGACTTGGAAGTATAGGTCTGAATTCAAACTTCCTGGACCATTCCAAGTCCTGAGCTGGGATGTGCTGGTAGACTTGGAGCTGGCTTCAGGCATATGACTTGACATTTTCCTTTCCCACCCTCAGCTCTGCCCCTCGCCATGAGAAGCCCCACATGCACAGGTGTGGACGCCCAGCCTGGATGCATTTCTTTCTTTATTATTTATTTATTTATTTATTTTTTTGAGATGGAGTCTCACTCTATCACCCAGGCTGGAGTGCAATGGCACGATCTCAGCTCACCACAGCCTCTGCCTCCTGGGTTCAAGCGATTCTCTTGCTTCACCCTCCTGAGTAGCTGGGATTATAGGCATGCGGCACCACACCTGGCTAATTTTGTATTTTTAGTAGAGAAAGGGTTTCTCTATGTTGGTCAGGCTGGTCTTGAACTTCCGACCTTAGGTGATCCACCCGCCTTGGCCTCCCAAAGTGCTGGAACTATAGGCATGAGCCACCGTGCCTGGCCGCCTAGATGCGTTTCTAAGCTCCATCCATACCTCCCTCATTCAACAAACGGTGGCTGCTTGGCCACCCCTAGGGCCTAAGAGTGCAGACACCTACGCATACTCACCTTTGGAGGGAAGAGTCCAAAACAATCCTGGAAACAGGCTTAGAGCTATGTGGGCAGGGAGTTGGGGGACTGGTATATCGATAGCAAAGTCTTGAAGGGTTAGTGTGGGCTCCATGTGGGGAGGGGATAATGTCTCCTTGGTCATATGAGCTCCTCAGTTCTTGTGAAGACATGGCCAGGGAAACACAGGGCCCAGGACAGGGTACTAGTTACTTGAATCCTTGTTACTTGTATCACAGTCTGTGTTGAGAATAGTTGGGAATATACAAAAACAAAGTAACAGTCATAAGGTAAGGGTGCTGCTTAAATTACCTTTAATTTGGGAATCTAAATGAAATAGACATAATAAATGGCTACACAAATGATGTTATTTAGGAGCAAGATATCCTGTCCCAAATATCAATTCCATCTGCAGGCCATATTCAGATTTCAAATTAATTACTGCTTTTGAGGCTCTGGCAAACAAAGTAGAGAATTTTTTTAGATATTGCCTCTATATCCTTAATAACAAGTTAATTCTTCCTCAGCACACAATTATGGGGCATCTGTATTGTACCAGGCATCATGCTGGGTGCTGGGCAGTTCACCAAAGAGATAAAAGAGAACAGATCCCATTCTCAAGGTGCTCCATATTTAAGGACATAATTTGATGGCTTATGGTAAGTGCTAATAAAGAAACATTTAAGACACTTTGGTATCTGAAAGAATTGAACAAATTTCTGGATGCAGGATAATGCAATGGTTAAGTGGATGGGCTTCGTATTCAGAGATCTCTGTTTAATTCCCAATTCTACCACTTACTAGTTTCAGTTACTTAATCATAAGCCTTAATTTATTTTATCTGGGAAGCAGATTGTATTGAGAAAACACATATGTTAGTGTAGGCCTTACTATGTGCAAGCTCTTTGGATGTAATGACAACAACATCATGAGGAACTATTATTAGCTCCACTGTACGGAGGGAACTGAAAGCACAGGGAGATTACTTAAAGTACTGAAAGTACCTTACTCATAGGGAATAATGGAACTAAGATGACAACCCAAGTAGTTTGACTCCAGCATCTCTAATTTTAACCACTATTCTTTACTTCCTTCTAAGGAAAAGTACATTTCCTGACACCTAGTAAGAGCACATTACACCATTATTATAACTATTGTTAGTGACTATACCTTGATAAAGGCAAGGCAAGCAGGTAAGGAAAGGCTTCACATCAGCAGTAATTAAGTTGTGCTTGAAGGAGGCATGGGAAGACCAAGCCATTTCAGGCAGAAGAAGCTATATATAAAGGTCAAAAGAGAAGGTGATATTGACGGGATACTGGGACTAGAGTGGATATTAGGAAGTCGTGGCAAATGGGGCCAAACCCTGGAGGGCCATATATACCAAACTAAGGAATCTGGTATTTATTTATTGGGTAAAGGATGAAAGAGTGGGTAGATGGCCAAATTTTAACGAAGAGAATATTGTTAGGTGACTTTCTACTAATCTGATAATTTGTCATTAATAAAGGAAGATAACTTTAATGATCTGCAACTCATGAATATGGGAACCAGTTAATTCTAAAGACTGAGAGTGGTGTTTGCAGCCTAGAAACCACCTTCCACGTGTGGGGAAACAAAAAAAGGCTTCAGCTGATAGGCTGATTGCATCTTCTTTGATCCAGTAACTATGAAGAAAATGTACCTTGCATTTGCTGCTATAGAATTATCTCCTTAACGCAAAGCTTCTTCGCTTTGGAACCCCCACACTCAAATGTTATTGAAAGGATGAACTGCTATGTTTGTTTCTGTTTGGACTTTTATCTTTTCCCATTTTGAAATACATTAAAAATACATTCCGTATAACATTTAAATGGACTTGCTGTAGGTGCAGGTTCTTAAGAATGCAATTCTTTTTATTTATTTATTTATTTATTTGTTTGTTTGTTTATGTATTTATTTTTTTATTATACTTTTAGGGTACATGTGTACATTGTGCAGGTTAGTTACATATGTATACATGTGCCATGCTGGTGTGCTGCACCCACTAACTCGTCATCTAGCATTAGGTATATCTCCCAATGCTATCCCTCCCCGCTCCACAACAGTCCCCAGAGTGTGATATTCCCCTTCCTGTGTCCATGTGATCTCATTGTTCAATTCCCAACTATGAGTGAGAATATGCGGTGTTTGGTTTTTTGTTCTTGCGATAGTTTACTGAGAATGATGATTTCCAATTTCATTCTTGATATAACATCGTCAAATATTTTTGAGGGTACTATAAGTGCAAGTTAGTGTACTAAGTATTGAGGGGGGAAGATATAAAGATAAAAGGCTAAGTTAATTAGCCATGTCATGTAATTATGCAATTTTTACAATTCAAATGAGTCCTGTGTACTCTGTCCTTATTTTCTGCTTAGCTCTGACTCATTCTTATTTTAATGATCCTGAAAAATAGCTTCCCAGTCTTTCCAAATATCTATTACCTCCCCCATCTCCCATGTCTAATGTAAAGCTAAATTGTTTATTTAACAATTGTGACTGAATTCAATGGATTTGTATAACTGTGTAAAGCTGGTCCAACTATTTCCCTAGGGGCATGTATCACAACATGAACTTTTTGGCAGAGTCTGTGTAGTGCTACTGTTTTTCAAGACCGTGTTTTGATTTTTAGAATACTCTAGTTCAAAATTGAACTGAAAGGTTCCAAATTGGAAGTCAAAATTTATGTGCTTCAAATAGTAAACATATGTAACTCTAATATGTATGAACACTATGTGTTTGCATGTGTGACAGTGATAGTGAGAGAAAAATACTGGAGAGAAAATTTTGGAGAGAAAATGATTGGTTCAGCGATTTTGACTGAATTGGCTTATAAAACCAATTCACTCCCTCTCTCACCAAAGAATGAGTGAGTTTTTGAGACTCAGTTCCTGTCTCTCATCTTCTTTGACACCTCCCCTGAATGCTTATCTTACGGTCCTACCATTTTATATTGAGTCAGTAAACAGCAATGACTGATTATTCTTCATAAAGTCCATTATTTCTTTGAATTAATTTTATTGGCTAATTATTATAGTGTGCATAGTTACAGTATATTTGTGTATTTTATACTAAAAGTAAAGACAATGAAAGCCCTATTATAAGCATCCTACACATCTATATTCTGGTATAGGGATACCCAACCCCTGGGCCAGGGACCAGTCCACGGCCTATTAGGAACTGGGCCACAGAGCAGGAGGTGAGTGGCAGGTGAGCGAGGGAAGCTTCATCTGTATTTACACCTGCTCTCCACTGCTTGCATTCCCACCTGAGCTCCGCCTCCTGTCAGATTGGCACTGGCGTTAGATTTTCATAGGCATGCACACCCTATTGTGACCTGCGCATGCGAAGGATCTAGGTTGTATGCCCCTTACGAGAATCTAATGCCTGATGATCTGTCATTGTCTCCCATCACCCCCAGATGGGACCGTCTAGTTGCTGGAAAACAAACCCAGGCCTTCTACTGATTCGACATTGTGGTGAGCTATATAATTATTTCATTATATATTATAATGTAATAATAATATAAATAAAGTGCACAATAAATGTAACGCGCTTGAATCATCTCGAAACCATCCGCCATCACTGGTCTATGGAAAAATTATCTACCATGAAACTGGCCCCTGGTGTCAAAAAGGTTGCGGACCACTGTTCTGGTATACCTTACAGTCAAATAATACTTTTCTGGGTTGGTTAAATTTAAAAAGAAGTGTGGTGTTTGATGAAGAAGAAAGACGTTTCATTTAGCTAAATAATATGATGAAACGTAGATTTGATCACACAAAACATTACGGCTCATTCAAGAGTTACTTGTGTGCATATTTGAAATAATGGGTTACAATTTTTAGGTTAAATAAAGAATGGAGACCAGAGACTGATCTCCTGAGAGAACAGGAAAGCATTAAAGAGCTTAAGGTCAGGAGAGATTTAAGAGCAATTTTAGTGGGAATAAGGGGTGCCAGAATTATAAGGAGATAAGGTTTTTTGTAAAGTAAGTAATTTCAGAATACAGTGTTTTAGAAGGAGATGCTGAAGATGACATGTTATCCTATGTAGCATCTGAGTGGCATGGATATGATGGGAACCAGTGTAGAGGAATGTGGCACCGAGACCTGCCTGGGGTCTGCACATGAATGTAGAAATCACTGAGAAGAATCCTAAGAAAGGAAAAAAAAAAATACACCAGAGTCTCAGCCCACAGGAAATCTAGTAGAGCTTCAGTGAAGGCGTATTGATCCAACGTCCTGAAACAAGTCTGAAAATGGGATAGAGTATAAGGAAAAGCACTGAGAGTTTGGAGGATGTGGGTGAATTTGTAACTTCTTTCTGAGAGAATTTGGAAAGGAGAGAAGGGTCAATAGGGAAAAGCTGTGTTTTACACAACTGAATTGGTAAAGGGTATGTCTGCTTTTTTTTTTTTTTGAGACTGAGTCTCACTCTGTCGCCCAGGCTGGAGTGCAGTGGTGCAATCTTGGCTCACTGCCACCTCCGCCTCCCGGGTTCAAGCAATTCTCCTGCCTCAGCCTCCCTGGTACTTGGGACTACAGGCCCGCACCACCACACCCAGCTAATTTTTGTATTTTTAGTAGAGATGAGGTTTCACCATATTGGCCAGGATGGTCTCAAACTCCTGACCTCATGATCTGTCCACCTCGGCCTCCCAAAGTGCTGGGATTGCAAGCGTGAGCCACTGCTCCTGGCTGGGTATGTGTTTTAATAGATGAAAGTTTGGAAAATGAAAGATTTGGCCGGGCATGGTGGCTCATGCCTGTAATCCCAGCACTTTGGGAGGCCGAGGCAGGCAGATCACCTGAGGTCAGGAGTTTGAGACCAGCCTGGCCAACATGATGAAACTGCGTCTCTACTAAAAATACAAAAAATTAGCCAGGTGTGGTGGCTGGTGTCTGTAATCCCAGCTACTTGGGAAACTGAGGCAGAGTAATCGGTTCAACTCGGGAGGTGGAGGTTGCAGTGAGCCAAGATTGCCCCACTGCACTCCAGCCTGGGGGCAGAGTGAGACCCTGTCTTAAAAAAAAAAAAAAAAAAAGAAAATGAAGAAAGTGAAGGATTTTTCCTTGATAGTTTAACAGGGTTAGGAAAGTAGAGAAGAAATGGCTAAAAAATAGAAGCAGGTCAGGTAGAAGTGGCTTAAGGAAGAATTGGATTGGCTTTCAATGAAAGCCATAATTTTTTACATTGGTTGGTGAGTGACTCAAGACCCAGCAATAAGGGAAAAAGAAAATGATGAGGGGTAAAGTGGAGGAAGGCTGTAACCACAGGGAAGTGGCTGGGTGAAGAATCAACCTATACATCATTTCAGTTGGGAGAAATTTTGCTGGAGAAACACAGAACACATTAGCCTTTGCTACCATGAGGTCTCATACCAAAGCAAAGAGCTAACATTGCCGAGATACTATGTACTTGATTTTGTGCTAGCTCTTTGCATTCAGTATTTTATTAAATCTTCTTCAGAAACATTATTATCCATATTATTAAGATGAGGACTCTATTTCTTAAAAGTGAAGTGACTTGCCCAAAATTATGAGTAGTAAATTCTGGAATTTGTACATAGGTTGGTCTCACTCCGGAGTCCCAACACTATATTACTATAGTACGTATGCTGTCAATTCTAAGATGGCATTAATGGGGATAAATATCATCATGTCACTCTGCTCCTTATAATCCTTTATTAGATTTCTATTGCCTGTTGGATACAATTCAACTTGTTCTTCGTTACGTAATGCCCATCAGGATTGGGACTTGCCTACCTGCAAAGATTCATTTCCATAGCTCCACCTTCCCATTGAATCTCAGCTACACATAGTCTACCTGCTGTTGAAAGTGCCAAAGGGCCTCCTTGCCTGTGTACACTATGTCTTCCTTTCTCTTCTGCAATATTTCTCTCCCTGCATCTTGCCCTTTTCCAGCCACTCCCTCTCCCACCAAACAGTGAGTGAGTTTTTTTGAGACTCAGTTCCACTCTCTCACCTTCTTTGACACATTCTCTGAAAGCTTATCTAACAGTCCTACTGCTTTATATTCATTCATTCAACAAATATTTATCAGATTCCTACTGAGGATATAATAGTTAATGAGAAAAGAACCTTGATCATGCAAATCTGGCAAGTAGTGAACTCGATGTAAAATATTACCTATAATCTAACAAGATTTCCTGTAGAATTGAGCATGGTAATAGGACACAAAGCTATGATGTAGGGTCGGGGATGGGACAAGAAGAAGGGAGGTATTTTAAATAGGAAGGTCAAAAAAGTTTTCTCCAATGAGATCACGTTGATTAAAGACCTTTAGTGAAGAGGGGAAGTGAGCTATGAGGAGACCTGGAAAGAGAATATTCCAGACAAATGAGAACAGAAAAATCAAAAGCCCTGAGGAGGAAACAAGTTTGATGTATTGGAAGAGAGGAAGAAGATCCATGCTGCCAAGAAGAGGGGTGGGAAAGATAGGCAGAGGCTGGGTCCTGTGGGACTGTAGATCTCAACCCTAGCTGCATGTCTAAATTACCCAGAGAGCTTAAGAAACCACTGATGCTGAGACAGACCCCGCCTAAGCAATACAAGTTTAACTGAAGGGGCCCTTGCTGGGCAGTTTTTAAAACACTTCTCAGTAAGAAATATTTCTGTTATTGAAAGACACCATCAGGGGGTTCCTTCTTCAGGTTTCAGGATACTTTACAAAGAAGTAATAAGTAAGAGGAAATATCTCTATTTTTTATGAAGCCCTTCTGGGTTCTCAATTATGAATTTTAAGTTCAACTTTACAACTATCACATGAATACATTCTCACTGTTAAAAAAATTAGAAAAAAAATATAGATATATCCAAAGGCCTCCTTAACTATCTGTAATCCTTCACACAGCTAACAATGGTTATTAGTTGGACATTTATCGTTTTTGTCACTTTTTATGCGATACACGTGTTTATTCTTCTGCTGCAACTTGCTTTAAGAAAACCTGCTGAGAATGGAGTGAACCCGGGAGGCGGAGCTTGCAGTGAGCCGAGATGGCGCCCCTGCACTCCAGCCTGGGCGACAGAGCGAGACTCCGTCTCAACAACAAAAAAAAAAAAAAAAAAAAAAGAAAGAAAACCTGCTAACAGTCTTTGACATATTTCAGTGTTGGTACACTTCAGAAATAAGAATTTCAGGGGCACAGAAGATGTTCATTTAAGATTTTAATAGATATTGTCAAGCCACCTTCAATTGAGTGTACCAAATTATGTTCCTGCCAGCATTGTAAGTTAATACTAGTTTCCCCACACCCTAGTAGATACTAGATTTTATTGTATCTGAAAATGTGTCACTATGATATATAAAAGAGCATTCAATTTTATTATTGGTTAATTTTCACTTTCCCAACTTTAGAATATGTCCTCTTCTGTGAATTGCCCATTTACATACTTTGCCCTCTTATGTTTATCTTTTTTTGTTTTATTTGTACCATTTCTTTACATATTCTAAATTTAATTTTTAGCAGTTACATACATTGCAAATATTTTCTTCCAGTCCATCATTTGCCCTTTAACTTATGGAGACTTTTGTCATACAAGATCAGTTATAATGTCACATTGAGGCCAAGTCCTAAGCCCAGGTAGAGAAAGGTACAGAGAGCTGTTTGTGGGTGTCTGATAGATTATAGTGTTAAGGAAAGTACATATCAGGAAAAGTAGATACAATAGAATTATAATTTGTAAAGTAAAATTTGTTCCTTGTTCAATAAAGATTAAGCCTCTCAAATTTTTGAAAACTCCTTGGCATCTGCATATATTAGAGCACACCTCAAAGACAAGGAAATTCAGCTGTTAAGCTTAGGCAACTATAGAAGATTTTAAAAGGTTTTAACACTTCCTAAATGATATCATAAAGGAAGATGTAATTGATGAATGCTGAGTATTTACCTAAATTTGTTGAACTGGATTATGAGAATCAGAAATTATTTTCATCCTGTGCTTCAGAGAGTCTTAATTCTATAAAAATACCATTTTCATCATTGAGAGACTTCCAACTACGATGCCTTTGTAAACCAAACAGATTGCAAAGTGGTAAAGTTCTACAAACAGTTAAAATACTGTAAGTGTTATGAAACAAAAGTTCTGAATTCAACAAGCTGTGAAATACTATATTCAAAGCTGTAGCCTGTGACATCCAATTGGGGAGGTGACTTAAAATAGTGTGGTTAGGAAAGGTAGCTGCAGTGTTAACCAATGTATTTCTTTGTTTACAGTATTTTATTTCTCCATTTAGCCCTTCCCCATTGAATACATTGAGTACAGTGAAAGTATAAACAACAGGATTAAATTACTGACTTTTATACTTCAGAAGTCTGGCTCTCAGGGGCTGAAATAACAGATGTGGGAGAATTCTAATAAATAACAGTAAAATTCACAAAACATCTCCTCCCATCCCAGACTAGAAAGAATCCTCTAAATCTGAGAGGACGAGAGCAGGAAGGAATGTAATGAAAGGATTGTCAGCGGGCTTTGAAACGAGCCTAGTGAACCAGGAGGGACTGTACAGAATAGAGTGACAACTAGGATCTTCCCGCCTCCACCACAAGCACCAGCCATTGTCAGGGCCCCACAGCAGCCTAGAAGCCCAGGCAGGTCCCTGCTGCCTATGTTTGGTGAGCACCACCCCACACCCTGGTATGCTGTGGTGAAAGGACAGCACTATTAAAAGAGGGCATAATCCTATCTACATGGCAATAACCATTACTAACATCTTTGTGTTTTCTATCCACCTATCATTCCATCTTGGCAGCAGATACAGATTTCAACAGTATATAAGAAAATGGGTGAAATATTGCCATAGCTCTGTTAAGGAGTAAATTTATCACAAGCGTTCATAAATACGAACAAAAATAATTAAGCTAAGCATTTAAATCAAATATTTTAAATAAACAAAAAAGAGCAAATCTGAGGAAAGCAAGGGGAAGAAAACATTAAAGAAAAAAACAAATAAAAAAATTAAAAAGATTTTTCAGAGCAGAATTTATAAGTCAATCTAAGATCAGGCTCTTCGAAAATGCCAATCAAGGATATCTAATTAAGAAGGAAGTTCTTGAAAAAGTAAATAAGAAATATCTAAAAAGAAACAAAAAGGAGAAAAACCTGAAATAAAAAAAATGGAAAATAAGGGTAACATAAAGTTGAATGTAATCCATTTGAAAACCTTGATTCAACAGTTAATTTTAGAGAAAAAACAAATTATCATGATTGACTAAAGACAAAGGAAAAATTTAAGTAAAATGATAATCATTAAAGAAATTGGACAATTTAGGGAGGGGAAATGCACTTAAAATGGCTCTATGGCTAGTGTATTTAAGCTAAATTATTTCCGAATTTAAGGAAACAAACAACTTCCATACTATACTATATAATATTCACTTTAAAGTCTATTATTCTCTCTATTCCTATATCATGTAAAAATTGAAGGTAGAGATTTTGTTGTTTAAATATTACATAAATATCTAGTTTTAATTGTATTTGATGATCAAGTCTAGGTTAGCTCTAAATTTGAGACTTTATTTACTCCGTGTTTTGTGATGTAATAATGTCTTTAATAACATTAGTGAAAGCACCCACTGGCACTAACAAAGCTTTTTTTTGAGACGGAGTCTTGCTCTGCCGCCCAGGCTGGAGTGCAGTGGCATGAACTTGGCTCACTGCAACCTCCGCCTCCCGGGTTCAAGCCATTCTGTGCCTCAGCCTCCTGAGTAGCTGGGATTACAGGAGTGCACCACCATGCCTGGCTAATGTTTGTATTTTTAGTAGAGACGGGGTTTCACCATCTTGGCCAAGCTGATCTCGAACTCCTGACCTTGTGATTCACCTGCCTTGGCCTCCCAAAGTGCTGGGATTACAGGCGTGAGCCACCACGCCCAGCACTAGCAAAGCTTTCTATTGGAAAAGCAGATAGAGCTACTTTTCTTTTCCTCATTGTAAATTCCAAGTCAATTTTTGTTCCTTCTCTTTCAAAACTACCGTTCCTTTGACATTAATGTGATTAATCTTTAGCATCCACTATCTTGCTATCTTCCAGATGTGACTCTTCTTGTAAACAGGCTTGTCTTTTGAAGAAATTAAGAAGGAAAAATAATCTTTTATATTTGCTTACTTATTTACCATTTCGTGTGATCTTCATTCCTTTATCATCTAGACCCAAATTTTCATCTGGTACCATCTCCCTTCAGCCTGAAAAACATCTTTTGGCATACCTTGTAGGGCAGGTAGGCTGGCAACAAATTCTCTTGACTTTTGTTTATTTGTAAATGCATTTTATTTCACCATGGATATGAAGGTAGTTTTGCTTTGCTCTCAGTTCTGTGGGACCACCATGCTCTTTTTGCTCTTTAATCTGTGCATTATGATTGGGAAATTGTCCCCAGGCAAATAGTAGAGGTAATTGTGGGACCTATCTGATGGATTTCTCTTCTCTCAGAAATTTCAGTTTTGCATGCCTCTTGTTCAATGACTGAACACAGTTGCCTCATATATTTGGTCTGGCTTCAAAATTCCTTATGGCAGGAGGGCTAGTCTAGCATGTGTTACTCCATCATGCCTGGAAGTGGAAAGCCTCTAACACTGCCTTTTATAACTTTGTAAATCTTTTTTTAATATATCTTCTTATACGTAATTATAAATTTTTGATAACTTTATACTCTTTTATACCTTTAGTATCTGGCTCTCCCTTTTGTTTTCCCCACCAACTTCTCCTGTCATCATTCCTGGTATCTTCAACATACATACATATTATTTATCCTAGCTTCTTAGTACCTTGATCTCTTCAACTCTAACAATTTTCTCCTCTACACCAGCTCAGTGACTCAATCACAGACATTATCAACACCAACAACTGTGCCACCTCCAAACTCTCAGTTTTAAACATTTCATTACCTGTCTGTTAATTGCTATGCTTCCCCATTCATTTTTTTTTCATCTATTCTTTTTTTTTTTCTTTTGAGATGGAGTTTCACTCTTGTTGCCCAGGCTGGAGTGCAATGGTGCACCATTAGTAGAGACGGGGTTTCTCCATGTTGGTCAGGCTGGTCTCGAACTCCCAACCTCAGGAGATCCACCTGTCTCAGCCTCCCAAAGTGCTGGGATTACAGGCATGAGCCACCGTGCCCGGCCCCATTTATTCTGATATCCTACGCTGTCTATTCTTCAGCCCTATAGGAGTCTCCAATTTTTTGTTCCAACCACTGTTTTACTGTATTTCATTTCCATGATGGTATCACCCTGCTCCTTACATGCTTAGCTTCCATAGCTCAGTACTTAACTCATTCCTACCTGTCCCTTTCTGCATTGTTCTTGTTGCCAAACTACCTGGTCAAAGATTTGTCTGTGCTGCTCCAGCATTGAAGTCACTCATCTTCTCCTAGCCTTCCCCTTCTTTGCTCTGCTTTCACACTGACCTCCACATTGCTCCTTGACCATACCAGACTTATTTCTACCTCAGGGCCTTTGCACTGGCTTTGCCCTCTTCTGGGAGTGCACTTCCCAACTATCTATGTGGTTTTCTCACCTGCAAGTCTCTGCTCACGTCACATCTTTTTTTTTTTTTTTTTTGAGACAGAGTCTTGCTCTGTCTCCAGGCTGGAGTGCAGTGGCGCCATCTTGGCTTACTGCAACCTCTGCCTCCTGGGCTCAAGCGATTCTCCTTCCTCAGCCTCCCAAGTAGCTGGGATTACAGCACACACCACTATACCCAGATAATTTTTGTATTTTTAGTAGAGACGGGGTTTCACCATGTTGGCCAGGATGGTCTCGATCTCCTGACCTCGTGATCCGCCCACCTCGGTCACATCACATCTTCTAAGTGAGGCTTGAGCTGCTCACCTTACTCATAGTTATATTCGTTATCTCCAACCCGAAACCCTTTTTTCCTTATTACTTAAACACTTGTTACATATGTATTGTTTACTTATTTATTTTGCCTGTTTTTTTCCTTTTCCCACTGTAATGAAAACTCCATAAGAACAAGGAATATTTTCGGTTTTCTTTACTGCTTTATTTACAGTGCCTGAAACATAGGAGAAGATTATCAGTAGTTATGTGTTGAGTGAAGGGATGGAAGGGAATTATACATCTGCATGCCCACATCTTAATTTAAATATGTGAACAAAAATTTCAAATAAGCACCCAACAAGGCCATTATATTTATCTATTAAATTAACTTTCCTGCTCTCTGAGACAATTATTTGACAACTTCTTTAGTTTCCCTCTCACATTCCATTACTTTTATCCTCTTTCCCCATTTTAAACTAAGGACTTAGTTTCATGCTTACTTAAAAAATAAATACGATTTAAAACTCTTATCTTCCCATTACTAAACCCACCAACATACATTTGTCCTTTCCCTCATGCTCTGCCTTCCTTCTTGGTACAATTGGTATTTATATTAAATTCTCCTTTTACATTCTGCATCCCATTCCTTCTTGGCTTATATGGACTTTGTTCCTATACTCATTCCCTTTCTAATTGACAGCATTGATTTCTCTGTCTCTAATGAATCATTTCCATTAGCATGTTAACATTCCTCAAGTACACTCACCAAAAAAACCAATACTAAAAATAGTTCTTCCCCAAATCCTTTTGTTTTTAGGTCAATGCTTTAAAGGAGTTATTTATATTTATCTCTACTTCTCCTCTTTTCCTTTCTCATCTCACTTCAACCCATTACTCTTGGACAATTGATCTTACCACTCTGGAGAAATGGTTTATATTAAGGTCACCAATGACCACCATCTTGGAAATCTTTATTAATTTGACTCTTATTTTCATCTTACCAGCCTTTTCAGAAGTTTTTGAAACAATTGTTCTCCGCTCTCCTACTTGAAATTCTTTGCTTCTTCCATGACTCTTTTTACTTTTTTTTTTTTAAATTCATGCAATACTCCTTTTTGGATTCTTTAGCTGGTATCTCTGCTTCTGTTGGATTTCTAAATGCTAGAGTGTCCTAGGACTCTGTCCTTCACTTCCTTCTATTCTCTGAACTCTTATGAACAATGTTACTGTAAATATTTCTGGACACATTTGGTTACAAATTTATGTAACGTTCTCTAAGGAGTGGAATCATTGCCAGTTAGGGCATGTACATCTTCAATTTTGCTAGAGAAAAATTGTTTGCCAAAGTGTTTGTACCAATCTAAACATTCACTTCAGCTTATGAGTTTCTATTGCTTTACCTCCTTGTCAGTATTTAGTATTTTCAGGCTTTTAAATTTGGCCAATCTGTGATTGTAAAATATCTCAGATTTTAATTTGCATGTTTTAATTATTAATGAGTTTGTCCATCTCTTTTCATATTTTCTTTTTATTTGAGATGGAGTCTCTGTCACCCAGGCTGGAGTGCAGTGGCACGATCTCAGCTCACTGCAAACTCCGCCTCCTGGGTTCAAGCGATTGTCTTGCCTCAGCTTCCCAAGTAGCTTGAGTTACAGGCGCCCACCACCACGCCCAGCTAATTTTTGTATTTTTAGTAAAGACAGGGTTTCACCATGCTGGCCAGGCTGAGGCTGGTCTCGAGCTACTGACCTCAGGTGATCCACCCTCCTCGGCTTCCCAAAGTGCTTGGATTATAGGCATGAGCCACTGCACCCAGCCTCTTTTCATATTTTCGGCGCCAGTTTATATTTATCACTTCCAAATTCATCATAATTGCAATTTTAATAAATATTTCAACTATAATACATCTTCTGAAATAATTGATGAACACATCATATTGGACCACAGTAAACACTGATTTCCATTACATAAACTACAGGCATATCTCATTTCATTGTGCTTTGCTTTATTGCCTTTCACAATATACTTTTTACAAATTGAAGGCTTGTGGCAACCTTGCGTGAAGCCAAGTCTATCGGTGCCATTTTTCCAACAGCATGTGCTCACTTTGTGTCTCTGTGTCACATTTGATGATTCATTATTATTATATCTGCTATGGTCATCTGTGATCAGTGATCTTTGTTGTTACTAATGTAATTGTTTTGCGTGCCATGAACCACACTTACATAAAATGATGAACTTAATCCACAAATGTTATGTGTGTTCTGACTGCTCCATTGACCACCCATTCCCCAGTCTCTCTTTGGGCCTTCTCTGAAAAACAATATTGAACATAAGCCAGCTAATAACCCTACATTGGCCTCTAAGTGTTCAAATGAAAGGAAGAGTCACACCACTCTCACTTTAAATCTAAAGCTAGAAATAATTAATCTTAGAAAGGCAGGTCCAAAGCCAAAAGAGGCTGAAAGGTAGACCTCTTGTGCAAAACAGATAGCCAAGTTATGAATGCAAAGGAAAAGTTATTGAAGAAAATAGAAAGTGCTACTCCAGTGAAGCCATGAATGATAAGAAAGTGAAACCACTTTATTACTGACATGGAAAATAATTTAGTGGTCTGGATAGAATATCAAACCAGCCACCACATTTCCTTAAGTCAGAGCCTAATCCAGAGCAAGGCCCTAACTCTGTTCAATTCTGTGAAGCCTGGGAGAGGTGAGGAAGCTGCGGAAGAAAAGTGTGAAGCTAACAGAGGTTGGTTCTTGAAGTTTAAGAAGCCATTGCCATAACATAACAGTGTAATGTGAAGAGGCAAGTGCTGATGGCAAGTTATCCAGAAGATCTAGCTAAGAGATTTGATGAATGTGGCCATGTGAAACAACTGATTTTCAGTGTAGGACAACAGGCTTCTATTGGAAGAAGATGCCATCTAGGGCCTTCATAGCTAGAGAGGAAAAGTCAATGTCTGCCTTCAAATTTTCAAAGGCTAGGCTGACTCTTGTTAGGGGCCTAGTTAGGGGCTTTTGTTAACTTGAAGTTAAAGCCACTGCTCCTTTACCATTCCAAAAATCCTAGAGACCTTGAGAATCATGCTAAAGAATCACGCTAAATAAACTGCCAGTGCTCTAGGAATGGAACAGCAAAGCCTGGGTGACAACACATTTACTACAGCATGATTGACTGAATATTTTGAGCCCACTGCTGAGACCTACTGCTCAGAATAAAAGACTCCTTTCAAAATATATTCATTGACAATGCACCTGATCACCCAAGAGCTCTGAAGGAGATATACGAGATTAATGTTGTTTTCATGTCTGCTAACAACATTCATTCTGCAGCCCTATGGATCAAGGAGTAATTTTGACTTTCAGGTCTTCTTATTTAAGAGATATATTTCACAAAACTATAGCAGCCATAGATAATTATTCCTCTGATGGATCTTAGTAAAGTAAATCGAAAATCTTCTGTAAAGGATTCACCATTCTACATGTCATTAAGAACATTCATGATTCATGGGAGGAGGTCAAAATATCAACATTAACAGGAGTTTGGAAGATGTTGTTTCCAACCCTCATGGATGACTTTGAGGACTTTAAGACTTCAAGGGAGGAAGTAACTGCAGATGTGATGGAAATAGCAAGAGAACTAGAATTAGAAGTAGAACCCGAAGAAGTGACTGAATTGCTGCAATCTCAATTGCTGCTTGTGGATGAACAAAGGAAGTGGTTTCTTAAGATGGAATTTACTCCTGGTGAAAATGCTGTGAAAATTGTTGAAATGACAACAAAGGATTTAGAATATTACATATACTTAGTTAATGAAGCAGCAGCAAGGGTTAACAGGATGGCCTCCACTTTTGAAGAAGTTCTACTGTGGGTAAAATGCTATCAAACAGCATTACATGCCACAAGAAAAATCTTCTGTGAAAAGATGAGTCAGTTGATGCAGCAACCTTTATTGTCTTATTTTAAGAAATTGCCACAACCACCCCAGCCTTCAGCAACTATCACAGTAGTTAGTCAGGAGCCATCAACTTCAAGGTAAGACTCTCCATCAGCAAAAAGATTTGGACCCACTGAAGGCTCACATGTCCATTAGCAATTTTTAGGAAGAACATTTTTAAAAATTAAGTTATGTACATTTTTTAGACATAATGCTATTTCATACTTAGTCGATGACAATATAGTGTAAACACAACTTTTATATGCACTGGGAAACCAAAAAATTTGTGTGACTCACTTTATTGCAGTGATCTGGAACTGAACCCACAATATCTCTGAGGTATGCTTGAATATCTTTTCATTAAAGTTCTTATTAATCTCATAATGTTATCTCCATTATGGTAAATTAATAATTGATATGCTTAATTATATACTATATTTTTATCTATAGTCTATAATTCCCCACTTGGCTACAACAGAAATGAGCAAACTTTTTCTGTAAAGGAACAAAGATAAATATTTTGGTCTCTGTTGCAACTAGGGATAAACTCTAGTGTTGTAGCACAAAAGTAGACACAGATGATACATAAATAAATGAAGCAGGGAGCATTCTACTAAAACTTTATTTTCAAAAACAGTGGCAGCTGGATTTAGTTTACCAACCCAGGGTCTACAAAATTAGAATGATTAATCTTTATCAAATGCCCTACTTAAATTCAGATATAGTATATCTACAGAACTTTCTTAATCAACTTCATAATCTATTAATCTGTCAAAATCAGAAATGATTGATTTGACACACCTCTTTTTAGTGAAACTGTTGAGTCTTGGTTATCATCACTTCTTTAAAGTATTTCTGTTTTACCCTTTATCACTCATTTTGTGAAGTGATCAAGATCCATGTCAATTTGATAGTACATAGTTTACAGACATTAACTCCTCCCTTGCGCCCTCACTTTTGGGCAATTGAAACTACATATTTTAACTTCTATCTTTCCTTGGTATTTTTCTTGATTCCTCAAAGAGCACTAGTTGTTTCATGAACATATTAGGAACTAATTAATTAGAATGAGAAGGCTTGATAATTTTAACATCTAAGTTGTATAATACTATCTCATGTACTTTGGATTTCAGTTAGTATTTTTTCTAACTTTTAATATAACATTTTCAGATATACCTAATACTTGTATTCCATGGTTATTAATAATTTGCTATATTTGATTTATCTTTTTATCTGTTTGTTGATGTATGTATTTTTGCCTGAACCATTTGAAAGTTGAAATCTCATGACTCTTCACACCAATGATTTTCTCCCTAATGAAATTATAATTGTTACAGTTAAGAACATTAATTTTAATATGACCTAACATATAGCTCATTTTCAAAAATATCAAATTAATTTAAAAATGTTTTAAATTTTATTTTTTATTATGGTAAAATATACATAACACTTACAATTTTAACCATTTTAAAGTACGCAATTTAGTGGTATTAAGTACATTTACACTATTACTCAATCACCACTACTATTTTCAGAACTTTTTCATCGTTCCAAACAGAAACTCTATACCACTTAAGTAATAAGTTACCACTTCTCCCTCCCCAGAGCTCCTGGTATCCTCTACAAGTTGAGCATCTCTAATTTGAAAATCTAAAATCTGAAATGCTCCAAAATCCAAAATTTTTTGAGCTCTGACATGATGCCACAAGTGGAAAATTCCACATCTGACCTTATGTACACCAACGTTGCTTCATGCATACAATTATTAAAAATATTGTATAAAATTACCTTCTGTGTCTGTAAGATGCATATGAAACATAAATAAATGTTGTGTTTATTTTGGGTCCCATCCCCAAGATATCTCATTATATACATGCAAATATTACAAAATCCAAAATGATTTGAAATTCAAAGCACTTCTATTCCCAAGCATTTCAGATAAGGTATACGCAAACTGTATTCTACTTCCTGTCTCTATGAATTTGCCTGTTTTAGGCATCTCCTATAAGGGAAATCATGCAACATTTGTCCTTTTGTGTTTGTCTTATTTTACTTAGCATACTTTTTCAAGGTTCTTTCAGTTACATATCAGATGTATGTATGTCTTCCAGTATGTATCAGAACTATTCTTTTTATGACTGAATGTGTGTGTGCGTATATGCGTGTGTGTAGACACACACACATGCACAGATGCATATGTCATATTTTGTTTATCTGCCTGCTCAAATCTGCTGTTGAATCCTCTGGTGCCCCGGTGAACTTTTCTCTTAAGTTATTGTTCTTTTCAGCTCCAGAATTATTGATTTGTTTCTTTATAGAATTTATAGCTCTTTATTGATTTTTTTTTAAAAGAAATGAGGTCTTGCTATGTTGCCCAGGCTGCTCTCAAACTCCTGGGTTCCAATATTCTCATTTTGTTTGTTTTCCTGAATTCTTTTAGTTCTTTGTCAATGGCTTCTTTTAGCTCATTGAACATATTCAAAACAGTTGATTTAATATCTTTGGCTAGTAATTCAAATATCCAGGCTTCTTCAGGGATGGCTCCTGTCAAATTCTTTTTCCTATGAGTAGGCTATCCTTTCCTGTTTCTTTGTATATTTTAGTTTTTTTTATTGAGAACCTGACATTCTTAGTATTATAATGTGGTGACTCTGGAAATCTGACTCTCCCACTTCTCAGGGATTGCTGATTTTTGCTTTTTGAGGGCTACAGCCATCCATCTGAGACATTTCCACACTATTTTTGCAAAGTATCTATTCTTTGTTGTGTGTGGTTACTGAAATTTCTGTTCCATTATCTCCGCAGTCATTCAGTGACCTGATAAAGATTTCTTTAAAATGTCTGCCTTCAAAGAAAGGGGGAAAACATTCTGTGCTTTAACTTTTTCAGTGGAATCTCTTTGCTACTGAAAGGACTGAAACCAAGGCAAGCACGTATGCCTGTCTCTCGGTGCACTGCCAGACCAACCAATCACATTACATAAAATTTTTGGAGACCAAAGTCTCCACTGCCCACCTGGTACCAGACATCTGCTTCAAGAACACGGGCTGCAACCCCCGCAGCTGTAATGGGGCTGAAGAATGGGGCAGGTGATCATTGTTTTGCATATGTAGCTCACTTAGAAAATGTAGCAGCCTCTCCCTTTATCAAGCACTCCCCTGGTTGCCATACATGTCCAATTAGGTTTTAGTGTTCCAAATTAATTGATTTCAATTGCCCTTTCCAGCTTAACAGTTTCTTTGGTAGAGAGTATGACCCTAGAGCTTCCTATTCTGCCTTCTTGCATTTCACCCTAGTACTTTCTGTTAATTGAAAATTAGGTCTAAAACTTTAATTAGATTCAGGTTAAACATTTTTGACAGGAATACCTTATATTGAACATATCATTAGACACATAATATCAGGATGTCCCACAATACTAAAATCAGTCTCTTTGTTAAGGCCTGAATACTAGATCTCTTAAATATAAAGGTAGTTTTCCCCTTTGGGTTAGTGAATAACCTGTGTCAACCCTTGGAAATTTGCAAATATCCTGTTTTCCAACATCTCTCAACCTAATGGTTTTAGCGTGTATGCTTGAATAAATTAATTTTTTTGTTATTTTCAGTCTGAATATCATTATCAAAGTGAGAGAACAGGCGAATAAAATAAAAATCTAGTGTAGTGTTTTTAATTTCTTCCCACCGTCTGTTAACATTCAAATATCCATCTCAAATGGGGCCTTTCCCTTTCTTGTTTCTTTGTTTGGTTTTTCCTTAGTGTTTATTAGTAAGCCCTCGGCTGACTTATGGATTTCACCTTCATGATTCATCCAAGCCAGCATCTTACATCTGTCCTTGGCTGTGTGCTCATTCTTCCTGCTGTTGTACACATCTATTACCATCTAAATTCACTGAGAACACTCTGTGGAACTCATTTATTTCTTAATTTGCCCTTCATTTTTCTACCTCGTTGGAATAATTAGTTATTGCCTAGATAATTACATTTTTAGAGCTTTCAAACTCTCTTAATCCATCTTTGTTAAGAGAGATCCAGAAAATAGAATGAAATCCTTGCCTTTGTATTTAAAGTCTGTCTCAAAGAATTATACAAAGGAAGTTTTCTCCATTTCTAGTATTACTTACTCATTTTTTTTCTGACAATAGTTTTTTTCATTGCCAATGTATTCCTCCCTGTTGATTGGAATTAATTCTGGTGTGACAGTCTTTTTCCCTGCTTCTAATTTCAGATCAGTGAAAATATCGGCAAGGTCAAAACTTGACAGGTGTTCTACTTTAAGCTAATGAGTTTTGTTAGCTCTTTGAAGGGATGAAGTTTCCCATCCCTGCTATATATTAATTCTGTGTCAGCTTTATCATCTGCTTCTCCCTTCTTTTAGCTTTACCCAAATGAACTCTAATATTTTGCTTTCTCACATAACTTCATTACTTTCTAATGGATGTATAATTACACCCACTAACTTCCCACTCACCATACCTGTTTTTTTAAATTGAAGTTCTACACTCTTAAAAACCAAAATATATCTTTTAAATTAAAATTTGGGGTTGTTACAGGTATATCAAAATAGTGAAGAGATATTTCTTATATATTTCTGATGAAATACTGTTAACGCCATAGTCTGATTGGAGAGCAAATTTGAGTCCCTCTCTCTCTCTCTCTGTGTGTGTGTGTGTGTGTGTGTGTGTGTTAGAGAGAAAAAGCTCATTAAAATGGTTAATATTCTTTCCTTCCAGAATTGATCCAACACAAATGATGAGCGATAGATGCCTACTGATGTAAATATGTTTCTCTCTTCAGTGTCATTTATAATAATGAAATTAAACTTCAGTAGTTTATGATAAGAGAATTGATTATGTCTGTTGTAGTAGGACCAAATTATGACATACCATAATAATTAAAATGATTTATTTCCAAGTTATTTTGCCTTAACAAAACAACTTATGGCATCATGTTAAATAAAGACAGGAGCGTCTAAAAGACATCCAAAATGATTTCAGTTCTAACTTTTAACTAGGTTACCTACCCCAGGAGGTAGGCTGCACAGGAGAAACTTTTTCTCCTATTCCCTAACGTATAGAGTATACTTTTTTCTGAGCAGTCCATTTCCTGCTTTTCCCTCACATTTCAACCTAGCTCTGTGTGTAATTCTGGAAATGAAGGCTGCAGTACTGCAGGAACATCCAGACTGACTTTATTGTTCTAAAGCGGGCAAGGGAAATAAGGTATCAGGAAGTAGAGGCAATGTTGACCCTCTTCTGACATTATTGTGTGTCTTTGATGACCATAATGCATACCATGGCTTTTCCCAGAGAAAGGCCACCAAATGTGTCAGAGGAGAGAATTTTTTGGGCCATCTTAAGGTACAGAGTTGTATAGCTAGGATACAGTGTATTTTTCCATTTTAACTATAGATTTACTCCCATTGCTGCAGCTGTCGGGAGCTATCCACAGGGTTCCATGTGTCTGAATCTGCTATTGACATGACAGCAACTCTCTCTGCAGGGCCTCATATGATTAGTAGGACAGATGAAGAATTCCACAGATTTTCCTTACTCCTGGTGACATCTCCTGTCTGCCAGCCGTGGCACTGCCCTAGATATCACTGGAGAGACATAGACTCTCAGTTCCTCGATCTTCAACAATCTGTTTCTCCGTCATTTCTCAGTCACCCACACACATGGTCACAGCACAGAATTTGTTATTACCAACATCTTTATCACCTGTCTTAATCTCTACTACAAGTATCCCATTCTATGAAAACTGTATCTTATCTTTCCTATTTATTTCCTCTAAATGTCTAAGACACAAACAACTCAGTCTCATATGCATCTCCAATTCACTGACTCTACCACCTCTATAATGCTCTCCCAGAAAACCCTCAATGCTTTCTTAAATCTTCCTGTAGCTTGGACCTAGGAATCTGACTGTGGTTGGAAGAAAGTACACAATCATGACTGCTTTAAAAAATATATGAATTGTGACTAATCTTAAGTCAACTCGATATTGCCAGGAAAAATATTACATTTCCTTAATTCTCTGTTCCCTTATTATGTTAGGCCGTTAGTCCATAACTTATCTTTCCAAAACTTCCCCAATTAGTCTCTACTGATGACCTTGCTCCCTATTTTTCTGAGGAATTTGAAGCAATCAGAAGAGATCTTTCACATGTTCTCACCACCACATCTGCCAATCTATCTCTATCAGCACCTTATCATCTTCTTTCTTATTACCATGATTGAACTGTCTGTCGGCTTGGCCAACTCCACCCTTCTTATGCATTGTGTCCCATCTCTATCATCTGCTCTAGAATCGCTTTCTTTAAATTTCTCCCTATCATTCCTGCATTAACATTTTTTGCTATACAACAACATTAGAATTGCTTCCATCTTAAAATTACCCTCTGATGATACCAAGAGCCCTTATACTTACTGCCCCAATTCTCTGATCTCTTTGCAGCAATCTCCTCAAGAGTGTTAACTATACCCAGGCTATCCACTTCCTTTACTCCTCTTTCCTCTTGGAGCAGCCCCAATAAAGTTCTTGTCTTGATCACTGCACTGAAACAGCTCATAATAGTTTAAGAGTTGCATTTGCATGACCAGCTCCCTGGTCAATATTTTCATTTTTGTTGTCATGTACCGCAGCCTACAAGCAGCATTTGACATAGTGCGTGCGCTTTTTAAAACATTTTCTTTACCTGGCTTCCAGAACACTTCTTTCTCTGTCCTCCTACTGCTCCTTGAATTCCTCTTTTCAGTCTCTTTTGCTCTTCTCCTCACCTTCCCAACATTTGTGGAAACCACAGGAGGTAACCCTTGTATCTCTTCTCTAGCTTCCCCTACTTCCTAGGTGGACTCATCATTTAATGGCCAAGTTGATACTTCCAGCCTCTGCTGAACTCAGACCTTACACATCCAAGTTCTTAGTTGACATCCATCTGGATATTTAATAAGCTTTGTAAATTTAACATGTCCCAAACAAGCTCAGTCTGCACACACACCCCCACTTACATCAATCTGATACACTCACCCTCTCGACATCTTATTGAAAGGCCCATTCATCCTCTAGTTTCTCAGGTAAAAATTCTCAGAGTTATCTTTGACTCCTCTCACTCTTCACAGGAAAACATCCGTAAACTCTGATAGCTTTTCCTTTGACATATGTCTAGAAGAGTCTGACCACCACTTATTACACTACTGTGACTCTTTCCCAACTCACATGTTCTTACTTGGACTTTTGCTATTGTTTCTTATTATCTTTGCTTCTCATCTTGCTCCCTAACAGAAAATTCTTCACACATAACAGAGATAAAAATAACATTAGGTTGACATATGTAAATACTTATAAGGATTTTCTAGCAATTTAAATGTACTGTGATTATAGGTAAACTTGAAGAGGATGCAGTTAAAGATATTTTAGTATGAAGCATGTTAACGTGCTTTAAAGGACTGGCCCTACAAAACCTTATACATTTTTTAAAAGAAATAATTTATTTAACTAGGCCAAAGTTATTTTCCAAGAAACTGTAAATGATTGGCTTACAGTGACACTTAAGTTGAAAAATAAAGATGTAAGACTGTATTCATCCATTTTGGGTTTCAAGAACTGATTCTGGATTTCAAGAGTTGAAGCCCTACTGGTGTTGTTCACCCACTGCTGAGGGTAATGTCTGCTCTGACATTAGAGTTCGCCTTCTATTTCTTCCAGAAGAAATTTCCTCTGGGACCACAGTATAGTCAGCCATTTTCTGTTAGGCTGAAAATCTGAGAGTTAAAATAATCTTCCTGGATAAGTGACAGGAAAATGGACAACCAAATTTAACGAATGTTTCTGCTGATAGCTACTTTCTGAGAGAGTTTTAAAAGGTCTTTATGAGAAATACCATGCTTTTTAGCTGTAGAGTAAGATTTCAGAAAAAGACGGTGAGTGGCAGCTCCGATCTGTCAGGAATGCCAGCAGCATAAGTAGGATCGGGTGTCCAATTACCAGAATTGATAAGTAATTGTTAATTTAAGTATCCTTAGAGTTTATTGAGAATTGTTTTTCAGTGGCTGAGTAATATGCAAAGCAAATTTTGGGTTTCAGGTTTTAATATCTTCCTGCAACAACCCTTTAGGGCTTTGTGGTATTGAATTAAATATTTAAGTATTGATAAAAATGAGCTGCTCATTCTCCTGGAATATGTCAACTTTTTCAAGAATCACACTTCAATGGATTGTCCTTAGTGTAAAAACTGGCAGGATTTCATTGAAGGTGGAGCCAGGAAGGAAAATTGTCTAAGTTAAAAAAGTTTTTTAGAATTCAGATTTGGAAAAATTTATGATTTAAAAAATAACTGCCTTTTCTTTCCAAGGCCTTTCACTTCTAAGTGGGTGAAGCTGAATAATATAACTCTTGGTCTCTTATAGGGGACACAGAATTTTCCAAATTGCCTTTAATTGATGTTGGAGAATCTAAAATCAGTGCCATAGATTGTCTCTTCTTTGGTAAAGATGGCAGACATTCAGATTTTATGTGCGAAAAGTACAGCATGAGCTAAAATAAGAATCCATTTCAAATATCTCCCTACTAGATTTGAGACAATATGACAGTACAGTAAAGCAAAATGAAAAGAAAAATTGGAAATGGAGTGTGGCAGAACATTCCAAAATAGGCCACTTTGGCAGAGGGGCAATTTTGAGCTAAAGGCATTTAAAAACAACAGATACAAGAGGGATACTCTATTCTCCCCTTTTTCTTCTTGGAGACAGGAGATGAAAATTCCCATGTGAGAGATGCCCTCCCAGCCCCAGAGAAAAAAAGAAAAAAGAAAAAAGAAAAAAAAACCCACATTCTTCAACAGGGAGTCATAGCCGAGAGAATTCTGTAGGAGAGGTCTGTACAGACAGACCTTTTTAAAAGAATTATTATCTTCCATTAGCTTCCCTACAAAATGTGGTTGCTTTTCCACAAATGCCTCCCTTTGTTCAACCTAGTATAAAAGCATTTAGATTTTGCCACTTCTTCAGGTCCTTATTTCCTTATAAAGTCTCCCATGTCACATGAAACTTTTACAAATTTGTATGCTTTCTCTTGTTAATGTATCTTATGTCAATGTAATTCTTAGGCCCAACCAAAAATCCTAACAAGGCAGAGGTCAAATTTTGCTTTCTTAACAGAAGATAGAAGTTCCATATTCCAATTCTGTCCTCACAACTCACTTTCCAATGATTCATCTTCTCAACTGTAAAATGGGAATAATCCCAATAGTTACACATTCTTCACACTGTCAAATATCAAATAAGGTGATGTACTCCCACCCCCTCTTCTCAACTCCATCCCAGCTTGTGGAATAACAGGGTTTCAATAGTAAAATATTCTCTTCAGTTCAATTCCAACCTGCAAAATTTGTAGACGTCTCCTTCTTACCTCTCCAAAATAGTCCAGGAAATCACTCAAGGGCATCTCACTTTCTTCCCTATACTCCAGCCTGCTCCCCTGCTCCTCGTGTGGGTCACTGATGACACCCACAGCCACTCCTGATGGATGCAATGCCCAGGTGGGTGCGATTCTATGGAGATCTTTTAAATTCATAAACACAAATTTCGAAGAGCCCTCAACACTGCAGCAAAACATTGTTTGCTGATTTGTATCTCTCTCATACTCTCTTCCCTCTATACCAAAGATGACTTTTCATGTACGCTTTCCTCTCTTGGAACCTTCTCTAACTCCTGTTTTCATCAAAAAACCTCCTTTCCTACTTCACTGAAACCCAAACAGTGTTAGAAAAAAGAAAAGTGTTAGAAATACTCCCAAACCAGAAACCATTCGGCGGCAATTCCCTCTCCGTTTCTGTCACCAAATCCACAAACCTCTCAGCAACAGGATCCATTTTCCTTCTCTTCCCTTCAAGCAAAGGCAACAATCCCGCTGTCATGGACTGACTGTAACTGCTCACCGTTCATGTTGGCACCCTCATTCCACGGTGGTGGTGTTAGGACGTGGAGTCTTCGGGAGGTAACTAAGTCATGATTGGAGTTTGTGAATGGGTTGGAGTTTGTGAATGAGATTAGTGCCTTTTAGAGACGGGAGAGCTAGCTAGCTCTTTTTCAGCTGTGTGAGAATACAATACAAGATGGTAGTCTTCAACCAGGCAGAGGGCCCTCGCCAGAACCAGATGATGCTGATACCCTCGGGGATCTTGAACTTCCAGCTTCCAGAACAGTGAGAAATCACTTTCTGCTGTCGATAAGCCACTAGTCTATGGTAGCATGTTATACAGCCTGAACTGACTAAGACACCTTCTTTTAACAAAGAACAGTCCTTTCTTTCTTTCCTTTTTTTTTTTTTGAGACGGAGTCTCGCTCTGTCACCCAGGCTGGAGTGCAGTGGCGCGATCTCGGCTCACCGCAACCTCCGCCTCCCGGGTTCACACCATTCTCCTGCCTCAACCTCCCGAGTAGCTGGGACTACAGGCTCCCGCCACCACGCCGGACTAATTTTTTGTATTTTTTTTTTGTTTTTTTTTTAGTAGAGACGGGTTTTCACCATGTTAGCCAGGATGGTCTCGATCTCCTGACCTCGTGATCCGCCCGCCTCGGCCTCCCAAAGTGCTGGGATTACCACTGAGCCCGGCCATGAACAGTCCTTTCATTTGTATTCTGTATTGTAACCATTCTCACCTGGGGAAAGCTATGTTCTTTCAGTTCTTCCTCACTCTATCATTCATCTGACTTTGTTTGGTCATTTCATCTCTATGGGAACCCACGTTTAAACTTTCATAGCCCTTCTACTTCCCACTACCTAACCATAACACTGGCCCATTCCTCTGCTCCCTACACATAACCAAATATCTGGGAAGATTTGTCTACAACCACTGGTTCTACTTTTGTGTCTCCCTGCCATATTATTTCAATAAGTTTAGTCAATACAATACCCATATGCAATTTAAATCGTTATACAGAAGTACAAATTTTAAAAGGAAAAACAGCAGCTCCCTGTCTCAATTCTACCAACCCCTAATTTCCACTTTCCAGAGAAGGTCACTTTCAATTCTCTAAACTGTTTCTTATGGTATTCTGCAGCACACTTGGTTAGCTTGGCTGCTGAAACCATTGGTCTGTGTGCCTTTTTCAATGGTAGGTCTTTAATCACTCTCCAAACTTTTCTTTTTTAATTGGTGTATTAAAGTCTTGCATTATTTTTCTTGGTTCAATTTGGATCATTTATGTTTTGCTAGAAATTCCCTCTGGGATTTCAATTTTGTGCTATATGTCTCTTATAAGTGATTCCCAGATTCATATTTCTGTCTCTATCTCTATAATTGATCACACAACATCTTCACTTGTGTACCTAGTGCCATTTCAAAATTAACATGTTCAAAACTCAACTCCTGCTACCTATCCCCAAACCTGCTCCTCCAAAATTTTTCCTCAACTAAATAAATGGCAACTCTGTTCTTCAATTGCTCAAACCAAAGCTTTGGAATCATCCTTTAATGTTTTTCTTTCTTTCATATCCCATCCATCTAAAAATCCTTTTGGCATTCTATTAACAAAATATGCAGAATCTCAACACTTCTTACCACCTCTTCTGCTGTAACCTGATCAAAGCAACAATCACTTTCCATTTTCACTGAGAACTTTTACTGGAGGATGGAACAGCCTTCCTACTTTGCAGTTGCCTCCCTGGAGCTCATTCTTCATACAGCAGCCAATGTGCATGTTCAAGAGTCCTTATACTAATTGGTTTGAAAGCATCCATTGAGTTCCTGTGTCACTCCATCCTTATTGTGGTTTACAAGGCCTTACATGTTTCATCTGCTGCCACTCAACTTATTTTGCCTCCTGATACCCTTCCATCTCTTTGTACTCCTGCCACACAAGCCCATTTGCTGCCCCGTAGGCATGCCAAGCATACTCCTGCCTTAGTGCATTTGAGCCTGTCCTTTCCACTGCAGCAGTGTTGTTCCTTTAGTATAGCCTGGTCCTCTGCTTCTTTCAGGCCTATTCCATACAGTTACCTATTGCTACAACAATGCTGCAGAGCAAGCAATGGCAAAACATCAGTGGCACTCCAACAATAAATATTTAGTGATGAGTTTCAGCTAAGCTGGGCAGGACTTGGCTGGTCATGTATGGGCTCACTCATGTGTCCACCTTCAGCTGTGGGTCAGCAAGTCACCTCTTGCTGATCTTGAATGGCCAGACTGATATATCTGAGGGTCAGCTGGGTACTGGATGGTCCAGTATAACCTCAGCAGGGATGACTGGAGCTGTCATCTCATTCACCCTCCAGCAGGCTAGCCCTGGCATATTGTTATGGTTGTGTTCAAGGAACAAGACGCATGTGAAATTGTGGGAGGACTTTCTCAAAAAAGCTTTATGATTTTCTCAAGCTTCTGCATGAGCCTCATCTGTAAAAAAGCTTGTTTTGGGGAAGTGAGATATTGATAGATGAGGCTCACACAGAAGCTTGAGAAAGTCCTGCCACGATTTCACATGCCTCTGAATCTGTCTAGATTTAGCAGTTGAAAAGAAATAGATCCTGCTTTTGGTGAAAAGTGATGCAAAGTCCCATGGCAAAAGGCCTGGATAAAAGAGGAGTGAAGAATGAGAGCAGTGATGCCATCAATCAGCCAAGCATCCTTTCAGTGAGTCCTTCCTGACCACCCAATATAAAACAGCATCCTCTCCCCACACACATTCTTATCACTCTTATCCAGCGTTGCTTTTATATCTGTATCTGGCATCCTTATATGTGTCAGTCATGGTTCAATTGAGAAACTGAACCACTAGGAGATATATGTTGACATTTATTGCAGAGTTGTCTTATGTGATTGGGGAGGATGGCCAAGCAGGCTAGAAGTCCACAGGAAGGCTCCAGGAAGGTTAGGTTGCTACTCTGGGGCTGGTGCTGAAGCCTGCAGTCCACAGGGGGATTTCTTCTTCCTCAGGGATGCCTCAGTTCTGCTCTTAAGGCCTTTCACCTGATTGAATCAGATTATCTAGGGTGACATTCCTCACTTAGCCAACTGACATGTACTTTAGTTCATCTAAGAAATACCTGCACAGCAAAACCGATAATTAGTGGTTAATTCAATACCTGGGGACTATTACTGAATTAACAGTCTAGCCATGTTGACACATAAAACTATCATTCTATACATTTAATTTTTATTTATTTATTGCCTGTCTGCCCCGCAAGAAAGTTAGCTGTATGCAGGCTGGGACTTCTCTGTTAGTCACTATTCCAGGGATTGGAATAAAGCTGGAACAAGTCAACCCCAAAGAACTGTAAAATTGTACTTCACTGACTTTCTAAGTCATATGCTTAAGCTGCTATTTCTTTTTAAAATCAATTTTATACAATATGTTGATTTTCTCCTGTGACATGATACAGTCCCTTATGTTTTCACTCCCCACTGCCATACTCACATTTTCTACCTGCCCATATTCTCGTTTTAGTTACAGTACCGTTTATGATGAATGAATATTAAATTTTCACATTACTGTGACTGTCAATATTTTTCATAGGAGAGACATCTAGTGCACTGTGATCACATTTTCAGTCTTGTGTGTATATATATATATGTGTGTGTGTGTGTATATATATTTTTCTTCTCAAGGAGTTCATTGCCTAATTTTTTCATTTGCTAACTTTTCTAAGTATGTATTCCCAAATATTTCCAAATACTTTAAATTATAAATTCCCTCCAAATATAATCCTGTATATTGAGGTAGGGTAGGTACCAGTTTCATGTTTTTTCTGTCTTCCTCTATCTTCCCTCATTACCTTTTACGTCTGCTGCAACTCCGTCATTCTGGGACATTATTTCACCGCTACTCAGGCAATACTCTTCTCTTCTGGCTTTGATCTCCTGTTTCCTGAATTCTAAGTTTTCTTTTTCTTGGTTCATTCTTACATTTTATTATATTATTATTATGAATTACAACCTTTAACATTGAAATAGGTACTCCCTCATTTGATTAATGCTTTTTAATTTTTTTATTTGCTTTTTGCCAGGTATATCTTTGTCCTCTTATTTTTAGCCTTTCTCAGTCTCTGTTTTATGGATCTGTTTTGTAAGAACATAGAGTTGAAGTTTACATTGTTGGCTAATCTGAAATTCACCTTCATTTAATAGAGGAGTGAGAACCATATTGTTATTAACATGACAGCTCACAAAACTTGGTCATAAGATCATACAATCATATAACTTATATCTGTGATCTTAGTTTTGTTATATGGTTTTAGTTTACATTTCTAAATGTTAGTTGTAAAATATAGAGACATATAAAGCCTTTCACCATAAGTTTATTTTCTTTGTAATTTACCTTTTTTATACTTATTTTGGAGTTATGAGGTTTTTTGCCTAATGGTTACTTTTATACTAACACATTTACATAATATCCTTAGTTGCATCTCTTTTAGATACTCTTTACTGGTTCCCTGTAATAATCAATATTGATAATGCCCAGTGACTTCCTATTCCTCATTCTTTTCTTTCCTCCCATTATCTGATTTGTATATGATTTTTAAAAATTTCTCCTAATTCTTATGAGGCAATTGCCAAGCTTATTCTACCCTTTACGTATTCTCCACGAGTTCCATTTTTGTTAGTTTTATTGTATATACACTGTTAAAGCATGTACAATTTTATAATATTTTGCCCTTATCTCCCAAATTAATCTATGTTCTGAAGTTACATATATTCAAGGCTACCTGTGTTTATGATCCTTTTTGTTTGTTTGTTTGTTTGTTTTGAGATGGAGTCTCACTCTGTCATCCAGGCTGGAGTGCAGTGGCACAATCTCAGCTCACTGCAACCTCCGCCTCCCAGGTTCAAGCAATTCTCCTGCCTCAGCCTTCCGAGTAGCTGGGATTACAGGTGCACACCACCATGCCTGGCTAATTTTTGTATTTTTAGTAGAGACGAGGTTTTGCCATGTCGGGCAGGCTGGCCTCAAACTCCTGACCTCAGGTGATCCACCTGCTTTGGCCTCCCAAAGCACTGGGATTACAGGCATGATCCATCATGCCTGGTCTATGATGTATTTTTTATAGTTATTTATTGCCCATATAAGGCTTGTTTTCTACATATTTCTTAGGAAGACTATAAAGAACAATAACCCTCAAAAACAATAACAAAATGGCCAGCTGTGAAGAGCTAGAACTTGGCCACCCCACTGCTGTGTCATCTTTCTCCATCCCCATAGGAAGAAACCACTGTTTTTTTCCTCTTCTCTTATTTTCGTTGTTGTTGCTTTTGGTAGCTTTATCACATATGTGTATCCCTACACAACATATTTTAGTTTTGCTTATTCTTGAGCTTTATAAATCTGGATTCAGACTTTCTAAAGTATATTGCAATTTGCTTTTTCCACTCCGTCTTATGTTCTAAGATTTATCTGTGTTGTTGCTGGTTACTGCTGTTAATAGCATTGTGTGCATATACCATAATTTATTGCACGTTTATAACGATTTTTCTTTGGCATTTAGAATTGAAGATCAGTTAGCTTTTTACAAAATCATAAGTCCATGTTTTTGGGTTTTTTTTTTTCCCTTGAGAATTTAAAAATGCTTCTTGATTGTCATTTGGTACAAAGTGTTCATATCAAACAGTGTGAGGCTATTCTGATTTTCTTTTTACAAGTTAATGTTCTTTTTATTTGGATGTCTAAAGGATTCTTTCTCTTTCTCTGAAGTTGAATTAATTTACTTGAAATGTCTTGGTGTTGATGATTCTGAGTTGATTTTCCCAGGTTAGAGTGTCCTTTTCTCACTTTATTGCACTTCGTCTTTATTCTTCAGTTTTCTTTTACACATATGTTGTCTCTTCATGGCCTCTCTTCCATATTTACCTTTTTCTGAACAAACCCTGTCCTATGTTTTTCCTTATACTTTTGATTTTTTAAAAATGTGTTCCTATTTACGTTTCATTTTTCTTACTGTGTTCTCTCTAGTGTTTCTCGGTTTTTGTGTTTCTCCTAGTCTTTTTTTTTTCTTTTTGAGAATGAGTCTTGCTCTGTTGCCCAGGGTGGAGTGCAGTGGCGCAATCTCGGCTCACTGCAACCTCCGCCTCCTGGGTTCAAGCAATTCTGTGCCTCAGCCTCCCGAGTAGCTGGGATTACAGGCGCTCACCACCACATCCAGCTAGTTTTTGTATTTTTAGTACAGACGTGGTTTCACCATCTTGGTCAGGCTGGTCTTGAACTTCTGACTTTGTGATCCACCTGCCTCGGCCTCCCAAAGTGCTGGGATTACAGGCGTGAGCCACACTACTCCTGGCCTAGTCTAGCTTTTATTTGTGATTTTATTCCTTTCCTGATCTCTCTCCACTATTCTTTAATATCCTCCCTTTGTCTAGTTCTATTATTTTTGGAATTTCCTTTTTTGTGCTTCATACTGTTCATTTGTAGCTTCTGTAATTTCTTAGCTCCTTTGAGCCAATTTTGAAATACTAAGTTATACATTTTTCTGGGGTCATCCTTTGTTGGTAGGTTGAGTATTTATTTTTACCCTCTCATTGAATAGCAATCAATTACAAACATTTTCTGTTGCTCGTGTTTAAATAAGATGGGTTTTCCTGTATATTTAGAAAGAAGCATTAGTATTTATGGTTGTGAGTGAACCAGTATGCATTTTGACCTTCAGTGTTCGAAATTTCCCTCATCATGGGTCCTATGAAGTATGAATAATAATGTCAGTCTTTGTAACTACCTCTAAAAAAGCATTCTGAGGTCAACTTCCTCTGAACTCCCCCTCACTAGTGTGTAAGCCTTTTCTCTTCTGTACTGCCAGCGTTCTTGCTTGCCCAATTTGGATTCCATTTTCAGCAATATTTCCTTAGAAGGGGCACTGTCTTAATGAAAGGATAATTTTCTCGTATGTTTCTAATTACTGAGAATTTGGGCATCCTCTGATCTTGCTGTAGCCTTTTCCTTTCTGAGATCTTGCGATCTTGTACTCATCCATAATTTGGAGTCGGTGCAGATTTCTACCACTTTCACCATTTGGTTCTATAATCTGCTTGCTGAAATTCTGACTCAGATTGTGGTCCTTTCCTTTTAGAGATGAATATTTTAAAGCAATTTTTGAACTCTGTCTCAGAGGATCATCAGAACTCCTTTCTTCTGAAATATTGAATTTCTTTTCATTTTTCTATTTCTGCATAGCTGCTGATCATATAGCCTATAGCCCCAGCCTGATTCTATTTATGCATATTCTGGGGTTTGAGGGGGATATTTTGTCACCTGGTTTTGTTGATAATATTGTCCTCTAAAATTTTTTTCTTTTTTTCTTTTTTTTAATGAGATGGCATCTCACTCTGTCACCCAGGCTGGAGTGCAGTGGCATGATCTCGATTAACTGCAACCTCTGCCTCCTGGGTTCAAGCAATTCTCCTACCTCAGCCTACATAGTAGCTGGAATTATGGGCACCTGCCACCATGCTTGGCTAATTTTTGTATTTTTAGTAGCGATGAGGTTTCACCATGTCGGCCAGGCTGGTCTTGAACTCCTGACCTCAGGTGATCTGCCCCCTCGGCCTCCCAAAGTGCTGGGGTTACAGGTGTGAGCCACCGCACCCGGTCCCCTAAAAATTTTCCTATACTATTTTCCTTCTCCATATTTATAAAGGAATTTTAGACTCTCACAAACTATGCTGTTGCTACTGTTTTATTGATTTGATATTGTCTAAATATGACTATAGACTAAGAAGCACATTTCTAATGAACTCATGATTCACTTATTTTTAGCTATAGTTAAATATGTCCATTTTGACTACTATTCAAATGCACTCCTTTTGCAAGTCTTCAAAAACACTCTGCTTGTCTGTTCGCTTGCTTGTTAGGCTTGCTTTTCTTACAGTCTGTCAGCTTTTCTTCACGTGAGTCCTGGTATGCTTCCTCAGGGTCAGACTGCTTCTCTGGTTCTCCGTGTAGCACCTCCCTGACAGTTTGATTTTTAGACATACAAACTTCAGCAATACAAAATGAAAGTTAGAGTGCCTGTGTCTGAGTGCAAGAGTTACTGAGTGGTATAAAACTGTGTTTTGTTGTGTTTTTCGTAGGATATAAAGATGTTTAATTGGACAACCTTATTCATTCAGCTGTGACTTGCAGAAGGATCTGAGCAGGTACAGTTAAAGTGCTAGCTAATGAATGTTTTGGGAGGTAGGCTGCAGAAATTCTGGCATTTCATATTTTCTTCCAGTCTAACAACTCAATTCCACAATTGGCAAATGAGCTTTAAAGGAATACTACATGATTAAATTTTTTAGCGTTAAAAAATGATTACCTATTTCAAAAACATCAAATAGAAAATATTGTTGGTCATCAAGACAGAAAATTTGAGAAAATATTTAAGTAAATGAAAGAGAGATGTGAGAATTTTAAGTGCTGTTAATAGAGAAAGGGAAAATATATTAATTTTGATAAATTAGCTTTTTAGACTCATGTATCTCAAAATTAGATAATCTATTTCAAAGTAATAAGAAAAATGTGGATATCATCAGAATGTCTTTATTACACTCACTATAAACTTATCTGAAAATGCTCTTTTAGCATATGCTGGTCAGACAGCAGTGAATCTCAGTAGCTCAAAGGGAGTAGCTTCCCAATGAAGAATCAATACAGAATCATTGTGCCAAGAGTCTAGAAGTGCACAAAATTAAGTCCCAAATTAAGATCATTTGAAAATTTCTATCAGTGCTCAACTCCTTACTCATTGCAAAGCAAATGTGGTCTTATTGATAGTAAATTGCTTTTACTTTAACATTAAGGATTATATTTCATATTGTGTGTTCTTTTGTTAGTTGTGGAAATAGTCATTAGGCAACAATGCATTTACAGACCTTAGAAAATGTTTAGTGACCCCCATCAGTTTGATGTATTATACTTTAATAAACCTTACTAATGGCAAAAATGTAAGCTTATTTCCCGAGATAGATGAGATTTATTTGGCAGCTTTGGAAATCTGAAGTGTCCATCAGGAAGTGCAGAGGAAACAATGTTGATTCAAGTCCTCGGCCCATTTTTCAATCAGGTTATTTTTGTTGTTGTTATTGAGTTGCATGAACTTCTTATACATTTCTATGCTAACTGTTGATGAGAAATATGGTTTGCAAATATTTTCTCCAAATCTGTAGGTCACCTTTTCACTTTGTTGATTGTTTCCTTTGCTGTGCAGAAGCTTTTTAGGTTGATGTCGTCCAAATTGTTTATGTTTACTTTGGTTGCTTGAGCTTTTGGTGTAATATCCAAAAAATATCCTTGCCAATACTAATGTCGAGAAGCTCGTCCCCTGTGGATTATTCTATAAATGTTGTGGGCTTAGTCCTTGTGTTTAGGCCTTTGAGCTGATTTTTGTGTATGATGTAAGATAAGGGTCCAATTTCTTTCTTTTGCACATGGAAATCCAGTTTCCCCATCATTCATTGAGGAGACTGTCTTTTCCCCATGTATCTTCTTGCTGTCCTTCTCAAAAATTAATTGGCCCTATGTGCTTGGGTTTATTTCTGGGCTGCTTTTTCTATTTCATTGGTCTATGTAACTGTTTTATGTTAGTATTATACTGTTTTAATGTAAACTGGTACAGCCATTACAGAAAACAGTACGGAAGAAGATTGAAAAATGAAAAATAGAACTACTGTATGACACAGCAAGCCCTTTTCTGGTAGTATCAGCACCTTCTAGAGGTCCCTGCACTCCCATGTTCATTGTGGCATTATTCACAATAGCCAAGACATAGAAACAACCTTAGTGTCTGTCAACAGACGATGGGGGAATAGAGAAATTGTGGTAGATGCTGAATATTTGTTAATTTACTTGATCATAATAACAATTTCACTATGCATAAATATATCAAAGCAATCATGCTGTATACATCTAAGCAATAAAAGCAAAAGAAATGTTTATTTGGAAAGAATCTCAGAAAGGAAGCTTAAAGTATTATAAAAGAGAAGTTTGTTATTTCAAAGACAATGGAGATTATGAAAAAAGTGAGAAAAAAACTACTACCTAAAGATGAATATATGGAATAATGATAGTGAGAAGAAATATAAAAAGTGAAAAGTAGGCTGGGTAAAACACACAGTAAGTGATTATATGCATTTGTATGTATATGTAAAAATTTATATATGGAAATTTCACTAGGGTACATAAGTGAAAATTGAAGAGGACAGATCGAAGAATCAGGAAACTTGAAAATAGATCAATAGAAATGATCTAGTCGGAAGAACACAGAGAGAGAAGATTGCAGAAAAATAAACAGACCCTCAGAGACCTGTGGGAAAATATCTAGCATGAAATAGATGTGTAGTATGGAAATTCAATGGAGCTAGCATAGCCAAAACAATTGTTAAAAAGAAGAAAAATGGTGGAAGAGTTATACCACTTAAATTTGAAACTTACTAAAA